>NC_000020.11:58165360-58782241 GCF_000001405.40 Homo sapiens
GCTTGATCAGGGATTCAAGCAATATCACCAAGACCCAGGGTTTTTCTGCTCCAATTTCCTTCAGTTTGGTCTATCTGACTGCTTTCAGCTGCAAGTAACATGGCTCAGCATTGTTGAAATGACAAGGCTATTTCTTAGATCACAGACAGGAGGTCCCCAGGTAGGCAGAGCACCAGGGCTAGTCTAGTAACTTAAATTCAGCAAGGATTTGCATGCTTTTAACCACCTCTCTCAGCCATGCCACTCCCAATGCCAGCCTCGTCAAAGGCTGGCTTTCTTCCTGGCTGTAGGATGGGCACCGTCAGCGGCCTAGGCCACATGCTTTCCTGTTCACCTCTGGCAATAGAAAGAGGGAAAGGTTTCCCACTCATCCCTGCAACTCCTCTGGAGGGTGTCATTGGCCAGAAATGTATCGTATCCTCATTCCTGAGTAAATCATGGCTTTATCTCCCTTGGGCCAAACAAGCCAACCCCTTCCCACGCTGCATCGTGACTCTGTAGTAGGAGGCAGTGCAACATCCACCGGAACTTCACATGCCTCGTGGTCACAAAGATGCAGCAGCTCCCCACTTCTCTTGCTTTTAGCGTCAAGTAGAACAGGAAGAACGCCCAGAGGCTGTTTCCCAGGATTCCCAACAAAAGTCTCATTGACTCTAATTGGGTGACATATCCCTTCCTGAACCCATCAGTGTGGCCCAAGAAATGAAGTGCACTGATTGGCTTAGTCCTTGGCTCCACCCCTGAGATGGAGTAGGCCACAGCGCACAGGGCACGTAAGTCGAACCAGAGGAAGACATCTCCCAGATGGAAATCTGAAGGTGGTTCCCAAAAGTAGGGGGAATGGAAGCCGCATGGTAAAGACAGTTAACAAAACAAGCCCGCTATAGAACCTGAAAATGAAGTTTTCACGACCTCATGTGTGGTGGTAATTATCAGATCGCTTCAATTCACTTTGGCCAATGTGGCAGGCAGCCTCTGAGATGGCCCTGGCATCCTCACCTCCTGATATTCACATCCTTGGGTAGTCCTTGCCCCTTGAGGGTGGGTGGGATGTAGTGATTCCTTTGTATGAATAGAATATGTCAAAAGTGATAGGTTGTCGCTTCCCAGATTAGGTTACAAAAGACTGACTTTCATCTTGCCAGCTTGCTCCTCTCTCTCTTTCTCTCTGTCTCTTTCTCTTTCTCTCTCTCCTTTTCCTTCTCTCTCTCTCCACCACTTTCTCTCTCTCTCTCACAATCTCACTCTCTCTGATGAAGCCACCTGCAATAGCATGAGATGCTCAATGGAGATGTTCCCAGGACAAGGGACTGAGAAGACCATGATCCACCAATGTATGAGGACCCGATTTTTACTCATAGGTATCAGTAAAAATTATTTAATTTCAAAAAATTACAGAAGCTGGATCAGCCTTCCAGGTGACATTTGTCATTTTTAGTTTGGGGACAGAGCCAGAAAAATAATCCACAATCCCTAGTCCCAAGTTATCACCTAAAAACTATTTGTAGAGGCCCACCAAGGGCTGGAAATGCCTTCTCTTGAATCAGCGGAAAAGGAGAGGCAGGAGAACAGGTGAGAGGAGGAGACTCAGGAGTGGGGCTGGTCTGCGTTCAAATCCCGACACTCCCCACTCCAGGGGTGTGGCCTTGGGCAGGTGGTTGGACTTCTCAGACTTCTGCCTTCCCCAGCTGTGACATGGGGACCCATGGGGGTGACAGAAGGATACGTGGGGAAAGGGCTTGGCAGAGAGCAGATGTGCAGACACAATGTTAGTTTCATCTCTTGCAGCAAAGCAAGAGATTCTTCAGAAACAGGGTGAAGATCAAATGAGACGCTGGTGATAAAGTACCTGCTGAAACATCTGGCGTGGCCAAGAGGTTCAACAAAGACTGGCTGGTGCTACTTTTACTGCTGCTGCTCTTGTTGTTGTTGTTAATGAACATGATTCTACCGCCCATAGAATTAGGCCGTCAGCAGGCTTTTCAATTAAGTGAACTACATTTATTTCAGCACCTATCCATGTTTAAATCTGGCCGTTGCCAGGGCTCAAGAGAAAGCTGGGTGCTCCTTCAAAATAACACAAAATAAATTAAACTTCTCTCATGCCCACTGAAAAAAATAATATTTAATACCTTTCTGGGGCCATTCACTTAAACTTTAAAAATGGGTCCCAAAACAATTCTGGATTTTATGCTTGCTGAGCCTAATTGCATGACTATGAGGTGACCTGACAGGGCCTTAGTTTTAGGAGATGATCGTGTGGTTAATAAGCTGTGTTCTTCATGGGTGGGTAATGATTCTGATTAGATGAAATTCAAACGAGGGCTCTTGGGTAAGCCACAGACCTGGAATCCCCGGCACCCAGAGAGAGCTGCTTGCTCCCCCTGAGAAATTAAACACAAGTGTAAGCAACTGTTGTCTGAGTGTTTGTGCATGGCTATGATTGATTGATTTACTGTTCAGAAAGCTCCCTTTTAATTAGGAAGTAAATCTTGCTTCTCGATGTGTGACGATAACTGTCCTTTGAGAATACACAGGCAGTGTTGACCCAGGAGTGAAGGAGGAGCCACTCGTGCCGTGGGAAGCATGGTGCTATGGGGAAGGGCCGGCCCCACCAGAGGCCTGGACGTAGGGTGCCCAGCAGGAGGGGTGCATGGCCAGGGCTGAACCTGGGCTGGTGCTGGACGGCCACTGAGGAGGAGGGTACAAAAACAATGGCTCACATTTATTGGGTCCTACCAAATGTCAGTGTATTAAAGAGTCTGACCCTACTTTTTGATGTCTGCCTGCTGACTCTTTAAATCTGTCCGTCTGCCCCCCATTTGGGGAAGCTGGTAAGAAAGCCCAGGTGCTCTTCCCTTTGGCATGAGGGGGCCGTTCCAGCCATCCTCCAGGCCCACCCCAGGCCCCATAAAAATCCCAACCGGCCTCCTTTCCTTGCACTCTCCAGCCGTTTTCAAACCTGCTGGGAAATCTGCTCTGCTCTCCCCTGGAAGCCTCATGATGCAAGTAATCAACTTTTCCTACCTCTCGGTGTGTGTCCCGTCCCTGTCTGCATTGGACAAGGTTTTGTGGGGAGGGTGGTCCATCCTGTATCTGCAGACCAGCAGGCTGCTCCTGGCAGCCAGATACTGTGCTAAACTCATTCCACCTTCACAGCAACCCTGCATCCTCCATCCTGTATAAGCCCCCATGTGAGGGGGAGAAACAGAAGCTATATGAGGTGAAGTGACTTGCCCAGTGTCACACAGCAGTGGAACCAGACCTCAAATCCTACCCTGCATGACTCCAGAGCCACCAGAGGACCATGTGGCATCGCACAAGTTCACAGGGAACCACCCACAGACGTGGCATAGGCTGCTCCCTCTGCCCAGAGCTCACCTTTGTCCTCCAGGGATCTCTCACACACCTACACCTCTTGCCAGGCGTGGGAGGTAGAGTTCTAAAAGTGTCCCCACTGCACACCCAGGATTCCACATCATTGTCCCCAGAAACTGTGACTATGGGGAGATGTCATTGCCATGGTTATGTTAGGGTCTATGGCATCTTTGACCTTAAGACAGGGTGATGAGCCTGGATTATCCAAGTGCAATCATCCGGTGTCATCCTATGAGCTCTTAAGAGTGGAGCGTTTTCTCCGGCTGGTGGCAGAAAGGGAAGTCAGAGACATTGAAGCATGAGAGGGGCGTGACCTGTCATTGATACTCTGAGGCTGGAGCAGAGCTCATGAGGAGGCAGCACAGCCTCAGGAAGCTGAAAACACCCCTGGCCAAGAACCAGCAAGGAAACAGGGCCTCAATCCTGCAGTCACCAGAGCTGTGTTCTGCCAAACACCTGAATGGGAGAGAAGTGGGCTCTCCCCTAGAGACTCCAGCTAAGAAGTCAAGCCAGCTCACACCTTGATTGTGGCCTAGTAAGACCCTAAGCAGAGAACAGCAAGGTCCATCTGGATTTCTGACCCACAGAGCTGTGAGATGATCAATGGGTGCTGTCTTAAGCCCCTGAATTTGCAGTAATTTATTACAGCAGCAATAAAAAACTAAAAGCAAATCCACCACAGGTGCCAAGGATGCGAGTCCCTGACTGCTCTTCACCTGGGGCCCTTTTTCAGAGCTGTGTTTGCAGCCAGCATCCTTTAGGGACAAGGCAATGTCTCCCTCCAGACAAAGAGCAGGCCTTCTTCCTGCTTGCTATGAAATGGTTGGTTCCCAAGCTCCGCATTCCTCAGCTGTAACACAAACCCACCATGTCCATGGGACTTGAGGGCAAGGGAACACACATGCTGAAGCGCAGGCTACTTATTGTGCTGTGAGTCATGAAGTCCTTCGTCTTTGATCCAGGAGTCTTGTGTCTTCTGCCAGCATCCATGAATCAGTAGCACTCTAACTTACGAGCTTATATGTAAAGTAAAATGAAATCCCAGACCCCACAACAGTTCCTTCTCCTTTTCACCATCACCCTCCCACTCATCTCCAGCTAGCAGCTGGTAGCCCTTCCTGAGAGTGGCTTTTTCAGCCCTGTGACACCTTCCACGCCATTGGAGCAACAAATACTACTCCTTCGTAACAGTTTGTCACCTAAAACTTTTGCATTTTTGTGTGATATTTTTACAAATATCTGAGTCCCCTAGTAACTTGGTATTCCAGGTATCATGCCTGACTTTTCTCACCATTACATACACAGTGTCTAAGAAAATGCCCAGCCCATAATAGCTGCTCAACATTTATTAAAAGAAGGAAGAAACTGCTGGTGATGGAGTCAGGTCATTGAGCCCTTGAGACAGTCACAGTCCCACAGAATATCCACAATATCACATTCCAATAAAATTACAGGCCAGGCGCAATGGCTCATGCCTGTAACCCCAACACTTTGAGAGGCTGAGGCAGGAGGATGGTTTGAGCTCAGGAATTTGAGACCAGCTTAGGAAACAGGGCAAGACCCTGTCTAGAGAATAAATAAATAGATTAGATAAGTAGGTAGGTAGGTAAGTAGAAAGATGGATAGATAGGTAGGTAGATAGATAGATAGATAGATAGATAGATAGATAGATAGATAGATATAGATAGATAAAATTACAATCACCTCCAATGTTCAAATATAATGCTGTCCTAAAAACATGTACAAAGGTTAAGTGTTTAAAATCTTAGCAATCCCCATATATATCACTAGGGAGCTTCTCTTCTCATAAAGAGAAAACATTTTTACGAAGTTCCTCATTCCCCTTGCCTTAGATGTAATAGTGAGTGCCATGTTTCAGCTCAACACCTGTTCTTTAGAGGTGCTGAATCTGAAGACTAAACAGGAAGCCATTGGATTTGCCTCCCTTGAGCATCCACATGGGCCACGGATGCGCCTTGTTGTACAATGACATTCATCGTGGTTACGACAACAGTGGTGTGAGACACCTTTACTTATCATCTCTGGTTTTAGCAATTTCCTGTTTTCCCTACTCATTTTTATAAATAATTATTCAAAAATACAAAGCACATTCCAATACTTGCACCAACGAAAGCCAGAGAACTACTAAGATGGTGCCGGGCCCATCCCGATCTCGGGGGTGCAGAGACCAGGTGGCAGCTGCACTCCCAGGCAGCAGTTCAAATTCATCTGCTGGCTGCTACGGCAGGGGTTATCCTCTAACACACAGCAAGTGCAAGAAAAAGTATATGCCGTTCTCCTTTCTTTAAAATATGCCTCTCTTGCACTGTTTTATTCCAGCATTCAGTGGAGACATGGGTGTGGAGAAGGAGTCAAGATTTCTCTCTACTACAAGGAAAGCTGAATCCTGAACAAAACAATAAATGGTAACAGACACGTAAATTCACGATCAAGGATCCTGAAGGGCATGGCAGAGACAATGGCGTCTGTAGAACCCATGTCCTGTTGAGAGGGCAGCTGCCCCTCAGCGCCACGGGTCACTGCCTGGGGAAGCAGGGGACAGCACAGCCAGATCTTTCCAGCTTCCAAAGGAAGCCGAACAATTTGGACTTTATAAATGTAAAATCTCCCGATTTTAAAATGTCTTTTAAATGTTTAATGTTTTTAATTATTAGTAAGCCGGGCGCCGTGGCTCATGCCGGTAATCCTAACATTTTGGGAGGCTGAGGCGGGAGGATCAGTTGAACCCAGGAGTTTGAGACCAGCCTGGGCAACACAGTGAAACCCCATCTCCACAAAAAATACCAAAAAAATAGCAGGGTGTGGTGGTGCATACCTGTAATCCCAGCTGCTTGGGAGGCTGAAGTGGGAGGATCGCCTGAGCCCAGGGAGGTCGAGGCTACAGTGAACTATGATCGTGCGACTGCACGTGCCTGGGCAACAGAGCAAGGCCTTGTCTCAATAAATAAATAGTATTTAATAAATAAACAAATACTATGCAAGTTAAACCCAATAAGCCAGCAGCCTCCAATTGATAATTTCTGAAATAAACTCATATTTTCAACTGCTTTTGTGACTTCTCCACTTGGATCTCTAAAAGGCATCTCAGACCTGACATGTCAAAAATGAAACTCTCGATTCCAGCAGGCATCTCCCCGCCCCATCCACCCCCACACCGACTCCAACACACCTCTGCTCCTCATCACATTCACAGGCAAGTCAGTGACCAGAGCATTCATTCACCACCCAGCCCATGCACAAGTCTCGGCTCCCTCTGCCCCACCCACCTCCCCAACCATCCTTCAGCATAACTCTCTGCTTCACCCACCTCCAGCACCATCATCTCTGTGAAAGAACAGGCATTGTGACACTGTGATGCACACCTCTGGTAGAGACAGCCGTGATGGCAGACTGTGTGGGCCATGGTGGATGTTGTTGTTGTTTGCAGTGCACACCAGCCTGGAAATGCTTCAGCCTGGAGGTGACGTGTTGTTTCTACTCATATCTCATAGCCCAGAGCAAGTCACCTGACCTTGCCTAACTTCAAGGGGACAGGAAATCTTCATCAGCACTCGTAATATCTACCACAGGGACAAGTAACTTCTACCATTGCTAAATTTTGGGTTTTGCCAGTAAAGAACACTTAAAAGTATATATCCACCACTACCATCTATTAGATCAACAGCGGACAAACGATGGCCCAACGGCCACAGTCGGCCCAAAACCTCTTTGTAAATTAGGGTTTACCAGCACACAGCCTGTTGCTTGTTGTATATATTGTCTGTGGCTACCATTGGCGCTACAACAGTGCTGAGTAGTTGCAACAGATACTTCGGGTCCTGTAAAACTGAAAATATTTACTTTGGGCCTTTACAGAAAAAGCTTGAGCACCCCTAGGCTCATTCATTCACTGTCACAATTATCTCATAAAAGAACATTTGGGCCGCGCAAGGTGGGCTCACGCCTGTAATCCCAACACTTTGGGGGGCCAAGGGGGGTGGATCGTTTGAGCTCTCCTGAACAACATGACGAAATCCTGTCTCTACTAAAAATACAAAAATTAGCTGGGCGTGGTGGTGTGCACCTGTAATTTCAGCTACTCGGGAAGCTGAGGCTGGAGAATTGCTTCAACCCAGGGGGCAGAAGCTTCAGTGTGCCTGGATCACGCCACTGCACTCCAGCCTGGGCAACAGAGCAAGACTCTGTCTCAAAAAAAAAAAAAAAATGGAAAAGAAAAAAAAAAAGAACATTTTTAACTGAGAAGGTAGGGAAATGGTATCTCAGAATAGAGGCTCACCCTTAAATCAGATCTTGATGGAAAAGACGTGATGACTTTATTTTCTTCATATATCTGCAAAAAGAGGAAACTTCAGCAGAGGCTGCTGTGGGGCACAGACAAGTGTTTGGGGAGCCCTGGACTGTGAAATCCTTTAGGGATTAAAACTCAGAGGCTGGGAAGGAAGCGGCAGACAAGTGAATTGGGCCGCGTGGGGCCGTGGGGCCGTGGGGCCAGGACCGTGGGCAGAACTCAAGCCCACCTGAGAGGCGGGGCCAGGAAGCTGCAGCCAATGGCTGCCGTGGGGCGGGGCTCCAGTACAGTCTGACCTTCTGATTTGCCCAAAGAAGATGGAAACACATTCTCATCTTGTCATATAATTCCCAATTTAAGAAACAAAAAAAACACTCTGAAGGACAAATTTCATGACTGTTGTTTCCCCCAGAGATGAAGCTGGGGAACAGAAGTGACCCTATAGAACAGCAGACTCATCGAGTTTACCAGTAATGTTTCATTTCTTTATTTTTCTAAAAAAAATGACACGAAGCAAAAATGACTGGAAGCCACTAAAAGGAATGAAGTCGTGATACACGCTACAACGTGGATAAGCTCGGAAAAGAGGCCAGAAAACACAAAAGGTCACCTATTGCATGGTCCAGTTGATACAAATCCAGAAGGAATCAACCCTTAGGAACAGAAAGCAGATTCACCGTTGTCAGGGGCTGGGCAGCGAACAGGAGCTAGACGCAGAGATAGAGGCGATGGCTGTATAACATGGTGAAAGTGCTAAAGGACCCTGAATCGTGCACTTTAAAACGGTTCATTTTATGTCATGTTAATTTCACCTCAAAAAACATGACTGTTGTCAACTCTGGGTGATGTGCGTGAAATTATTCTTTTACATATTTTTCCCAATTTCTGATACACATATTGGAATATATTTTACCCACTGCACGGGTGAAATTCAACACAGTGCAGGGCCAGGACAGGCCCTTGAGGCACCGGTTTGCCGCGGTAGATCTCCATCATCCACGGTGCCCATCGGGTCACCTGGTCGTCACTCCACCGGCGGTCCCCACCCGGGAGACCTGCTTATCTCTCCCAGCCTCGGGAAAACTGCTCTGGTGGGATCAGAGATAAAAATAAATCTGCAGAATGTTGGGCCAGACACGAAAGAGAACAGGCTGTATGATTCCATTTATATAAAGTGCAGAAACAGACAAATCTGATCAATGCTACAGAAGCCAGGATGGTGGGGTCGTTGTGCGGTGGTGGTTGGGAGGGGCATGAAGGGGGTTGTGCTGGTCACTTCCTGTTTCTGAATCTGGATGCCGGCGGCACAGATGTGTTCAGTTTGTGAACGCTCCTGGGGCTGCACAATCGCGCATGCACTGTCCTGTATTACTTCGGCTTTAGAGAAGTTTTTAAAGAAATAATAAATGCATAAATCCATCAGATACATTGAATTTCCTGCCAAGCCTTTGAAATAGAGGCCCAGGCCTTGGCTTCAGGTTGCAAGACACCCGAGAGTTGAGTTTGTGGGATGTTGTACAGACGTGGGTCTCAAAGGCTTATTATAACTTTTTTTATGCAAACAGAAATTACCCCAGCACATCTGGAGACCAAGCTCCTAAAGCGGGTGTGAGTGCAGCTTGTCACTGTACCTTCGCAGCACGAGGAGAGGAGAGTTCGAAACCACAAAGCTCCTTCCTTTCTTTCAGGAGAAAGAAAATGGAGGATGGGAACGTCATCAGCCCAGACCAAAGCTGTTCTCAGGCTTAGAATCAGGGAAGGAACGTAATTGCAGAGGGCACACGCTCCTCTAATTTTTTGGAAAGAATCTGAACGCACTGGTGTGTTATTGAGTCCCTGGGGAAGCTGCTGCCCCTCCCCATACCCTCACTCCCTCCACAAGTTCACAGACACCTCGGAGGGAGCCCAGGAAAGGCTGTGAAAGGACCGCACCCAGAGTTGCCTTCCAGAGCCCCTGCTCCCCTCCCAGGCCAGCATACCGAGCCCTCTGAAGGGATCCCACAGCAGCAGCCCAGAAGTCCACATTTTCATGGAGTTTGTCCACATCCACAGCAAACAGCAGGCAGGCCGGGGATTATATAAGCTAATTACCCCATTCCTTCCCCTCAGTGCAGAAAAGGTCAGGTCCCCACAGCCAGCGGGCAGGCTCAGAGCACAAGTACAGCCCCCACCTCCATCCCCCGCCCCAGGGTGTGGGAGGAGAAAGGAGAGAAGGAAAAGAGGGAGGGAGGGAGGGACAGAGACAGAAAGAGAGGAGAAGGGAAAGAAAAACAGACAAGTAGAGGCAAAAACAAGGGAGAGAGAGAGACAGAAAGGCAGGCAGGCAGAAAAAGAAAAGAAAGGGAGGAAGACATTGAAAGGACAGGAAGACAGAGTGAGCGAGAAACGGGGAACAGGAGGGGATGGGAGGGAAGAAGATTTTCCTTTTTCCTTCCTTTTCTTTCTCTGAACTTCAGCACAGGGAGAATCTGCATTCCCAGGACAGGAGCACCTCCCCCAGCAGCCCTAGTGTGCGCTGAGCAACTGGGCAGAACCAGACTGCATGGGTTCAAGTCCCCACTGGCCACCCGCAGCCACTGCATCCCATTATCCCAGGTGAACGGTTTCCTCTTGAGTGATCAGGGCCTCGTCTGTGTCCTCCCTGTAGTGTGGAGAGGACATGGATGGACTCTGCGTTTATGCCCCGGCAGGCACGCACCATAGGGGCTGTGCCTTGGAGCTTGGAATAGGGATTCCTCCAACAGCAGCCATCACTTGAGAAGGGGCCACAGCTCCATCTACCCAGGAGAGGGCCAGATTATGCCCATACTGCAGGTTAGCATCTGTCCCATAGAGAAGGGTCCTGGTGTGGTCACTTGTTCTGTCCCTGGGTGACGGGATGGACAAGGGGGATGGTGGTGATAGTCCCCATGTTAGTCACCAGCTGGGAGCTGGCTTGGGTTCAGGTCTCACTTCCATCACTAACTTAGGCCGGGCTGGGGCACCAGGTCCTGGCTTGGCTTGCGCCCTGAGTAGAGCTGGTCCTGACAGCGGAGACCCTGTGCCCAAGTCCCCCCTGGGAAGTCAGTGTCCCCATAAGGGCAGTTGAGTCCAATGTGCAGAGGCCCTGAAGGAGGTGATCGTACTTCTATCCCTGGTCCCCCACTCTCCAGCCATGAGTGTTGGGCAGCCCCTGATGGGGCCCTGACCTATAAAATGGGGGTCTCATAGCTGACTTCAAAAGACCCTGGGGGGACCCACTCAGATGACTCACAGGGTGGGTTCTCGCAGTGGCTGCCAGCTGTCCCCACCATTACCCTTGGAGACCACAGGCCCAATCTGAGGAGCCTCTTACGAGAGGGGGTCATGAGTCTGGGGCTTACTGGGGCTCTCGAGATACTCATTCCCCACTTTCTTCCAACCCCCTAGAAGCGCCTCCAGCCCCCATGCCCCTGGGCTGATGAGAAATTCAGTTCCAGCCAAATGGAGGCTGCTGTTACGCCCGCACCTTCTCAAAGCCCCAGAGGCCTAGCATGGAGCCAAACTCTTGGGGAAGCCCCGAACTCTCAGTTCACAATGGTCAGTCATCACTTACAAGAACAGCAAGGGCAACTATTTATTGAGCACTTCTTTTATGCCAGGCATTGCTCTAAGTGCTTTATGTGTTTAAATAATCCTGACTGCAGATTACAGAGGGGCACCATTCCTATCGCAGATGAGGCTCGCCTAAGGCCACCAGCAAAGTGATTCAGCCTACTTCAAACCCTGAGGTGTGGCTCTGGTCCCTAGGCTCTTGATATACATAGACCCTAAGGGTCTCTTGAGGGCAGAGGCCAAGAGGTGGAGGCAGAGGGGCTTTGGAGAAGCAGGGGCCTGGGCATCCAGGGTCTAGCCTGGCAGGAATTCCTGGCAGCCCTACCAATGCAGACTCTGCCATCTGCCCAGGAAGCTGTGAGACTGGGCTGTGGCCCCCCCAGCCCTAGGACCCCCTCCCAGCTTGGTGGCTGTTTTTCTCACTATCTCAGCCATGCCCCCCACAAGGCATCTTCCTTTTGAAAATAAAAACCAGGAGTGGGCAATTTCAGTCCCCCACTCCATACCACAAAACCCTGATGAAGGAGTTCCACTGCCTTCTGGGAAGAGGAGAAAGGAAACACACACACACACACACAAGAGCAAGTCACAAATTAACATCACAGCACATGAGGTAGGCACACCTGCATTTCTGCAGACACGCCTGGGCTCAGGAGACTGCCAAGCCCCAACCAGCCTGTGTCCTGCAGGGATGTATATCCCACTTCCAGCAACAGTAGGGCCCTGACATTTAATCCTGAGGAGGTGACCCCCACTGGCATCTCTGAACTGGGCCTTGACAAATAGCAGTCACTTCTGAATCCATTCCCCCAAAAGGTCACCAGCCAGACGCCAACAAAAAACCCAGCCATCGCTGTCACATGCCGTCAGTCTTCCCCCACCCCCACCTTCTCCCCCATCTGTCTGGCTTGTGGAATCCTGTTCTGGCAGGAAGGTACTAGCCAAGACCCCCACCTGCCAGGGCCTGTCACCCTCCTGACTCCCAGAATTCCCTCCTTCCCCCTCACCAAGTGGGGGATTCTCAAGCCTCTGTCCTCACCCCGGGGAGGACCACCAGGGTAGTGGGCCCAAACCCTCCCCTGCTGCCTGGGGTCAGACACAACGGGCTTGCCTTGAAGCAGAGGGGCCAAGGGTCCTTCCCTACACCTGGAGAAACCAAAGCCCCATGACCAAGTGTTGGCCCCATACCCTGGGAAAGAAAACCCTCTGTGAAAGTACAGCAATCCCAGCTCCCTCCCTAGTCTGGGCCCTAATCCACCCCAGATACTTCCTCAGTTTGCAACAAAAATCGCTAAGCAGCTCTCACAGGTCTCATCTCCTTCACCAAAGCAGTCCGCCGAGCCTCAGCCACCACTACCATGTGGCGCCACGCACAGGGTGCAGGCTGAGAGGTGTGGCTTCTCCACGGATCAACTCGAATCAGCCTCTCAGTCATCGGCTGCATCTTCATCCCAGAAACCGCCCTTGACCAAGCATCCTGCCAGGAGCTCCCTTTAGCTACATTTTCCCAACTAACGTGTCCAAGTGTGCTTTTATCTGAAAGCCTTACTTTTTTATGGTTTTCTTTTCAAATTATGAAAATTAATGCATATTTACCTACTGTAGAAAATGAGTGAGACATAAAACACACAAAGAGGAAAGTAGGGTTCCCCTGCCAGACTTGGCCGGGACTGAGAAAGTGAACTGCCCTCTGTGGGAGTGACTCTTGAAAGCCTTGGGATGTGCTCCTGGCTTCCCCAAACATGCCCACATTCCATAATATCTAGTTTCCATCTTAAGCCACTGTCCTGGGAGGAATCCAGGCCCCCATCACTTATTCACTCCCTCATTCCAGACCTGGGTTCGAATCCTAGCAGCCCCGTGACCACCTCCCCGGCTTCCTCATCACAATATGGGGCTGTTGCAAGGATTTGATGAAGTTCACCCCACAAAGCCCTTTCCACAACGTCTGCCTACAGTAAGTGCTCAAGAAACAGCACCAATGAATGTTAACATCACCACCATCACAGTGGTATCAAGGGTCTCTGCTTAACAGAGGCATGGTCTGAAGTGAGGATTTGAGGGCAGGTAGTTTATAGGGGAGGTGGTCCCAGGAAGTCCAAGGAGTAGGCAGGTGAGACTGAGGAGGCTAATCAAGGTGTCATCAAGGCCAGCTGCCACATGGGCCCCAGAGGAGAGGTGCTGGACACCCTCAGGGTTATCTCACCTGTGGGGCAAGGGAGCTGGGGTATTTATCCTCCGTTCCCACCATCACTGGCTGGGGGCTGCTCTTGGGGGAACTTAGCTTCCTGGGATGTGGGTCCAGACTGGAATGGTGAGTACAGGGAACTGGGCAGAACCAGTGCAGGTGCTGTTCAGTGCTGGATCTGTGCTTGGAGGTGGGGACACAGACAATTCAGGTTCTAGGCTCTCCAGGGACTCCCCCTGGAGACTGGAAGGTGGACCTAGGAGTGGAGACTCATATTGCTGCAGCCATTCACAAAATGCTTCCTCTTCTCTCCGTATTTCTCCCTCACTCTTCATTGCCACAAACAGGACAGGGGCCCCAGGGGCAGGGTCATGCACTCCGCCCTGGCTCCTGGTCACGCTCCCACCTCGGCAACCCCCCGGAGTTCAGTGGAGACCCTGCATCCTGGGTCCACACCAGCCTTGTTCACAAGACAAGGTGACAGAGGCCATGCGTTCAGATGTGGAGCAGGGAGACTTGAGTATGACTCGACCTTTTACCTGATGGTCCCGGGACTTCGGGAGGAGATCTGCCCTGCTGAGCCTCTGCTTCTACATCTGCAAAGTGAGACTTACAGGCTTGGCCGCCTCTTTAGGCTGCGTGAAGAATCTGGAGATACAGGGAACATTCAACACACACTGAGTGCCTGGGTCTGCTCATGGTTTCCCAATTCAGATCCAAGAAAAGCACGCTGCTGCCCCGCAAGACCAGAACACAGAGCCCCTCCCTCCCCAGGAGCCGGACCTGAGCAGCAGGGGGTTAAAGAGCAGTACCCGGGCTGTCCCCGGGTCAGGGTCGTTTGCACGAAGGCAGAGCCGCGGAAGAGGGAAGGAAATGCCCCGGGTCCCAGGCGGGGCCTCGAGCGTGCCCACGCCGCCCCCTGCTGGCCACGCCTGGAGTTGCAGGAACCGGGCGCCGGGCGGGACCTCAGCTGCGGGCTCCGCGCTGCTCCCGCGCCGCGTGGGTGAAGCGCCCTCCCCGGCCACGCACTGGGGTCTCACAGGGGCCAGGCTGAAAAACAATGCACGCCTTAAAGGCGGGAGGCTGGCCTGGCGCAGGCTGAGGAACACTGATGAACGACCTCCTGCAAAGGATTGTCCCCAGAGGACAGGGCTAGGGGGAAGCAGGACGGCGCAGCGTCTACACCCCCGCGCGTGGGTGGCCCCCGGAACTGCCCACACCCCTGGCTCCCGGGTCAGCCGGTCACTGCCAGATGCACCACCCCCACCGCCACAGCCAGGAGAGGGGATGACATGGGGTGGGAAATTCAAGGGAGAGCCCAAAAAATCGTTCTTCAAAATAAATCGTATTTTGAAAATTCAAAATCAATGCAAGCATATCCAAGAACAAAATATCAAAACTGTAAATGAAGTCAGGATCAGTAGTACTGATTTGTCCTTTTGCCTAGGGCTGCAATACGGCTAGGCCCAGCGCTGTTATTTATCTGTCATTATTTAAAGCTTTGATATTAAGCCAGTCGAGGTGGCCCACACTTGTAGTCCCAGCACTTTGGGAGGCTGAGCGGGGAGGATCACTTGAGGCCAGGAGTGGGAGACCAGCCTGGGCAACATGGTGAGACCCCATCTCTACAAAAAATACAAAAATTAGCCAGGTGTGGTGGCCCACGGTTGTGGTCCCAGCTACTCAGAAGGCTAAGCAGGAGGATCACCTGAGTCCAGAGAGGTAAGGCTGCAGTGAGCTGTGATCACACCGCCACTGCCCTCCAGTCTGAGTAACACAGTGTCTCAAAAAAAAAAAAAAAAAAGAAAAAAGAAAAAAAAAGCTTTAATATTTTGTATATCATGAATTTTTTTGCATTGATTTTGATTTTTTCAAAGTCACACTAAAATATCCTCTATCTTGATTACAGGGTTTTGGGAGTTGTGCTTTTTTAGCATTTCCTTAAATTTTGCACCCAAGGCGATGGCATCACCTGCCTCACCCTAGCCGTGGTCCCTCCCTCCTGCTTCTTTCTGTGGTCTCTCCCCAGGGGCTCTGGATCTCTTAACTCCTCAGGCCTCCCCACCAGGCAAGGTTCACCACCCCTCCTTCCAGCAGCCTCTAGAAGGTGGAACGGGCAAGGAAACGGATTCTACGCTAGAGCCTCCCGAGGAGAACACAGCTGGCCGGCACCTGGATTTTAGCCCAGGAGACTGTGACGGATGCTGACCTCCAGAGCTGTGGGGTAGCACAATTGTGTTGCCTTACACTCTGAAATTTGTGACAGCAGCCACAGTGCCCTCCAGGATGCTTTTTTTTTTTTTTTTTTTTTTTTTTTTTTTTTTTTTTCTGAAATGGAGTCTCGCTCTGTTGCCTAGGCTGGAGTGCAGTGGCGTGATCTCAGCTCACTACAACCTCCGCCTACAGGGTTCAAGTGATTCTCCGGCCTCAGCCTCCCAAGTAGCTGGGATTACGGGCACCCACTACCACGCCCGGCTAATTTTTGTATTTTTAGTAGAGACGGGTTTCACCATGTTGGCCAGGCTGGTCTCGAACTCCTGAGCTCAGGTGATCCACCAGCCTCAGCCTCCCAACGTGCTGGGATTATAGGCATGAGCCACTGTGTCCGGCACCAGCATGCTTTAAGGAGTCGTGGGACCCCTGGAGATGACACAGGAGAGAGAGAGCGGGTCAGGGGAGAAGGTTGGCCTCACTCACACACCACTGACCCTGGATCAGTCTCCTTGGGCTGCCATAACAAACGATCAGAGACTAGGGGGCTTAAAACAGCACAGATTGACTCTCATAGTCTGGAGGCAGAAGTCAAAAGTCAAGGTGTCAGCCGGGCCACGCTCCTTCCAAAGCCTCCAAGGTAGGATCCTTTCTGCCTCTTCCAGTTTCTGGTGGCTCCAGGCTTTCCTGCAGTGGCTTGTGGCTACATCACTCCCAAACCTGCCTCTGTAGTCACATCAAACTCTCCTCCTCTGACTCCAATCTCCCTCTGCCTCCCTGTTCTGACACTTGAGATGGCATGACTGCTTACTCTACCTTAGCTGGACCTCATCTTCAAGGGACTACAGAAAAGAACAGGACCCCTGGGTCTTACCAGCTGAGACTGCTGGAGCTCAGAGGCAGTGCTCTCTCAAATAGGCTGGGGAGCTTCATGACTACCCCCAGCTCCTCTCACCTGTCCTTCCTCTGCCAATGGAAAACAAAAAGAACTGACCGAGCTGGCCAAAGGAGTTTGGACCATAGGGGATCTTTGGAAGGGTGTAGGGTCTTGCTCTCTCTTGGCACTCCCTTCTCCTTGTGAGATCTTTTCCTCTTTAGCTGGAATGAGGAATGCAGCGTTCCACTGCCCATCTAGACGGCTTGCTAGGGTCAAAATATAGAAAATAAAAAGGGGAGATTATCTGCCCTCACCCAGATGATGCTGGATAAATTCCCCATCCCAAGAGCCTTGTTTTAATCATTCATGAAAATACCTTTTTTTCCCAAATAAGGTCACATTTACAGGTTCCAGGGATTGGGACCTGATATCTTTGGGGCCCATTTCTCAGCTTCCCAGGGGCCCTGTGACATGCCAGCTGCTCTCTGGGACAGGCGAGGGACAGCCGTTTAAGAGCTCAGCTGCCAGACAGACCTGAGTGCCCCCGCCAGCTCTACCCTCACTTACTGGGACCCTTGAGACAAGTGACATCGACTCTTTGAGCCTCAATTTCCTCCCTTCTACAGTGGGGAGCTGGTCATGTCTTATGAACAGTCTTTGGCACCAGAGAGACACTGTGTCAATGCTAGTGCTGATGACATGATCTCTAGCTGGGGAATCCTGACTGGTGTTGGTCAGACTGCCCTGACCACTCTTTGTGCTGCCCATAGTGAGCTCTGTGGCCTTGAACAAATGGCCTTACATCTCTGAGCCTCAGTTGCCTGGTCTGTGAAATGGGGGAATGGCCGTGCCCATCTGACATGTTCATTGGAAGGATTAGATGAGATGGTGCATGTAGAAAGCTTGGCTCCTTGCAGTGGCTGCCTCCACCTGCCTGTGCCCACTGCCTGCAGGAGGAAGCCAGGGGACGTGGCGGGAGTGCTGGTACCCGGGCCTCCTGTCCTTCTCGGAGGGCTTGGCTGCCCCAGCTCCCTGCAACCTCAGGTGCCGCTGCATCGTTCAAACACGAGGTGTGTCACATTTTTACATGGTCAGCTGTCATTTCATGTCATTTCTGGTGACAGGAGCTAACCTCCCAGGACACCTCACTCATGCTCAGTGGTTTATGATCCCCACAGATGGAATTACAGCTTTATTATGGATAAATGGCCACATATAATCCCATATTTTATTTTTATTTATTATTGCTAATTATATGGGCAAACCCTTGTGACTTAGGGGAACACATAAATTATCTCTAAATCATTCCTGCAGAGTTGATTTCCAAAGAAAGGAGAGTTAACAGGCCTATCTGGGCTGGAGGGCGATGTTATATATATATATATATATATATGTTTTACATATAAATGTATATTTACATAGACGTACCTCATACATATCCATACATGTCAGATATGTATCATATTTATTTTTTTCCCACCACCTTCAGTCTCCCAGGATTTGGGGGTCATATTTTCAAAGGAAGACTGTGAAGGACAATTTGAAGGCAATCTGAATTGTTAACCTGGTGAAGCCACAGTCCTCTTATTCACCTGAACACTCATCTAGGTATTGCTGTGATGGTGTTTGGTAGATGTGATTAAAGCCCATGATGTCAAGTAAAGGAGACTATCCGGGATGTCCCAGGTGGACCTGATCCAATCCATCAGTGGAAAGGATTTAGAACTGGGCTGAGGCTCCCTGCAGAAGAAGAAATTCCTCCTGTGACAGTGGCCTGAGAGGTGCTTGAGAGACCCAACCTGTCCTCACCGTCTCTCCATGGATTCCGAACTTGCCTGGCCAGGCCCCACAGTCACCTAAACCAACTCCTCCCAATAAATCCCTCAATATCTTCCTCCTGCTTGTTTATTCTCTGGTTGAATCCTGACTGATACAAGGACCACAGAGAATTACTCCTCATGAAACATGGCCAAGATGCTAATGCTCTAAGAGCTGGCACAAAACACCTTAAACGGAATTGTTGGAGTCCTCGGGACCCATACACCCTGGGAGTCCAGGGCAGCCACAGAGAGACTCCAGAGGCCGGCAACATACTGAAATGCCCTCAGGAGCCTTTAGTCCACCCTCTCCGGGGAAAACAAGGCTCAGAAAGGGTGCATTACCACCTTGAGACCACCCAGGGACACCCAGGCTGCCTGTAGCAGCTCCCATTCCCCAGTGACTGCTCCAAAGCACCCTCCCTAAGCTGGTGATTATACTGTTAGTGGCTTGAAACAATAGCCTCATGCTTTGTGTGTCAGAAACCTGGGCAGGGCTCAGCTGGGATGGTTCATCTCTGCTCCACACGGTGTCAGCTGGGGTGACTCAGTTAGGGCTAAAGGATCCGAGATGGCTTCACTCTCATGCCTGGTGTCATGGCTGGCGGGGCTGGAAAACTGGGAGCTGGCTGGGCACCCCTCTCTCTCTCCCTGCCCCACAATGACCTCCCAACTATTCCTCTTTCCATCAGAGTTGTCAGATCTCTTTACATGCCACCTCTAAGAACCCAAAAGAGTAAAGGCAGAAGCTACCAGGCCTCTCACTGCCTAGCCCAAGACTGGAGTAGTATCAGACAAATCCCAGGCCAGCCCAGAATTAAGGGGAGAGGAAATAGACTCCTCTTCCAATGGGAAGAGTGGCATGTACACACAGGGACAGGAGGAATTGTTGGTAGCTGTGGGAGGCTACATAATGCCCCCCAAAATGTCTAGGTCCAAATCCCTGTTCCCTGTGAATATGTCACCTTATGTAGCAAAACGGACTTCACAGATGTGCTTAAGAACCCTGAGATGGAGAGATGATCTGGGTTATCCAGCTGGGTCCTGAATGTTCAAGGGTCTTAACAAGAAGGAGGCAGAGAGAGATCTCACTACAGAAGGAAGAAGGCAATGTGACAATGGAAGCAGAGAGAGGCTGGAGGATGCTGCTCTGCTGGCCTGGAAGATGGAAGAAGGGGCCACGAGCCAAGGAGTACAGGTGGCCTTTGGAAGCTAGAAAAGACAAAGAATCGATTCTCCCCCAGAGCCTCCAGAAGGGATGCAGCCCTGCAGCCACCTTCATTTCATTCATGAAACCATTTAGGCCTTCTGGCCTCTAGAACGGGAAGAAAATAAAATATGTGTGCTTTAAGAGACTGAACTGTGGCCATGTGTTACAGCAGCTGCAGGAGGTGAATGCAGCTGCCGTCTCTGCAGACAATCACCATGGGGACTTTCGACCTCCTTGACCACAATGCCCTCAATGCCTGGCACAGGGTGCTCAATACTTATGTGGGTTGGGGAGAGCCAGCTTCACACCCCCCAGGGCTCTCTCTCCTCCCCATCAGGCTCAGACACAGAAGGCCAGCTGCCTGGAGCTCTCTGCCACACAAACCCTCCCCTCAGAAGGGACACACCCACCTATCCGTCTCTTGGGCCAGGCCTCCTTCACTTCTTCCTCCCCACCTCCTCCTCCCTACCTTCCTGGACCCAGGCCTCTCCATTCACCCCTGGGGCAAGCAAAGCCCCAGGCCTCCTCACCTCCAAGTCTTGCCTCTCCCTGGAGAGGGACAAGACCTCTCACTTCCCATCTGATTCCGCCTCATTCTAAGGAACCCATGTTTCTCCAGCCAACAAAAAGCAGAAGCTTTGGAGTAGCACAGGCCTCGGATGGAATCCTGCCTCTGAGATGGGCTTGTTGTGTGAGTATGAGTGAGAGGCTGGATTTCTCAAGCCTCAGTTTGCCATCCCAAAGGTGACCACCTCCCTTGTACTTCCCATGTGTCTGCATGTGCATCCACGTATGTGTGCACACCTATGTGTGCGTGTGTGCATGTATGCCTGTGTGTGTGTTTGCACCTGTGTGTATATGTGTGTGTGTATTTGGGCTGGGGAGTATTAAACTAGATGAGGTGTGGTGAGCAGCTGGTGCACGGCTGTGCAGTGGGCATCTCAGGTGTGGTACATCAACAGCAGCTCCTCTGACCTCTGTCTCTAAAGCCAGCTCTTCCCACACTCTTCCCAAGCTCAGCACATAGAAGTTTGCTAAGGCTGGGAAACTAGAAGTTATCTCACACCCCACACCCTTCTGGCAAGCAAATCCTCATCAGTTCTGTCTCAAATCTCTCCAGAATCCACAAGCTTCTCACCTGCTCAGAGCCCCAAGAGGAGGGTCCGGGCCACCCCACCAGGCAAGCTGCCCAGACCAGCAGAAGTACGGGCCAGAGACAGGGTGTCTAGAGGGGCCGTGGAGGAGGGAGAAGGTCAGTGTCAAGGGGCAGCCTCAGGGACAACAGCTCCCCTCACCACCCATCTCCCAAGAAAGCCCTAAAAACGAGGGCTCTGCATCCAGGCAGGGTGGGATCCAAGAGGTGGTGAAGGGAGAACTAAGAGGATGTCTGAGGGCCAGACATGGTGGCTCATGCCTGTAATCCCAGCACTTTGGGAGGCCAAGATGAAAGGATCATTTGAGGCCAGGAGTTCAAGACCAGCCTGGGCTACAAAGCAAGACTCCATCTCTACAAAAATAAAAATAAAAGAGGGTGGCTGGACAGCAGATGGCAACCAGTTCAGAAAGTTATGGAACTTTTTCATGAAGCCAAAGATCTATTGAGTCACTGATGTGTTGGATAGCGTGGAGGTCTCTGGGTAACCGGTGAAAAGTTGAAGTTGAATGAATCAGAAGGACACTTAAAAAAAAAATAAAAAAACTAAGCAAGCAAGTAATGTTGCAGTTATTAACCCCAGGGAAAACAAAGCTGGGTAGAAAAGCAAGAATTTCATAGTTTATGACATGGTCCAGGACATTTACAAAGTAATAATATTGGAAACATGGAATATTGATCTAGGCAACTTTATCTTATGTCATATGGCTCAGAAAGGAGGGTGGACTTGTGTGGCGAGCACGTGTGTAAGGAAAGAGAGGGAAGCCCTTGTTTCTGAGGAAGGAAGTCCACGGGCAATGCCTGCAGCTGCTCCATCCAGACGGAGCAGGCCAAGCATGTGGTTTAGGTGCAAAGAAAAAAATGGCTGAGATAATCAAGTCAAAGTGTGGGATCTCCCTGGTCAGGCAGGTGCAATGGATACCACCTTTTTTTTCCCTAACAACCTTTATGGAAATATTTGGCTCTAAGCATAGTAATGACTTTGATTAAAACATAAATTTGAAAATAAGAGTCCCATTTGGTTCTAAATGGTATTTCATTTAAACTGTGCCAGCACATGGTAAGCACAGAATAAATTAATGAATATTCCATCCAAATCCCTCCTCCCACGCAAAGGCCAACCTGGGCTCTGGGAGAGTGGAAGGGGGCACGGCCACGCTTGGGCCAGCCCCTCTAGTCCACGCTTTCTCATCCTTCCCACGCTGGAGCCAGGTGACATTGGTGAGGGGAAGGCCGGAGCAGCCCACCCTCATGTTGGTGGTGGTGGTCAGCCCCACAGTTTTTCAGTCATTCCAGCTAGTGGCATCTTGCCACACCCCTGACACACATGCTTCTGTGCCGCACTGCAAGGATTCCTGGTAGGGTGAAATCCCCGATCCCATTGACCTTTCATGACCCAACTCTGGGGGCATGCAAGATGAGTGAGCTCCATTCCCCTTTCTCAGGACCATGAGCATCGAGGGGTGGTGATATTGGTCATACCAGGACATTTCTCCCCAGCACTCTCACCTCCACAAGGGAAGAGAGCCAAATAAACGTCCAACTAGGGAAAGAGAAGTCAGCCTCCCATTTTTTTCAGACGTCCCCAACCTTCCTGGGCTTCTCCTGAGTTGGTCTTTTTTCTGTAGGAGGAGGAGAACCTATTGAAATTGAATCCCCCAGGGGAAAAAAATGGTATTGAAGCCCTTTACATTACAAAGTTTGTCATAAAATCAGATGTCCTCAAAAATATTTTAACAACATGGCTGGGCGCAGTGGTTCATGCCTGTAATCCCAACCCTTTGGGAGACCGAGGCGGGCAGATCACCCGAGGTCAGGAGCTCGAGACCAGCCTGGCCAACATGGTGAAACCCCATCTCTACTGAAAACACAATAATTAGCCAGGCGTGGTGGCTCACACCTGTAGTCCCAGCTACTCAGGAGGCTGAGGCAGGAGAATTGCTTGAACCCAGGAGGCAGAAGTTGTAGTGAGCTGAGATTGCACCACTGCACTCCAGCCTGAGTGATAAAGCGAGATTCTGTCCCAAAAAATAAAATAAAATATGTTAACAACAAAGTTGTGCTTGAGGAAGGCATATTATCTTAAAAAGGAGAAGGGTGTTTCAATAAATGCTACTTTGGGAGGCTTGCCTTGATGTCATCAACAAGAAAGGAGAAAGCAGCCCATTGATTTTGTTATTATCTGGAGGTATCTTCGCATAGCAATTATTGCTTCTCATTGTAAACAGGTGTGTTAGGCAGAAGGCTAAGGTGAGCCCATGATTCCTGCCTCTGATGTCAGTACCTTTGTATGGCCCTTTCCCTGGAATGTGAATGGAATCTGTGACTTGCTTCTAACTGATGGACCGAGGCCAAGGTGAGGGCTATCGTGCCCGTGATTATGTTAAATTATATGGCAAAGGTGAAGGAATTTTGCAGATATCATTAAGGTCCCTAATCGGTTGACTTAAAGTTACTTGAAAGGGAGATTATCCCTTGTGGGCCTGACCCACTCTGGTGAGTTCTCTAAAAGAAGGTGAGAAGTGAGAGCCTCTCTCTTGTCCCTCTCTCTGTCTCTTTCCTGCTGGCCTCGTAGAAGCAGCAAGCTGCCCTGGAGTGGATTCTACAGCCACAGGGAAATGGATTCTGTCAACAGCTTGAGGGCGCTTGGGAGCAAAGTCTTCCCTCCAGATGAGAAGGCAGCTCTACTGACACTTTGTGAGACCCTAGAGGAAAACCCAGATAAGCTGTGCCCAGACTTCTTACCTAAGAACTGGGAAAGAATAAACAACTATTGTGTTAAGCCACTAATTTTGTGCTAATTTGTTACACTGCAATAGAAAACTAATGTAATGAGTCTATTAAAATCTCTTTAAAATGCAATAAAGCAAGTGACTACACTTCGAGATCACTGGCTTACACCTACAGGACAAATGGGGAGAGCCATCCTAATATGCTGCAAACGTGCCTTACGATGAAATGGGGATTGACAGCCCTATGGGGGGAATTTGGAAAGTGCTGTGTGTCCCACAACTTGGGTGGGAGTGAAGACACTGAGCTGTGGAAAGCATCACTCAGACATCGAGGGGCTGGTGATGACCAAGAGGCTGGAGGAGGCCCAGCGGAAGAGTTGACATGAAACTTACTCATGAGATGCGCCAGAGGGAACTGGCCATGTTTTTGATTCACACCTCGTGTTGTATAGTATGTGATTTTTTTTTTTTTTTGAGATGGAATCTCTGTCTATTGCCAGGCTGGAGTGCAGTGGCACAATCTCGGCTCACTGCAACCTACTTCTTCCAGGTTCAAGCCATTCTCCTGCCTCAGCCTCCTGAGTAGCTGGGACTACAGGCCTGCGCCACCACACCCAGCTAATTTTTGTATATTTAGTACAGATGGGGTTTCACCATGTTGGCCAAGGTGGTCTCGATCTCTTGACCTCATAATCTGCCCACCTAGGCCTCCCAAAGTGCTGGATTACAGGCGTAAGCCACCGTGCCCAGCCTAGCATGTGATTTTTAAATTGTCAACCCCGAAAATCTGAGACAGGTCTCAGTTAATTTAGAAGTTTATTTTGCCAAGGTTGAGGATGCGTACCCGTGACACAGCCTCAGGAGGTCCTGACGACATGTTCCCAAGGTGGTTGGGGCACAGCTTGGTTCTATACATTTTAGGGAGACAAGAGACTTCAATAAATATGTGTGAGATGTACATTGGTTCAGTCTGGGAAAGTGGGACACCACCAGACGAAGGCGGGACAACTGGAATCGGGGAGGAAGCTTCCAGGTCATAGGTAGATAAGAGACACACAGCTGCGTTGTTTTGAGTTTCTGATGAGCCCTCCAAAGGAGGCGATGAGATATGCGTTTATCTCAGTGAGCAGAGGTGACTTTGGATAGAATGGGAGACAAGTTTGCCCTAAGCAGCTCCCAGCTTGACTTTCCCCTTTAGCTTAGTGATTTGGCAGCCCCAAGATTTATTTTCCTTTCACAAAACGTATGTATATAACTAGTTAAATAAACATTGTAAAGGCATTTGGCCTCTACATCTCTCTTTGTTTTTAGATCTTTTTAGAAAATCAGGGAGAGGCTGTTTCAGTTCCCCCCATACATTCAAATGCTATTTGCTGTAAATGGATTCAGGGGCATCTGTTTCCCAGATAGGGGGTAGATCACTGAGCTTGCAAGTAGGGGAGCCAGGACACAGAGCAATCGCCTCCAACTCAGAGACATCCTTTCAAGACTACATTAGGTGAACATGGAGAGAAGAAAGTTTCCAGGCCCAGAGAACCAGCAGATGACAGGGAAGTCGAGGTAGCCCTGGGGCGTTGTGGAGCCCTGGGAGTTAGCCAAGACCCCTCCACTGGAACCACAGGTGTCCACGGGCAGCAAGTCCCCGTCCCCCTAGACTCCTAGCAAAGTTCCCACCTTAGGTGCTAAAACTCACACCTCTTCACCAACACCTACTTGAAACTCCTCACCTTCCAGAGATAATAACTTGGCTTTCAGGACAATTTCATTTGTGTTAATGGAAAAAAAAAATCCTTGGACTAAGGCTTTTAATGACCAGTCATACCTTTCTCATTCCCCAGCCCACTGAGAAAAGGATCTTGTCCATTTACTCTCCCGAAAACGATATGTGGGGTAATGTGTTCCAGGAACCTCTCAGGTCTTAATGGCAGAGAAAGCCCATGTGGGGGCCACACTTTGATTTAATGACATATACTCATTTAGTGCATGGACAGCTAAAAGCTAAAATGCAGTGACTACAAAATTACTGTCAAATTCTACCTTTTTGTTTATTTTGCTTTGTTTCAAGTTCCATATACTACCAAATGTTCTCAAAGTTAGATAAAAGCTACACATTAAATTTGGTTTCCAAACTAGGTCAATCTAGGAAAAGAAAAAGATGTTGTTGCCTTTTTAATTCTAAAATAATGTAATGAGAAGAAAT
Organism: Homo sapiens; assembly: GCF_000001405.40. NCBI lineage: Eukaryota > Metazoa > Chordata > Mammalia > Primates > Hominidae > Homo > Homo sapiens. The sequence continues at coordinate 58,191,009 of NC_000020.11, forward strand.
ACACATGCTTTCTGCTCAATACTTTCCTTCAGAAAACCACCTTTCCAACTCCAGTCAGCCCCACTCCTGCAATCATGTGTCAGTCATAGGACTCCACCCCCAACACATGCACGTGCCAAGAACCAGTCTGGTCAGTTAGAATCCTCCATCCTGGCCGGGCGCGGTGGCTCACGCCTGTAATCCCAGCACTTTGGGAGGCCGAGGCGGGCGGATCGCGAGGTCAGGAGATCGAGACCATCCTGGCTAACACGGTGAAACCCCGTCTGTACTAAAAATATAAAAAATTCGCCGGGCGAGGTGGCGGGCGACTGTAGTCCCAGCTACACGGGAGGCTGAGGCAGGAGAATGGCGTGAACCCGGGAGGCGGAGCTTGCAGTGAGCCGAGATCGCACCACTGCACTCCAGCCTGGGAGACAGAGCGAGACTCCGTCTCAAAAAAAAAAAAAAAAAAAAAAAAAACCCTCCATCCTACAGAGCCACAGGGATTGGTTCTAAGATGTGCATGTGACCCAAACTGGCTAATCAGGGACTTCGCTGAGATTTGATGCCAGGAGAGACTTTCTCCTTCTCTCTGGGGTCTTAAGCTATGAAGACCACATAAGCTAGAGCTCCTGCCTCCATTGTTCCCTGACACATGGAAGGACCTGTCTGCAGGAAAAGAGGAAGACACAGATAAATGCAGAGACAGTGGAGATAAGAGAGAAAGAGAGAGAACAACCTGATTCTATCATCTGACTCCCTGGAGCCCCTAAACCCAGGGGACCATGAACTTTTCAGTGTCTTGAGCCAGCAATGCCCTCTTTGCACTTAAGCCAGTTTGAGCTGATTTTCTGTCAGTTACACCCAGAGATGTCCTGAGTGATACAGAGAATTTCTGTCAGTCATTCACTCACTCGGACAAGAAAGACACAGTCCCTGATCCACAGCCAGCAGAACCGAGCAGAGGTCACAGTCACTAGACAAATAATTGCACAGAGTGTCAGTCAGAGACAGGAGTGACAGGTGCCACAAAGGAGAAGCTGGGGTCTTCAGGGGAGTGTGCAAAGAGGATCCCAATCCCAACTGCAGAACTCAGGGGACCTTCGCCCAGAAAGTGACCATGAGATCCTACAACAGCTCCTTCATTCCTCAGTTTTGCTTTGTAGGATTTTCTTTTTTGAGTTCAAAAGTCTTCACTGATACCACTCTGTGGGTGAAAGAGGATATGCACACGCGCACGCAGACACATGCACACATAAACACGCACACATGCCCAGAAGCACATCCCGGCACACACAGACATGCATGCACCCAGACTCACATGCATGCATGCATTAACACACGGAGATATGCACAGAGACACATGCAGAAACACACCCTGGCACCCAACCACGATTCAGCCATATCTGGATGCATTGGACAAATCGGATTCAAATTCTAGCTCCCCTGAGCTCCCGTGAGCCTCAGGGTCTCTTCCTGTAAAGTGTGGAGATGGCGGTCCCCCTCACAGGTGTGTGAGCACTCAGTGAAGATGGATGTGAGTGAAGGTTTTAGCTCCAAGCTGGTCATGGCGCTAGAAGTCACCCTCATCATTAATGAGGAAAAAGTCATGTCTGTATCCAAGAGAGCAGGTCACATGGGAAATGGCACCCTTCCTAAGCAATCTGTAAGAGTCAGCAGTCGGCCCTGCTGGAGACCCTGACAGCATCACGGGGAAGTTGGGGTCTTGTTCACCCCTCACCTGCAACCCAGGGATGGGGCCGCTGCAGCAGTGCCCAGGGACACCAGCAGAGGGCAGTGGTGGCCAACAGACCCATTTATGAGCACTTGTGTGACCCCCGCTAGAAATGCCTGGGGTGGAGAGGACATGGGGGCTTTTCTGGGATCCCGGGAAAGTAAATGACCAGGACAAGACTGGGTGACATCTAGGCTATCAATGTGGCCCTATTTGTACCCAAAGGTTGGTGCAAAAAGTGCAAAGTGCAGGTCCCATCAGTGACATTCATAATTCTTCCTTGCAGAGGGGGAATAAAACTGGACCTAGAAAGGAATGAGGTTGGGAGTGGGGGTTCAAAGAAACCCCATGAGTGTTCCCCATGCAGGAACAGCATTCCATGCCCGAGGGGGCAGAAGGCGCTCAACAGCCGAAGGAGAGCCACACATGCCGCCAGCCACATGAAAAGACCTTGGCCCCGCTCCTTCTCACCCCTGTCCAGCCCTGACCCTGCCAGACCAGGAGCACAGGCGGAGAAGGTAGCAGAGCAAGGAGGGTGGAAGACAGGCCATCATCCCAATGGCAGGACCCTGGCATCCAGTTGGCCTGGTCTGGGGACCCTCTCCCAGAAGCTGTGAGCTGGACGTGAGCTTTACGTTTTGAGTTCCAGTCACATAGATGTCTTCACAACTGAGTGTGACTGGAGACCTCGGAGTCTGCCCAAGATGTCCCCAGAGGAAGGGGGTATGGCAAGGAAAAGCAAGGCATGTCCTAGCCCAGTCACTGTCTGCGGACACACCCTGCTCCTGTGAGACGTGGGACAGGGTTCCCAGCCAGGCTCTGAATTTCAGAGACTGGGCCTCCCACCACCAGGCCACTAGCCTCTGCTGGGTTACAGTCAGACACAAAGCCAGGAATTAGATTCCTTTGCTGGCCTGGGGGCCCTCGAGCACCCTACCTGAGTCTGTGAGCACCCTGTCCTCTAAGCAGAGCAGAAGCAGAGATGCGTCCCCACCTCGGGGACAAGTCCAGAGGGGAAAGAACTTAGTCCCAGTGCAGTGTGCAGAGCCAGCCCCTCTCCACGCTCCAGGCATGCTACACACATACCTGGAGCCCCTCCCTTCCCATCTCTACCTGGCCAGATTCTTCCCATCCAGTAACGGCCCCTTCCTCCAAAGAACCCTCCTGGACTCCTTCTTTGTGTACTGCTGAACTGCTTCCTAAGTTAGGCTTGGAAATGGCCAATTCTCAATTGCTTTTGCTTAAAATCCTGGAGTTCTCTGGACTCCATTGCAGGCCCTTTTCTCTCCTTGTTGTGCTCCCTTCCTTGGGTCATTGTATCAGTCAGCTACTGCCATCTCATGCTGCCTAACAAACTGCAGGGTCTCGGTGGCAGACAACTGCAAGCACATCTGTAGTTTGTGCACTTATGGGTCACTGAGGGTCAGCTGCTCACAGTGAGGCTGGCTAGGGCAGTCAGCTCCGTGTGCCTCTCAACCTCCTCCTTGGACTAGCGGAAGAGCTGGGGCGGGTTCTTCTCATGGCAATGGCAAAACCACAACAGGAGGAGTGGAAATGTGGGCGGCTCCTTAAGGCCTAGGCTTGGAACAGGAGATTATCTTTCCTGCCTTGTTCTAGAGGCCAAAGCATGTCACATGCCAAAACCCAAGTCACATGACTCCTTAAGGCCTAGGTTTGGAACAGACACATTATCTTTTCTGCCTTGGTCTAGGGGCCAAAGTAAGTCACATGGCAAAACCTAAAGTCAAGAAGCTGGAAAATATACACCACTCTGTCCATGGGAGAAAACGGCAGAGTTACCAAAGGGTGTGGACACAGGGAGAAGACAGATTGCTGGAGCCAGCCATCTCCTCCAGACCCGTGATGGTGACTCCCCAGCTGTGCCTCTAGCCCAGGCCTGTCTCCAGAGCCTCACGTTCATCTGGCTGATTCCCTACAGAACACAGCAGTGCAACACTCTGTTCATCCCAATACCAAAACATTTGGAAATGGCCAAATAATTAGTCAGCAGCTGGTTAAATTAATTATAGTTTGTGTGCACAATAAAATTGTTGAAAACAATTTTTTTAAAGAATATTCATGTAAAAAGATGTGCACCATAAAAATTGTAGCATAGAATGTATAGTATAATCTCATTTAGATAGATAGATAGACAGAGAGACAGACAGACAGACAGACAGACAGAAAACAGCCTGGAAAGGTATGGACTGTATCAGTTAGGAAGCTCTTGGCTAGAAATAACAAAGAATCCACTAATGTGACTTTAAAAATTAAGAGTTTGTCTTCTCACATCAGAAAAAGGTGAGTGGCAGCTGCTAACCCTGGCTCAGCAGCTCCATGGATAACAGCTGCAGTCTCTGCAATTTTCTTGGTCTTAATGATGGCAAAATGGCTGCCTCATCTCTAGTCATCACATCTGAATTCAAGGCCAGGAGGAAGAAACAAAAGGCATCTCTAGCAATGCTGTCCTTTTATTAAGTAAGCAAAAGCTTTCTCAGCAACCCTCGCACACTTCTCATTGGCCAGAACTTGTCACATGGCCACCGCCAGCTGCAAGACCGGCTGGGGAATAGGGTTATTTCTACCTGTACAGTGAAATCAGGCGATGGAGGAGGAAGCTGGGAGCTGGTTGGAGGACAGCCGATCTGCCAAGTCTGCCCCAAACCCAGACTGTTTGTGTTGATTATCTTCAGTGGGACAAATGAAGCGAAATCTCCACTTTTTATGTTGTCCATGTCTGGACCACTTGAAGTTCATTAAGAATTAATATTATTACTTTTACAGTCCTCTTCCCAGCCAAGCTCCTGAGATTAAAAAAATAATAATAATGAGTCTTGGGCCAGGCATGGTGGCTCACGCCTGTAATCCAAGCACTTTGGGAGGCCGAGGTAGGAGGATCACTTAAGGTCAGGAGCTTGAGACTAGCCTGGCCAACATGGTGAAACCCCGCCTCTATTAAAAGTACAAAAGTCAGCCAGATGTGGTGGCAGATGCCTGTAATCCCAGCTACTCAGTAGGCTGAGACAGGAGAATTGCTTGAACCTGGGGTGGAGCTTGCAGTGAGCTGAGATCAAGCCACTCCACTCCAGCCTGGGTGACAGAGTGAGACTCCGTCTCTAAATAAATTAATTAATTAATTAAAAAAAAATGAGTCTCCACTTCCTGCCTCAGCTTCTCTGTGCCCACCCACCCACCTTTCCCCATCCCCTCTGCCTCCACCTCCTCTCGACTCCTCTGAATCCCCCTGGAGAGACCTGCTGTGGCCGCCCTGTAGCCTAACCCAACCCACCTTCCAATCCTCCTCATCCTACGTCACCCATCCTGGTTATCACCTCCGTCTTGAAATCCTTGCTATTCTTTCCCTCTGGGATTTGGCATGCCATGCTATTGTGTAAGCCACGCAAAGGAAGGGACGTTCTCTATTTTGTTCACTGCTGCTGTGTCTGCCCAGAACAGCACCTGGCACGTAGTAGGTGCTCAAGGATGTTTGATGAGTGGGCGAATGAACAAGTGGACAGCAGAAATCCTGCACCCCCTCTGCTTAGACTGCCACTTCTCAGTCTTGGGCATCATGGCGGCAGCCATGGAAATGTCCCCGAAGACCTCTTACTGCCTGCAGGGGGTGGAACTGGCCTTGGGTAGCCCCAGCTGCCTCCCTTTGAAAACATCCTGGCTTTCACGCCTAAGGCACGCTCTGCCCATCACGGGCATGTCCAGGACGCTAAGATGGATCCCTTCTGCAAGATACTGCCTTGCAGTGCATTCGAACACACGTCCGTCCCCTTCCTTCGCTTTCTCCTTACAAGGTTCTCCCAGCGTCCCTGCCTCCTCCCCATTTCCCTATCTCTTGCATGGGTGTCTACTTCTCCGAGGACCCAGACACCCAGCATCTCTCCCCCACCTGGCTCTCCAGCGCATCCCCTTGGGTTCTCTCCTCGACCCTCCTCTTCTCGTGCCACCAGCTTTCCCTGTGGCTCCTCATCCACACCCTCGCCTGATGCGCACGTGCACACACACAGACACACACAAACACACACAGACACACACACACAGACACACACACACAGACACACAGACACACACAGACACACACACACAGACACACAGACACACACACAGACACACACAGACACACACACACAGACACACACACAAACACACACACACACACACAGACACACACATTTTTTCCTAAACCTAGGTTTCTATCCCTAACCCTTTGTGCTGCCTCCGGAGTGTCCCACTGGCCTGAAGCTTAGCACAACCACACTGAGCTGGTCACCTTCACCTCTAGCCCCGCTGGCCCATCCATCTTACCACCACCCCGTCACCGGGGCCACCTCTCCTGGGCCTCCTCCTCTCCCACTCCACCCCGTCACCGGGGCCACCTCTCCTGGGCCTCCTCCTCTCCCACTCTGCCCCGTCACCGGGGCCACCTCTTCTGGCCCTCCTCTCCCACTCCGCCCCGTCACCGGGGCCACCTCTCCTGGCCCTCCGCCTCTCCCTCGCTTCTTTTCTCCTTGCTAGGTCAGCAGATCTTTGAGGACGGAGCCAGGCTCACACTTCTGTGGCACTGATGCTGTCCCACCAGCACACCGTCGTAAGCATTCACGATTCATGAGGCTGCTTTTCAGCAAAGGAGAATCCCCCTTTCTCTTGAACTCTACAACCTTTCATCTGTTCAATATCTGTAGGTGCCTTTAAAAAAAAAAAAAACACTCACATACCATGAAGATCACCCATTTAAAGTGAAAAATTCAATGGGTGTAAAATTCAATGTAAAAATTCATTGGATTTGGCCGGGCGTGGTGGCTCATGTCTATAATCCCAGCACTTTGGGAGGCCAAGGCTGGTGGATCACTCGAGCTCAGGAGTTCAAGACCAGCCTGGACAACATGGCGAAACTCCACCTCTACCAAAAATACAAAAATCAGCCCAGTCATTGTGGCACGTGCCTGTAGTCCCAGCTACTCAGGAGGCTGAGGTGAGAGAATCACTTGAGCCCAGAAGACAATGAGCCGAGATGGCACCACTACATTCCAGCCTGGGTGATGAAGCCAGATCCCGTCTCAAAAAAAAAAAAGGAAAGAAAAGGAGTTTTAGTATTTTTACAGAATTATGCAACCATCACCATTATCTCATTTTAGACTATTTTCATCACCCCAAGAAGACACTCCCCATTCCCCCTAGCCCTAAGCAACCACAAACAGAGATTTTCCGTCTGCACGGATGGATTTGCCTTTGCTGGACGCTTTGTGTAAATGGAGTCGTGCAATATGCATTCCTTCGTGATGGCTTCTTCTAGCTCTGATGCTGTGCTTGAGGGGTCTGCCTGTTAGATCCCACCCGTGAAAGGGAAAACAGGGCAAGAGCTGGCCCTGCTCTCACCCAGCCAGGGACCAACTCAGACACCACACGAGTCGTTGCAGAGTCCACCGGAGACGTCTGGGGGCTCTGAGGAATGGGTCAGGGTGAATGACAGGAGCGGGCTGGGAAAGCAAGAGGGCTGCAGGATGGGCGGGGAGGGGGGGTGTTGGGGACAGCAGGGAGAGTCAGGAAGAGCACTGGGTTGGGGAACAGCCTGAGCAAAAGGTCTAATATGGGAAGGAAATGAAAGGAAGCCACACGCCAGAGACTCAGAGGAAAGGAGCGTGGCCTGGAACAAGATCCGCAAAGAAGCCAGCGGGACAGGGGGAGCCTTGACCTGTCAAAACCATCAGGGGTCTCCACGTTATCTGAACAGCAATGGGAGCCATGGAAAGTCTGAAACAGAGGGGTGACATGATCATAAATGTTTTTGGAAAGATCACCCTGGTGGTGGGGTGGAGAAGGGAAGGTGGCTGGGAGCTGTATGTCCATCTTGGGCTGTAGGGATGAGAGAGAGAGAGGAAGGAGTGGGTGGCACCATTCTGAGATGGGGTGGGACAGAGCCACAGCAGCCCAGGAGCAGGCTGGGGGGTGGACACCCTCTGATTAGTATTCTGCACAATTTGGGGCCAGAGCAGCTGGTGACTTTCAGGCCCCAACCTCATTACTTAAGGCAGCTCCGCAATGAGCTTACACAGGCCCCTCATCAGCCCCATCCACATTGCCTGGATCACTTAGAATGCATCTGGTTGCTCCCATGAGCGTCTGCCACCTTTTTGCTATTTTATGTCATCAGCAAACTGGCGCCGTCGTGAAATTATGCTCCACTCCCGGTCAATGCATTAAACTTAAACGTTTTCTATAACCAGTGCGCCCTGTGCCTGCCTTAATTCCCAACTGATTTATCTACCCGATTTATTACCAGGGCTCAATTCAATCAATACTGGCTGGGATTCCACCCGCAGAGGCATCTGATTTATGCAGGAGACACTCCTGGGGTGATTTAGAGTCCTCTCCTCCACCACGGAGCCCCCAGGCCCCCAAAATTGATGTGTCTGCCTTGCTCCAGGGAGAACTTGCATCAGCATCCAAACGACCCAGCCACAGGCCCTCCTGGAGGCCTCAGGCTCCCACTCCCTGCCCCAAGGGGCCTGCAGCCCTTGCTCTGGAGTGCCCTGGGCCGGCCCTGACCTCAGAGCTCCCTGGGAAACGAAAGTTCCAGAAACCATGAATGCTCAGGGTTAATCTGGGCTTTAGGCTCTGGGGAGAGGGAAGGCATGCATGCCCTGTATGAACTATGTCTTATTGCACTAAGGGCAGGGTCTAAATCAGATCCTTATCTTTCATTCCGGACACATAAAAACAGGATGTTGGGGTTTCTTATCCCCAAGGATTTAGCAAACTTCTACTAAGAAAAACCATATATATATGTACATAGCACAAAAGATTCCAGACAAGATTTTTTTTTTCCTTCCCAAAGGAGGATCATGGGGTCTGAAATCAAATATAAGAGGTCAAAGTCTTCCCTCTTGAACTTGTTCTGGCAAAAGTTCAATAGAACGACATCCTCTGGTTCTAATTCTAAACCTTCCTAGGGGACACAGCAGAGGGCCCGCTCCATCTACAGCCGTTCTCAAAATAAATCACCAGCGGCTCATGGCAACAGGAGTTATTAAAATATGAAATTATTTGGTGCCTCCATGTTCTTGACTTCCCCTTCTCTTTGTAGTCAGGAGGAAAAGCCTAAACCCTGATGTATTGGCCAATGCCTCAGGGGCCAGGCAAGTTCTGTAAAAGGGTACAAGGCTGAGCAGAAGAGGCCAGAAGGGAGGAGAGGGGCCTGGGGAAAACTCAGGAAGGGGGCAGCTGCTCCTCCACCCCCGGCAATCGTTGCAGGGAAGGGGAACTCCAGATACCAGGGTTCTTGGCCTTGCCAAAGACTTGTGACCCCAGAACGGGTACCTAGATCCAGTGCTATCAGGCCATGTACCAAGTGTGCTGGGACCACCGATAGCTGATCCACAATGACAATCACACCCTTCCCAAGACTCACCAAAGCTCAGTTTACCGCCAGCCCAGAGGCACGAGGCTCTGAGTCAATATTTGCATTTGCATCAAAGTCATACTTCCCCATCTTCTTTTTCCCGTCTGACCCCTCTCCTCATGTGGGAGTCAAGCCATGGTACCACTGCTCTGGGAAGGAGGGGGGCTCCAGGAAGCAGAGGAAAACCAAAGTTGGTTCTTGGCTTTTGGGCTTCAAAAGTCTCCTTCTTAGAGAAGAGGTGAGAACTCAGGAAGCACAGAGTTGGGGAAGAACTGATGGGGGCGGTGGAGCTTCCTAGAAAACTTGCCCTCCCACTAGGAAGTGCATTCTTTTTTTTTTTTTTTTTTTTTTTTTTGAAACTGAGTCTCACTCCGTCGCCCAGGCTGGAGTGCAATGGCACAATCTCGGCTCACTGCAGCCTCCGCCTCCTGGGTCCAAGCCATTCTCCTGCCTCAGCCTCCTGAGTAGCTGGTATTACAGGCGCCTGCCACCATGCCTCACTAATTTTTGTTTCAGTAGAGATGGAGTTTCACCATGTTGGCCAGGCAGGTCTCAAACTCCTGACCTCAATTGATCCACCCGACTCAGCCTCCCAAAGTTCTGGGAGGTGCATTCTAACAGGCTCCTGGGTAAAGCTGGGCTTCTGCTCAGACTCACTTTGAGAACTGAGGTGCTAGAAGCTGTGAAAGAAGGACCCTGAAGGAGGATCCGGAATGCATCAGCAGAATCCCAGCAGATCTCCCAGCTGGGATGAGTGCAGGCCAGAGAGTAAACACCAGCCCAGCGGGGACTTCTGGTTCATTCTCTACCTTGAGATTAAAGTTAACTAAAAAAACAAAATTACCATTTTAAAATGTGAGTCCTGTATTCTCAAGTGGGATTGCGGTGATGATTGCACTAGTCTGTAAGTTTATGTACATTTAAAATATGTCACATCCCATTGGCCAAATTTGGAATTACCTAAGTATCAAAAATAATAACAATGACTGTAATGGTGGAAACACACTGAATGCATAAGTACCCAAGCACCTGTAATGATCAAGAACTAAATGGCCGGGCGCGGTGGCTCACGCCTGTAATCCCAGCACTTTGGGAGGCCAAGGCGGGCGGATCATGAGGTCAGGAGATCGAGACCATCCTGGCTAACACGGTGAAACCCTGTCTCTACTAAAAATACAAAAAATTAGTCGGGCGTGGTGGCGGGTGCCTGTGGTCCCAGCTACCCGGGAGGCTGAGGCAGGAGAATGGCGTGAGCCCGGGAGGCAGAGCTTGCAGTCAGCCGAGATCACGCCACTGCACTCCAGCCTGGGCAACAGTGTGAGACTCCATCTCAAAAAAAAAAAAAGAACTAAGTATTTTCCTGCCCCTTCAGTTGGAACTGCCTTTCAGGGAAACCAAATAGCTCCAGAGGGTGAAGTAAAGCTCATTTTGACAAAGAATGCCAGCTAACGAAATGCAGAAGAAGGGACAGAATTATAAAATCGCCACTTTGCAACATCCATGAACTAATTGGCTCGGTCAGGAGCATCAATTTAATCAAGGGTAGATGGAGACAGACCACAATGAGACACCAACTCCCTCACTTACTGGGGTGCTCACTGGGGTGCTCTAACCGAAGACAGACAATGACACGGACTGATGAGCATGTGAAGGAATCCGAACCTCGTGCACTGCGGGTGGGAATGCAAAAGGGTGCAGCTGTTTTGGAAAACAGTCCAGCAGTTCCTCAAAGGCCTGCACAGAGCTTTCACGTAACTCAGTAGTTCCACTCTGACATGTTACCCAAGAAACACGTTTTGTGGGAAAACACATGTTCCCACAAAAACCTGTACATACATCTTCACAGCAGTATTGTTTATGTAGCCAAAAAGTGGGGACAGGGAGACAAATGACCATCAACTGATGAACAGATGGAATGGTCCAGTCATATGAGGGGTTATTAATAAGCCATAAAAAGACATGAAGTGCTGATCTCTGCTAAGGCCTGGACAACTTGGAAACCATGATGCTGAGTGAAAGAAGCCAGAGACAAAGAGTGAGTGATTCCCTCTATAATCCCATTTATATGAAATGTCCAGAATAGGTCATTCCATGGTGACAGGAAGTGAATCAGTGGCTGCCAGGAGGTAGAGGGAGGCAGAGGCAGGGAGTCCTTTGGGAATGATGCAAGCCTGTTGGAAATACAGAGAGAAGTGATGGTTGTACAACATCCTGGAAACTATTGAATTGAATTGCATGCTTTTAATGGGCAAATTGTGTAGTATGTGAATTACATTTCAATAGTTTTTGTTTTGTTTTGTTTGAGATGGAGTTATGCTCTTTTCACCCAGGATAGAGTGCACTGGTATGATCTCAGCTCACTGCAACCTCTGCCTACCAGGTTCAAGCAATTCTCCTGCTTCAGCCTCCCAAGTAGCTGGGATTATAGGCACACACCACCATGCCCAGCTGATTTTTTTTGTATTTTTGGTAGAGACGGGGTTTCACCATGTTGGCCAGGCTGGTCTCGAACTACCTCAGGTGATCCACCTGCCTCAGCCTCCCAAAGTGCTGGGATTACAGGCGTGAGCCAGCACACCTGTCCTCAATAAAGCTGTTTTTTAAAAGGCAGCCAGGAGGATGAACATTGGATGACTGCACTGATAGGAGGTCCCTAGAGTAGTCAGATTTATAGAAACAGACAAAATAGTGGCTGCAGGGACCAGGAGGAGGGGCTGGGGAGCTGGTGTTTAATGGTTGTAGAGTTTCAGTTTGACAAGATGAAGTTTTGTGGATGGATGACAATGATGGTTGCACAACAGTGTGAATATACTTTTTTTTTTTTTTTTTTTTTTTTTGAGACAGAGTCTTGCTCTGTCGCCCAGGCTGGAGTGTAGTGGCATGATCTCGGCTCACTGCAACCTCTGCCTCCTGGATTCAAGCGATTCTCCTGCCTCAGCCTCCCGAGTAGCTGGGATTACGGGCACGTGCCACCACACCCGGCTAATTTTTTTTATTTTTAGTAGAGACGGGGTTTCACCAAGTTGGCCAGGCTGGTCTTGAACTCCTTACCTCAGGTGACCCGCCTGCCTCAGCCTCCCAAAGTGCTGGGATGACAGGCATGAGCCACCATGCCCAGCCAGGTGAATGTACTTAATTCCATGGAACTGTACTGTTAAAATAGTTAAAATAGTAAATGTTATATGTTTACCATCATAGCAAAAAAGGTAGGTGAGAAACAGGATACTCACAGGGTGAGAAAGAATCATCCAGAATTACTTGCTACACCCAAAGAAGGGTCTTCCCCATGAAGGGGCAGCTCTCAGAGCCTCAGGGTTGGCAGGCTGGCAGTGGAACCCCTGTTGTCTGTGCCCTGTGGGGAAACCCTGTAACGTGCATGTCATCACCCACAGAGTGGTCTGGTGAAGGATGGTCCACCTGAATCAGATTCCACCTGGAGATTCCACTTCCTAGGAAATCGGGGGAGAGGGGGACAAGTGGAAGCGCCCCACACAAATCAGATGCACTCAGGACACAGGGTCTGCCACCGGACACCCAGTTGGCCTTCTCAACAGGCCATGTCATGAGGTGAATCACTGTTCTGGGTTGAAAGAGGCTCAAGAGCCAATACAACCAAATGCAACAGCTAAATGAGAGGAAGCTGGTTTGAAACAGCTGGCTTCCCAGGCATTTGAAGAGACCTGGGGAGAGTTGACTCCAGACCAGTTAGCGGATGCTGTGGAAGGCTGAAAATGGCCCCTCAAAGAAGCCTGCATCCTACCCCTGGAACCTGTGAACATGCCATCTTGTGCTGCATACGGGACTTTGCAGGAGTGATGAAGGACCTGGAGCTGGAGAGATGATCCTTGCCCAATCTAATCAAGGGAAATTCATGAAGGTGAGAAGAGGTGGTACCAGAAACAAAGTCAGATTGGTGTGAGGCTGCTGACTTTGACAGTGGAAGAAGGGGCTGGACCAGAGCCCAGAAACGGGGCTGCTTCTAGACACCACCAGCAAAGGCCAGGAAATAGGTACCCCCTAGAGCCTCCGAGGAACCAGCTCTGCAGGGTTTAGTCCAGGGAGATCCATTTTGAGCTTCTGACCCTCAGAACTGTCAGATGACACATTCATGCTGTTTTAAGACACTAAATCTCTGGTGATTTGGGACAGCAGCCATAAGACACCAATACAGGTGCTCTATGGGAGTTCCTATTAACTCGATAGAGTGTGTTTAGTGGGAGAAGACCCTGATCTGAGAAAACGCAGGTGATATGGTTTTGCTGTGTCCCCACCCAAATCTCACCTTGAATTGTAGCTCCCATAATTCCCACGTGTTGTGGGAGGGACCCGGTGGGAGGTAATTGAATCATGGGGGTGGATCTTTCCCATGCTGCTCTCGTGGTAGTGAATAAGTCTCACAAGATCTGATGGTTTTATAAAGGGGAGTTCCCACGTACATGCTTCCCTTGCCTGCCACCATGTAAAATGTGACTTTGCTCCTAATTAGCCTTCAGCCATGACTGTGAGGCCTCCCCAGCCATGTGGAACTTTGAGTCCATTCAACCTCTGCCGACACCTGGATATCAGACTTCTAACCTCCACAACTGTTTTTAAGTTATTGAGTTTGCAGTAATTTGTGACAGCAGCCACAAGAAGCTCATAGGGTGACTTACGCAGAGCCCTTGAACTCCACCATAGGTCTTCCCCATCCCCAGGGTCTCCTCCTGGGTAAACGAACCACCATTCTCTCGGTCACTCCATCCACAGAGCAGGGTGCCTGCTGGGATCCCCACTTTGCTCCAATCCCATACCCATTTTTCTGGGGTGTGCCCCCTCGGCTCCATCTCCCCTGACAGTCCTTCTGGCCTGGCTGCCAGCCGCTCTCACCTGGACAGCAGCATTAGCCCTGACTGGCCTAATGACCCCACTCTTGCCTCCTGCCAACCATTCCCTTAAAAATATGGAGAAAATCACACCGTTCCCCTCCTAAGCCCGCCAGTCACTCTCCACTGCTCCTGGAACAAAATCCAAGCCCATTTCTACGGCCTCTGTGGGATTAAGACGTCGGTTCCAATTCTTCAGCCTCTCTGCCTCTGCCCCTCGCCGTGGCCTCATCGGAGGGAGGCATCGCTCCCTGACCCTCGACTTTCAGCTTGGCCACTCGACTCGCTTGGCTTCCCACCTACAGCCAGGAGTGACGGCATAACAGGTCTGCGCCCGCCCCTGAAGACGCCTCCCACGTCCCCGCTCCCCACGTCCGCGCCCACACCTGAAGACGCCTCCCACGTCCCCACGTCTGCGTCCGCACCTGAAGACGCCTCCCACGTCCCCGCACCCCACGTCTGCACCCACACCTGAAGACACCTCCCACGTCCCCGCACCCCACGTCCCCACGTCTGCGCCCGCACCTGAAGACGCCTCCCACGTCCCCGCACCCCAAGTCCCCACGTCTGCGCCCACACCTGAAGACGCCTCCCACGTCCCGTCTGCGTCCGCACCTGAAGACGCCTCCCACGTCCCCACTCCCCACATCTGCGCCCACACCTGAAGACGCCTCCCACGTCTGCACCCACACCTGAAGACACCTCCCACGTCCCCGCACCCCACGTCTGCGCCCACACCTGAAGACGCCTCCCACGTCCCGTCTGCGCCGCACCTGAAGACGCCTCCCACGTCCCCACTCCCCACATCTGCGCCCACACCTGAAGACGCCTCCCACGTCTGCACCCACACCTGAAGACACCTCCCACGTCCCCGCACCCCACGTCCCCACGTCTGCGCCCGCACCTGAAGACGCCTCCCACGTCCCCACGTCTGCGCCCGCACCTGAAGACGCCTCCCACGTCCCCGCTCCCCACGTCTGCACCCACACCTGAAGACGCCTCCCACATCCCCGCACCCCACATCCCCGCGTCTGTGCCCGCACCTGAAGACGCCTCCCACGTCGACGCCTCCTAGGTCTCCACTTCCCACGTCCCTGCTTGTGGAGCCTGTGCCCCGGCCGACCTGCTGGTGCCAGGACAGTGAGAGACGCCTGCAGCAGAGCTGCCCAGCTGCAACCAGCCTGGACCCCTCAGGCCCCCGCAGACCTGCTGGCCTGTTAGTAGAAACGCTCAGCTTTGTTTACGCAGCAGGACTGTGGCACTAGCTGGCCACACAGCCCCTGAGGCACTGCCTGACCGGCCTCTGCCCACTGTTCTAACCCTGTCTTTTACCCCTATGGCCCTCTTTGGTAACCATCCTCTCATGTCAGCAGCTTCTGGAAGGTTCTAAACCTGCCAGATTTTCCCTGTTCCTCAAGTCTCGGTGTCGTCTTACCTCCTCTGGGCAGCCACTCCAGCACTGCGCCCACCTAAATCCCCCTCAGTCACCCTCGGCCACGTCACTCTGTGGATTCCTTCTGGGCACAGCCCAGCCGCGCTGTCTTCTCTCAAGCTGTCCTGTCACCCAAGCAGCTTTGTGAGGGCAGGAGCTGTCTCTGCAGATATCAAGTGGAACATCACCTGTTTTCTGGCATTTCAGCTGAAGCCCACAGCTGAGAACTATCCGTGAATCCAAAGAGAAGCACTTTACTGGGACAACCCCACTTGCCAAGAGAGACCAGAGGCCACTCTGAGACCCACACCCCTCCCCTCCCCCAGCCAGCCACTACTTTCTAGAAGGTTAGAAACTCAGTGCAAGGCGTGAGGGTTTCTTGGGAGAGGGCTGGCATCCTGCAAGAATCTCTGCACATTTCCTTACCTTCCCCACCACCACCACCAAAAGCCAAGCAAAGGCCATCAGAGACCCCCCCACATGGACTGGGGTTATCCCAGGGAAGCCCACCATCTCACCCTCGCCCAGGGGGTTTGCCGAGTGGGTTCCAGAGCAGGTTCTAGGGAGCAGGCCATGCTTCAGGAATTCCGTAGGACAAGAACAAGGACCGTTTTGTCATGGACCAAATGGACACAGGGAAGCCAGGCTAGGTGGCAGTCACCAGTGTGGGCATCCCGAATGGGGGTCTCCAAATACCGGCCAAGTGCCTGAGATCCCCCTGACATAAGGCATTGGATGGTCAGGGAACAGCCACATTCAGTACCCGCTCAGCTAACGCCCTTCAGCCGCCCACCTTCTTCCTGCATCCCGGGCCCACCCTGAGGAGCTGGGCAAGTGGAGCGGGAAGGGGAAAGCCAGCAGAGATGTCCCAGTCCCTCTGCATCCGCAGCCTGGCCCCCTGAGCTAAGGGAAAAGGGCCACTTTGGAAGAGCAAATACAGCTTTTATTTGAAGCAGGCTGGATGTTTTAAGATCTGCAAAAGATGACTGTTGATGGGCAGCTGTAAACAGCCCTACCTAGATTGCCTTGTGCTCCCAAAGGCGGGTTGGGGGGAAAGTCAGCACAGGTGTGCAGGGCAGTGGTGGGAACAATGAGACCATTTTCTGATGGCCCCAGGGGAGCTTCCCAGCGCCCAGAGGAGCCGACTAGCCCACAAGTGCTCAAACAGTTCATTTGCTGAATGATTACGTGGGAGTGAGGTAGACTCTACTCCGCGTTCTAGGGCACTTATTTGTCTCTTCCTGTGAAGTGCAGCTCCACACCGCAGGGCAGGGATCCATTTCTCCTCAAAGCCAGGAGTTTTGGTTCTGCAAGCCTCTGTCTCTACCTGTTGGGTGGGAAAAATAATACCTCACTGGGTCACTACAAGATTGAAATGCGATACTTTATAGCGCTGGCAAAACCAGACTGATGAATTTTTTCTTTATTTAAAAATAATTCTTAAACCATTTGTGAGATGAGCCAGGTATAAAATACACTGCAGGCCGGGGATGGTGGCTCACACCTGTAATCCCAGCACATTGAGAGGTCGAGGCAGGC
The DNA here is from genome assembly GCF_000001405.40 of Homo sapiens. Lineage (NCBI taxonomy): Eukaryota > Metazoa > Chordata > Mammalia > Primates > Hominidae > Homo > Homo sapiens. The sequence continues at coordinate 58,207,967 of NC_000020.11, forward strand.
GGATCACCTGAGGTCAGGAGTTTGAGACCAGCCTGGCCAACATGGTGAAACCTTGTCTCTACTAAAAGTACAAAAAGTAGCCGGGCGTGGTGGCAGGCGCCTGTAATCCCAGCTACTAGGGAGACTGAGGCAGGAGAATTGCTTGAACCCGGGAGGTGGAGGTGGCAGTGAGCCGAGATTGCGCCACTGCGCTCCAGCCTGGGCGACAGAGCAAGACTCTAGCTCAAAAAAATAGAAATAAAAATGTACTACAGTTTGGTGAAAGTTAGAAGTAAATCATGAACTTCTTTGATGATATAATTTGGTAAAAAATATTAATTCTGACATGTGCTCACTTATTTTAAATGTCAGCCCTTCCCTGCATGCCACGGATTATACCCTTATACCTTTCAGTCCACAAGAGACCACATATATGACAGTGGTCCTATCAGATTATAATGGAGCTAAAGATTCCTGTTGCCATAGCCATCATACAGTTGTAGTGCAATTACTTTTTTAAACAAATGTAGTGTAACCTAAGTGTGAAGTGCTGATAAAGTCTACAGTAGTGTACGGTGATATCTTCAGTCTTCACATTCACTCACCACCCTCTCACTTACTCACCCAGAACAACGTGCAGTCCTGCAAACTCCATTCATGTATGTGCCCTACACAGGTGCACCATTCTGTATCTTTCATATTGTAGTTTTACTGTACCTTTTCTATGTTTAGATATACAAAGACTTACCATTGTGTTACAACTACCTACAGCAGCGGTCCCCAACATTTTTGGCACCAGGGACCCATTTCGTGGAAGTCAATTTTTCCACGGACCAGAGGGGAGTGATGGTTTAGGGATGATTCAAGTGCGTTATATTTATTGTGCACTTTATTTCTATTATTATTACGTTGTTATATGTAATGAAATAATTACACAGCTCACCATCATGTAGAATCAGTGGGAGCCCTGAACTTGTTTCCCTGCAACTACACAGTCCCATCTGAGGGTGCTGGGAGACAGTGACAGATCGTCGGACATTACATTCTCATCAGGAGCGCACAACCTAGACCCTCACATGAGCAGTTCACAACAGGGTTCGTGGTCCTATGAGAATCTAATGCTGCCGCTGATCTGACAGGAGGCGGAGCTCACAATGGGGAGCGCCTGTAAACACAGATGAAGCCTGCAGCTCACCTGCTGCTGTGTGGCCTGGTTCCTAACAGGCCACAGAACAATACCCCTCTGTGGCCAGGGGTTGGAGACCCCGGCCTACAGCATTCAATGCAGCAGCATGCTGCACAGGTTAAGTAACCTGGTGTAGGAGCAATTGGCTATACCCCATATCCTAGGTGTGTGTGGGCTCTGCCATCTAGTTTGTGTAAGTACTCCCTATGATGTTTGCACAACGGCAAAATCACCCAAGGACACATTTCTCGGAATGCACCCCTTTTAAGTGACACATGACTGGTACCTTGCTTGGGGAGAATGATGTTGAGGATCTTGGGCTTGGAAATACCTAGGTTAGCCTAATTCCTTCTTGCTTTTCTTGTTGCAGCGCCTCCTGGGTGAATATTAATTAATATATTCACTAGGATTGAAAGGAAGGTCCTAGACTTTTCTTCCCTTTAGGAGGACAAGTTTAAAAAAATGGAATTTATCTGTAAAGCTGGCTAGCTCTTATCCCTGACCCTAAAAACATAGTCTGTAAGCCCCCCGCCCCCGCCCCCACCGGGGAAGACTCTTTGGACTGGAGGACCGTGTTTCTCTCTAAATTCTTACACTATGAATGGCATGTGAAAATAATATCCACGTGGTTACATATTTTTCAAAACAGTGTCTACTATCCAAAGATCAACAGAGCACAAAAGTACCAAGAGTGGAAAATCTCTGGTGTATAACGGCCTAACGGGAAAGGAGAAAATTGGGGAATGCAACAGGATCTGCAATTCGGGTGGGGGCGGATGGACGCGGATGGACGGCCCGCCTGGATCCGCGCGAGGCGCCACTCGGGGAGTTGATCTGCGGTCTCGCAGTGACACCTACAGGCCGCCGTGGCCGCGCACCTGCGGCAACTGCGTTCGACAGCGCCACCTGGCGGGAGCCGACGCCGGCAGGCCCGGAGAGGATTTTCTTCGTGAATCCAAGACAGAGGGGTGGAAAGTGCTCAGGACCTCTGGGGTGTGTCCTGTGGGCCGCTGGGGCTGGGGTGCAGCCCACGAGGAAGTGTCCGTGGGGTGTGCGTACCTGCCCGTCTATCCTGCCCTCTGCACTGCCTGGCCGTGCTCAGCCCAATGTGCCTGTCCCAGCTGGATCCTGGCCGGGCAGGGCCGTCGATGCTTTGAGAATGAGTGCTGGTATTTTCTGCCTTTTACAAGTAGGGAAAGAGGGGAGTTGGAGGAGTAACCGAGGTCGTAGCCTCCAGGAAGGCCTCCCGGGCAAGCTGACTCCAGAACCAAAATACTCCCCCACCTGCCTCCCAAAGGTGGTGGAACCTCTACTTTTGCCGCTCAGAACAGTCACATTCAGCTTCATCCCGACAGGCACTCGAAACTATGGCAGAGGGGCAGGCATCCTCACTCTGCCACCTAGGTGCTGTGTGTTGCTGGGCAAGTTGCTAACCTTCTCTGAGCCTCCATTTCCTCCGTGACAAATGGGCATGAAAGAGAACGTGCTCAGTGCTGCTCAGCACCACCTTCCCAGGGATTTTGTCAGAAATGCAGAGTCTCAGGCCCTGTCCCAAACACTGAGTCTCGCATCCTTGGGAGGTGGGGCCCAGCAATCTGTGTTTTAACTAAGCCCGCTTGCGACTGTGATACTAATTGAGAATGTCCGCCTTCCAGGGTCACTGAAAAGACCAAATAAGATCACGTGTGCGGGATGCCTGGAAAATACTCAACACACGACTGTCGTAATTCTCCAACTCTAGACAGCCTGGCGTGGGGGCCGGGGGGAGCATTTTCTCTTTTCCTTCCTTTTTTTATTGGTTATTATTTCTTAATACAGGGTGTCAGTCCGTCACCCAGGCTGGAGGGCAGTGCTGTGATCACAGCTCACTACAGCCTCGACCTCCCCAGCTCAAGCCGTCCTCTTGCCTCGGCTTCCTGAGTAGTTGGAAACAGGTGCATGCCACCAGCTAATTTTTTATATTTTTTTGTAGAGATGGGGGTCTCACTATGTTGCACAGGCTGGTCTCGAACTCCTGGGCTCAAGCAATCTTCCCACCTCAGTTTCCCAAAGTGTTCGGATTACGGGCACGAGCCTCCACAGCCTGATTTTTTTTAATTACAAAAGTAAGACATGCTGTTAAACACAGAATTACCATGTGACCCAGCAATTCCCCTCCTAATGTACACCCAAAACTTGAATGCAGGAATTCAGACAAATCCTTATACACCAAAGCTCATAGCAGAACTATTCACGATAGCCAAAAGGTGGAAGCAACCCAAATATCTATCAGCTAATAAATGGATAAACAAAACATGGTATATTCATACAATGGAATGTCATTCAGCCATAAAAAAGAATGAAGTACTAAGACATACCACAACATGGGTGAACCTCAAAAACATTATGCTAAAAACCAGGTCCAAAAGGCTACATGTGCCTGGGCACAGTGGCTCACGCCTGTAGTCCCAGGACTTTGGAAGGCCAAAGTGGGTGGATCACCTGAAGTCAGGAGTTCAAGACCAGCCTGGCCAAGATGATGAAACCCGCTCTCTACTAAAAATACAAAAATTAGCTGGGCATGGTGGCATGTGCCTATAGTCCCAGCTACTCAGGAGGCTGAGGCTGGAGAATCGCCTGAACTCAAGAGGCCGAGGTTGCAGTGAGCTGAGATCATGCCTGTGCACTCCAGCCTGGATGACAGAGTGAGACTCCGTTTCAAAAAAAAAAAAAGCAGGGGAGCTACATATTGTTATGATCTGATTTATATGAAATATTCAGAGTATTCAAATGTATAGACAGAAAGTTGATTGGTGGTCATCTAGGGCTGGAGGGAGGTGTCCGGGGTGAATGCAAATGGGTATGGGGTTTATTTTTGAAATGATGAAAATGTTCTGGAAATAGTGTGATGGTTGCACAACATCGCGAATGTACTAAATGTCACTAAGGATAATGTTGTGTGTCTTTTGCCACGATAAAAAATAAAAGAAGGGCCAGGCATGATGGCTCATTCCTATAATCCCAGCACTTTAGGAGGCTGAGGCAGGCAGATCGCTTGAGCCCAGGAATTCGGCAACATGGTGAAACCCTGTCTCTATTAAAAAATACATATATACAAAAAATTAGCCAAACACGGTGGGGCGCTCCTGTAGTCCCAGCTACTCAAGAGGCTGAGATGGGAGGATCACTTGAGCCCAGGAGGTCGAGGCTGCAATGAGCCGTGATTGCACCACTGAGCTCCAGCCTAGATGATGGAGTGAGACCCTGTCTCACAAAAGGAGACTTGCCGGTTGTAACAATTTAGGGCTGTGTAAAACAGTTCTCTTGCCCTGGAGCAAGCAATGCTAACAGTTTGGAGGTATACCTTTGACATCATTCTTTGTGCTCAAATAAACATATATAGACACTAGAGTTGTCTCTTTTTAGAACCGTGCTCATCCACATTTCTTGGGCCACTTGCTGTTTTTCACTTAGTGATACATCCCAGATACTCCTCATGACTGTCCCCTGGCCTGTACATACAGATCAAGTCAGGTTTTCGTAGCTGCAAAATGTGCCACCATCCCTCCCGCGTGTGAGCATGTAGAGTGTTTCCAGGCACCTGCTACCATAAACAGCAGTCACGAACATTTGTGACCGGGTCTCATTTTGTACAGGGGTTTCCTCTCTGTAGGATGGATTTACAGAGGTGAGGCGCTGTGCTGTCGTGGGCATTCTGAATACGTATTGTCAGACAGCGATCAATCCTGCAGGAAGATGGGAATCGGCAAGCTCCCCCGTGCGGCGCTGACATGTTTCCCAGGCGCACACACGTGCACACACACACACACACACACACACACACACCCCACAGCCCCAGATGTTATGAGTATTTATCATTTTTCCAATTGTAAATTGGTAATGAAAGCCAGTCAAATGAGCGTCGGTTTGATTACTTTGACAATTGCTATGGTTGAGTTCCTTGTTTTGTGAGCAGGTTTTGGTACCTTGGGGAAGGGGGTGGTCCACAGACCCTTTCAGGATATAATGAGGTTCTCCCCAGAAAATGTGTACAGACATGCACATTTTGCAGACAATTCCAGGGATTCAGGCAGAAAAGCCCATCTGTGAGGCCCCTTTTTCAAAGTGGCGCAGACTGCGGCGTTTCTGACATTTCCGATGAACACAAACACGAGTGTTTGTCTAAATGTTAATGGGTTTCTGTGCCCTCTGCTGGAAGCATCTGCAGTCAGTGCGCCACTGCGGAGGCAGAGCCCAGTGACTGGAATTTTCCTCTTGCCTTAGAGCTGTTTTCCTCTCCTGCAGAACTGGCCCTGGAGTTTCAAGTTCAGTACGCACTTTTTCCAAGTTGCTGAGAAAGCCCTCTGCCTCACACCCAAATCAGCAAATTTAAGGGAAATTATTTATCTCCCACTTTGGGGATTATTAGTTCTGGACAGAGACTCTTACTGTATAAGGTTTGCTGAAAATGTATGAGGCTATCTGGAGACGGGTGGAGGGGGGTGTATTGAATCCCAGTGAGTAAACATTTTAAGCAAATTAAGTGGTTGTAGCAATAATAATAATAATAATAATAATGGCTACCATTTTTCAAGCGTCTGCTCCGTGCCAGGCATTTAATCCCTCCAATGACAGGGGCCAGGTTTTAAACTGATGCTCTGAGAGGTGCCATTGTTTGGCCCAATGCCACACAGCTTGTGGTGGAGGAAAATTCTAAACTGGATCTGCCAGACTGCAAGCCCAGGACCCTCCCACTGCACCTCGGGGTCACGCTGACAAGGGCCTTGGGTCTTGAGGGCACAATCCACACTGGCAGTCTCCTTTCACCAATGCAAACCAGGTGGGGATGCTGGTGACGAGGCCCACATGATGGATAAAGACTCTGAGGCTCTTGGGAAGTGACCATTTGGTCCAAGGTCACACAACTGGGAAGGAGGAGAGAAAGGGATAGAACGCTGGCCTGCAGTGCACTGAAAACAAGACAGTGCCGTTACATCCCAGCAAAATACTGCTACCAGCAAAACACTGCGCTCCATTGATGTGTTTTTAGGAGGGAGATTAGCGAGGGTCAGGGAGGTGCTGGATCTGTACTAGCACAAAAAGGAAACTTTATCCTTGTGGATACTGAAAGGATCGAGAGCAATGTCAAAAGGGATTGCCTTTCCCACCCAGTGTTTCAGTGTCACTTAATACAGAGACAGGGACCACCTGAAGTCCCCTGAGGCGCCACCAGTGAGATGCCCTCCCTGCTTTCTGGGAACCCCTGGGTTAGTGAATATGCTTCAGGCAAGGGAGTGCCCCAGTCTGAGATGGAGTGAGGAGACAGTGGCGAGAGCCCAGCATGCAGCTGAAGGCCCCGCCGAGTCATCTTCGGAGGGAGAAAGCAAAGTGCTGAGGACTAGGGCAGAGCCCCAGAGACCCAGGATGTACAGAAGCCCAGAGGGGCAGCCCCAACACCCACCTCCCGGCTGCAGAGGCTGCTGGAGGTTCCACCAATAGACTGGAGTGCAGAAGAAAAGCTCAGCATCTTTGTTTCACCACCTGGAAGGCTGGATGGCCAGGTAGCCGGGTCTGCTAAGCCAGTCCTGGGCGAGAAGTTCAAGTCACCTTCCAACACCACAGTTGGTGGCATCTCTTTTACAATTTCTACTGCATTGACTTCCAGAAAGGAAGCAACTTACAATTCAACACCTGTATGAGGCAGTTACTTTTTTTTTTTTTTTTTTTTTTTTTTGAGACGGAGTCTCGCTCTGTCATCCAGGCTGGAGTGCAGTGGCTCAGTCTCGGCTCACTGCAAGCTCCGCCTCCCGGGTTCACGCCATTCTCCTGCCTCAGCCTCCCGAGTCGCTGGGACTACAGGCATCTGCCACTACGCCCAGCTAATGTTTTGTATTTTTAGTAGAGACGGGCTTTCGCCGTGTTAGCCAGGTTGGTCTCGATCTCCTGACCTTGTGATCCGCCCGCCTTGGCCTCCCAAAGTGCTGGGATTACAGGTGTGAGCCACCGCGCCTGGCCAGCAGTTACATTTTTAGAAAGAGAGATAACTCATTCAAGGAAAGATAAAAGGCAAGACGGGGGTGGGGACATTGGATATTTGCCCCAGGTGGGCATTAACCTTGGCTCTGAGCCTCCTGGCAGCCAAGGCAAGTGGAAACATGATGGCTCACTCAGCTGCCATCATCATCTGCTCATGACAAGTATGTGCATCTCTCCAGTGGGCTCCGGCCTGACAGGCTGGCGTAAGGCTCATGGGTGAGCAATGTCCCTGACAGTAACGAGGGGAGGAAGAAGACTCCGCCTTTATGTGGCCTCCAAGAAATCCAAGGATACACAATGGCATTTCCATGGGGCCACTAAGCTCAAAGGGTCAGATCATCAATTTTTTTGGTGATCAAAACTTGGGAGCCCAGGAAAGGCACCAAATGGGGGTCTCCTATCTCCCCTCTCACCAGTGTCAATAATTTCACCCATGACTTCAGCAAGATTTTCCAGTTGAACTCTGAGACCATAATAGTTGGCATCTACTGAGTGCTTCCCACCTCCCAGGCCTTCCCAGCAAGCTCAGTGACCAGGATTACCCTCCTTCCTCCTCTACAGAGGACTCTTGGCTCAGAGCAGTGGGGAATTCACCCAAGGCCACATGGCAGAGCCAGTAAGATGCAAGCCAAGATCTGTGCTGACCCCAAAGCCTGTATCCCCACCTCCGCACAGGCAGCTCTTCCCCTCTGGTGACTGCAAGCCCAGCCCTACCTGGGGATGCCAGACGAGGCAAAGGAACTGGATGTCAGGGCCTGGAAGACCAGAGGAAGCTCGTGTCTGCCCTACACAGAGCAGAGATGTGCCTGACCACCATGCCGGCCCACCTCCAGGGTCCAACAAAAATGCTTGAGATTGACCCCCCAACACACACTCAAAAAAAACTTTGTTGGCTCCCAAAATGTGGGGAAAAAAACCTTCAAAATAACGTTTAATGAAATATCTACAAAATGTAACATATCACCCAATGGCAACTCAATCCTTCTATGGCTCTGGATATATTTTATTTCGTAAGTGATACAGACTTGTTGAATATAAATAGAATGTCAGGATTGTCTAAAATGAAGCGCTCCCCAGGACCTACGAGTGTTCAGATGACCCTACCACAGACTGAGCAAAATGTCACCATGAAGAGTTTGGGACCTGCCCAATGTCTGGCCAAGTGCTTAATTGAATTGGGGGTAGATGAAGATAGAATGCTTGCCCCCAGAATTTTACATATAGGAGTCAAGCAGTTGGCTCTCCAAACAACGAAGGCAGCTGGGCAGAGCTCCTGGCAAATGCACAACTTTGAGTAATGCCACTTGTTAAGTTAAAAGAGTGCCTGCATCACCCCCCTAACACTTCATTAGCTAAATGGATTGCCCCATTGGGTTGGGGTTGCTTAATATCTGCCTATTGACTTTGCAGAACGTCTGCCAAGAACAAGATCTCAGTTTTGACATAGTTGATGCTGAGCTATTTTTTTCCTCGACTATTATTTGTCTAACAGAGTGCTGAGCTGGGTACAGCCACGTACACTGAGTGTAAAACCACATCATCAACACAGATCTTACTTGCTATGACAGCAGGAAATGCAGCCAGTTAATTTAAAAGCTGACTCCAGTTCTTGGGATGGAAGTGGGAAAGGGTGGCCAGGATACAGCGCCATTTCCCATTCCCAGGAAAACTGCAATGGTCACAAGACTACTGCCACACATTTTGATTCCAAAAGTTGCTTAGAAGGTAGAGCTTTAGAGAACATAAATGGTCTGTGGGAGGTGGGAGAGTGGACCCCACACGCCACCCAGTAAGACCCGTGGCTACTCCTTCACTGTGGCATCAGAGTCTTGGATTGCTCCAGAGAGATTTTGGTTGTTTCTATCACGTTTCTCCATGAAATGAATTAGAGTTTGACAGTGAGAGGCAGTCACATGGGTGTGCCCCACATCTTCTCACTCCTTTTGTAGCAGACCACGTTCTTCAAAAATTCAAGCCAAATTTTAAAAATCAAGAGAGATCTGGCCGGGTGTGGTGGCTCATGCCTGTAAATCCAACACTTTGGGAGGCCGAGGGGGGCAGATCATGAGGTCAGGAGTTCGAGACCAACCTGGCCAACGTGGTGAAACCCCATCTCTACTAAAAATACAAAAATTAGCCAGGCATGGTGGCAGGTGCCTGTAATCTTAGCTACTCAAGAGGCTGAGGCAGGAGAATCGCTTGAACCCAGGAGGCAGAGGTTGCAGTGAGCCGAGATGGCACCACTGCACTCCAGCCTGGGCAATAGAGCAAGACTCTGTCTCAAAAAAAGAAAAAAAAAAATCAAGGGAGATCCTTTCAAAAAGCCAGATTTCCAGGTCTGGAGAGTTCTAGAAAGATCTAGTGGCCTCTGCCTTTCATTTCTGCAGGAGTCAAGTCTCGGTGCTCTCTTCAGACAGCTGGCGCCATCCTTGTCTTTCCTTCTTATTTCCCACGCCCAGCTCACTCGTGCACTCGGCAGGCTGGGACCCTGTAGGAACACCAGGCACATCCTGCAATGCGGTATAAGGTTTTGCAATGCAAAGACCTGAGAGTTGAGCATAGACACTCCAAGGTGGTTTGCTCAAAGGAAAGAAGGAAGGGCTATCCCAGTGCTGGCAGGAAAAGGAGAACTCTGGCAAGAGGAGACTGCATGGACCACTGGAGATGGGACAAAAGAGAAAATGTGACCAGCCTGATTCTCATCTTCTTTTACACTGTTTCCTCCCCATCTAGCACCAACGTGTTACCTTTCAACAAGAGTAATAAGCCATCCCTTCTGGAGAGTGTGTGTGGACAGCCAAGCTCACCCAGCTTCCCTTCTGCCCCCGACTCAAGAAGCAGACCCCTCAAAGATGGCTCAGGAAACCTGGAACATTAGCTGTGGGAGCATTTAGTTCCATGGCTTTACAGACTGAAATTCACAGCCCACACTACACACGACCTCCTGACATTTGCTGGCACTTGTTTTATACAATAACAATAGTGCTATTATCATTATTGTTATTACTCCTATTATGCCAGTGCATTAGACGGTCCCCAGAAGGGAGAGAAGGTAATTGGCTCCCATCACCCTGAGCAGCGCTATTGGGTACAATGTGCAAATAGCTTAAAATTAAAGGCTGGCATTAGAGCCTGTTCAGTCTGTAATGGATTACTAAATGAGCACAGGCTTACCTACTGCCATCAACACCCTCCAGAAATCATTTGCAAACAGGACAGATAATTTCGTATCTGATTCAGGTTAATTGCCCTGTTTTCCTGCCTCCCTGCTCACCAAGGGCCCCCATGGGATTGAACTCTGCAAAGTTGCCCAAACCAGCCTCAGCGGGCAAACGTTCCCACCAGGAGCTAATGAGGGGTCATCGTCATCTTCTCAGACCTAAACCCAGACTTGACCCTCTGCAAAGCATTCTTCATGACCAAGTCATTCAGATCCCTTATCCCCGACTTTGCTATCCGGTGGAGGAGGACCATCTGCCTCTCGCTCAGTGTGTGGTTCAGGCGGTGTGCAATGGAGATGGGGGTCTCCCCCTTGGCATCTCTGTCGTGGATGGAGGCCCCGTGCTGGAGCAGGAGGATTATACAGTCTGACCGGCCCATAGCTGCAGCCACATGCAGGGGTGTCCTGCCCAGGGGGGATCTGCTGAGGCAGCTGGCTCCTGTAAAATAAGAACATTGGCCAGAAGGAAGACATGCGGAGGGGGAACACAGGAGGGGTCCAGGGCTGTGAAGGGAGTGCTCCTCAGGGAGGTCCTGCTGCCTGGCCCAGCTCCAGTACTGCCCTGCCCCCAGTCCACTCCCCTGGCAGCAGCCAGTGATCTTTCCAGAATGCCCATATCAAACTCCTGCTCAGATCCATCACTGCCATCCCACCGGCTGTGGGGTGATGTTCTAGGTCTTTCCCGCTCACTCTCACCCTACCTTCCCATTACTCTTCCAGCATTCCCTCCTGCCATACTCTCCTCCCCCACCCCACCACCAAGGCACCAATTATACCTACCTTCCACCTTCATCCCTAAAACACACCCTGCTCTGCATCCTGCCCCAGGCCCATTCACAACATTCTCACCCATTTTATTCTGGGCTAAATCTGACCTTTCTTTAGGTTTCATTTCTTTCCTTGGGAAAATCTTCCTTAGTTCTCCCACCCCATGAAACCTCCTGTGTAAGCTCAATAGACACTCTACATCTTCACAACACTGTGTACATCATTGACTATGGAATTATTTGTAATAATCTACTGACTTCCCCTCATAAACTCCAGGAGGGCAGAAAATACACACATCTGGCTTGTTGCTGTTCTCATCCCGAGCACATAGCTCAGTGCCTGCAGAAGACAGGCACTCAGGAAATGACGCAATGGGCAGCCTGACTCATGGACAGATTTCACTTCGATTAAATTCCCCACCGCCTCCTGCAGATGGATGGGCTAATGACAGGTGTCCAATATGGAGTTGTTGAATTGAATCAAATTCTGGATAACAAATATGACACAGAAAACAAGGCAATTCAATTAAATTCAGCTGACATTTCAGTAGCCAGTTTTTATGAGCTCCGGCTGGTTGGTGAGGTAAAGTTTTAAATAGGCTCTTAGAACACCAGTGTCGACCATGACACCTCCCCCCAGCAGCTGTCTGCAGAGGACAGAAAACTTTGCAAAGCTGGCTGTAATTTTTTAACTGGTGCCTTCAAATACATCACAGTTCTATCAGAGCAAAAATGACTTTTTATGAGCTTAAAGGACTGCTGGGCTGCGCAAAGCCCATATTTCATTTTACAACAAGCAAAGAGCAGACAGGCAGTGAAGGAAGGAAGGAGAATATTGTTGAGGTAACCTTTACCCATCACAGAGGTTTGTACACCCGATGCACGGCCCAATCATCCGGCCCAGGAAGTCCAAGATGTTTTCCACTTTGCTTGGTGTAAGTGGGAAAAATAGCAATGACTGAGCTGACAGAGGCTGGAGCCAAGGCTGTGAGTAGGAAAGAAAGGGGTCTAATTTGGAGGCAAGTTGATACAGGAGACCCATGGGAAAGGCCCCTCCTGAGCCCAAACCATTGACCAAACACCACGTAACATGTTCTCCCTTTTTCCAAGGAAGCTGGTGGTCTGGGCTGTTACAGCTGTTCTCCATTGTTCTTGAGGGTCTAGGCTGTTAACAGCTGTTCTCCATTGTTCTCCACTCCGCATTGAGTGGTCTGCATCTCCATCAATGGGCATCTTTTCCCAAAAATATCCCACATCCAGGGAGGATAGAGTGTACACCTATGGAATACTATGTAAAGCTCTTTAATTTGGAGACAATGTTGGCTAAGGCTTCTGTTTCTATCTATCAAGAGAGCCAGAGAGAGAGAGAGAGAGAGAGAGAGAGAGAGAGTGGAAGGAGGCCCTTAAGTGGAGGTGGGTTGAAAAGAGAGTTCAGCATGAATGTCTTGTGAGAAAATAATAACGAGGCTTGGAGAAGGGAGAATGGTGATCCTGCCATCCACCACAGAGCTGTGCTGGCTGGAAGGTGGACTATTTTGGGGTTTTTTCTAGTGTGTGTGTGTGTGTGTGTGTGTGTGTGTGTGTGTGTGTGTGTGTTGTAGTCTCCTATCTCAGCCTCCTGAGTAGCTGGGACTACAGGTACGTGCCACCACACCCAGCTAATTTTTGTATTTTTAGTAGAGACGGGGTTTCACCAGGCTGGTTGGCCAGGCTGGTTGTGAACTCCTGACCTCATGTGATCTGCCCGCCTCAGCCTTCCAAAGTGCTGAGATTACAGGCATGAGCCACCGTGCCTGGCCAGAGGCTAGACCATTTCGGACCATTGCAGCATCCTAATTTCATGCGAGGCTGGAAATCACACAGACAGCATGCGAATATTCCCAGCAATGTGTCTGGTGAGAAATGAACCAGGGATCCTTTATAGCTGCCGCCTGTGTCTTGGGTCCTGAAATTTCTGCCTCACTGAAGCAGAAAGAATCTTCTCGAGACCTGGTGAAGAGAAGGAGGGCAGCCTCTGACTGGCGTGCCCTAAGACACTTGCCTAGACAGGGAGTGAGTGGCACCATGGGGACCCTGACTGGTGGCTGACAAGACACAGGTCCAGGAAACCACTGCTGGAAGGACTGGGAACACAAGACACTCTGTCCTTTCTACCTGCAAAAAATCCCAACTCATGAATATAGCAAGCTTTCTACCAGAATTACCGTGTTCTAGAAGGTACTGCACAGCATCAAAGTGGCCTCTGTGTGAGGCCACATACAACGCCACAAACGCCCTCTGAGACGTCCAGTGCTTCCACTTCTCACCCTCAAAATGTTCTGAATTTGCGGTTCGGTAGAAGGAATCTTCAGTAAGCCCGAGACAAGATAGCTGGGCAAGACAAGAGGAGTTTGAGTTATTCTCAAAAGCGTGGCTACATTTTGCTGGACGGCTGATGGGGCATGCTCAGGGGAAGGCTTGCTTGAATGTCAAATTAAGGCTCATGATGGGAAAAGAGAGGTGCAAACCCTCATGAAAAGCTGAGAAACACCCAGGACAGCATGGGGAGGCCATGATTTAATGCTTTATATATGTTCAGGAAATACGAATTCGCCGTCAGTCAGGCTCGGAACACAGGAAGGTCTTCCTGTCAATGTTTTGAAGAGAGAAAATAGCTTTGCCAGGTGTCCACAGGAAGGTGGTTGAAGCCACTGAGGAAGACACCAGCCAATATAAATGGCCTCCCAGAGGGTGACAGTCATCTCTTGGAGACCGGATCTGGCTTTCCCGTCTATTTGTGTGCCCACTGTCTCCATTAGGTTTCAGAGCAAGCTGAACATGCACAGGTGAACAGCCCGGTCACGTAACCACCTCGTGGTGAATTAAGTCTTTGAGCCTGGGAGGAAGGCTACGGGTTCCCCCAGGGAGGATACTCTGCCCTGATATGGGAGTCAGGACTGGGGCAGTGGGAGGATCAGAATCGAGACGAGGATGATGGCAATTCTGACAGCCTCAAACAGCAGGGAGGTGACCCCTGCAGCCAGAGTAAGAGCCAGAAAACCAAGCATGGACCACACTGCTGGTGACAAAGGGCAGGGAGACAGAAGGGGCAGAGGAGAGTGTGGAGGAGGAGGAGCGGGAGGGACTAGGAGATGTGTCAGGGCTGGGACAGGGCCCCATCCTGCCTACCCTCCCTGCCAAGGCTGCCTCCTGCCGCACCTGCCCCGAGCCCACGCACTCTTCCAAGAGCGCCAATCCCAGCCCCTGCTACACCCAGCCTTCCCTGACCCCTTTCTGAGCAAAGAAACTCCATCTCTTCTTCTCCAGGAGCACATAGCTTTCCATCCGAATTTCTTTTCTAGGAAGAATATAGCATTGCCCCTCGTGTCACAGTGATTCATCTTCCCTGTTGGGTACACATCTGGTTTCTATCCTCCTGCCCCCCACTGCCCACCCCTAGAGCCCAGCTGAGAGGCCAGCAGGAGCCCTGGAGGACAGAGCGCCCGCCGCTCACCCCGGGAACGAGGGGCCTCTCCCTCCGGAACCAGGCAGCACCTGGCGGAGGCCTGTACCACAGCCCCGAGCTCTGAGCTGTACGCTTCTCAGTTATCTGGAGTTCTCCTCTCAGTATTAAATTAGATTTCCAACCTTATCACTTATAAACATGAATAGAAACGTGCTGCCTCGACTCCTTTGCGGGGAGGGGTGGGGCGGTAAGTGGGTTATAAATCACAAATCGATAAACCCAGCAAAATGGTAAACCCAAGGAGTGAAGGCAAACCCTCAGTGCGGTATTTCATAATTATGACACGGCTCATCGTTCTCTCTTCCCTGCTCTGAAACTGTTATTCACATATCCGTATTAAAGACTAATTTTCCCCCCACAATTTACGGTTGCTTCGTAACGTATAATATCCATTTAAAGAAGCTTGAAAACACCTTGCTGGGATCCCCTTCCACAGCCGCCAAAACAAGTTCTGTCCATCCGTCATGATGCCAGATACATAATGAAATAATCCCTCCAGGAACAACATCATGGAACTTCAGGGTAGTGTCATCCATCAAAACTCCTGCAGGGAAAAATTTTTTTTCTTTTAAAAAATTGGGTATTAAAGATAAACTACTACATTGGTTAAGTTAAGAGATTATCTGACCTTGAGTGCCACAAAGATAATTTTAGAAATATCGAATACAAATCTCATTTGATGGTGTCGCGTGGGTCTGTCTGTTGTTGGTAATGCTTTTCAGAAAATAAATTTGGTTCAGCTCAGATGGAAGCCGAACAAAATCACAATGCCAACGATTTATAAAATTCTGTAATTATAACTTGTCCTATTGTGAAAAGGCACATGAGTCAGTAAAGTCATTTTATGAGGCAAACTCTACAAATAGAATGACTTAAACCTGAAGTAACCAGTCATTAGACACACAGCACAATGTGGTTATACAAATCATATAGGGTAAACCAAAATACTCTTGGATAATGTCATTACCTGGCTAAAGAGGTGACAATGACAAAAAAAATGTTGGATCTTTCAAATTGAAGCGTGGGAGGGATTTTTCCACCTTGGCACTGCTGACAGTTTAGACTGGGTAACTCCTTGTGGCAGGGGCCCCTCCTCGTTGTCTGGTGTTCACAGCTTCCCGGCCTCTACCCACTAGATGCTAGCAGCACGTTCACCAAATCAAGACAATCAAACATGCCTCCAGGCCCAGCACAGTGGCTCACACCTGTCATCTCAGCACTTTGGGAGGCTGAGGTGGGCAGACTTTGAGCCCAGGAGTTCGAGACCAGCCTGGGCCACATGGCAAAAACCCGTCTCTACAAAAAATACAAAAATTATCTGGGCCCGATGGCTCACACCTGTGGTCCCAGCTACTCAGGAGGCTGAGGTGGGAGGATCACCTGAGCCTAGGAGACAGAGGTTGCAGTGAGCCAAGATTACACCACTGCATTCCAGCCTGGGCAATAGAGTGAAACCCTGTCTCCAAAAAAAAAAAAGGCTCCAGACATTACCAAATGGGCTCTGGGGGACAAAATCTCCCTAGCTAAGAGCCGACGTGATGTGAGGAGCTAATGCTGACATCCACCCCAATTTGGACTTGGAGTACCAGAGCTCCTTAGGCCTCATGCTTTCTTTATGAGCAATGCCACCAACATCGAGTCTCAGCTCCGCCCAGGTGACACAGTCTAGAGTCCAACTGAGTGGGATTCATGAGTTTTCTGGTTTCATGATTCATGGCTTTGTGCTTATGTACTAGGTACTTAGTGATTACTTGGTTCCCAGACCGAGTACCTATATTCTTTCATCCTTAGGACAGCCCTCCAAGGTAGGTTTGTTAACTCCATCTGCTGATGAGCAGACTGAGGCTCACATAGCCTGTGAACAGCCACCCCAGTGCTGGCACCAGACCTGCTTCCCTCCAGGGCCACTGACTTCTCACTCTTGGCTCTATGAGCACCAATTTGCTACCAGAAACTCAGGATGGTAGATGTCAAGAGGGAATAGTGATCAGCAAATCTGTTAATTAGTGTCCTATTTGTGGTTCAGACACAGAGGATAACCGGTAATTAGTCTAAGTAAGACAACTTGACTCCCTACAACTTTGAAAATATTGAGTAAAGCTGTGTTTTGCTGAGACGGGCAAGAGTAAAACTCCCACATGCTGAACAGCCCCTGTAGAGATCGGAGTACATTCTCTTTTTATAGACAGGCAGCCACTGCCTTGGACTTAGACAAATACTAATTATCACCAGCTAAATAAATTATCACAGTTGACAACAGACGTGTAAGGGCAACCCTGGCCCATGGATTTGCTCACCCCTTTTAGATTTGTGAAACTCAAGGTTTTCACACATGATCTCATTTGATCTCCCCCCGCCCCAAATTTTGAGGTGGGTAGGAGAGGCCTCAGAGGATTATTTATAGGCAGTAGCCCAAATTTCTTCTAATAATGAGTAGCACTTTCTGTCTTTCTTGTTTGCCACCCACAGCAAGGACTACAACAGCAGAGAGAGGTCGAGCTTCTAACAGTTGCTAAGTGCCTGTTGAGTGATAGCCCTGTGACATCAGTGTTAAGTCACCCCCTCTCTCGCGCTCCCTCTTAGCTCTCTTGGATTAATAGCCCCGCATAGCTCATCAGTGAAAACAAATGAACAGAAGGGGTGCCAGGCATTTGTAGTTGAGGATACATAATTTTCAAATTACTTGTTTGGGAACTCTTACTAAGTCCTTCAACAACTCTCCTCACTTTTAATATGTTAAATACAGAGTAGGCTCAAAACACATTTCTTTCCAAATAAAGCCTCAAAAATGCTCGAGAGCATCTTCCAAACACTCCTATAGGAAAATAAATACGTCAGGAAAAGTGCTTAACCTATTTTAAAGAGAGAAAAGGAAGGTATTTTGGCCTTCACTGTGCATTTTGAGTTTCCTGCGTCATTTCTGTCCAGAGGGGGAAACGGCTCCGAGAATTCCAGAGCTGGTTTCTCTGTGTTACGGATTAGGAAACTGAGCCCAGAAGGGCAGTGTCTGGCAGCACCAAGCCCGTGGAGGCAGGCTGCTTTCAGATCTGTCTCCATCGCTCCCCAGCCCCTGCAGTACAGCTGCAGTCTCTCTGCAATATCAGCTGTTCACATTCTCTGTGCAGCAGCAGCTCAGAGATTTTTTCTATATCTTCATTTTCTTGAAGTGTGTTGCGTTGATTTCAACCAGGTGGGGAGATGATGGAGCCCAGGGACTTTGATCCTGTTCTCATATCCTAAATATTGTAGGGAATCGGGATAGGGAAAGCCACGCCTTCGGGTCAGGGAAGGAGACTGATGGAAGGAGAGATGGGCTCTAGGGTGCCTGGCCTCCACTGGGTATCTGCCACATGGGACTTGTCTGGAGTGGGGCCCTTGGGGTCCTAATTCAGTCACAGGGAACTTTCGGTTCTGGGTTCTGATTCCAGCTGGGCTAGCTTTGAGCTCCCGATGTGAACAAGGACACAGCTTGGAATTTGGGGTTCTGATATGTACTGGGTTAGTTGCCACTATTTGGGGTTCAAACGTAGATAGCAGCATTTGCTTTGAGACTCGGGTTCCTGTGAGGGCAGTTTACTCTGGATTTGGGGTTCTGATTAAAGTAAGGTTTGCTGTCTGTTTGGGGTCCTGATGTGAAAAGGTCTGTTCTGGGATTTGGAGTCCTCGTATGGGCAGGACTTGTTTTGGGATGTGGGGATCTGATGTAGCCCCGAGTAGTGTAGCATTTGGAGGGTAGGAATCGAGCACATCTGCCCTGAGATTTGGGGGTCTTCATGGTGATAAAATCTGCTCAAAATTTGGGCTCCTGCTATATGCAGGGTTTGGTCTGGAATTTGGGGTTCTGGTATAAATAAGGTTGGCTGAAGGATTTGGGTTACATATACAAGAAAAGTTTGCTTTGAGTTTTGGGGTACTCATGGAGGCAAGGTTTTGTTTGAACCTTGACTTCCTGACATGGACATGGCCAGCTTCAACCTTGGAGTGCTGATGTAGACACGGTTTCGTATCTGGGGGTTCAGATATGTGTGGGTTTGACTTGAGCTTTGGGGTCCTGCTGTGGACAGAGTTTGCTTCATTCTTTGGAGCCCTTATGAAGATACTTTGAGGGGATTTGGGTTCTGGTATGGTCATGGTGAGCTCGGTGACTGCCTTTTAGATGTGAGCAGAGTTAGCTTTGAATTTTGGGGTCCATATGTGGGCAGGGTTCATTTTGGGCTCTGTCATCCTTATGTAGACAGAAGTGGCTAATGGATTGGGGTTCAGATGCACAAATGGTTAGTTGGAGGCCGGGGGTCCAGAATTGGGCAATTGAGGGTCATGACGTGGGTAGAGTCTGCTCTGGGATTTAGGGTTCTGTTATGGCCAGGCATAGCTTCAGGGTTTGAGGCTGAAACATGGGCAGAAGTTGCATAGAGATATATGGGGTCTTGAGGCAGGCAGCGTTTGTTTCGGATCTTGGCATCCTTGTGTGGACATGGTTGTGGAGGATTCGGGGTTCTAATAGTCACATAATTAGTCTGGCAATTTGGGATTTCAGATTTAGCCAGGTTTGTTCTTGGTTTTGGGGTCCTAAACTGGACAGAGTTTGTTTCAGCTTTGACCTCTTTGCCTGGACACAGTTGTTGAAGGATCTGGG
This sequence comes from Homo sapiens, assembly GCF_000001405.40. Classification (NCBI taxonomy): domain Eukaryota; kingdom Metazoa; phylum Chordata; class Mammalia; order Primates; family Hominidae; genus Homo; species Homo sapiens. The sequence continues at coordinate 58,227,275 of NC_000020.11, forward strand.
GTTCTGAGGTAGTCATGGTTAGCCTGGAGATTAGGGGTTGAGTCTTGGGCTGGTTTGTTGATTTTGGGGTCCTGAGATGGACAGGGTTTGTTTTGATTTGGCATCCTTGCAAGACAAAAGTGGCTGGAAAATCTGGGGTTCTGAGGTAGTCATGGGTAGCCTGGAGATTTGGGGTTCAGTTGGGCATGTGTGCTCTGGATTTTGGGGTCCTGAGGTGGTCAAGGTTTGTTCAAGCCCTGGCATCCTGGGGGGGATGTGGTAGCTGGAGGATTTGGGGTTCTGAAGTAGTCATGGTTAGCCTAGAGATTTGGGGTTCGGTGTTGGGCAATTTTATTCTGGATTTGTGGGTCCTGAGGTCAGCAGGGTTTGTTTCAGGTTTGGCATGCTTGCGTGGACATGGTTGGCTAGAGGATTTGGGGTTCTAATGTTCTCAAGACCAGCATGGAGGAGGACTTGGGGTTTGCTTTGAGTTTGGGGTACTGACATGGGCAGGCTTGCCTTGGGTTTGGGGGTTCTGCTGAGGACAGGCCTTGTTTCAGACAAGTCTTACATGAACAGAGTTGGCTTTGGGACCTGGGTTCCTTATGAAGACATGGGGAGCCTGAGGGTCTGGCTTCTGGGGGGTCCTGGCTTGGACAGGATTTGCTCAGGGTTGGCAGATGCAGCCCGATCCAGGCAGGACCTGCTTGTGGATTAGGGTCCTGCTGTGGACAAGGTTTGCCTTGATTGGGAGTCCAATTTGAACGCCGTGTGTTTGAGATTGGGAAGTCCCTCTGTGGCCAGGACCCTAAGTGGCCCTTCCATCTGGGTTTCAGGGTGGTTGGGTTTCAGGGGTTTGCTTTGACATCTGGGGTTTCTCACGTAAGCAGGCTTCCCTTTGGGAATCCACTTCAGAAGTGGACAGGGTGCCCTTGCATGTGGCCAGGGAAGGAGTCAGGGCAGGAGCCACCTTCGTCGAGGTACTGGAGCCGCTGGAGGTTGAAGGGGATGCCGACCATCAGGTCCAGCTCCTCTTTGAGCTCCCGCACGGTCATGTCGCCGCGGCAGTTTGCCACTCGGAACATCTCCCCCGTCTCCTCCAGCCGCACCCGCAGGACGAAGACGTCAGGGGCCAAGTCGGGCAAGGCACTCGCGGCCTTCGGGTCACAGACGAGCCGCTGGCTCCGGCCGCGGGCACAGGCCAGGGGCTGCGCGGGGAGGGCCCGCGAGTCCGCCGAGCCCACCCTGGGCCCGCCGCACCCCTGAGCCCCGGCCCGCGCACCGCTCCTGCGTCCCGCATTGGGGTGCAGGCGAGAGGCGCCCCCAGTTGGCCCCGCCGCCCGCGCTCCGCCCGCCCCCGCCGCCGCCCGCCGCATCCCCCAGGCGCGGCCGCGCGTCATCCGCGGCTCGAGTGCGGTGGCCACGCGTCATCGCCGCCCCCGCCCTGACGCCCCAAGGCGGGCCCATGCGCCCCCCGCCCCACTGTGACGCCCAGGCCCCGCCAGGACCGCCCCCTCCAGACGCAAGGCGAGGCCCCTCCCTGCCTGCCGCCCGAGCCTCCAGGGAGACCGATGGGCGGGCGGCCCCCCAAGGTCCCGCAGTCCTTTCCCGCTCCGCGATGAACAAAGCCGCAGTTTCACGCGGCCGCGGGAGACGGTTCTTAAATAATGGAACAGGACATAAGTGCTTCCCAGAGCAACCGGGAGATTTATTGATAAATACAGAGACATCGCCGGGCAGCCACGCTCCGACAACCCGCACTGGGCCCCCGTCCCGAGCTCAGGCCACGTCCCCACCTCCTCGAAGCCTCCAAGCTGCTGTTAATGTCAGTTCTTTTCACCAGGCAAACGGAAGGGGCATTCTTGCTGCTGTTAGGAAACGGTTACCACTTCTCCGTGTCTGTTTAAAATAGGATCTTTGCATAAATTGGGATAAATCACCTGGAGGAATTACACGTAAACAAGGCTGTAAATCACCATTGCATGCATGGCCTGCAGAGTTGTAAAGTGCAGATTTTCGTTATAAAAACACTTCTAGTATGAATGAAAAAAAAAAAAAACCACCAACATTTCATAAACATGACTCCCTGCAGCCGATCTGGTCCCGACATGGGGGTGGATCCCAGAAGCGGGAGACAGCCTTCCACGGAAACTTGCAAAACTGCACCAAAATCTATCAATTTTGAAAATGCTCTTGAATTCTTGGCGGAAGAAAGATGCTGATAAACACATTAAGTGGGGAAATGCTCCCTTGAGAAAGGCTGGGTTGGCTCTATGAAGACACCTTTGGAGTGAGCTGTGCCTGGGAGAAACCCATCTGTGCTTTTCCCTTCATTCACCGGAGATGAGGCTGAGTGTTCAAGTAAACAGGAAGCTTACCTGTGGTGGTCAAATTACAAACACTCAACATGGCACCCATGAATAATTAGAAAATACAAGCGCCGAAGTGACGGGGGCGGGAGCTAGGAGGGCGAGGGGAAACAGAACAATCTTGGAAAAATCTCGGTTGTTGCAAAAAAAGAATAAAATGTATGCTTAAAAATTATTTTTACAGAGAAATTACAGCCATAAAAAATATCTGTGCATTGGAAAGGCACTCATATTATAGAAAAATGTTAACATATAAACGGAAATTGTAAAGGTTAGATTATTTACCAAAGAGTCTCTACAATCTCTCCAAGCATGTTGTGATTCAGCATGCAAATTATACACATCACAACACAAACTGAAGCTCATTTTTTTCCTTAACGGAAAATTAAGCTCTGAATAGAATACAAGATTCCAGTTGAATAATTCTACTTGCTGCTAGATCAACAGATTTTAACAAAACAATCTCAATTTGCGGGCAATAAAAAAAAATTAAAAATTGCTGGTTACCAAAGCAAAACAATATCTCCATTTACTTTAGGCAAGAATTAAACACACGACGGATTGACTGATTTTTTTTTTAATATGTAGCTTCTGATTTATTAACTCACTTTTTGCCGACGCTGCCTAAATGCTACCCTGGGGTATAATTTGCAATTCTCACATAGGTACCTTATTATTATTTTGGCGTGGTGTATATACGCCTATCTTTCTTTTAAAAGAATCAGTTAAATGGAATTTGGAGGTGGAAGTCACATCCTCTATACTAGAAAATTCAATACATAGCTTCAAGAATTTCATTTAAAAATAAAGACAAGACAAACAAGAAAAAGACCAAAGGGCAGAATAGAAATAGCTTACAAGCCCTTAGCAGAGCTAGCTCTTGAACCCCAAATGGGCTGTTTCCTCCTTCCTTCCCTTATCCTACCTTTGAGAACATAAAAATAGAAACACGAAAAATGACATGTGCATACATGTAAGTAAAATTTGTTCAAATGGTTAGAAAATCTTAAATTACTGATTTAAAAAACCTGGTTAAATTCTAGAGCATCTTTCTCTTAGTCTAAATTTGAAACGCATGAAATCTAAGCGGTGTGTACTTAAGTCAATTTGAAGAGTATATAATTTGACCCCCAAAGTCACAGGTGCGTAGAACTTGTGGGCAGGTTATGATCAGAACTAGGTTTTCCTTTTTTTGGTTAAGATTCTAAAGCATTAGATATAAAGTCAATATCCATGCATCTCAGTTATCAATTTCCCTCCCAAGTTTAAACATATAGCATATCCATATAAAAATGGAAAAACCTCAGTTATCCATTTCCCTCTCAAGTTCTTAAACATATGACAGCATATCCATATAAAAATGAAAAATCTTTCAGCTTTATGCCTCTATCAAAGGCCAACACATATCTTCATGGAAACAGTTCCTGTCAGGCAGGGAGGAGTGAGTGCCTGAGGAAAAGTTCCAAGTAGTTTATAACAAAGGCACAATATTAGAAAGACTGCCATCAATCATTCTTTAGATTTCTTTATCACATTTTTCAAAAATAAACAAATCGAACCATATTTGTAGCAACTCAAAGTGCAGCATAGATTTAAATGATGTATTTGTTCAGCTCACTGATAGGGGGCAAATACTACATTAATATATTTTCTTCCTGTCAAGAGTTATTTACATATGTACAGTATTTCAGTTAAAAATATAACACCATAAACTATATTTTATAGGAAATCATAAGGGAAGGAAATATGCAGGTCTATTAAAGACTTAAGAGCTTCTAATAAACTACTTTACTTGGAGAGGGTTGGGGGGACTTCAGATCATACAGTCTGCCATGGAGAAAAGAACTTGCTGGCAGACAGCCTGATGGTTCAGAGGCTCCAGTGCCCAGTTAGCCACCTGGTCTGCAATCTTTCCACAGACTTACTGATCAGGCTTGATCAGGATGGCCCAGCCATCCAGAAAAAGCCCCCATCAGGTTCAGTCCCTTCGGGGTACAGATGGAAAAGGCGTCAATCACTGAGTGCACAGTATGAAAGGTTCCAAAATCTCCCCCAGCTGGTATAATACAATCAGTTCCCCTTCAAGTTATGGTAAGCCATATGTGCCAAGCATGAAATAATCAGATTGCAACTCATCACGGAAGTAGTTAATTCTGTTTTTCTAGTACAGCAGTGTCTATGATATTCCGCCGCTTTGGTTCTAGGGCTGCAAAAAAGGAAACATCTTGGTCCCGGTCTGACTGCAATGCTAAGATGGTCTCTTCAATGACTTCAAGATGAGGGTTACCAGCATTTCTAAAATACGCTAAAGAGAGAAACCATGAGTCTGAATCAGGTAAGCCATGAACAGTGTTCAAAACACACTCGGTTTTGTTTTTTGTTAGCCACATGTCAGGACAATAAATCAAAGAGTATTTCTAAAATGTTAAAGATGGACTCCCAACAGTTATGCATATTTTTAAAATTATAGTAACTATCTTTTTTCCCTGCAATACAAAAGAAATGGCAATGTGCAGAGCAGGAGCAGGTTGTAGGTAGGGTGGGGCAGGGGGTGAGGTGGCAAGAAATGTACATGTAGGGCAGAGTTCAAGATATTTTCCTATATGTGTGGTGTAGAAATAAACTATCCAAGAAACACAAAGCTTTTATTGAGTCCTGTCCAGGTGTAAATAATCCACTAGTTGGGTTACAAATCTTTTCTAACTGACCACAAAATAATACCATTAAAACATAATAGCAGTTAAGGCTTACGTTTGCTACCTTTCATAATCTTTCATGTCATAACTCAAAATTTATCAATTTCCCTCATTTCTGGAAAGCTATGTAATAATTTACATTTTAGCATATGTTTATTAAGTATGAAGACCAAATTACATTCATTTCCTTGGTCGTTTTATAAATAACATAAAATGATGCATCAAAGTTAACATAATCATTTACATAATAAACCTTACGCGTGCTGTCACACAACCTGCCTCAGTTTCCTAGAGGAAATCTAGTTGTGGCCTTTAACAACTGGTGGAGTCTACCCGAAATGTGTAAGTTCTGAAAAGTGCTCCACCTACCCTTTTCCAACAGCATCTGCCTTAGGGCCTTGGCTAGCAGAACCCTCACGTTGGGCACAGGATCTGATGCGAGGCTCAGGAGGCTGGGAAGCAGGTGCTCCATGAACTGGTCCACGGGGACACACTCCTTGCTCACCACTGCCTGCTCCAAGAAAGTCACAGCCAAAGAAATGATGTTTTCCGCAGTCTTCTAGAAACATACACTTCTTTAATCCCAAAGAAGTCATTTCAGAATCTGTAGGTTTGAGGCGTGTGTATGAATTTTTAAATCTCAAGCACTGATTTGGTTAGAAACACAGTTAATATTTTATTATAATTCACTACCAAGCAGTGGGTTCCAAGTAGGTTAAGATCTGGTGAGCTTAGGAGTCAGAAGTCTAGATTCAAAACCTAACTTGGTCTTAGTAGCTATGTGACTTCTGGTTAAGCGGCTTAGCCTTTCTGAGCCTCAGTTTCCTCATCTGTATGATGACAGGTCTGTTATGCAAAACATCTAGGACAATACCACCACACTGCATACAGCTGACCGGTAAGGAAGGGTCAAGAACCTCATTTCTGTCATTCACAGCGGCCGTGGCTGTCAAGTGACAGTCAAATCCCAAACCATAACCCAATGCCCAGACCTCTATAAACAATCCGTAAATGCCAGTCCTGTAGTCATACCCAGCAAGTGCATATAACTTCTCCAGTTACACGACTTTACATGTATTCTCTCACTTAATTCTCAGGACTAGCCCTGGAATTCAAAATCAGCCTAGTTTTACAGGTTAAAAAAAAACTCATTTCCAATGTGGTGGTGACACCCAAAGGTCTCATAACCACCAGTGGCAGCGGGGGGGTCTGCGAGCCCAAGTGTAGGTTCTAACTCCTGTGGCAGCAGGGTGGGGACTGTGAGCCGAAGTGTGGGTTCTAACTCCTGTGGCTCTTCTATGCCCGGGTAATTGGTGTCGTGGTGGATGGGTGCTGTGGCGGTGGCTGCTGGTGTTCCCTAGGTGCCAGGCGCCATGCTGGGTAGCTCAGCTTTATCAGCCCACGGAAGCCCATGACAACACTAGAAGGCAGGCACATATTCCTAGGCTCCTTTAAGCAGTGTACATGGCACCCAATGTGTAGCCTTTTACCCCTCACCCCCTCCCACCCTTCCCCCGCAGTCCCAAGAGTCCTTTTGTTTATTTCAGACTTTCTAAATCTCAGATAAAGAATTTAAAAATAAAAGCAAAAACTATTTCCTTTAAGCTTTCTCCACAAATTGATTTGGAACATTGACTCTTCCTTCACAAAAGTCTGTGCCGTCTGTGAGTTTGTGAGTCTGTGAGTTTGTTGTTCACTCTGCCATCCACTGCCCTTCTCAGAGTGGGCTGCCAAAGCACTCCTGTAATGTCCCACTGGTCCAAGAGGGGGCGCTGGTGAGTCCTCTGGTGCCCGTGGTCATCAGGGAGAGAAAGGGGGCTTTGCGGTCTGGGGTCAGGTACGGTCCCAACCACGGCTTCACTGTACTATCAACAAAGCTGGGTGGTGGGTTCACAGAGGTTCATTACAGCAATCCCTCTACCTTTGTATATGCTTGAAAACGTGTGTAATGAAAGTTAAAATGTTTAAAACAATACTTTAGCAGAAAAAAAAAAATCATCGGCTTACACTTCCTGTGTGATCTTGAACAAGTGACCTAACCTCTCTGGGCTTCAAATGTTTCACCTAAAAGAGCTGGTCTAAAGGTAAATGGGTATGCCATGCTCAATACACATTACCTCTTGGTTTTTTTTTTTCTTCCCTGAGATGGAGTCTCACTCTGTTGCCCAGGCTGAAGTGCAGTGATGCAATCTCAGCTCACTGCAACCTCCGCCTCCCGAGTTCAAGCGATTCTCCTGCCTCAGCCTCCCAAGTAGCTGGGATTAAAGGTGCCCGCCATGACACATTACTTTTTATTAGAGAATTAAATGTGTGATGTGATACCTGGCACACAAGAGGTATTCAAGAAATGGCAGCCATTATCACTGCCATTGCTCCTAGGCAAACATAAATCACACCCTCATTTCCAAGAGGCTGAGTAGAGAGGGCGATCTGAGGAGCTGGACAGGATGATACGAACTCTACACATTTACTCTAAAGAGGTTAAAGTCTCTGCCCTAACCCACTGCCCAATTCTTCATCCTGCCTTCCTTCCAAAGCCACTGGCTAAGGTGAGGTGTAGTGGTGGACACAGACCTGTATAGGAAAGGAGTGGACTGTGGGCCTGGCCCTTATCTTACTGGATGGAAATGTGGGAGAGCAGAGGCTTGTTCACTTTGTCTTTAGCATCTAGAATCTGTCTGGACCATCGTAGGTACTCAATCAATAGCTATGTGGCAAATGAGTATGCCAGTGGGGTAACCCTGGGCAAGTCCCTTCACCACACTGGGTTGGTCCCAATGTCCTGTGAGATAACAGGGCTAGGTGAACTAATTCCTCAGTTCCTGGCTAGTGCTCCAGGCTGAGATTCTCTGTCTGGTGAACTTGATTTCATCACGTGGCAGATGTTACCCAGGGTAGATCCCTCCCGGGGTCTTGCTAACCTGACAAATGAAAGCGAAAGCTTGCCTTCCAACCCACTTAGAACAGTGCCGGAACCTTATGATGAGCTCATTGATGAAATTTAACCCCAATGCACTTTCACTGTTGGAATAGAACTTCTGCAGAATTGCCACGACCTGTGAAAAACATCAAAAGAGCACATTTAAAATGCTGCCATCTATTTGAATTACGAATACTACTCTACACGGAAACTAGACATTTTTATGCATCCTTCCACCTTTAAAATGAATTTATAGGCGCAGGAGAAAGTAATTTTTGTCACGGTCATCATTAGAACACAGAGAAAAAAGATGTTTAAATATAGGCAATACACACACACACATAAAACCCTTCATAAAAATGAAACTTCAAAGGAGACTGACATTAGAAAAATACATTCTTAATCTTAAGGTTCCAAATTTTAGAGCATGTCCCCTTGCTTAATAACTAAATCATTACCTTTCAGAACATGTCATTTTTATAAAATTTTAATACCATCAGAGTATCTTAAAATCAATATTGTCAAATGTGATTTTTTTTCATCAGTATTCAGCTGGTGTAAAGCCCACATAAAAAAATAGGATCAGCTTTTCTACAGCAGAGTCTTTGCTCACTAAATATTTTTCTACAAAACCAAGCTGTAAATCAACCTGTATTTTAAAAACACTAACCTATGGCTTAAAGAGTTTCATATATAAAAGGATTACTCCACAATTGCCGTCACTGAAACATATAACAAAAAAAGCTATCCTACAAATTGATAAAACTATAATATAGTTCCTAATTTCAAATTTTAAAAGCTAGTTTCATAGGTTAGCTGACAAAGTAAGCCCAGAAAAATTAAAAGAGTTAAAATGGAAGATACATCAACATTCCTATTTGTAAAAATCACAGAGCAAATGCCCTGATTCCTTACTAGTTTGAAGGAGATCCACCGAACTTCAGAAACTTGATCTGCACACAACTTTAAGGCAATGTGCATTAGGTAATCATAAACATCATTGGGACTATAGAGTTCCAGAATCAGTATCAGCTGTCTGAAATTAAAAGGAAAACAACAACAACAAAAACAACAACAAAAAAAACATTATTTTTGGGCAAAAAAACAAAATTATTGATTTCTTTTTACTGTTATTTCATCTTACAGATAAAAATAGCCAGGCTGGGAAATGAACAGCAAAAGACCCAGCAAGATTTCGGTCTTCAGTAAAATGCCAACAGCAGAAAGCTGAGCAAAATGACCATGCAAAAAAAATGTGAACAAAATTTTAATTCTTCATCTCACACACATACAAATCAAACAAAAAGGAAATAAACTCTGTAAAATAGAGGCTGAGAAATTTATGAATACAGATTTAATATTTCAATTTTAGGTTATCAGTTGAAAAGCACATAAAACTTTAAAAATCAGATAACATAAAAATAGCCAGAATGTTGAAGTTCACAAAGGTCAACAGATCAAGCGAACACTCTGAGATTGCACGACCGCCCCGGCGTTTCTCCGACTGCAAACCGAACCGGATGCTCCTGCTCGCGGCTCTTGGCAGCACGAGGTGGTTTCACTGCAGCGAGGTCCGCTTGGAGAGAACTGGGAGCGCGTGCTCCTTACTCCGAAAGACAAAAGCATGCAGGAGACGGCTGGCTGCGAAAACCCACTACCAAAGCTTTCACTACTTTCTAAATGGGGATGGGGAGAAGGGCATGAAAATAAATGACATTGCTTTCACCCAGGCAACGAAAGGAAATGAAAAAGAGATGGGGAGGAAGTTAGAACCAGAAGCCCGGAGTGCTGGTGAATACTTTCATATCAAAAAGCACCGTTTTCAAAAACATGATACCAATATCATGGGCACCGGAGCACAGAATTCATATCAGTCGCTGTGGCTTCAATAAGCCGGGAGATGGGAGATAGGGCGCGTAGGGGGCTAGATAACGTGGTCGGGCACTGGGGCCGCGCAACCACCCGGGGAAGCCCCGCCGGGCACCGAGCGCGCCTACTTCCCGTGCGCCGCCGCTAGAGGTCGCACTGCTTTCATGGAAAACGTGGGCCTGTTTTTCTCGACTCAGAACAGGATGCTGGGAACATGGTAAAATGACTGAAACCTCAATCTCTCAAATTAAGCAGAATGATTAAAGACCACAGCAAAGAGAAAGGCTTTCGGTTTGCCCCTGGCATCAGCCAAATCATATCCTGAATAGCTGCAAAAGCCTGATGAATTTATTCAGGGAAGACAATTATTTGAGAGATTTCTAGTTGTGGATGAGAAAAATGAAAACTAAAGACACCGAAATGAAAACAAGGTAAAAACTAAAACCCAAACAACAACTGCCACAAACAAATTCCCTCCACACCGTGAAAGGCACATTATATACCTTAGGAAGGGGAGTTATTTAAACTGATGCTTCCACCCTTTCATCATCACTAAAGCCTGGAACATTCCTTTTGCCAGCTCAAGACAGAATTAAATAACTCCTTCAGGCACAAAATGATGTGCAGATAGGAGCCACCTTGGGGAACCTTTTTGTTTCATAATCATCTCATCTGGGTTAGACCCCTTCCTGTCTCCCACAGTAGCTAAAGGGCATTAAGCATGCTGTACCCTACGGAGAGGACCACACTCAGAATGTTCAGGAAAGCTCTGGTAAAAACTGCTCCGATTAATAGGAAAACACTGAAGAGTGGGTGATTCATCTTTTATTTGGTTCAAATAAATTGCCTTCTAGAACAGCAGAACACTCTAATTCGAAAGTGACTCAAGCCCTGTCTTCATCTGAAAATGAATGTCTCCCCGGAGACTGTGGTATTTGTAACTCAGGGTTTTTGGAATTCTGTTTATACCTTAATAAAAACATAATCTCTTTATCTAAAAGAACACTATTGCTGCTGCTTTAGAAATCAATTATATGGTAAGAAAATTAAGATTTATTCCATCTAGTTTGCTTTCTCATATCCCCAAATATGTTTTTACTTACTCTGCTAGTTCATATCGAAACCTCCAATTCCTGCTGTTATCAGTCACTACAAATTCTTGAAGCTGATAAAGATAGTCTCTCCTCTTGTCTTCATGAAGCAACTATTTTTTAAAAATGTATATATAAACAAACATGTATAATCCTTCAAAATGACCCCAAATGCCCCCTTTTATTCCACTTCCAATTATACATTTGTCACTGGCAAGAACTTTTGCATTTCCCCTACACCTCGTCATCTATCACGCAGCGTGGCTGCGAATGAACACTGCTGTACACTGACATCAAATGCATCCCTGAACACCTCCAACCTTTTCCCCTGGCTAGGACATGTGCTTATTATGTATTTCTGAATGCCCCTGAGGTCTTCCTGCTTTAGTAATTTCCTATCTAAAAACAAAAAAACAGACAAACAAAAACCCAGTCTGTGTGTGTTTGGAAGACAGTGTGCCACTGCCGCTTCCCAGGGAGCGAGGCTGCTCGGCACCAGGAGAGGAGAGACTCAGCTGGAGCAGCGCACACCAGAGTCCGTGAAGGGCAGCTCTTGGTCATGTGGATGAGAGTAATTAGTTTCTCTAGGTCATTTTTAAACTCTTATTTTTTATATTCATCGTTCGTTTGGGGGGGAGGGGGGGAAGCCAGAAGGGAAGCAGCAGCGACTTGCAGAAAAAGTGCTTCATGCAGAACAGAGGTTGGACTTCAGCCCAGGCTCTTCCCCTGGGTGACTTCTGGGCAAGTCAGGTCACTACCTGGGGGCCTTGATTTCTTCTTTTGCAAAGAGTGTGCTAGGCTTTGTGTCTACCATCTTCCACAGAATTAAAACTCTAATGGACAGGAAAATGAGGAGAAAAAAGTTTAAAATATTTACCCATCACTGAAAGAACATCCACTTTAAGATTATGGATGGTACATTTCAGCTAAAGAAAGCTAAAAACTGCATTGTTTTTTTCACTGACACCATAGACATCCAGGGCTTCACAAATTTGATTCGGAGAGAGGAGGCTTGTTTTTTGCTTTTAACCCTTCTTCCTACCTTTAGAAAATCATACAGGTGTCTAAGAACTCCTATTCGCACTTCATCCAGATCCTTTAAAAATCCATTGAAGATAGGCACCAGGTCAGCTGCTGTTAACTGATCCCCAAGAATCACAGCCAGCTCGTGAATGGAGAAGGCTAGGGCTCGCCGTACCTTCCACTAGGGGTGCATAGCAGACACACGAATCACGACAAGCAAGTGCAATTCAACCTCTTCCGTATCTTACATGGCATTTTTGGAGCAAAATGAATACTGCCAGGTGTTGGCCACTTAAAGCTTTATTTCATCAGAGACCAGTAAACATGCCAATTTGCATCCACATAAAATTCAGGCCAATAAGCCTTGCTGCAGCTTCCCTTTTCTCCCTAATGAATGACCCACCCTCTTTCTGCACGTGCCTCTGGAAAGGCTTTTACCTGTACATCAGAAGCCAGTGTTTCATATGTATCTTTCAGGCAGTGCCAATTTTGCCTGCCCAGGGTCAGTGCCACCCCTGGGAGGCTGTAGGCACAGTGTTTGGCTATGTCAGTATCGACAGTCTGGGCTCGAGCTGGGTCAGTCATGGACACATACTGATCTAGCAGCGGCTGAGGTATTACATCCTGGGAAATGAGAGAGAAAGGAGGCCATCGTGAATGCAGGAAAATACTCATGAAAAACAAGGAGTTTGGAGTTTAGAGGTGAAAACAATAAAGCAGAAATGTGAGAGGAACATGAGGCCTTCCTAAAGCCAAAGGGCTTCAGATTGCCAACTCTGTTTTCTCCAGAGAGTGGGTTTTCAATTTTGCTTGAAGTGAAAGCAACACCCAAAACTCATCTTCTTAAGATTGGCACAATATTTGATATCATAGAGGACAGTCTAGACAGCAATGTCTGCTTAGGCTGGTACATCCAGCTCTTGAGAATGGAGACTGCCTTCTCTTTTCTTACAACTGCCCCAAGAACCTAGCACCTGAGACCTTATACTCTGATAATCACGTCTATGTTTGACTGTGCTTGACTGAGATAGAACTCAATCAAATCAGTGTTAGATGTCTTATTTTTTTCTCATATTAGTTTGCTTTATTGAAAACACTATTATAGATTGTTCAGAAGCTTAAACACTACCTTACAATTAATTTTTTACAATTAGCAACACGAAATATGAATTAAAATATGTAATCAATATTGATAGAAGAAAAAATATTTGGTTCCAATTCTTAAAGTTAACTTTAAGAAAATACACAGTTTTGAGTTGCCTCCCCGCCCCCCCGCCCCCGAAAGAAACGAACCTGTAATTTAGATTTATTCTCTTCAAGTGGGGTGGGATCCTGCCTCTGGTCAGTCTCCAGATGGTCACTGGTTCCATTTCTGGGTCCACCTGGATCCTACAGAGTTGATTGGACATGTTACCAATTTGCTCCAAAGGAAGCAGCTGTCCTGTCACTTCCCCTTCAAAGAGTCCTTTTTCAATGCCAGAAATTACTTCTGTAAGCCAAGGCAAAAGCTTTCCTTGAAGTCAATGGTATCTTTCCAGATGTTAAAAATTACATTTGCACAGTTACATATGATACTGTATAAACCAGTTCTTTTAAGTGCAAAGGAAAATTGATTTCATACATTTTAATTTCAAGACTGCTGGAGGTCCTTACAGAAATACAAAGGCTAAAGTGAAAGCACTGAGGAGCAACCCTGTGAGTTTGCATCCACTATTCCTTATGCCCTAGGGACTCCCTGGTATGGCTAACCAACACCTTTAAGTAATATTCACATGTTTAAGGCACAGACTACTCCAGAAGGGTGAGGTTTGCAAGAAGTGGTAGAGCCAGCACCTCCAGCATTTCTTGGTAATCAGGGATTGCAGCAATGGTGGGTCCCTGAAAGAGGATGGGGGCTGGGGAACCCAATGAATCTGAGAGAAAAGATGTGGCTGATACAGGAGTATTTAATCAGAAAATTGTCCTAGATTTTCACAGGTACAAACACTCCTGATGTTCGCTGATAAACCTTTACATTAGGTAAACAATTAAAATGAACAAGAACATTCAATGGTGACATTTTGGTCTCTGATCGTTGATTAACATTAACTGAGATGGACCTGACCTTCTCCTTCAACCATAACATGGATTTCCAAGTTGCACTTGAAATGTCATACTGTCTACCAGCTTAATGGATTCTGACAAATCAGCTCAATGTATGATCCAGGAAAGTCGATTAACACACCGATAGATGCTTCGTTTGCTCTGAGGCGCGCCACCAGAACCTTCAATTCCCAAGGTTTTCACTGATATGTACTATTTATTTTAACAGAGGACATGATAAAACAGAAATATTTTGGTATAAAAACCTAAGACCTCAATTTCTTGTGGTCTTATTATTAATAAATTCACATATAGTAACAAGATGTGTCATTAGAATCACTATTATCCCTTTAGAAATTAATTTTATTCCAAAGTCTTCAGTGCAAGCATATGTGCAGCACTTAATCCAGGAGCCAAATCAAGGCTTAAGCAAATCACCACAAGTCATGGCACCTCCAGAAGGTATTGTGAGTTCCCCAAACCCCAGTGGGACACCATGCTGGCTGGCTACCTGTGCACCCACCACTCAGCATCCAGCAGCCTTCTTTCTAGCAGGATCCCGACTCAGGGGGCTCCCATGTTTCTGCCCAGTTCACCATGCTCAACCCATGAATGCACACCGTGACTGTGGCCAGGAAGAGGGAGGCAGAAGGAGAGGGCAGGGAGGTGGTTTCCCGCCTGGGGTGTCCTTGTTCTTCAAAAGAGACAAGTGGGAAGACACAGGCCCCGCCTTCCACTGGGCATTTCATGCTGACAAAAGCCACCACAGCAGAGGGGAAGGGTGGACAGATCAGCACCAAAGGTATGGAGTCTAGCAGCCCAGAAGCTGCCCAACCACAGCACTTCTTCCTCTTGTCTTGTGCAAGAGAACATTTTCCTCATGGTTCTTGGAGTTTTTTATTTCCTCTCCCTTCTTTTGCGACAGGAAGCATCCTAATTAATCCCACTAGGATCTTGGAGTCAAGCCGCAAATTCAAGGGCTCTGCCCTCCCACACCATAAAACAGGCTCCATTACACAAACCCTTTTAAAGCTGCAACTCAAAAGCCCCAGCCTGGAGGAATCTGTTCTTTTTTTTTTTTTTCACCTCTATGATAAAGAAGTCCAAATACTATCACATCCCCACCAAGGTAAATGTGGTCACACCCTTCTACTTAACACTTGCAACTTTTGCACTCTAGGTAACAAGGTTGACAATAATGAGCTTTCTTGCTAATTTTTTTAGCAACAAACCAGCAGAAGAGGATATCACCCCATTTCTTATTAATCACAGATAACCAACTCCTACACATTTTATGTTTGAGTTCTAAAATGTTTTATTTTGCTTTATTAGAGCAGGCCTAAGGGGTAAGGGAGGTGTTAATCACTGAAATCAAGTTCTAAACTGTATGAATAGAGAAACAACTGGTATTTAGGCCCTGGAGACCATGAGATTGAAGAGATTATCCATCATGGCACATGATAATGACACGGTGCTATCCCAATGACTGTATGACCACAGACTCCTCCCTCATTTTAATCCTCCATTCTGCCCCCCTACCTGTGGAAGACCCCAACTTAAAGTGGTCCAAGTGGAAGCTTAGTAGAAACTAGGACAGCTCAAGAACCTCCAGCTACAAGGGGTTGACCCAAGCTCCTGGAGAAACCTGAAGAAATAAATCATGGGCCCCTCTTCACTCCAGCTTTGGGGCCGTGGTCTCACAAGGGGCTGGTTCCACCCACAGGAGGAAGGGGGTCACTGGTGCTTTTTCAAAAGAAAGAGAAACAGCATGCCAGGACCAGCACTGGAGCATCCACGTATGCCAGAGCGCCTACCAAATGGGCGGCTGGTGTGACAGCTGCTCTGGGAGGCCTCGTCCACTTGAAATTCCAGGAACTGCCTGAATTCACCCTCCACTATTATTAAAAGATGTTGATGTCTGTTAGCAGTGACACAGAGCATTTACATGGTTAACCTCCCCAAAGAAGAAGTTCTTGTCATCTCTGGAGAAGAGGGAAGGTACTTTCTGGTGCCCACCCGTCTTCGTGGGAGCGCGTCGGCACTATCAATCACCTGATTGATTGGTTGTCTAGTTATCCAAAACATGACCTTAAGAATAAAATGAAATTTGCCATTTATCATCTCTGCTGGGATATATTAATAAGAGAAAATGCTGCTTTGTGATTTCTGTCACATCCTCGGTGGCTGAGGGATACGGCAAATACTTACTGGGCTTTGTAATATCCTGGCCACAAAGAGCTCATCCTGAGATGATGAGGCCGCCAGAGCGATCTGATTGTCAGAGGCAGAGCTGGGATGTGAAATGGACACTTCCTTTAGGCCTGCTGTTGGCTTGCTCTCAGCTTCATTCACGCAGTCGAGCTGTGCAGCTCTCAGTGCAGCGGATAATACCTGAACTTGAGCTGGAGGAAGAGAAGTTTCAAGAAATTTAACAACTTTATTTGGTTTGTGGGGGTTTACTTCAGAGAAGTCTTCAAAACAACATAGTCTGCACTAAGCTACATGGTGTGGGTGTACTACACTGACACGTATCTGTTCTGAAGTGACAATGCTCTGGAGTCTCAAGCTCTCGGCAAGGTGGTGATATTTCCGGCCACTAACAATTAACTACTTCAACTAAATGCCAGCCATGCACAGAACATCAAACCTGAACTTGAAAAGTCTCAATTCGGAAAAACCCAAGTGACTCCACCATGTTTCACAGAAAGACAGCATGGTATCACTGAACAAGGATGACTGGGAGGTCCAACAACTCAGTGAAGGGTATCCTGCTCCCCCATTTATAAAGCAGGATGGCTACCTGCTCACATACACATACATACATGTGCACACACACACCCATGCATGAATACATCCATTTACACACAGATGAGTAATGCTCTCACTCACCAAGCCCCAAAGGCTGCCCATTCTTTCTGTCCAGAGTATGACAGTTTGAGACTATCTAAACAGTAAAGATAACATATTTCACATACCTTTCTGTAAAAATAAACGAATGTTTTAGTATCCTCAACCTCCCAAAAGACACACACACACACACACACACACACACACATATTACTTCCTGCATCCTGCTTCTATTAATTAAATTTCGTGGACTCCAACATTCATCAAAACACTGAGAGCTTGTAGCTGGCTCTGCGCTGTGCCCAGGACAGGTCCCACCGCTCCAGTGCTACACACCAGGCCCTTCCCAATGGCCTGAGTGACATCTCCTGCCTGCCGTGGCCAGTTCACAAATAAAATGCATCACTTATTTCTAGATCTTCGGGGATCATAGATCCCTTTGAGCTCTGAAGAAAGCTATGGGCCTTGTCTTACAAAGAAATTAAGTATGCACAAACATGCAAGATTTTACAAATAATGATTTCAGGGAACTGAAAGAACCTTCTGAAACTCATCCCCTGACTTCTCTGAATGGTGGGTTCTCAGCCAATCTCTAAAGCCCAGGCCAAATGTCACCTGCTATGTAAGGTCTCTCCCAGACATTTCCTCTACACATCGCATCCCCTCCGTTCCGAGCCCTCGCCATGCCCCACAGGGTGGCTGCCTGCACAATCCCCTTAACCATATCACAAGGGCCTCAGGGGCCACAGTCATCACTGCCCAGCCCCCAGTCCAGGTCTTACACTGGGGATTAAGGCAGCTCAGTAATGTGTTTTCCAAAAACAGACCTTTGTCTCTAGCTATTAGAAGTGATATGTTACGTGTGCCCATTCCTTCAGCAAACATTGATTTAATTTCCTTCATAAATTTAAGGATAAAGAATAATCACAGGGCTAACTGAATTTTCATAGTTCCCTTCCCGAAAGCTTCACAAATCTCTGCCCAGCAACAGCAGCAAGTGATGTTTTTTTCCAATTTCTCCAATGCAAGGAAGAATACAAATATAGCACTGTGCAGAGAAGGAAGATCATGATAATGGGATATGGATTGCAAGGTCCAGATCCCTGATCAGATGCTCAGTGGGAGCACGAGTCATAAAATGAAAAATACCCCAAAGCAGTAGTTGTGCTTTTCCTTCCTGTACAAAGACAAGAACCTTAAAGTTTAGCTAAGGGCTGCGTTAATAGGCTCCAAAAGGAGGCCACCCTTGGCTGTTCGTAACTAGAAAGGGCATTCTATGTGGGAGATGATGTAAGAGTGTGTCTAAGGAGCTAATAAAATTTCCCCTGCCACAGACATGCCCACAAACTATCCACTTTCCTATCAGAACTGACTTCAGACTCTGTGCACGTCCATCTGCAAAATCAGAAAGCAAAATCATTGCATAGGTACCTGCACAGAGGTATTTCTGACTTTTCGAGCTGTACTGAGACTGAACAAGTCTCTCCTCTCAATGGGTATACAGTGTAAATGAATACAGGTCCACACGCACATGCGTCAGTACACATGCCTGGGGAAGAAGGAAGTGGCGAAATGCAACACACGACACAGAAACATCCCATCTTCTCTTTAATGACAATGAACAACATTTACCTTGAACATCTGGATCATTCATCAGATGCTCCTGCAAGCTACCAAGGACTTTCTGAATCTCACTCCGGGCCACACAGCTGTTGTGCACAACCCCAGGTCTGCTGCAGTCGTCCTCCTGAGGCCCAGCCTCACTCAGAAGCAGCTCTAAGTCCTTGCTTATGTCAGGGAGAGGAGTTCACCAATAAAGAAAATGACTGAACACATCCTCAGTGTTCCCTGGGCAGGCCCAGGAATCTGATCCAGGGTAGCTGCTGATGGGGAGGTCATTCATGTCAGAAAGCTTTGAGCAGGCGCTGGTCTCTGGGGAAACCCTGGTCCACTCAGCTCCAGCCGACACACAGCTTTCCACAGGGCTTTCCGCTGGGCCGTCAGAGGAGCTACTGCTGTGTGGGCAATCACTGGTTTTCGCTGAGGTCCCTTCCACAGGTAGCTCTGGCTCGCTCCGCACAGGCTTTGCTGAACGAGTTAAACTGAGGGAAGCAAACTTTTAATACTGTGTAACAGACTGAAAGCCACAGGGAAAAACATGAGAACCACATCCTCACCCAGTCCTCTACTTCCTAGCTGACCACTGGCCCCTCTTTGTGTCTCCTGGTGTCAGCTGACTAAAATCTCACGAGAGGATAAGAGGTTTGTCAACCCCCACTGCCCCGCCGGGAGTATGATGGGCACTGAAAACACCACTTGAAAGTTCAGCCGTTCTCTCCACTATACTCCAGGGCTGAGCCGGCCTGGACTTCCGCTGGAGCACCTTCGGTACATTTCATCCATTTCCTGCTCATGAGTACCTCCACCAGAGGGCAGGCATTAGAAAACAAAAGGCGCTGAAACTGGTAAGAGGTGGCTATTTGTTAACCACTTTGAGGTCTTGAGGAAGACACTGCCCATGGGCCTGCCATACAGCAGGAGCTCAATGAACTCTGATGGAAGTGGGATGGAGGGAGGATGGGCCAACCTCGGAAGGATTTGTATTCTGTGAGGCATCAGTTACCCACTCTCACATGCCTGCACGCTAGCGACAATGGAGAGACATTTACAAACGACCTCAAATAGGATGGCTGGTGTATACGCATCAGCCTCAGAGGAAAGACATGACAAAGCCAAGATCCAGCGCCATATTAGCAAACACTGGAGGGTCTACCGCTGTTGGTCAGGAGTGTCGCCTTTATGTACATGTAACCCAACCTCCAAAAAAGTACATTTGGGAGACTTCACATTTTTCCCTAAGTAAATTACCCAGAGAACTTCATTCATCAAAAAGTAAGAGAAAATGTTCTTTATAGGTTATTTAATCACTAATCTCAATGAATATTTTATCTAAATTTAGGAGACATAGTAGCTTCATTATTTATAACCCAGTAGTCATGTTTCAAAATCATTATTGCAATTACTTTTTGCTTCTTTACATAATTAAAGCTCTAATATTCCATCTTGCCCAGAAGGTCACTACTAAAACTCGAGACAAGATAATTGCTGAAATTTTAGGTGGGTGCTTAAGGTACATCGAGGGTCCTGGTGGTGACCCTAGCCAGAGCATACCTGGCAGGGGAAGTGTTACCACCACTGCTGGGAGCAGGGGAGCCAGAGGCAAAACCAGAGTCCAAATCCTGGGTGAGTGGCCAGATGCTCAGGGCGCCATCCTCTCGAAGATAAAGGCCAGCCCTGGAGGGGTTTGCAAAGGTGGAAGTGAAGGGGCCGAGGGACTGGAAGGCAGCCTGGTGCACCTGGAACCAGAAAGAACAGTGCAGTGAATGAACGCAGCATCGGCCAGCGGCGGTGGCCAGGACTGAGCCCAGGCTGAAACAGATAGTTGGACACCACACAAGCTACTCTCCACCACATTACATCTATGGAGATTTATTGCTTTCTAAATCATTCCCTAAATTCCAAATACTATTATTCAACAGAAAGTAAGGAAAAATTTAGCCCCATTATACTGTTTTCATTCTTCCAGAATATTAATTTTATATGAATAATACATTTTATATCAAGTATTTGAACAGGCCTTATTAATCATTACAGACATGTTTATGATAGCAACAGAAAAGGTAACAGTTCAGTTACATAGTTTTTTCTTTCTCAATTATGATTTTCATGATATTCGTTCACTATAAATGGTACGGTGTACCTCACCTTCTTAACTCACCCCAAGCTTTTGAGATTTTAGTTTCCCTGAGACCTCACAAGGTCTAAATGTGATTATGGCAATCAGTAACTGAAGGGACAAAATACAAAGTTACAAGCCCAGAAGTGAATCCCAGCCTGGAAGCCAGACGTAGCTGTTCAGTTGGTCAACAGAGGCTGGTGTCTGGACAGGGCTGCTGGCACTCACCCATCGGCAGGGGTCGCTGACAAGTCTGATGAAGAGCGGGAAGAGCTGGGTTCTGCGGACCCCAGGGGAGGAGCTGTGCGACACAGCCGTGAAGCATTCTGCACAGGCTTTCCGCATGCCCCAAACAGCATCAGAGCAGAGCTCAAAGAACTTTGGGATCTGCCAAAACAAACAAAAGAGTGCTACTCCAATCGGAGACTCTGAGGAAGAGCAGAACCTGTTTTTTTTATTTATTTATTTATTTATTTATTTATTTATTTATTTATTTATTTATTTTTGTGAGACAGAGTCTCACTCTGTTGCCCAGGCTGGAGTGCAGTGGCGCGATCTCGGCTCACTGAAACCTCCGCCTCCCAGGTTCAAGCGATTCCTGTGCCTTAGCCTCCCGAGTAGCTGGGATTACAGGCATGTGCCACCACATCCGGCTAATTTTTTTGTACGTTTAGTAGAGATGGAGTTTCTCCACATTGGCCAGGCTAGTCTCAAACTTCTGGCCTCAAGTGACCAGCCCACCTTGGCCTCCCAAAGTGCTGGAACCTATTTTAATGAAGCAGTGAAGGCATATGCAGAAATTAATGACAAGGAAAAGGAAAATACATACTGGTCTAAAAGGAATCATTTGAAACAAACAGATATTATGAGAAGTGGAAGAAATAAACATTTCTTTTACCTCCTAATTTTAGTAAATGACTTGGTTACCTTTAACAGATAATAGAGAAAATCCCAAAAAGGGCAGAATGACCGATATTTGTTAGGTAAATTGTAGAGAAGATTGTGAAAGACTCTGAAACAGTAGATGTCCCAACTAACTCACCCACCCAGGTATCACTGTCTTTGCCTAGCTATTTTACAACTCTGAAGTGATAGAAGGTAGGTTGCTAAAACCTGATAGTAATGCAAATAATTCCTGCCAACAGAAATGCAAATTGTGTCCAGTGAAATGTAATCAATTATCACCCTGGATATTGACCAGTTTTGAATTCATTTGTAAGTTCACTTCGATATTCCTTGCTCTGACTATAAATGAGTACTTTGAGTTCTCCATTAAACTGGCTGTAATATCTTACTGGTTTTCCTCACTAATAAATGAGTTAAATAAAATCTTTGAAATACGTTCATTTCATATCTCTATAAAGGTCATGATTACATCCCCTTTTAAAGTGTATCCTTTAAAAGGGCTTTGTTTTTAATATCCTAATGTAAAATAGCCTAAAATGCTTCGCAAATGGGAATATGATATAATCATGCCAATATCTACCTACAAATGATTAGCATGTTACTCACTGCCATTCTTCATTCAGATATATTAAGTAGAAGATAACATTCACTGTAGATGGGCGTGGTGACTCACGCCTGTAATCCCAGCACTCTGGGAGGCCGAGGCGGGTGGATCATGAGGTCAGGAGTTTGAGACCAGCCTGGCCAACATGGTGAAACCCTGTCTCTACTAAAAATACAAAAATTAGCCAGGCACGGTGGTGCATGCCTGTAATCCCAGCTACTCAGGAGACTAAGGCAGGATCCAGCCTTAGCTTGAATCCAGGAGGCAGAGGTTGCAGTGAGCCGAGATCACACCACTGCACTCTAGCCTGGGTGACAGAGCAAGACTCTGTCTCACAAAAAAAAAAAAAAAAAAAAAAAAAAAAAAAAAAAAAAAAAAAAAAAAAAAAATTCACTATATATTCAAAGCAACAGCCCATTAAAAATTATTCTTGGGTTAGAACTGTGCTGACATGGCTTATACTTTAAACAAAATAAAATGAGCTTCTGAACTTAAATTTAAAAATCAATTTAAAGATTAAACTTTTTGAGGTCAAAATCTCACCCATACAAGGAGTATATTCTGTCAAATAAAACTGACAAATGCTTATGGAGCAAGGTTCTCTAGGGGCCGGGCACTGACGGGGTAGACACTGGGGAAACAAGGATGAACACAACACGGTCCCTGCCCTCAAGAAGCTCCTCAGCTCCTCTGAACAAATGCTACCAGGAAGCTGAGAAGGGAGAAGCTGATTCTCTCTGGCACTGCAGGTAGGTCAGCCTAGACAAGGAAAGAACTTCACAGAGGCAATTCAAGCTGGGTTGGAAGTGTGAGGAGGGTCCCACCAGGCAGGGAAGATGCTCTTAGTGAGCACAGGCCCAGAGGTACGAAAGAGCAAGAAGTCTCAAGGATGCTGAAGTCACCTGGCTGCTTAGGGAAGTGGATCTCTACTCTGCTATGCATCAGAATCATGTGGGACTTTATCAAAAATGCAGATGCCTGGGCCCCCCCAGGCTTCAGATATATGGCCAGAGGTGAGACCCACCGAGGCCAGGGTAGTGTTCAGAACTGAGAAAGGGGACTGGAGGTGAGGCAGAAAAGGCATCTACGAAGGGACCTGGAAGGCCCAGAAGGCTCTAGATTTTAACCTGTAAACCAAGAAAAAAATCCCAATGGTTTTGAGGCCCAGGAGTGAGGTGGTAGAGTGGTGTTCTAGAAAGAGCAGCAGAGAGAGAAGAGAGAGAGCAACTTGGACAGTGAGAAGAAGGCAGGGAAAAGTGACTTGTAAGGA
The DNA here is from genome assembly GCF_000001405.40 of Homo sapiens. NCBI lineage: Eukaryota > Metazoa > Chordata > Mammalia > Primates > Hominidae > Homo > Homo sapiens. The sequence continues at coordinate 58,250,667 of NC_000020.11, forward strand.
GGAGACAGCCAAGCCCACCGGAAAAAAGATGGGGGTTGCTTCCAGCCCATTCCACAGACCAGCTACCTAATGCTTAGGAAAATGTTAGCTTCAGAAGTTATGAAATTTGAAATTAACAAATGCAAAATTGAGCTGCCATTCATAAATACAAAACTTAAGTGATTTTGAAAGTGCATTAAGAAGCAAATCAACAATTACAATTGGCCAAAATGTCACATACCAAAAATTTCTCAGTGGCTTCTTGTCCAACAGCATGACAAATATCACCAAAATTTGCAGCACAAACCTTAAAAAGGCAAAAGGCATATCCATTATTCTTATCTTTCTTTTTGTCTTAACAAATTGTAAAAACTAACAAGCAGGAACTTTGAGAGCAATTACCCCGCTAGTCAGGCAGCTAACGAGCCTTTCCCAAGCCCATCGCCCATACAGCACAACGCCAGATGCCTCCATTGCATCAAAAACAGAAGATTTACAATAAGGTGCCAAATTCTAAGATTTTCTGGCTCCTAATTGATCTTGATACAGAATGCATGTTAGCGATAAGGCAAAAGAGGCCCCTTAACATTCCCTGCATGGTAAAGGAGACCTGCTGTTCTGCCTGTGTATCATGAACAGAGACCAGAGGGGTGATGGCCAGTTACACAGCAAGGTGCAAGGTGAGGCTGTTTAGGGAAGGATGGTAACGAACTTCAAAAGGAAGAATTTGACAACCAAGTGACAAGTGACTAAAAGGGAATTTGGGGTTGGAAGGTATAGCAAAGATAAGAAGGTTCTGGATCAAATCACCACAGATAATCAAAGACCTTGCAAGCCTGGGCATCTAACCATAAACCAGCAAGGTCCCCTAACTCTCACCCTGTGCCTGAGGGCAACAGGTCTAGTCATACAGACTCTTTATCTCCAGGTCTCTACGCATTTCTTAACTGCAGTAAAAACTGGCAACGCTGTTCAGATATTTTCCTTACATAGTTCACACTGGACACATTTTTCCCCCAGACTATGTCTACTGAAGAAGTCCAAAACCTTTAGAAAAATCAATTTTGAACTTTTTTTAACTTTAAGAGTTTTAGAATTCTTACATTCCTACCTTCCGAACTTGAAAGAGCTTCCTGTCACCACACAGTTCACAGAATCGGGGGAGTAGCAGGCGTTCAACGGTACTCTTACTCAGCATTGAAGCCATTTTGCAGATTATCTATAAATTTTTTTAAAAAATCGAATCATTTAAAATGTCAAAGCATGTAAGTCACATGTAGCACTAAAGATATATTCCAAAAGCCAATATTCAAAATATTCCCAACATACCTAAGAAGGAAAAATAAAAAACACCTTCTTTTGAGTTTTGTCAAGTTATAAGATCAACAGAAGGCCCAACATTTCTCCAGTTTGACTCAGGTAACTGTTTGTCAGAAGCTCAAGAGTTACAATCTGCCAGGTCCCCACCTTGTGCCCAATACACAAACAAACAAAAATGTATGTGCATTGGCTCATTTTACCTTCCCAAGAATCCTATGACATGGGCATTATTTATCCTCATGTTTCCGGATGGGGAAATGCTGCAAGAGGTTAAATAGAATGACTAAACACAAACAGTGGGGAGGTGAGTCATCCAGTGACAGCAAGACATGGTAAGCACTGGAAGATGATCACATTCTGGAGAAACTAAAGACTAGACCCTTACAAGAAAAAAAAAAAAAAAAAAAAAAAGATTAAATTTTGCATTTATGCTGCTTTTTGCCTGAGGGTACTTCCCGTTCTACATGGCTATACAGGGTAGCTAGACCTCAAGCAAAAGCAACAGGTAGAAGTCCTAGCCAGAGCAATCAGACAAGAGAAAGAAAACAAGGCATCCCAACCAGAAAAAAGGAACTATCTGTGTTTGCTGATGATATGATCTCATACCTAGAAAACCCTAAAGACTCCTCCAAAAGACTCCTAGATTTGATAAATGAATTCAGTAAAGTCTTGGGTTATAAAACCAATGTATACAAATTAGTAGCACTGCTTTATACGAACAATGAGCAAGATGAGAATCAAATCAAGAACTCAATAGCTACAAAAAATAAAAATAAAATACTTAACCAAGGAGGTAAAAGATCTCTACAAACAGAACTACAAAACCCTGCCCAAAGAAATCACAGATGACACAAACAAATGTAAATACATCCCATGTTCATGGATTAGAAGAATCAATATCATAAAAATGACCACATTGCCCAAAGTAATCTACAGATTTAATGCAATTCTTATCAAAATATCAATTCATTATTCACAGAATTAGGAAAAAAAATCCTAAAATTCATATAGAATTAAAAAAGTCAGAATAGCCACAGCAACACCAAGCTAAAAGAACAAATCTGGAGGCATCACATTACCCAACTTCAAATTATAGTACAAGGCTATAGTAACCAAAACACCACGGTAATAGTATAAAAGCAAACCACTGCAACAGAATAGAGAACCCAGAAATAAAGCCAAATACTTACAACCAACTGATCTTTCACAATGCATACAAAACATACACTGGAGAAAGGATATTCTATTCAATAAATGGTGCTGGGAAAACTGGCTAGCTACATGGAGAAGAACGAAACTGGATCCTTATCTCTCCCTTTATACAAAAATCTACTCAAGATTTTAAATCTAAGACCTGAAACCATAAACATTATAGAAGAAAATCTAGGAAAAACTCTTTCTGGACACTGGTGTAGGCAAAGAATTTATGACTAAGACCCCAAAAGCAAATTTAACAAAAACCAATATAAATAAATGCGATCTAATTAAACTAAAAAGCTTCTGCACAGCAAAAGAAATAGTCATCAAAGAGACAACTCACAGAATGGGAGAAAATATTTGCGAACCATGCATCCAACAAAGAACTAATATCCAGAATCTACAAGGAACTCAAACAAATCAAAGAAAAAAACAAATAATCCCACTGAAAAGTGGGCCAATGATATGAATAGGACATTTCTCAAAAGAAGATATACAAATGGCCAAGAAGCATATAAAAAAAATTCAACATCACTAATTATCAGACAAATGCAAGCTAAAACCACATTGACATACCACGTTACCCTAGCCAGAATGGCCATTATTAAAAAGTCAAAAAACATAGATGTTGGCATGAATGTGGTGAAAAGGGAATGCTTATATACTGCTGGTGGGGATATAAATTAGTACAACTTCTATGGAAAACATTACGGAGAATTCTCAAAGAACTAAAAGTAGGTCTACCATTCGATCCAGCAATCCCACTACTGGGTATCTACCCAAAGGGAAGGAAATCACTGTATCAAAAAGACACCTGTATGCATATGTTTATTGTAACACAATTCACAATTGCAAAGATATGGAATCAATCTAAGTGCCCATCAACCGATGAGAAGACAAAGAAAATGTGGTAGTCTGGGTAGTGAGACCTGTCTCTACAAAAACTAAACAAAATTAGCTGGGTGTAGTGGTACACGCCTGTAGTCCCAGCTACCTGGGAGACTGAGGTGGGAGGATCACTTGAGCCGAGGAGGTTGAGGCTGCAGTAACCCAAGGTTGCACCACTGCACTCCAGCCTGGGCAACAGAGCAAGATGCTATCTCAAAAAAAGGAAAAAAAAAAAAAAAATATATATATATATATATATATTTTAATGTGGTATATATATATATACCATGGAATACTACTCAGCCATAAAAAAGAACAAAATAATGTCTTTTGCAGTAACTTAGATGGAACTGCAGGACATTATTCTAAGTGAAGTAACTCAGGAATGGAAAACCAAATGCCCCATGTTCTCACTTATAAATGGAAGCTAAGCTATGGGTATGCAAAGGCAAATACAGTCATATAATGGAAACTGAAGACTCAGAAGGGGAGAGGGTCAGAATGGGGTGATGAATGAAAAACCACCTATTGGTGTTCAGTGTACACTACTCAAGTGATGCGTACCCTAATATCCTAGACTTCACCACTATACAATTCATCCATGTTGCCAAAAACCACTTGTATCCCTAAAGCTAGTGAAATAAATACATATATACATACATAAATTTTTTAAAGCTACAGTTTTACTGTGAAGGAAGGAGGGAGCCAAAGAAAGGAAAGCTCCAAAATCTGTGGTTAAATCTTACCCTAATCCTTAGCTGATCTCTGAACTGGGCATGCACAGGGGAGATGGTGAGGTTCATAGAGAAACAGTAACTTAAGGATGAAAGAAGTGAGCTGTTTCAGCTGCTGCCTACTACAGGAAAAACAGAATCTGAACTGCTTTCTAGAACAAAGTCAATATCTCTAGAGGTAAACAACAAAATCCAGAGTTTCTACAATGTTTCAACAAAATACAATAGAAAATGAAAAATCTATAGACATGAGAAGAAATAAGAAAATGTGACCCACAGTCAAGAAAAATATCAGTCAGCAGAAAAAACACCCACAGAAAATCCAGATATTAGAATTAGAAGACTTTAAAAGGAATTTAAAGCAGCTATTACAAATATGCTCAAGTACAAAGAGGAAAACAGGGCCACAATGAATGAACAGATTAGGAATCTTATCAAAGAAATGGAAACTATAAAAAAGAACCAAGACTTCTGGTAATAGCAAAGTCTAAGTTAGACTAACCCTCCTGAAGCTAAAAATTATAGAATCTTGACAAAACATAAAAAAAACACCATTTGAAAGCAGCGGAAAGCAACCAAAAGGCAGAAACTGGAAGAGGGGCTACTCTTAAAAGATACACTGCAACAGGAGAGATTTGCAAGCAAGGTCCAAAATCTGTGCATAAAATGTGCTTAAATCTTTGGCTAACTGCTAAACTACATATATGTGAGGGGGATCCCAGAGGACCCAGAAAAAAAGCAGCGTCAGAAATTAAACAAACTCAGCAGAGATTTCAGCTTCTGCTCACAAGGCAGATAATTTGGAGCTGGAGATTAATCAAGGTAACTGCCTCCTAGGACAAAAATCATTTTAGAAAAATATAACAGAATCCAGGGACTCTGCAATGTATCATTTATAATGTCCAGTGTCCAATCAAAAATCACTACTCATGCATTAATAAGAAAAAAGTGATCCATAATATAAGTAGTCAATGAAAACCAACATCAAGATGATCCAAATGTTGCATGGGCCGGACAAGGACTTTAAAGGAGCTGTTATAAATATACTCAAGAATTACAAGGAAAAAATGCATAAAGAATAGACAGGGACTTTCTATATGATAGAGATATAGAAACTGTAAAGGTCTATAAAAGATCAAAATGGAAATTCTAGAGCAAAATAGTACAATAACTGAAATTAAAAATTTGCTGGCTAGGCCTAACAGCAGATTGGAGAGAAGTAAAAAAAAAGAATCAATGACTTTTTAAATTAATAAAAATTATCAAATCTAAACATCAGAGAGAAAAAATGATTAAAGAAAAGTGAACAATGCCTCAAAGACCTGTAGGACAACATCAAGGGTCCCAACTTTGTGTTATCTAAGTCACAAACTGAAAGGAGAAAAAGAATACAGAAAAAGGTATTTAAAACAACAATAGCCCAAACTTCCCAAATTATTTGAAAGGCTTAACACACAAATCCAAGAAGTTCAATGGAGACAAAACAGTATACTAACTATGCTAAATCCAAAGGTAAAGAGAAAAATCTCATGAGCAGCCAGAGAAAAAGGGATATTTTATATATACGAGTACAATATAAATGATAGATGACTTCTCATGAGAAACAAAGGAGGCCAGAAGACAACAGAATGGCATCTTTAAAATGCTAAAAGAAACAAAAAAACTTTTCAACTCACAATTCTACATCCACAAAACTATCATTCAAAAATAAATGCAAAATAGACATTTTCAGATAAACAAAAATTAATAAATTTCATCATCAGCCAACCTGAACTACAAAAGGTACTAAAGGAAGTTCTTCTGCATTAAGGGAAAGGATACCAGATGATAACTCATATCCAGGAAAGGAAAGAATGACAACCACCAAAAATGGCAAAAACGGGCATATAAAAGGCTGTATTTTTTTCTTTTTTACTAATCTCTTCAAAAGATGTAACTCTTTAAATCAAAAATTAAAATACTGTACCATATGGTTTAAATATATGTCCCCACCAAATCTCAAGTTGAATTGTAATCCCCAATATTAGAGGTGGGGCCTGGTGGGAGGTATTTGGGTCATGGGGGTGGATCCCTTATTGCTTGGTGTTGTCCTCACAATAGTGAGTTCTTGCATATCTGGTTGTTGTAAAGTGTGGCACCTCCCTCCCCACTACTTCCTCTCTTGCTCCTGTTTTCATCATGTGACGTGCCTGCTCCCACTTTGCCTTCCGCCATGAGTAAAAGCTTCCTGAGACCTCCTCAGAAGCAGATGCTGGCACTATGTTTCCTGTGTAGTCTGCAGAACCATGATTCAATTAAACCTCTTTTCTTATAAATTACCCAGTCTCAGTTATTCCTGCATAGCGATGCAAGAATGGCCTAACACAGTGTATTCGCAGGCTCATAATGTAATATACATGAAAGCAACAGCACAAAGGATGAAAGCAAGTGAATGGAACCATGCTGTTGCAAAAGGTGATATATTTTTTGAAAATCCTCAATAGAGGAATTAAAATGCAATGCTAAAAAACATTCATTAGCCCAAAAGAAAACAGAAAAGAATTAACAAAAAAACAGATGAGACAAATGAAAACAGACAGAGAAATGGCAGTAATAAAACCAAACATATCAATAATTACATTAAATATAAATGAACTAAACACACTAATTAAGGAGCAGAAACTATCAGACTGGATATAAAAGCAGGATCCAACTAGATGCTAACAAAAGCACAAACACTTTAAATGTAAAGACATGTAAGTTGAGAGTAAAAAAATAAACAAATATACTATAATAAGTATAAAAATCCTAGAGTGGTTATATTACTATCATAATTGATTATAAAATATGGATTACTGTCAAAGACATTTCTTAATGATGAAAGGGTTAATATATCACATAGACATTAACATTAAATGTGTAGCTTTAAATGCTTAAAATGGAAAAGAATGCAGGCTTAAAAATACTGTTTCCTCTTTAAAAAGCTAAAAAAAGGACAAGCAAACAACTCAAGAAAGGAGAAGGGTGGAAATAATAAACAGTAGAAATCAATGAAAAAGAAATAAGTGAAAAAAACCAACAAAGCCAAAAATTGGCTTGAAAACATAAATAAATTTGATAAGCCCCTAGCAAGACTGATCAAGAGAGAAAAAAACACAAATTACCAAGATCATAATTGAAAGGGGATAACACCACAGATCTTACAGACATTAAAAAGATAATAGAAGAATATCATGAACAAGTCTAACCCAATAAATCTGACAACTTACATGAAATTAATAAATTCCCTGAAATGTACAACTTACCCAGTGACACAGACGAAGAAATCTGAACAGCACTGTATCTGAATTAAATCTGTTATGAAGAACCATCTCACAAAGAAAACTCTAGGACCAGAGGTTTTACTGGAGAATTCTAACAAATGTTTTAGGAAAAAAATAACTCCAATCTTAAATAAAACCTTTCAGAAAATAGAAAAGGAGGGAATACTTCCCAACTCATTTTTTTAAGCCAGAATAATTCTGATTCTAAAATCTGACAGAGACATAATAGGAAAAGAAAATTGTTCTCTTGAATATAGATATGAAAATCCTCAACAAAATGGTGGCAAATTATGGAGAAGGCAGCACAGTAGAATGTCAACCAGAATTGTCAATAGACAGCAACGCTAGCGGGTGAAGGTCTGACGGAGAAGAGCATACTTAAATACAAGGTAATTCTCATTACTTCCAGAGGGAAAAAAGAGCACACTGGAGAAACCTGGCAGATACCACATCTATCTATTAGGTCATCAAAGTTAACATCACCAATATTAGGACAAGCTGAAGTCTTGTGCCTCCTGCCATGACACACTGGGAATACATCACTCCTGTGATACTCCTGCCAGAAAGACAGAATCTGAATCCAATCACAAGGAAACATCAGGCAAAGCCAAACAGGGAGACACTCTGCAAAAAAAATGTGGCCAGTACTCTTCCAATACTTAAGTGTCACAAAATTCAAAGACAGACTCAGGAACTGTTCCAGATTAATGGAAACCAAAGAGATAGGACAGCTCATTGCAGCAAGTAACCCTGGACTGGGTCTTAGGCAAATGGCGATGTTTGCATATGAACTGTGGCTATGACGTTAGCACTGTATCGGTGTTAAATTTCCTATTTTGATCATTGTACTATGGTTATATAAGAGAGTTTCCTTCCTTTTAGGATATATACATTGAAGTATTTAGATGAATGCTGCTGTTTGTCCTTAATAAATAAAACATTAAATTAAAAAATGAAGTATTTAGATATAAAGAGGGACAATGCCTCCGACTAAGTCTCAAATGTCTCAGAAAATAATAAATACAGTAAATATGCATCTGTCTGTATGTGTGGAGAGAGAAGGAGAAATGGAGGAGAAGAGAAAAAAAATGATAAAATAAATGAAGCTAGATACAAATTACTAAAGAAGCCAGAAAGAGGTATAGGGGAATTCATACTACTATTCTTGCAACTTTCTTGCAAGTTTGAAATTGAAACAAGATGAAAAGTTGCCAAAAACAAAATTGTGAAAGAATTCTTCCATTCCCCCAACACAGTAAAAAGAAAAGGAGGAAAAAACAAAAGAAGGAAGGAAGAAGGTTAAGGCAGGGGAGTGAAGGACCAAAGTAGGGAGAGAAGAAAGGAAGGGATGGAGAAAGGCAGGGATTGGGGGGAGGAAGGGCTTCCTGTCTCTAAAGTCTGTTATTCTCACTATATACACAGCACTGCCTATTTACAGTAGAAAAAGGTTCTGGGTTAGTAATCTACCCATCATTCTATTTGGAATTTGCATACAGGAAGAGGGGAAAGAAAACCAATGGGGGTGGAGCGAACGGGGAAACTAGCCCATAACACAAATAAGGAAAAGGTTTGTGTCCTCAGAACAGAGAGGACACATATTTCTGATGTGATGCTTAGCAGAGTTGTACAAAGTGACAGCCACAATAAATGAGGATGTGAGGCTTCCGTATGCAGGGTGATGGGCAACTAAAGCACTCCCAGTATCTCCATCCACCCCTCTCCATCTGCCACACCTGCATGACCTTATTACTATACAGTATAAAACAAATCCAGAGTCATTAAAAGTCAGCACACTAGTGACAAGAAATTATATTCCCGTGGCCCTGGGAACCACTTGTATGGAATGACGATCTTCACTTAGTTGCTTGGAGCCAACTGTTCTTTATAGCACATAACCAAGAGATTCTTCTTAAATAAGTGCACAAATAAAAATTAGCTTAAAAATAGAAATGATGACAAAAAATGAGGAAGCCTTAACGTGAAAAAGTTTTGAGAGAGAAAAATAGTCTTCTGACAATGAGTTATAATCTCGGAATGCTAATGGCGTCCCTGCAAGCAAGAGGAATTATAATTGGTCTCTGGTGGCCTGTTTATCCTGTCTAGATATAATTAAAAGATACAGCTCTTGCAGTTTTTACCGATTCATTCATCCAACAACTAACATTTATTTAGTACTGACTCTGGGCCTGGCACTGTGCTGGGTGCTGATGGTGCAAAGATACCGCAGCCCAGTGAGCCAAGAAGCTCACCATCTTGAGGGAGAAATAAACAAAACAGAATTTCACAACTCAACTGCTAAGTGACAGAAGACAGACAGAGCCAACCCTTCTAACTGCATCAAGGACAGAGTCACTAACATTGCATAGGGTTTCTAGAAGGTCTTCACAAAGGAAAATGCACACACATTTCCCTTCCCAGGATTCCATGTACCCATGTCCCAACATGGAAGCTGTCCTGCATAACTCAATCTAAAACACCCAGGACACATGCAGTTGGTTATCTCTGATTTTCCCAATCATATATGCACTAGAGTTGTTGGCATCAGAATCAACTAATTGTTAAGTTCTAATGAGAGTGACAAGTCGAATGAACAGATGTATTTTATCCATGAAGACGTGCAGTCTCCTTGGGAGTTGAGGCACTTCCTCCAAAATGGCACTGCTTTGAGTAGGCGTGTGTTTATGTACAGCACAGATGTAGCAATATTCACACCATCCGGATCAACAGAGAGCCCCCAAACACATCGGGCATCTGACCAGCCCGGTTTGCTTCTTTCCTCATCACCCTTTTAGCTAACAGCTCCCTGAATCACCTCCTAATAGATACACACTGGCACCTGCAATGTTTGGGGTATCACCTACAGACTAGCTAAATCAGAACCCTGCCTTCCTAGGGGAGCTCTACAAAGCACACATGTGGCCTTCTCTTCCTTGGCTAATGATACTCACACTGTCATTTACTCCACCCACATTGTCATTTCCTAGCTAAAAAGAAGATTCTTTCTGTGTTCCACAGCTCTCTGGTACTCAAGGGGCAAGTCCCCCCAAGGCCCCTTGGCCTCCAGGGTCTGGGGAAATAGCTGGAGCAAAGCACACATGGGCCAGACCAGACACCCCACATTCCACTCCCATCAGATCTCCACGGGAGGAAAAGCAGAGGTCCTGCAGGAACACCTGGGAGAAACAGACAAGCACAGTCTGGGCCATGGTGGGTGGGAGGTTCAAGATCACTTCTGTTCTCGCAGCCACAGTTCAAATCCTATCCATTCAAGTAATGAGACCAGCATCTCACTTGGAATGAAAAATACAATTTATGTGAACTAATTTGTTCTGCAAGTGATTTGTGCAGATAGCTTTTTGAAGGCTTGTAATATTTTCCAAATATTTCTACCAAAAAAAATGAAGAAGAAGAGGAATATTGCTGACAAGAATGGAGTATTTGGAAAGAAAACAAAATAAAAATCATGCAAAAATGCCTTTAGCATTATTTTTCATGGTATTATCAGTCTTTAGGGGTAAGATATTTGGTTGTCAGTCGTAACCTTGGAAACTCGCCTAACCAACTTCCAAATGGAAAAGAAGATCTAGTTGGCAAAGTTCACTGCTCAACTGCCAAATACCCCAACTAAATGATATTATCCAGGTTCATTTTGCAAAACAAATTTAATTTCTTATAGAGAAACTTGAAATTTATAAAAGAACCCTGGAGAATTTGGATTTTAATAATCAATTATTCTTCAGCCTGATTCATCTTATAAACACATGGAATATGCAAAAATTAAATTAGTTTAAAAAGCCAGACCTTTAACGCATAGTTGAATAAAACTTTTACATAAATGAAGAGTAATTGCCAAATGTTCTGATGCTGTAATACAATTTTTTAGCTCTATGGCGTATAATGTTTCTGCACTTTAAAAAAGAAAATAATTCCTTTCTCTAACGTCACTGTTTCCCAAACAGGAAAACAACTATCTTCTGTATATTTTATTATACTCATAATTAATGCTTATGAATTTTTACATCCTTTACGGACCAATTTTTCCTAAAATGCTGGAATAATCCTGGAGCTATTTGCTTCTATAAGGCAAACAGAAAGGGTCATGCCATACAGCATCATTTGCATGGATCAGTGGAGGAGCAGCAGCTAAAGAAAACAAGATGGCCCATTGTGACCTCCCCTTGAGCCACAAAGGAAAAGGTGCAAGGACAAATGGAGGCATCCTGATCTGAAGGCAGGAAAAGTCTGCACTGGATCATCAGCTGCTGGTTTGTGAACAAGGGCTCCAGAAGCGAGTAGAAAATCCTGCCTGTATAATCATTTAACAATGGGCACAGAATCTTGCAAACCCAAGGATACCAGACTATTAACTAGAAGACACTGAACATTTATACTATTCCTTTCACTGCACATCTTTGACTGATAGAAGCACAAATACTTTAACACAGCATCTCCCAAATGCCTGTAAATGTTTGGCCACATCTGCATTCTTCACAGTGACTCTTCTTATTTGCTTACATACCTATCTTAGTCTTCTCCTAATCTATAGACACACAAGTCTGCTAAATTTTCTTCTTAATTGTCTAAGTACCACCTAAAATTATCTCACATCATACTAGGGTTGTTTCTTTGAGAAGGAAGGCCCAGGGTCCAAGTAGGTTCAAGGATTTACCTATAAATCTCAGCATCTTGTCCAACAGAAATCTAAGCCAGCTACTGCTGCTAAGCCCAAATCACTCTGATTTCTCAAGCCTTTTCTTCTTAAAACAATTGGTGTTTGGTTTCCTGTCCTCGTGATAGTTTGCTGAGAATGATGGCTTCCAGCTTCATCCATGTCCCTACAAAGGACATGAACTCATCCTTTTTTATGGCTGCACAGTATTCCATGGGAAGGGGAACATTACACACCGGGGCCTGTCGTGGGGTCGGGGGAGAGGGGAGGGATAGCATTAGGAGATATACCTAATGTAAATGACGAGTTAATGGGTGCAGCACACCAACATGGCACATGTATACATATGTAACAAACCTACATGTTGTGCACATGTACCCTAGAACTTGAAGTATAAAAAAAAACAAAAAAACAATTGGTGCTATAGGGATGCTTACTTCCAAAACATGCTCATGGCTGAACTGTGAGCTTTCTCCAACCTAGGTCGAGTAACTGGTTACCTTGTTCACGAGAACAGTGCTGACCAAAATCAAACACGTGTAATACTTCATGTCAGGTATAAGTCAACTTATGGGACAGTGCCCACAGGTGCTGGGCAGTCATTCCCTGGACGGACTTACGCTCACAGCTTCTGCTTTATATTCGTCATCACTGTCTGGGGCAGAGAGCTGCAGGAGAATGGGACATACTTTGTTTTCAACATCATGCTGGAAAATTAGGTCTTGTTCCAGAAGAATCAAGAGCACTTCCTGACTTGATTTTCTCACCCAGAAGGGAAAAAAACGCAGAAGGTGAAGCACAAGTGAGCAGAAGTGCCCTCAGGATCAAGACCAACCCCACTGAGCAGGGGTGGCTGAGCCGGCCCCTACCTACCCCCACCCCCATACCCTAAACACCCTGAAGACCACTGGGTCTTCCTGCCTGAGGCCTTTGAATAGGCTATTCCCTCTACCTGACTGGCTACCACTCCTCCGCTCCAGCCCAAAGCCCCTCTGCTCCTGGACCCTGTTCGAACAGGTCCCTAAACAATACTCGACTAGTGCCCTGGACTTTTTCTTCCACAGCTCTTGTTCCACATTTCTGCATTTATATACATACAAACATATAGAGGGTTATTTTCTGTATGATTTCATAATTGCCACCTGTCTCTCCTGCTGCAGAGAGTGAATTCAGAAGGCAGGTACCACATCTGATTTATCCTTTGTCTTCCAGTGCACCCTCAGGACCTGGCAGCCTGTGGCACAAAATTTTGCGTTCTGTAACGATCTGCTGAATCAATGGATGACTTCGTGCCTTTTCTCCTTTGTAGGCAGAGACTGGAAAACACTGCAGCAACCTCCTGTGACTTTGTAAACCCTGGCATGCCACACCTGAGATGGGAATTATGTCTGGTACAACAGAACGCACAGGGAAGGGGCCCAAGAAAGAGACACTGACAAAGGGGGATGCTCCCACAGAAAACAAAGGCTCCCCCAGTCCACAGAAGAAGAAGGTGGAGGAGCACTTGTTCTTTGCAGTCTGCATGGAATGAGCAAGCACTAGAGCTCAGAGGGGTCCAAAGAAGCTGAAGAGACATTTTTGGGGAAATGAAAGCACATAAAACTCCAACTTATAGACAAAATAATGAAATATGCAATTCACCGCAGTGATGAAAAGGCAGGCAAATAATAACAGGAGCCAGAGGTGTGTAGATGAGTCACAGATGATCCGTCGACAGCAGGTTATAAAAGGTTATAAAAGAGGGTGAGCCTGTGAGACTCAAGCCACAGAGGCAATATGACATTAACACTTCTGACCAGGCGACAGATGAAAACAGTATTTCAGAAAGATCATCCTGGCAGTAGCGTTCCAAGTCAACTGGAGACAATGAAAAGACCAAGAGCAACGAGGTCAGCAAGGTAGCTACTGCAAACATCCAGGCAAAGGGAAGAGACTGGGGCTGGCTGCCAGGAGTGAGGAAAGCTGATGCCCCAGCAGCACCACCCGGGCACAGCGACAGGACCCGGGTGTCACTAGGAGAAGAAAAGGCCCATGCTACCTCTAAAGTGTCACACTCGGATTGCGTGTCCAGCATGTGTCAGGAGTTGAGAGCATGAGGGGACTACAGACAAGAACAGGCAAGCCCACGTGCCGCTTTGCTGCATGATGCTACCCTAGCTGACATACTGAGATGCATGGAGGACAACAAGGATGGGAGGGCACGCCAGGCAAGGAGGGGGAAGGCCCTGAGCAGCCACTCAGTATCAGATGCCAAAAGACACCTAGGAGTCTGCAAAGGGTAGTGGGCTGAATGATGGCCCCCAAAAAGATCTGGCCGCATCACATCTCTGAAGCTGTGAATGTGACCTTCTTTGGCTCTCTGCTGATGTGATTACGGAGCTTGAGATCACCCAGAGTTACCTGGACGGGCCCTAAATACAATCACGAGTGTCCTTACAAGAGAAAGACGAGAAGAAAACACTGACAGAAGAGGAGAGAGGCCATGTGAAGTTAGCAGCAGAGATTCAAGTGATGTGGCCACAAGCCCAAGAAGCTGGCAACCGCCAGAGACTGGAAGCAGAAGGAAAGATTCTCCCCTAGAGCACCCAGAGGGAACCCACCCTGACGACCCCCTGATGCTGCACTTCCCACCTGTGGAACTGAGAGGGAAGAAACATCTATTGTTTTATGCTACGCAGTCTGTGGTAAGTTGTTACAGCAGCTCCAGGTAATGAATCCACTGAGCAAGGGTAGCAGGGGAGAAGGCCTTCCAGGACCAGAGAACAAACAGCACATTCTAAGGTGCAAGGTGATGAACTCTGGGGCCAAATACTCTGAAGAAGTAGGACAAGTTCCAGATGGCAGAATGGGAGGATGAAGGGCAAGTGAGGTCAGGCCAGGAAAAGCATGCCCGATCCCACTAGGACCTCTGGTGACCACTCCAGGTGCAATGGGAGCCCCCAAGGGTTTAACAGCAGAGGACCAACACAATCACACCTGGCTTCAGTGAGGGTGACAGTCTGGAAACCTAAAGTGGTTCTGACAAGAGAGAGCAGGTGAGGGGCTCCTGGGCCACTACAGGCTTTCATGAGGCATGATGTCAGGGCAGGGGACAGAAAGAAGAGGGCAGGTGTGACAGACACTGCTACAGAGAGCTGAGAATGACTACACAGGATAATCACAGAAGTCAGAGCAAGATGGAGGATAGAGAGACTAGGGCGGGACGCTAGAGTCTCTAAACTCTATGGGATTCGCTGGACATCTAGACAGAGCCATCCAGTAGGCTGTGGCGATGGAGGGCGGTGATTCACAGACTCCAGAGACCTGGGTGAGAGACAGCAGTCTAGTGTTCAGTTGTGTGTAGAGTCTCCCTAGGGCCACAGCAGCAGACAAGGCCATGAAGGGAACCCTGATATCATAAGAAAAGGAAGACCAAAGATAATACCCTAGAGATGAAACAGCAACTCTTAGGGGCAGGAGAGGATTGGGCTAATGATGGAGATTGGGGAAGACACAGACAAGAAGTGCGGGCAGAGGCAGGGAGGAGGCCTGGAGCTCAAGAGCTAACACGGCAGTGGGTACAGGCTCCGGCTGTGGGGTCTGAATGCTGAGCCCCCATCTGGATCCTCCAAGTGACTAGCTGAGTCATCTTGGCCAAGTGACTTGGCCTCTCTCAGCCTCAGTTTCCCATCCATAAAACTGGATAATCATAGTATCTATCTCATAAGTTTGTTGTGGGGATGAAAGGAGCGACAGGCTTCCGATGGTGTCTGGGACATGGCATGCACTAAATGAATACTGGCTGGTACTGTTAGTACAACCATGATTATTGGAAGCCAAAGGAGACAAATATTTAGAGGATCCCAGCAAGGGGTGTGTCCAGTTACCTTTGCATCCCACTGTCTGGGGTGAAGCAACACTAAATGCCTAGTGGGATCCAGTAAAGGTCTGTGCAAACACTCAAAACTGGTCAACAGTGACAAATGGTGCAAATGGGTCAAACAAAGAAAAAAAGTCAGTGAGTAGATTAAGAAATTGTGGGAGAAATATAAATACTATATAGCAGCTAAAATGAAATACAAATACTATAAAGCAGGTAAAAAGAATGACCAGCAGCTATCCCAATCAATGTGGAGGGGTCTAAGACACAAAGGAGTCACGCAATCGGCAGAATGGAATACACGTCCAATGATGCCATCTATGCAAGCTTTCAAGCTCCCAAACAAGACACTCTCTTATTCAGGGGCCACCTACACAAGTGGTGTGAGTGTGAAAACCTGGTGAGAAGGTCTCATGCCAGGCTCAGGAAGGGGAGGGAGGGAGAAGAATGGGATGGAGGAGGGGTACAGAGAAGCTGCCACCGTATCTGTAACCTCTAAATAAAAAATAAAAGGATATGCAGAAAATTGCAAAATGTTAACATTTGTTGAATATGAATGGTAGGTATATGGGTGTTTATTACACAATGCTGTCTTGTGTGATTAAAAATCTCATAACATTTTAAACACTGAACTATTAAAAAAAAAAAAAAGCACTGGATTTTACAATGAGCAGATTCACTGAGTCCGTGGCAAGATACCTATCTACCAGCTTCCAGAAAGCATCAGCTGCCGCACGAGGAGCTAGTGCCAGAAGAAGAGCCCAGAGGTAGAGGCAGTGGAGGTTCCTCTCTGAAAAAGCTTGACAGTAGGAGAAGGAGTGGGCCACAAGCTCTGAGTCAAGGCCAGGGAACGGAGAGAGCAGGGAGACTGAGGACTGATTATAATCAAACAAGAAACCAATGAGAGAGCTGGAAAAATAAGCAAGCTCTGAGACAACAGGATGGGACCACAGAGAGAAACTAAGACATGAGACTTAAAAAGGGGGTGGGACATCCCTTCCTGTAAGACAGAGGGGAGGAGCTCAGGACCACTGAAGAAATCTGCCTACATTATCAAACGGCATGTGCAGCTGATTCAGTTCTACAAATCTTTACTGAAACTACCAGGTGCCAGACCCTGTGCTAGGTCACGGAAGCCAACAAAATACAATCCTCGGCTCTCACTCAAGAAGGGGAGAGACACTTTGGCTTACAACATCTAGAAGAGCCTCCACAGCCCCATAGCATGCAACAGGCAGCCTCATGAAACCAGACATCCAGCCTCCTGCCTTCTCCAGCTGCTACTCAGCACCCACAACCACACCTCTCTGCTTAACTAGCAACTCACCCATACTTCACAGTGGGGGTGAACAAGAGGAAAGGAGATAAGCCAAGCTAGCCTGGAGCACAGCCCTGGAGCACAGCGACAACTCAAAAAAGGGGTGCTGTGAGTGGCAGCAGTAGTCCTTGCAATAGCACTGATATTACCCCCAACGTTGTGAATTTCATGCCTCACACGTTCGGTGACCATGAAGAGTACCTGCTGATGAACAGAGAAGGGCCAGCTGGCCTGAGATGCAGACGCTAGCTGGAACCTAGCACACCCATCCCATCCCCACATGCACGAGAATCTTCGTCTTTGCCGAATTAAGAATCCTAATCGGGGACCTTTGGGTGTTTTCAGGGGCCCCCACTGTGGATGTCGGAAAGAGTCAGCATCTGTTAAAGGAAGACAGAGACTGACAGAAGAGAGGAGGGGGCATTTGGGAAGGGCAAGAAGGTCAGAATCATAAGGACAGAGGGGACAGGCAGATGCCAGCAGAGTCAAGGGCAGAAAGGGACAGGTGCCCAGGAAGGAGTCTGGGCTGTGCCTCAGGGAACAAGAGGTCAGCGAGAAAGAACTTCAGCACTTTTCTGTGTTTACTAAGGGTGGGAATGAAGAGGAGCGGGTGCCCTCAAGGGGTTAGGTACTTTTGATGGAAACAAAGGAGACAGGGCTTGGCTCTAGCTGGATGGAGGAGGTGAGGGGAGAGGATTTCGTCAGTTCCTGGGTGGCGGCTCTGGGGAGTGTGTGAAGTAGGTGGTGGTTCCCTGCATGGAGATAGGGGATGAAGATTGAAGGCCTCTATTTGCTCTGAGTAAAAGGCAAGGTCATCTGCTTGGCGCGAGGCAGGCAGAGGGGAGAGGCCTGATGAAATGGCGAAGGTCTAAGAGAACTGCCAAGGATAATGGGAAATGCAGCTGATGAGGGACAAGGGAAAGGACTGCCAAGCAATGCTGCAAGCCCAGCCACGACTGGAACCCATCAATTTGCAACGGCACCAATCAGTGCATGACAGGACTCCCTCCACCAAGCTCGGCCACAAGCAGTGGAGGACACTGAAGGGCTGGGGAGGACAGGCAAAGCCAGCGTGGCAGAAGCACCATCAAAAGGACAAGTAAATAGAGGGTGATGGCAGGGACAGGCCTGAAAGGGTGGGACAAGAGAGGGAGCCGCTGAGGAACAACAGGAAGTAAATGCAGGCAGGAAATAGAGGCTGCAGAGCCAGAGGCCTGTGGGGGCAGGAAGGCCCACGGCAGGGGAGCAAAAAAAGGAGGGCAAGCTGTGTTTGTAGTGGAAGTGGGAGTGCAGAGGTGCGGCAGATCTGCACACAATGGGAAGCTGGGTGCGGACACATTGGGAAGCTGGGTGCACACACAGCTCGGGCTGACCATCGGAGTGCCTGCTCTCGACCAAGAATATGACTCTTCAGCAAACACAGACTGAGTGTCAGGCACCATGCTAGATTCTGGAGTCAAAACCACGCTTCCTGCCTCGGCTCTTCTGGAAGAGAAGATACAGCAATGCTACTGGACAAAGGTCAAGAAATGTCAAATCCCCTGACTCAGTGTAATCTCATTTTCAAGAATGAATCCAAAGGAAAAAGAAAAGTCAATGAAAGGACAAAACCACATCCTTTCCGATGTTCACTGCATCTACAGCACACACACACACACACACACACACACAAAACCTGAACGAAATCCAAGTATTCAACAAAATTAAAAATATGACAATTATGAGGAAAGTGTTTTACTGCGTCTGTAACAAACCTGCACGTTGTGCAGATGTACCCTGGAACTTAAAGTATAATTTAAAAAAAAAAAAAGAATAAGTACTATAACAGTTTGAAACATATCTACTATGTTAAAATGTGGGAGTTCCTAACAATACTCAAAAAAATTTTTAAAACCTAACTGGTAACCTTTGTAGATTATTAAAACGCCAACGATGATCCTGGAAACTGGTAAATAAAGGGATAAAATAAAGCATTTATTCTATCTTCCCTATTCAAACAGGTTTTCAGGGCTATCAAATAGTTGATAGAGGAAACCTTTACAGAAGAACTCTAGCTATTAAACTAAAAAGAGATGTTGGAATTAGTGTGTCAGAATTTACAGCCTCTAATGAGATACTGGATCAGGGCAACCATCACCAATGGTTGCTCATACGATGATGGAGAACTTTATAGAAGTTTGGCCACCTTTACAGAAAAGGTGGCCAAATTCAGCATTAGGAAAAGATAACCATCCAGAGCTTTTCTGCCCCCGATTTGATATAGCAGGAAAACACAAACCATCTACAAAGTATTCTCACTAAATAAAAAATCTGAGTCTGGCTGAGCTTCCAACTTAGCTACTAGTTTATAAGAAATGCCTGGAGTAGAGCAACATCTTAACACTACAGAGATGCAATAAACCATATCCCAAATGTGGGAAATTCTATAAAACTAATGACCTGGCTTCCTCAACAAATAAATAGCAAGGGAAAAAAGTGGGGAGGAGCAACATTATAAATTTTAAAAGATCTAAGAGACATATATCACTTAGATTCAATGTGTGGACATTGTTTGTATTCTGGTTTGAACGGCCTCTGCGCAAAAACACACACTTATGAGAAAACTGGGAAATTTGACCAATGACTAGATATTAGATGACATTAGATAACTACTGATAATTTTTATATTTGCATTAATGATACTATCGTTTTTTTTTAAAAGAGTCTATTTCTTAGAGAACAATACTAAAAGTATTTACAGCTGAAATGAGATGGTTTCTGCAAATTCTTTTGTCTGGATTGGATTTTATCTCGGTAAGATAAATGAAAAAATTAATCGAATTTTTTTTGTTTTTATTTTTTTTTGAGGCAGAGTCTCACTGTGTCACCCAGGCTGGAGTGCAGTGACACGATCTCGGCTCACTGCAATCTCCACCTGCCGGGCTCAAGTAATTCTGCTGCCTCAGCCTCACGAGTAGCTGGGACTACAAGCACGCACTACTATGCCCAGCTAATTTTTGTATTTTCAGTAGAAATGGGGTTGCACCAAGTTGGCCAGGCTGGTCTTAAACTCCTGACCTCAGGTGATTCACCTGCTTCAGACTCCCAAAGTGCTGGGATTACAGGCGTGAGCCACCACGCCCGGCCAGGTCAAACGTTAACAATGGTTGATGCCAGGTGTAGGGCACGTGGGCATTCATTTTCATATTCTCTCTACTGTTATGTGCGTTTGAAAATTTCCATAGTAAAATGCTAAAGAAAAAAAGAAATATTTCATGATAAGAATGAGTGCTGTCTATCTTCCTACATGACTAGAGGAACTGGACACAAATAGACCTTTTGTTCTAGAATCACTTAACTCTAAGAAGTTGTTTTTTGTAGTATGAATATCAGCTAAAACAAGACTAAAGAGAATTTGCTAAAGAGATCTTAAGGTTATAATTTTTCAAACCTGATTGTTTGGATCTGTGAGGTACCTCACTACAATAGGTATGAGATATTCAGAGAGCACCACTGGAAAATTTGATCTGTTTTCTTGTAAAAAAATGGCAATAGGAGGAATCTGTTCCATCAGCTCAGTCCGCACTGTGGGCTCTGCAGCAATAAAAAATTTAAAAAAATTATATTAAGAATAAGCCAAGCATCTTAGATAGTATATACTGATAGTTTCTAGCTTTTCTTACTAAAATACTTCATCAAGGAAATTAGACAAATGCAGTTTAAAAATCATTTCCCATTTAGAGTATTTATGCTACAGACAGGCTTAAAAAGCTAATGAGCTATACAGCAATATAAAAACATAAAAAGAAGAGAGAATGACAACTCTATTATAACAAGCCATATATAAATTTGAGGAGGGAGCAAGAAGTCTGCATGCTGGGCCAGCATCCAAAAGCCATTACAACTAATGCCTTATCTGCCAGACCTATGGGTTGTGCTTATTTAAATTCTAGCCAGAATGTATACATTATAAATAATTCTTTCATAAATGCACTCCGCCACAATCCACGCATCCCAATTATTTCTAAGGCAAAGCATTAAACAAAAGAGCGGCTCTAGCTCCAATATACCACATTAAATTTAACACAAATGTATAATTGCTACAGCACTGTAAACGGTGACTCATTTACAAAGAGAATCCATTTAAAGACTCAAAACATCCACTTGGGCGTTTTTAAAAGCATTGCGTTATATTCATATAAATATTTTGAACTAATGTGGGAGCTATATGGAAGGCTTATTTTTCTATTTTCAGTTAAAATGATTAAACTCTAAAGGCTGAGAGTCCTGAAACTTTCTGAAGCTTCTCATGATTCATTCTGAATGCAGGAAGGAGGGGGCTGTGGCACAGCTGTCAGTACCGGCCAGCCCCGCCACTCATTCATCTAACTCATCTTTACTGGGGCGGGGGGGAAGACAACATCATCATATCTGCTGTACAGCAACGTGCTTTTCTTCCACGATACCAATCATGGAGAGGTAGAATGAGAAAGAAAAATCAAGATTCGCCTAGAGGGAAACTAATGACTGAGATTTTCGAACCCAAGAGGCTTCTTTTGATTTGGCATTTCTTAGCAACCAGTAGTCTGGCAAAACTCAAGAAATACCAAAGGCCTAACTGCCAAGGCAAACAGCATTCGTAGCCATTAATCATTTTAATTTTCTAAATATAAGAAAATTTCAGTCAAAATTCAAATAAGACATACATTCTTCAAGACAAAATCCATTCATGGTTAGAAACTGCTTAAAGGTTATTGATTAATAAACAGGTTTTTTAAAAAATAGCTATTACTGGTTATACATAATTTCTTAGAAATTCATAAGTAAAAAATAAAATTATACAATCCTTATACAAACCTGCATCTTCTGACAATCTGACTACAATCTCCATTACCGTGAGGAAGTCTTCTTCATTGTTACCGAAGTCCCGGAAGATATCAAGCAGCCCTCTGGCAATAATCTGCCTATGGAGACAAAAACAATGCATATGGTTATTGGGGCCACATTGACTGAAGGACCACAAGGTTCCAGGCATTGCGCTAAGAGCAGGTAAGTGCACCTGGGCACAAGACAAAATGAGCAACCTGTGTCCAGAAGGAGGACGGAGGCTACCCAGGAATGCCCAGCGACGGCCATTCCAGCATGGGCCACAGTCCTACAGGAAAGGAGGCCTGCATCTTCTAGTCTGGTAGTCATCAGAGTTTGAAAATGTCCACTTGAGAATAAGGCAAAACCTTTTTCTCATTTTTTGGCTGGTTCCTCAGGCCTACATAGGCTTAGAAGAAAAGCTCAAGACAGTTGAAGGCAACTAAGGGACCAATAAATGCAGAAGAGAAAGGCCCAAAGAGGCATCTGATGGCCTCTTAATGACTGAATGAGTAAGTGCCAACTAGAAATTCTGCAGAAATTCTCTTGGAAAGCCTTGAGAGAATTTTTAAAATTCCGTTATTTCTCCACATTTATTATTTTTACTTTCCTATCTCCCTGTGCTGATTAACCATAAAACCTGTAAAATGAGAAGGAGCTACAGATGTTTATTTTGAGGGCAGCAAGGGAAGGAGGAGCTGGGGACACTGCATCCCACTATAGGCAGAACTGGTCAAGAGAACCAAGATAGAGTCAGAAGTGGCAACTACCAAAAGGAAAGAGAAATCATTGCAGTCCACTGGCCTGAGCAATGTACAGGAGAACAGTTAAGTCAGCCCGAGACTGAGGAACAGGCCAAGACTCAACTCAGAAAAGTCTCACCACAAGATGGCAAGCAACAGAGGAATGATGTGCACTATGGCATTCTACACAGAGGAAGCTATGGCCATGGGGGGAGACAATGTGATTGTCATTGCAGGACCAAGTGATGTTGTCCCATCATAAGCATGATCTGAGCTAGAGCTACAAAAGGCCTACTGAGGAGACACGTCAAAGATCTCTGCAACAGCTAATTCCATCAGTATACTGATCAATGGAGCAGGCGGGGGGCAGGGGTACCCTAAGGTGTGGGGCCTTCCCAAAGAGTGGACCCACAAGCCCAGGAGGCCACTGTGAACTGTGGACCATCCAAAGACAAGAAATTAAAAAAGAATAAAGACTCTTTTAGACATTCAAAAAATCTATCACCAGCAGATCTGAACTATAAGAAATGATAAAGAAAATCCGATGGAAATGTGAATCTGTAGAAAGGAATAAAGAACACCAGAAGTGATAACTACATGCATAGATACACAAACTTTTATGTTATTATTTAAATCTCTTTCAGAAATAATTGACTAAGTTAAAAATAACACTTTATTATTATTGTGGATTTATAACACATATATAATAAAATGCATGACGAAATCACATAAAGACCAGGAGAGGGGAAACGAAGGCATACTATGATAAGTTCCTTACACTATACATGAAGTGGTAAAATACCACTGGAAGGTAGGCCATGGTAAGTTAAATATACATACTATAAATGCTAAGGCAACCACTAAAATAAAAAAAATGAATTATAACTAATAAACTATTTAAAAAGCAAACTAAAATCACAAAGAAGTTCAATTAACTCAAGAGAAAGCAGACAAAGAACAAAAAGGGAACAAAACAGATGTGACAAATAGAAAACAAACAGCAAGATGATATACTTAAACCTAACTGCATCAATAATTACATTAAATGTAAATGGTCTAAACATTGCAATTAGAAAAAGATTAACAGAATGGATAAAAAAAAAGAAGACCCAACTACATATTACTTATAAGAAACACATGTTAAATATACAGATGCAAATAAATAATAAAAGATGAATATATTATGCTAACAATAGTCCAAAGAAAGCTGGAGTAGCTATATTAATATCAGACAAAACAGATTTTGGAGCAAAGAACATCACCAAGGGAAAAGAGGTCATTTCATAATGATAAAGGGGTAAACTCATGAAGAAGACATAATTATCTCAAATGTTTATATGCCTAATAACAGAGTTTCAAAATACATGCAGCAAAAACCAATACAACTGCAAGGAGAAATAGACAAAAGTAAATGTCGAAGTCCAGAAACAAACCCACACATATACCAAGTAATTTTTTTTTTTTTACAAAGGTGAACAGGGAAAGTCTTCAAAAAGTGGTGCTAGAATAAATAGCCATATGGGGGGAAAAAAAATTGACTCTTATTTCATACCATAAACCAAAATTAATTCAAAATGGACCCATAGATGTAATGTAAGAACTAAAACATAAAACTTCTTGAAGAGAAAAAAAAATCTTTGTGACCTTAGGTTAGACAAAGATTTCTGAGGAGCCAAAGTATACAAACCATAAAAGAAAAAAATTGATAAATTTGACTTCATCAAAATTTAAAACTTTGCTCCCTAAACCACACCACTGAGAAAATAAAAATCATGAGCCACAGACTGGAGAAAATATCTGACCAAAACTGGTATCCAGAATATATAAATAATCCTTGTACTCTTATAACTCCATAATAAGCAGACAAACAGCCCAATTAAAAGAATAAGTGTTCATAAATGAGCCCAGCACATTATTAATACTAATAACCGAAAGATGGAAACAACCTAAATATCTGTCAACTGAGGAGTGAATAATCAAAATACTACGTATCCATTCAATGGAGCATTATTAAAGGAATGAGGTACTGATGCATACTACTACAACATGATGTAGCTTTTTTTAAAAAAAAAAAAAAAAAAAACAACACAGGGTCTCACTCTGTCACCCAGGCTAGAATGCAGTGGCACGATCATAGCTCAATGCAGCCTTGAACTCCTAGGCTCAAGTGAAACATGGATGAATACTGAAAACAGCATGCTAAGTGAATGAAGTCAGTCACAAAAGACGACATACTGTATGATTACATTTCTATAAAATGCCTGGAATAGGCAAATCAATGAAGACACAAAGTAAAAGAGTGGTTGCCTAGGGCTGGGAGATTGGAGAGGAATGGGTAGTGGTTGCTAATGGGAACCAGGTTTCTTATTGAGGTGATAAAAATGTTTTAAAATTCATTGTGGCAATGTTGCACAACTCTGTGAATATTACTACAAACCATCAACTTGTACACTTTAAAGTGGTGAAACGTACGACATGTAAACTAAATCTCAATAAAGTTCTTTTATTCTTTTAAAAAGCAAAAGATTTTAACAACTTCACAAAAGAAAATGTACAAACAGCCAAGAAATACAAGAAAAAAATTCTCAACATCTTCAGAAAACTACAAATCAGCCAGGCACAGTGGCTAACACCTGTGATCCCAGCACTTTGGGAGGCCAAGGCAGGCAGATTGCTTGAACCCATGAGTTTGAGACCAGCCTAGGCAACATGGTGAAACCCCGTCTCTACAAAAAATACAAAACTTGGCCAGGCATAGTGGCACACACCTGTAGTCCCAGCTACTCAGGAGCGTTGGGGTGGGAGGATCACTTGAACCCAGAAGACAGAGGTTGCAGGGAGCTGAGATCGCACCACTGCACTCCAGCCTGGGTGACAGAGCGAGACCCTATCACACACACAAAAAAAAACCTGTCAAGATCATGAAAGACAAGGATAGAACAAGAAACCATCACAGACGGAGGAGCCTCAGGAGACATGGCAACTGTAAATGTAATGTAGTACCCTGATGGGATCCTGGAGCAGAAAAAGAACATTAATGGAAAAATGCAGAATCCAAGTCAAATCTGTAATTTAGTTAACAGTACACCAATGCCAATGTTATTTTCTTAGTTTTGATCAATGTCACATGCTTATTTAAGCCGTAAACATTAGAGCAGTTTCCTGACCTCAGCGTTACTGGTATTTTGGAGCAGGTAAGTCTTTGTTGGTGGGGGCGGGGGGGGGGGGGCTGTCTGGGGCACGGCAGGAGGTTTAGCAGTGTCCCTGGCTTCCACCCACCAGCAGCACCCTCTGTGCCCCAAGATGTGACAACCAAAAACGTATCTACACATTGTATAAGATCCTTTGGGGGCAAAATTACCCATAATTGAAAGCCACTGCATTAGAAGTTGGGCAAAAGGTATAAGGGAACTCTCAGTACTATCTCTGCAACAGTCCTGTAAACCTAAAATTATTTCAAAATAAAAATCTTAAACACAAAACAAAACACAAGGCCAAAAATGCAAAAGCTACGATGAGGTAACACTACACTACTAGAAGAACTAAAATTATAATGACAATATCAAGTGCTGGCAAAGATATGAAATAGGAATCCACAGACATTGGTAGAAATGCAAAATTGTACAGGTAATTTGGAAAACAGTGTGGCAATTCCTCTAAAAGCTAAACATACACTTACCAGTCAACCCAGCAATTTCACTCTTAGGCATTTACCCATCCAAAATGAAAACATATGTCCACACAAAGTTGAATGCAAATGTTCATATAAGCATTATTCACAACAGCCACGAAATGGAAAACTCCCAGTGTTCCCTGAACTGGTGAATGCGATACAAAACAGAGTATCTGTACATACTCAGCAATAAAAAGGAATGAGCTATTGATAACAACAGGGATGAATTCTAATGCATTTTGCTAAGGAAGAGAAGCCAGACATGTAAGAGTACATCCCATATGACTGAATTTATATGAAATTCTAGAAAAGGCAAAATCTTTTGAAAACATCAGAAACAGGGTCAGTGGTTGCCTGGCCCTATGGTGGTCAGGGAGGGAGGGAGTGCCAGACAGCCAAGGGGCAAATAAGGGTACTTGTCAGGTGACTGAAACTTTTGAACTCCATTGTGACAATGGTTGGATTACTGTATACATTTACCAAATTCATCCAAGTGAACGATTAAAGTGGTTGAAGTTTATTGCATATAAACTATGCCTCAATAAACGCTCTTTAAACAAAGACACTGATGAGGGATAAAGTGAGGGCCATCAGCAGTGGCCTGGGGTGATCTGGAGGCCTCCCATGCAAGCAGAGGAACTGGAGCTCCTGAAGGCTTTCTCTGATCACGTAAAAAGGGGCCCCTGACTGCTTCTGTCCACTCCTCTGAGCAACCCACCATCCAGGAACAATGCATGTCATTTCTGGCCATGCATGCATCAGAAGAATTCAATGAAGTTGAAAACCCACCCTGACTTGCAGGCAAAAAAGACTAGAAATATGGAATTCTAAGGGGCAGTCCTTTGGCCCAGTATATTACAGGAAGAAATCCATCAACTCAAGCCTGTATCCAGGGAGATTTATACCACCCTCGGGATGAAAGATCAAGATCTGGCAGCCAAGAGGTTTTGGAAAGTCAGAATAGCCACTGCAGAGAAAGTCACTAATTACATTTCACTAGACCACATTCATTCAGCTTCCCTTGGGAAATCAAGCAACTAAGATCCCCAATCTGCTTCTAGGGCCATAGAACAGAGAGGCAAATCTACATCCAGCCTCAAGTGGTCACAAGGGACCTGCCCTCTTAAAGAAAGCAAGGAAAGGGATAAGAGAGGACCCCTGAGGCAGAGACAACTCCACAACAGAACAGGAGTGAGGTAAAGACTCAAACAAATTGGTGCTTTGGAACCACCATTTTGGAAAACCTGGCTGCTTTGCAATGACCTGGAGAGCCCACAGTGGATGAGCAGAGTCCTGAAGCCTCGGCCTCAATACTTCTCACTTGTTTGTTAGCTTTGTTAATAAGATGAAAGAAGAAAGCGGCCCTCTGGAGAGACAAACCCTGCCTGACTCAGAAGAGCGCAGGGAGACTCAGCGACATGGTGTGTAGCAAGCACAAAGCTGGGGAGTGGCACACTGTAAGTCCTCTACGGCGCCAGCCACTAGATTACAAGACATGCAGCTGCCAACAACAAATGAATAGAGAGAAGCTTAAATAAATTACGATCTATCTATACCCTTGCATACCATGCAACTATTTGTATGGCCTTAGTACCTCTAGATATGTACTAAGTTAGAAAGATATCCATGATACATTAAATGAAAAAAGGTGAAAAATTTTGCATATGGTATGAGCCCATTTCTTATTTTTTTTTTTTTTTTTTTTTGAGACAGAGTCTCCCTCTGTCCCCAGGCTGGAGTGCAGTGGCACAATCTCAGCTCACTGCAACCTCTGCCTCCCAGGTTCAAGCGAGTCTCCTGCCTCAGCCTCCTGAGTAGCTGGGACTACAGGTGCACGCCACCATGCTCAGCTAATTTTTGTACTTTTAGTAGAGATGGGGTTTCACCATGTTGGCCAGGATAGTCTTTATCTCTGAACCTCGTGATCTGCCTGCTTCAGCCTCCCAAAGTGCTGGGAATACAGGCGTGAGCCATCACGCCCAGCCAAGCCCATTTCTTAATACAAGTTACATTTAGGTATACATGTGCAACACATGTACACATAAACACATTCATATATACATACACTTATTTAGGAAGCAATCTAGAAGGGTACTCACCAAACTTCACAGCTCTTCCCAAGGTTGTAGTGGGGGAGGGAGGGAAACTCTATTTAAATTCCTGAAGTTGTTAAATATTTCAATGGGCATGTATTATGTTTGTGAATTTTTTTTTAATATAAAGAGGATGGCTGGGGAGGCCAAGGCAGGCAGATCACTTGAGGTCAGGAGTTCAAGACCAGCCTGTCCAATATGGCAAAAAACCATCTCTACTAAAAATACAAAAATCAGCTGGGCATGGTGATGTGTCCCTGTAATCCCAGCTACTCGGGAGGCTGAGGCATAAGAATCACTTGAACCTGGGAGGCAGAGGTTGCAGTGAGCTGAGATTGCAACACTGCACTCCAGCCTGGGTGACGGAGCGAGACTCCATCTCAAAAAAAAAAAAAAAAAAAAAAAGAGAATGGCTTAATTTTACGTGGCAATATAACCAATGTTCCCTGGAAATCCAGCCATGGAAGTATCACTCAATCACTCAGTTATAATTATGTGTTAAGCCCAACCAACTCTAGACTCAACGCAAGAAGCTTGGGATACCAGGATAAGCAAGGTCCAGGCCCTGCTCTTAGGAGCTTTACAGTCTAGGCCTGGAAGTAAACAAGAAAATTATGATGACCAGTAGGGACAGGACCCACAGAGAGTGCCCACAGGATATGACAGAAACACAGAAGAACACAGAGGGGCTAGCCAGAGAGATGAGGAGTGTGAGGATGAGAAGTTAGGCAGAAACCCCGGATGTCGGAAAGATGAGACGAGGACTTTAAGATAAGCGTGAACAGCATGGAAAGATCTAGAGGAAACCCGGGGCACACTGGGCAGCTACGGAATGCGGGAACTTTCTGTATTTCCCACTCGACTTTTCTGTAAATCTAAAATCCCGCCAAAAATAGTCTATTAGTTAAAGAAAGAATGGAAATGAAACGTTTTTTCAGATAAACAAAAGCTGAGAAAATTCACTGACAACAGTCTTGTACAAAACAAAAATTGTTAATGGAAGTTCTTGAAGCAAAAGGATACCTGATAG
Organism: Homo sapiens; assembly: GCF_000001405.40. Taxonomy (NCBI): domain Eukaryota; kingdom Metazoa; phylum Chordata; class Mammalia; order Primates; family Hominidae; genus Homo; species Homo sapiens. Next base: position 58,280,317 of record NC_000020.11, read on the forward strand.
AAATGAGCATTTTACAAAAAGAAACAAAAAACATCAAAAATGGTAAGAAAAAAATGGCAAATATTTAAAAATCTTTTTCTTATTTGTAATTGCTTTAAGATAGTTGCTATATAAAGCAAACATAGTAAAAAGGTATTCTGAAATGTATGAATTGTGTAGAAGTAAAGTGTAGGAAAGTAACAGCGTGAAAGATGGAGGGGAAGAGGTGGAAGAACACCGTTGTGAGGCTCTTATGCAACATCTCCAACTCTACAGCATGGAAAGTGGTATCATTTTGAACATATGTCATGATGAATAAAAGAAGTATACTGTAATCCCTAGAAAAATCCATAAAAATGTTTAAGAAGAGGTACTGTATAACGAGTAAGCCAACAGTGGAAAAAAACTGATATATTTAAGGCAGGAAAAACAGAAAACAAGAATAGTCAAATACAAAATAAATACCAAGATGGTAGATTTAAACAAACCATATCAATAGTAACATCAAATGGAAATGATTTAAACATTCAAATTAAGAGGCAGAGATTGTACAACTGGATAAAAAAGCAAGACCTAATTATATGCCTTCTATAATAAACACACTTTAAAGACAGATAAGTAAAAAATAAAAGTATGGATAAAAATATACCACACAAACATTAATCAAAAGAAAGCTAGAGTGTATATATTAATATCAGACAAGGTAAGCTTCGGAAAAGGAGAATATCACTAGGGAAAAAAAGGGACATTACACAGTGTTAATAAATCAGGCCGGGCACGGTGGCTCACGCCTGTAATCCCAGCTTTGGGAGGCCAAGGTGGGTGGATCACCTGAGGTCAGGAGTTCGAGACCAGCCTGGCCAACATGGTAAAACCCTGTCTCTACTAAAAATATGTAAATTAGCTGGGTATGGTGGTGGATGCCTGTAATCCCAGCTACTCGAAAGGCTGAGGCATGAGAATTGCTTGAACCCAGGAGGCAGAGGTTGCAGCCTGGGGAATAGAACAAGATACTGTCTCAAAAAAAAAAAAAAAAAAAAAGAAATCAATTTATTTAACAAACCAGAACAATACTAAATGTGTATGCACCCGACATCAAAACTTCAAAATACGTGAAATATGTAAAACTAAAATTAAAAGGAAACGTAGATAAATCCACAATTGTCGACGCAGGTAGCAACATTTCTCTTAGTAATTTACAGAACAAGTAAACAGAAAATAGATAAGCATATATTACCCTTGACCTAATTTATAAGATATTTGTAAGATACTCTACCCAAAAAACATTGCAGTGCATTGCAACGCACATTCTTTTCAAGCAGACATGTAATAGTTTACTAAGATAGAACACATTCGGAGCCATAAAATAAATCTCAACAAATTTAAAAGAGAAAAAATACAAAGTATGTTCTCTGACCACAAACGAATTAAACTAGGAATCAATAACAGAAAGATATCTGCAAAATCCTCAAGTATCTGGAAATAACACACTTCTGAATAACTAAATGATCAAAGGAGAAATCATTAACATTAAAAATACTTGTGCTGAGAAATAACAAAAACATTATATATCAAAACTTGAGGTAACATAGTACTTAAGAGGAAATTGTACAATATAAAATGCAGATGTTACAAAAGAAAAACCAAAAAAACAAAAAACTGAGCTAAATATCCTTAAAGTAAGAAAAAGAACAGCAATTAAATCCCAAAAGTAAAAAAAAAAAAACCCAAGGAAAAAATAATACAGATTAGAGCAGATATTATTGAACTATTATAGAAAACAAACATACAACAGAAACAAAGCCAAAACTTGAGTCTTTGAAATAACTAATGAAATTCATAACCTTCTGGTAAGAATTATCTAGGGGGATAAAAAAAGAGAGAGAGGGCACAAACAACAAATAACAGGATGGAAATGGGGACACAACACATCTCACAGACAATAAAAAAAAAATTGTCATTTTCCAACCCAGAATGAAATAACAGATTTAAGCAATGATTATTTGTGAATCCTGAAATCATCAGAAGAAAGACTGGTGAGGAATTTTATAATGAAAGAATAAAACACCTGAGCCCACTGCTCAATATGAAATCTCTAAAGGTGTGACAACTAGACATTGTTTCCTGGTGTCTTGTAATAAGAATTTCACAAAACAACATATGAAGTATTGCTTAAAAAAAAAATTGAAGCAGAATATAATAAATTCTCCAAACGTAATTTTCAGTTTACAGAAAAGACAGGGAAAATGATACCATGAGAATCATGACCACCAAATACAGAATGTGGAAAATTCTCTAAGCTAATGACCGCTTCAACAAATAAATGATATGGAGAAAGATGAAACAGAGAACCATTTGAGATTAAAAAGAGTTTAAGATCAAAAGGAAAAAAACCTGTAAACAAAAAGAGACTTAAGAGACACATCTACCTAATGAAATCTATAGACCTTATTTGGATCATGACTCAAACAAATCAACCATAAAAAGGTATTTTTTAGTCAGGAAAACTCGACATAGAGTGATAAACTAGAAAGCATTGTTGTTAATTTTGTTAAATGTGATAATGATAGTACAGTTAGATTTGTTCTAAGTCCTTAACTGGATAAAATATGATGTCTCAAATTTCCTTTAAAATACACAACGAAAAAAAGCACAAAACCTCTGCAGAGAAAATGATCAGACTGTATTGAGAAACTAAAGAAAACCTAAATAAATGAAAAGATAAACCATGTTTACAGATTGGAAGTCTACACATTGTAAAAAGGGCAATACTCTCCAAATTGACCTATAGATTCAATGCAAACCCAATCAAAATCCTAATAGATGTTCTGTTTTGTTTCATTTTGTTAGAATCTGGTGAGCTGGATTTTAAATTTACATGAAAATACAAAGTACCAAGAATAACTAGTCATGCCAAAGAAGAAAAACAAGATGGGAAGACTTGTTCTATCAAATATCAAGACTCATTATAAATCTATAGCAACCAAAACAGTGTAGTATTGGCTGAGGGGACCACTGGAAAAGAGGGGAGAGTCCAAAGACTGTAAACAGAGGCTGGACTGTAACAGAGGTGGCACTCCAGAGCAGTGGGAAAAGAACATACTTTTGATAAATGACATTGTGACAATTAGGAAAATGAAGCTGGAGCCATTTTTCCTATGATAAAAATTAAGTTCAGGCAGATTACAGAACTATAGTATATCTATTTCACAGAAAAAAAATAAAGGCTTTAAAGCAATATAAAGAAATAGAGAAAAAAGCTTCTGAATGCACTATTAAGGAAAATGTCAATAAATTTAACTACATTAAAGTGAATACTTGTGTGCCTGGCACGGTGCTCACACCATTGAGGCCAGGACTTTGAAACCAGCCTAGGCAATATAGTGAGACCCTGTCTCTGTGCAAAATAAAGTAGCTGGGCATGCTCCTGTAGTGGCAGCTACTTAGGAGGCTGAAGCAGGAGGATCTCGAGCCCAGGAGTTTGAGACTCCAGCTATGATTGCACCACTGCACTCTAGCTGGGTAACAGAACTTGTTACCTTGTTACCCAAAGTCTCAAAAAAAAAAAACAAAAAATAAAAATAAAAATAAAAAACCAATAGCTTCTGGTCACCAAAAGAACACCATAAAGAGAGTTTAAACACAAGCCACCAGTTGAAAGATGTTTATCATACATAATTAATAAAGGTTTGAAATCTAGAATATACACAGAACTCCTACAAATTGATAATAAAAAGACAAACAATCCATCTTCTCCCTACCAATTCAACCAAAGATTTGAACAGGCACTTCACAAAAAAGAAATACAGATGTCCAACAAACATATGAAAAAGTGTTTAAACTCACAGTAAAGAAAATAAAAATTCAAATCACAAAGTGATATCGTTATATACACTACCAAACTACAGACTGGCTAAAATACAAAAATCTGACAATACCAATTGGCAGATAAAATGTAGGGCAAAGGTAAGGCCGGGCATAGTGGCTCACACCTGTAATCCCAGCACTTTGGGAAGCCGAGGCAGGTAGATCACCTGAAGTCAGGAGTTTGAGACCAGCCTGGCCAATATGGTGAAACCTGTCTCTAGTAAAAATACAAACCTTAGCCAGGCGTGGTAGTGTACACGCCTGTAGTCCCAGCTACTTGAGAGGCTGAGGCAGGAGAATTGCTTGAACCCAGGAGGCAGAGGTTGCAGTGAGCCAAGATCGCCAGCCTGAGCAATGGAGCGAGATTCCGTCTCAAAAAAAAAGTAGGGCAAAGGTAGGAGTATAAACTGATACAACCACTTTGGAAAACTGGCATTATCTACTAAAGCAGAAGATAAGCATACACCGTCACACAGTATTTCTTTCCTGGGTACATGTCCTACAGAAACGCATAATTGTGTGTCCCCAGATACATCTACAAGACTGTTCACAGCAAAACTCTTCTTTAACAATAGCAGATGGATAAATGTCAGTATATTCAAGAACACTATTAGAAAAAGAACAAATTCAAACTATTAATATATGCGAAATCCATAAAAGTAATGTATCCTGTATGATTTCCCATATATAAAGTCCAGAAACAATAAAATTAAATTACATTATTTGGCGGTAGCTAGATGCCAAAACTAGAAAGACAAAAAAGAAAAAAGACACCATTCAAGGTATCATCATTCCCTAGCATAAAAGGAGAATAACAATGGACTCATCCTGCAACATTAAATGGATCCATCCATAACATCCTTGTGAGCTTTCTATGATTTAATAGATGAAAGGGCTTAGCCTATATTTGGCATAGAATGTAATTTTCGTTTTATCTTTTTCTTTTTTTTTTTATAGAATGTAATTTTTGTTTTTTGTTTTTTTTTTTTTTTGAGATGGAGTCTCACTCTGTCACCCAGGCTGGAGTGCAGTGGCGTGATCTTGGCTCACTGCGAGCTCCGCCTCCCGGGTTCATGCCATTCTCCTGCCTCAGCCTCCCGAGTAGCTGGGACTATGGGCACCCACCACCACACCCGGCTAATTTCTTGTATTTTTAGTAGAGACAGGGTTTCATCGTGTTAGCCAGGATGGTCTCGATCTCCTGACCTCGTGATCCGCCCACCTTGGACTCCCAAAGTGCTGGGATTACAGGCGTGAGCTACCGCGCCCAGCCAGAATGTAATTTTTAAAAGCAAGAGCCAATGAAGGTAAGGAAAGAGGCTATGTGAGTACCATCAAGTCTTGGCAGGTGGTGTATTAGGGACTACATGGGGAAGGAAGTAGGGAAGCTCAGAGGATAGTTTAGAACAAGACAAGTCAGGGTTGCAAGTGGGGTGAATATGCACCTGTAACAGGAGAGGAGACACAGACGACAGAAGGCAAACCTGAGGGGGGCGAGGGATCAGGGACGGAGGGCCCATCAAAGGGCAGAACAGGAGGAGAGAGACTGTCTGCTGAGAAAGGAGGGGAGAATGCTTTCAGATTCACAGAAGTTTGGGTAGCACGTAAATGTAAAGGGAAGCCTTAATTTCTGCTTTCTTCAGGATATTAAGAATCAAGGTCATCTACTGAGCCAAGGTGGGCCTGGAGTCGAACCCTGCCAACACCGTACACGGTGACAACGGAGCATGGCATGACACATTGCCACCGAAGTTCCTGATACACAGCGCAGTCAAAATACAAAGCGGGCAGACAATGCTTCCAACTGACGCTTCTTGGTGCTTCTCAATTAAGGAATGCATGATTTTTCTGAGTACTGCATATGTGAAAGAAACCCAGTTAGCAATCCTAATCACTTAAACACCATGAAATTCATCACCATTTCCTTCCTGGCTTACCAGGTGGTCAGCAAAACAATAACAAAAATAATGAAAAAGCCTAATAAGATGGTACCATTCAGACAGAAGCCCAGCATCCTGGTGACAATCTGTATCCAACCTACCTCATCATCCATGAAGTCTCCTCAAAGCTGTCACAGAGAAGTGGCCCCAAGTGTCAGCTTAAAGCACACAACACAGAGTTGTCAACATACACAGGCCTGGTTGGGCTTACCGGTTGAAGGTGTTCTCGCTGAAAGCATACTTCTCCAGGCGAGTGAGTGGAGGCAGGTTATCCTGGCCTGGAATGTCCAAGAAGGCCGTTACTCTCATGTTGTCGCAATCTGTACCATAGTCTTCAAATCCATCTAAAAAGGAAGAGTGAAGGGGGGGAACCCACGCTCAAAAGTGTGCATCAACTGTGACAAGTCACACTTGGGCAAAGACATGGCCTTGTGGCATGTGTTCTACCTTCACAGCTGAAGTCTCTAAGAATCGCAACATTGAGAATTCACCCAAAATGAAATGGTCAGTTGAAGAACCGCAAAAGAAAATAATAGGTACCAGAGTAACAAAGAAGAGCCGGACGCCTTTCTTTTAGTGCAGTCTGTCTAATGCATGAGTGAAAGGAACCAATCCTCTACTGGAGAACTCAGCAAGTGAGCAGATGTACACCTCTAAGAAAGCCCTGCTGTTTAAGAAGCCCTGCTCACCACGCAGGGCTGTGCAAACAGGTTAAAGCAGTTGAAGGAAAAACAAATCAGTTTGGCCTTACTTGTTAGCAAGACTCTGACAGAAAGTCCACCCCACATCCGGTCTGTTCTAAACGCACTCATGTAGCGTCAAAGATGCCATGACATACATTCCTATCCATCCGTATCTGTGGCCCCACAACACCCAACCACACCTCTCCACACAGGTATCCAACAAGTTCCTCCAACTCATTGTGGCCAAAAATGAGCCAATTATCATCCTTCCTCTTCCTCTTTTTTTCTTTTTTTTTTTTCTGAGACGGAGTCTCACTTTGCTGCGCAGGCTGGAGTGCAGTGGCCCAATCTCAACTCACTGCAACCTCCGCCTCCCTGGTTCAAGTGATTCTCCTGCCTGAGCCTCCTTGAGTAGCTGGGATTACAGGCATGCGCCATCACACCCAGCTAATTTTTTGTATTTTTAGTAGAGACAGGATTTCATCACGTTGGCCAGGCTGGTCTTGAACTCCAGACCTCAGGTGATCCACCTGCCTCGGCCTCCCAAAGTGCTGGGATTACAGGCATGAGCCACCATGCCTAGCCCTTCTTCCTCTTTAAACCTGCTCTTTTCCCTCCTGTGCAGTGGGTAGCTGAATTCATGGGCTCTGGAGCCAAACACACCTGGAATGGGATGAATCCCACAACTACCACTCACTGCTATGTGGCCAGAGTTCGTCACGTCACCTGTCCACACTTCCGTGTTCTCATCTTGAGGGTGGGATGAGACCCCTTCCTTGTGCCATCAGGATGCTGGAGTCAGTGGGACCATGCATGGGAAGACCTGCAGGATCTGGCTGACCTTGACATTGTTCACCTCCCTTTACTTACTCCCACGTTTCACATCCCCCACAGTGTTCAGAAGATGCTGTTCCCTATCTACTCTCTCCCATTTAGACTTAAGGTCTCAGCTAGGGCGCAGCCTCTTTAGAATGGCTTGCCTTCCCACTCTCCTCACACCTCAAGTGCCCCTGGTGATGGCAACCTGAGCCAGCCTCCTGCAACAGGAAGTTCACTGTTTATCTGCAGGAAGTCCTTACACAATAAACGCTCCTGAGGGCAGAACTATGTCCAGTTACTGTTGGATTCTCCAAGCCTAGCACATAGGCTTGGTAAAATGCATAGTCTTAAAGTGAATGTACTCATTATGTGTTTAATGAGCACCTACTATGTGCCCCTGGAACATTATTAAACACATAATGAGTAAATTTACTCTAAGACTATGCATTTTACCAAGTATGCTCTCCAACAAAACACCAACCACTGAATTAACTTAATCTTTCCATCCACTCTATAAAACACACTGACTAATCCCAGGGCAATGAACACTCATAGCAAAGAGGCTACTCTCTAGGAATAACAGTGGTAAGGGGAGTTGTTGGGATGATGATAATAATAAAAATAATGGCTACATTTTTTGAGCTCTTATAATAGGCCAGGGACAGGGAAGTAGCTTTCACATGTGGTTCAATTCCCACACCAACTCAACCAAGTAAGATTTTTATCCTTGTTTTACCGATGAGCAAACCAATACCTAAAGAAGTTAGGCAACTTTCCCTCGGTCACTCACCCAGTTTGCCCTAACCAGAAGGAGGCTCATGCGCAGCTATTCCCAACAGGAGTTACCTGCTTACTAACAGTCAGGTCCTGTGCTGTTATTTCTGAACGTTAGTTTGAATTCTTCAGAAAGATTCAATAAAAATGAGTTATTAAAATATAGCTGTCAAATTAGGAGTAGATAAAACAAGTGGAAAATACTGTAAACACACTGTAAAAAGTGACAAGGGCTTACATTTGCATTGCCTGACATACAAGTCTTCTCACTCCACATAAGACACTGAACCTGGAAATGTAGACGAGGCCTTACCGGTGTGATCTATGGATGAAGGGAAAGGGTCCATGTGCCAAGCAAGGCAAGGCCTTGGCTCAGATCACACGGTCAGCCTATGAATATCCATTCTTTGATTAAAATTAGAAGTTTTAGAAACGTAGCCATCTTGGCCAGGTGCGGTGGCTCACACCTGCAATCCCAGCACTTTGGGAGGCTGAGGTGGGTGGATCTCTTAAGGCCAGGAGTTCAAGACCAGCCTGGCCAACATGGTGAAATCCCGTCTCTACTAAAATACAAAAATTACCCAGGCGTGGTGGTACATGCCTGCAATCCCAGCTACTCCAGAGGCTGAGGCAGAGAATAGCTTGAACCTGGGAGGTGGAGGTTGCAGTGAGGCGAGATCACGCCACTGTACTCCAGCCTGGGCGACAGAGCAAGACTTCATCTCAAAAAGAAAAAAAAAAAGAAATATAACCATCTTTTTTTAAGAATCCCTGATATGACCAACTTGTTCTATTAAGCAGTCATCTTCTCCTCCCATTCCTGCTAGAAAAGAGGCCATCACTGAAAGGATAAGGCAGGCAGGGAACTACCTGGAGTTGAGAGCTAATTATCAAGAGGACTCTTGCTATTTCCAAGACAGCCTGGCAGAGTTTGTGCCCAGTAAAGAGAAACACACCTGGCAGAGCCCTCCCTTCTCCCACTCCCCCACCTAGCCTTTCCATTGCTAACCTAGGAAAATAAAGATAAAGAAACAGGCTGCTGAGGACTTCCCTGAGGCTAATTTTGGCAAAATAACAGCATCAATAGTTAGTTCCAGAAAGATTAATCGGCACCTGCTCTAGAGGTGGAAATGCATCCCTCCTACCCCTCGCCCTGAAAACTAGACAGTTGGTGATGGCACTAATGTGAAAAAGTAGAGGAGTCCTACCAGGCAGGTAGAAAACCCAAAGTCAATGCAGGCAGTAATGGAAAAGAGTTCAATCTAGAGATGACAAGTTTGTGCCTAGGTACTTACTTTTCTTTGAACGTGAACCACATTTTTCCTCAACTAATTATTTTAGGCTAATAATATGAGCTTATTAAAAATTTACACTGTATAACAGCTACTCAGAGAATTTTAATAAAGAATTACACAGTTACAGAAAAAATATGTATCACATAATCAAATATGCCATTTCTCTGCACAATAGCTGCCTTGGATGAACAGGTCCACACTGAGTCACAGCCAAGCCCGATGACCAGAGTCACTGCATACGAGCTATTCTCAATGCACTTCAGAGTCCAGAAGGAATAGGCAGCCTCGATCCCACAGAGAGTTATATAGCATTTGCAGGCCCAGGCTGGAATGGACTTGAAAACGTTAAGTTTAAAGCAGTAGTTCCCAAGCTTTGGGGTAACAGACAGTTTTGGAACCTGAAGATATCTACAGTCATATACATTCAATACTTTTCATACAGGATCAGGGGTTTCAAAAGATCTTCTGAGGATCACTGTGTACTTTATGGGTTAAGAACATGGTGTTTTAAAATAACAGAAAATACCCAGACACTCTTCAAAAAACTGTGTTTAGTCAGACAACTAACAAACTTAGCAATTAGCTCCACCAAAGTATAGATGTTACTGGAGAATATTAATGATCCTACCACATTAACTATATAAAACTACACTATCAACAAGGAAATAAAAGCTATGTATAAGCCATAAAATAATGAATAATAATTTACTCTTCTTGGTTACCCCTATAAACCAGAAACTGTGCTAAGAGCTTTCTGTGTAGTAGCAGTAGTTTGTTAAATCTTGATTAAAAACCATATTAATCCCATTAAAAAAATAAAAAACAGACCAGGTAAAGTGGCTCACGCCTGTAATCCCAGCACTCTGGGAGGCTGAGGTGGGAGGATCGCATGGGCCCAGAAGCTGGGGATCAGCCTGGGGAAGAAGGTGAGACTTTGCCTCTAAGAAAAATATAAAAACTCAGTGGTTGTGATGGTATGTGCCCATGGTCCCAACTACTCAGGAGGCTGAGAAGGGAGGATCATTTGAGCCCAAGAGGTCGAGGCTGCAGTGAACTATGATCACAGCATGGCATTCCAGCCTGGACGACAGAGTGAGACCCTGTCTCAAAAAAAATTAGAAAACAAAAAAGCAGCTCAGAGAAGTTAAGAAAATTGCTACTCATAGAGTGGCAGAGTCAGAATTATTATTATCATTAAATCATTAGCCGATTCTATTACTAATATTGCTTATGTTTGTATTTCCAGAGTTCAGGGCAACCACAGACACTAGAGAGTATGGGGAAGGGCAAAGAGGAGGAATCCCAGAAAGGAAAGAGTCAAACAGGGGAAGCCTCTGTATTAAACTCTGCCCAAACCCTGGCTTGAGCCCTAAACCAAGCATTCGTGTGACAAATTCCAATCAGTACAGCTAAGGCTAAAAGAATTGAACCAAGATTTGGAATATTATCCACTCTAGGGGTGATGAGTTAACAGTCTGACCCCAGTCAATTTAAGTGCCTAGTAAAATAAAACAAAAGAAACAGAATCAATACTCTTTGGAGGCATATAGCAGAATCCAGAGGTTCTACAACATGTAACATTCACAATATCCAGGTTATACTCCAAAATTACTCAACATATGAAGAAAATGAGAAAACCTGAACTAGCTGGAAGAAAAAAAAAAATCAAAACAGAGTGACTCTGAGAGGACTCAAATGCTGGAATTACAGACAAGGACTTTAAAGCAACTATTACAATAATGCTTATGGATGGAAAGGAAAATATGCCATGAATGAGAAGGAGCCTCAGCAAAGAAACATTAATATAAAAAGGCACCAGATAAAAATTTGAGAACTAAAACAATTATCTGAAATTGAAAAATTCACTGAGTGAGTGGACTTAATAAAGAATGAAGGTGACAAAATAATGACCAAAAATTCCACAAATTTGGTGAAAGACGTAAATTTCCAAAATCAAGGATCTTAGTGAATGCCAAGAGGATAAATACATAGAAAATTGCATCTAGGTACATTAGAGTCAAACTGCTAGTAACCAAACATGATCATCCGGACAGCAGCAGAGAAAACAAGTATCATACACATGGAGTCATGGCTTGAGTGACCACTGACTCTTGACCAGAAACAGTAGAGGCAGAAGACAGTGAAACCACATCTTTTTTTTTTTTTTTTTTTTTTTTTGAGACGGAGTCTCGCTCTGTTGCCCAGGCTGGAGTGCAGTGGCACGATCTCAGCTCACTGCAAGCTCCGCCTCCCGGGTTCACGCCATTCTCCTGCCTCAGCCTCCCGAGTAGCTGGGACTACAGGCGCCCGCCACCACACCCGGCTAATTTTTTTGCATTTTTAGTAGAGACGAAACCACATCTTTAAAGGACTGAGAGACAAAACTAGCAATCTAGAACTTGACATCCAGTGAAAATATCCTCCAGGAATCTGACATTGTCCAATTAAAAAAAAATGCTAAAAATGTGTTTCTAACACACCCTTTTTACACAGCCAGCCAATGTGGACTATAAGAAATATTAAAAGATGTTCTGTAGGCTGAAGTGGAATGATACCATTTGGAAACCTGTATCTTCAAAAGGAATCAAGAGCATTAGAAACAGTAAATATTTAAAAACTATTATTCTTCTTAACTTAAAAATGCATATGATAGTTTAAAGCAAAAATTAAAACCTTGTGCTGTGGAATTTATAACATATATAGAGGTTCTATATATTTTAAACTATAACATAAAGCAGGAGCAGTAAATGGAACTATGCAGTTGTCAGGCTTCAACATTTTACATAAAGTGGTACAATATTAACTCTAAGTAGACTGTTTCTTTCTTTCTGTTTTTTGTTTATTTTTGTAGAGACAGGGTCTTGCTATGCTGCCCAGGCTACATTTGAACTCCTGAGATCCTCCTGCTTCAGCCTCCCAAGTAGCTAGGACTACAGGCGCGCACCACCAGACCTGGTTTCTCTTTTTTTTTTTTTTGAGACAGAGTTTTGCTCTTGTTGCTCAGGCTGGAGTGCAATGGTGTGATCTCGGCTCACCGCAACCTCCACCTCGCGGGTTCAAGAGATTGTCCTGCTTCAGCCTCCCGAGTAGCTGAGATTACAGGTATGCACCACCATGCCCGGCTAATTTTGTATTTTTAGTAGAGACGGGGTTTCTCCACGTTGGTCAGGTTGGTCTCGAACTCCCAGCCTCAGGTGATCCACCCACCTCGGCCTCCCAAAGTGCTGGGATTACAGGCATGAGCCACCGCGCCCAGCCCAGACCTGGCTTCTAAGTAGACTGTTTCTATCTGTAGAGCTAGACCTGGAGGTCCTTTAAACACTGGGACCATGTGATATAATGCCTGGCACATAGTACAGACACTTAATAAACACCGGTGTCTATAGAAATCACTCTACCAAGACTTTGATTACCAGGATTCAATTCATGAAAGCCTATCAGCCCCTGAGAAAGCTGAGAAAATCCAGCTTTCACAAAACCAAACCTGAGATGCAGCACCTAGCCTAAAACCACCTGTAGGTGTACCCACAATGTGAGTAGAAGGCAGCCAAAGACATTAACTAATTTGCTTCTGCTTACAAAATGAGGTATCTCAGTCTCAAATAAAAAAAGGTCAAAAACGTAACTGTTCAAGTAAAATTAATGAATTCGCACAGTCAATATAATGTACACGAATTAATCAAAAGTATTCAATCATCTTATTAATGAATTTAGTAGAACAAATTTTGGTAATTCATGTTAAGTATATAAGGAAGGGCAGAGAGAGGAAAGATGTTTAAAATTCATCAGAAATAATAAGTCTAAATAACAGGGATTTCTGTTTTAAGCAATGGAATTACAATTTTAGTCCTATAAAGAACAAAGAACCAGGCTGTCTAGCTGCTACCACCCTGGGAGAGTTCTGCATTAATAGGCCATTGGTGGCCAATCACAGCCAACGAGATCCCGCCTCCATTCTCTCACTGGTTGTTTCTATACTATCAGGCACAGCTTTGAGCCCAGCCAGCCATGCTGCAAGTGCACAGCCTGGTCACCTGGCCACAGAGTGCAGACAGCTTGAGACAGCATATCTTCAAGTGTGACACACTGAATGTCATTAAATCACACAGTGGGACAGTTATTCTCTTCTTCATTTTCCAATTAAATCAAGGAAATTCCCTTTGTCCAGGCATGTCTTGAACACTTCCCTAAGACTGGTAATCTTCCTTTTAATACAAAGCAGATCTCAGCTCAGAATCTTTTGCAGGCACTGTGTCTATATATATAGAATTTAATGTTATTTTATTTCTGTTTTACATTTTGGTTAAGTTTCATTTAGAGCAACTGATGAAAGTTTTCTAAAATGTGTTTAAATAAAAGAAGTTATTTGATATGAAGAAAAATCCAGGTGGTATTATTAAAATAAAAATAGAAAAAAGTGGCACACAAATGACTGATGTCTAAAAAATACTGGATTAGCAAAATCCAAGGAAAATATTCCTACTAATACCATCATATTCATATGTGAAGAATAGTACTTTTCATTCCAAGTACTGACAATCATTTCTTTCCCCACATATGCAAACATTTTCCCTGGTGTGGATCAACAGTCTAGACTTCCTCAAAATTAGGAAATCCTACTTGAGTCCAAATTAATAAGATTATCAGTAAGATTATTACTATTTACCTGTGAATGGTGTATTTTTTTTTTTAAGTAATCCTTCAATGCACCAGCGCTTCCTAAAATATACATGGAAGCAAGATTTGGCTCTCCTTTCCTCAAAGTGAATGAAAATGCCAGCATTCGCTTCAATGTCAATTGTGAAGGCATTCTAACCAGGTAACGTGATGAATAACCTTTTCCCATGACGTTTTTATGTTTTTTTCTTTATTAAATCTTAAAAGACAAACTAAATCAATCAACAACTGATGAACTATATAAAGATAACAGAGCAGGATTCCTCAACCTCAGCACTATTGACATTCCGGGCCAGATTATACTTTGTTTTGCGGGCTGTGTACTGTGGAAAGTTTAGCAACATGCCTGGCCTCTACCCACGACTTGCCAGAGCACTCCCTCCCCAGGTTGTGACGATCAAAACCATCTCCAGCCATCGTCTGATGTCCCCTGGGGGTGGGGGGAAGCAAGGCAAAAATCACCCCAGTTAAGAAACACTGTAAAAGAGAAAGACTGGCCCGGCAGTGTTACTTGCGGGTTGTCCGGTCAGTGGAAAAGATCTGGCCAACCCTTACTTCTTCGCCTTATCTCCCACTTCTCTCCTTCTCTGCCTCCAGCCACAGGCCTTGTGGCTATTTCCCAGACGCTCAGTCCCTCGGCAGAGGGCCTTTTCACTGGCTGATCCCTCTACAAAGAATTCCTTCTCCTCTTAAAAATCTTTGCTCATTCATCATCCTCTCAATGAGGTCTTCCCTGACCACCTTATTTTAAAATTCCAAGTCCCCCATCTATAGCCCCCTTATCCTGATCTACTTTCCTGTTTTTCCAGAGAACCCCCTGCCTTTGAACACACAAAACATTTACTTCCTGGGTTTACTGCTTGTCAGCTGTGTCCACTCCTCCCACTCCTACCCTTAGGGTAAGAATCTTTGATTGACTCATTGATATGTCTAGGCCACCTCAAGCATTCAATAAAAGTTGCTGAATGAAAGAATGCATGCATGGTAAAGATCCACCAAGCTAGTTTGCTGTGTCCCTTAACAATGAGATTAGCACATAAAATGATCCTTTCTCTCAAAAAGAATGTTCTAGAGGCCAGTGTGGTGGCTCATGCCTATAATCTCAGCACTTTAGAAGGCCAAGGTAGAAGGATGCTTGAGACCAGCCTGGACGATGTAAGAAGACCCCATCTCAACAAAAAGTAGAAAAAATTAGCAGGGCATGTTGGTGTGCACTTGTAGTCTCAGCTAGCGGGGAGGCTAAGATTGGAGGATCACCTGAGCCTGGAAGGTCAAGGCTGCAGTGAGCTATGACTGTGCCACTGCACTCCAGCCTTGGAGATAGGGTAAGACCCTCTCTCAAAAAAATAATAATTTTCTAGAATTTACATTTCTAAGGACAGGTGCGGTGGCTCACACCTGTAATCCCAGCACTTTGGTAGGCCGAGGCAGGTGGATTACTTGAGGTCAGGAGTTCGAGACCAGCCTGGCCAACATGGTGAAACCTCGTCTCTACTAAAAATACAAATTAGCCAGATATGGTGGTACACGCTTGTAATGCCAGCTACTCAGGAGGCTGAGGCAGGAGAATTGCTTGAACCAAGATCATGCCACTGCACTCCAGCCTGGGCAACAGAACAAGATCCTCTCAAAAAAAAAAAAAAAAGAATTAACATTTCTAGCCATTGCTAAGTTGGCATGTCGTCTGGCAAATGCTGATAGAAACAAGGGGCTACGGTCTACAAGGCAGTATTACAAACAATTACTCTGGGACCCAACAAGTCCAGACCACACATAAAGATCAGGAATCTTAAGCTTTCAAGTTAGAAATGAAATATGAAGTAGCACATAAATAATTCCTAGTTCAAATTTCACTTTTGTTTACATTTGAAAAACAAAAAAGCTACTAACTCCATTTATGAAAGCTTCGCATGATGCAGAAAAACAAAGCTTTCTGAACAAAACAGTTTCTAATAATAACTTCAAGTTGTCTTGGCCCAGTGTAAAATATGAAATAAACCAGTATTGATCATGTTTTGACTTCATTTGTCATCTACACTATAATAAGCTTTTAAGCAGCAGCTGTTTTCTGTTTCTGCCACTTTCTAAATTTCTAGGTTTACTGACAAGTTGACACAGGACACTACTGACTGTAACAAAAATGATTAATATATAAGCTAGCAATGCACAGTAGGAAAAGGGCTTGGAGAAGGGCCATGGTGATGCACAGGGGTCAGTGGCCTCTCCTACCGTCCCGTATGCTCAGCCCCCATCCCCTGGCTCTGCACACACGAGCCACCTTGAACTGTGTGTCCAACACCCCTGCAGCTCTGTTACACCGCAGTCAGCAGCTGTGACTGCTCCTGGCCCTCCAGGGAGATATACAGTTTAAAAATCCACTTTAATAGCTAAGACATAGACAGCTCACCTCTACCATCCAAACCACTTCAAACGCTAGGAAATAGACAGCTTACCTCTACCATCCACTTCAATAGCTAAGACACAGACAGCTCACCTCTACAGATAGCCTCAGCTATCAGGGAGGCTGAGGTGGGAGGATCGCTTGAGCCTGGGAGGTCGAGGCTGCAGTGAGCTGATTGTGCCACTGCTTTCCAGCCTGGGAGACAGAGTGAGACCCTGTCTCAAAAGTAATAATAATAATTGTCTAGAATTTACATTTCTAGCCACTGCTAAGTTGGCCAGGGTGGTTCTGAGCTCGCACAACCTAAAACAAGATCAGTTCCTCTTCAGGAAGGTCCTGACCACTTTGCAAAGAATAACAGGGTTTATCCCTTGCCCCTGATGCTAGGTGACTACATTTAAAAAAAAAAAAAAAGAAACTCTTCTCCGACTAAGAGGCCCACCAGAGAAAAATATTTCTGGAAACTACAACATTGAGAAAAAAGGATTTACCCTCCTCTATGTTAACTAGTTACTCAAGGGTTATCAAACCCTGACAGTATCTCTATCACTTAACGTATGTTGGGGCATAAAGGAAATCAGATGAGGATGCTGTAGTGAAACACACCATGGACTCCTGAGTCCTCACCTGTGTGTCAATGTTTTTCACCAGACACCCATCTGTCCTAAAGCAGGCCACGTATGAATTAATATGTTAAGCATAACATTAGGTGAATGTGCATTGCAGGTTCAACTATAGCAGATACAATCTAATAAACAGAAAAGAAACTTTACAGGTCATTTTACAGCAAAAAAAAAAAAAAGGATTGGAAGATCAATACAGAAACAGAAAGCATGCTGACAGCAGACTGACCTTGAACATCCCCTCCTCCCTCATGGACAGCAGGCAACAACAGCAAACCTAATTCAACAGAGTAGTGGTCCCTGGGCACCATAAGCCCCACGGGAAAAAAGATCATCATGTACATCACCACCCACAATGCCATGGTGGCAAGCACCATGGGACACAAGCACAGACAAACAGGAGGGACACAGCTCCACTTGGAAGAGAGTGAAGAGATGGCAGACACCTTCCCTAGAACACAGGTGGTATGTGATTTGGGCCTTAAAGGTTGAACAGAAATCCTCCACGTGGGAAGAGAGTGAGAATCTGGGAAAGGGAAAAAGAACATTCCAGATGAAGGGGCAAGCACAGCAAGGTACACTATCTGCCACCTTCAAGTGGTTCAGGGACACTGAGCCATTTCACACAAAGCCACCAAGCCCTGAGTAGCCACACCATAATCAGCTTTAAGTGGAAAAAGGGGAAAAAAATAAACACAATAAAACATACCTAATGAGATCCCTTTATTGGCCCAAACATAAGCAGAGCAGGAGCTGGAGGTAGAATGTTATGGCGTGTCTACCCCAGGCAAGCATTTTCACTCTCCAGCCATTCCCAGTATTTATGATTCTCCATTCAACATGTCACCCTATCATTATAACTCTACATGATATATGCCACCCTGAGCCAGACCAATTATCCATACAATCCAATATTCTGTTTCTGACATACCACTAGGGGACACTGAACAAGGAACATGATAGACATGGTCCACTATGTCCACGTTTGACTCAAAATATTACAAGATTGGTTGATGGTGGCCAAGAAGTTTAAGCCTTATTTGCAAAATTTGTACTTAGAATGTAGAATGTATTCATGTAGAACTTATATCAATAAAAATTAATTTTTTAGAGGGTCACATTAGCCACTCTTCAATAAACAACTAAATCTTTGCAAGGCCTTAGGTGATTTGGGGGGAACTAGAATACACCACTCCCGTAATGTGTTATTTAAAGTAGTTTTGTTCTTCTCACTAACAGGCTTGTAAGTACTAATGCAGATTCCTGAATTGGGACTATTTCTAATAGCGAGACTAGACAAGCTTGATCCATCTAACAAATAAAGAACATTCTTGATTCTTCAACAGCTTTTGGTGGGAAGTGACCCCCGCACACCTCAGGTCCTTGTTAACTTAACTAAATTCAAACGGCAAGTTGTGCAAGCAAACTTTCTCTATATAAACGTCATTCTCTAACAAGACCCACACTGATTTATTAGCTCTCATATGAGCAGATCCATCCAATGCATAATGTTTTATATTGCAAATCTTTGAGGGCTACTGATAGTTATTACTAGCACTATGCAATGGGCTGGCTGGAAAGACCAGCCTAATTCATGAGCAGCCATCCTTTCTATGCCATGCAGACATGGAAATTCCTCTTTGATTTGTGGCTTTAATCATGGCTTCCAAAACCCATCATTATTTATGACTCTTTTATTTACTTTTATTTTGAGATGGAGTTTCACTCTTGTTGCCCAGGCTGGAGTGCAATGGCGTGATCTTGGCTCACTGCAACCTCCACCTCCCAGGTTCAAGCGACTCTCCTGCCTCAGCCTCCTGAGTAGCTGGGATTACAGGCATGTGCCAGCATGCCCGGCTAATTTTTTTTTTTTTTTTTTTTTTTTTGTAATTTTAGTAGAGACAGGGTTTAACCATGTTGGCCAGGCTGGTCACAAACTCCTGACCTCAGGTGAACCACCTGCCTTGGCCTCCCAAAGTGCTGGAATTACAGGCGTGAGCCACCATGCCCCGCCGACTCTGACTTTTAAGTTGACAGTCAATGGGAAACAGGTTACCTGATAGGAAAGAACTCTGCAGCTCAAAGCAGTTCATATGCTCCATTTTAATGTTACCAATCTCCATTCTCCTGCCAACTCGCCCACTTGAGGGAGGGAGTTGAAGAAGATGAGGGTGGTAAAGTCTACACGGCGTTAATGAATGAATGAATGGAACAATATTACTTAAAAATGCAATGAGTTCTCTAGTCAGACTTGAGGTAGATGCAAAAGAAAAAAATGGTTGTAGAAGACAGTCAAAATCTTTGGGATGAGTATTGGGGTATAGGGTCCTCTATTTTCGTACTGTTCAAAATAGCTAAAACAATCAAGCAATGCTCTCAGACCAAGCAAGGTAACTTTACCAGCATCTCCAAAACCACCTCTTGCTCCATTCCACTTACCACCTCCCGCAATGGGTAACAACTCTCCTGCCTTCTGACAGCCTAGATTCGCTTTGCATCGTTTTATAGTTTGTACAAATAGAACCATGTAGTGTGTACCCTTTTGTGTCTGGCTTTTCAGATGTTTGTGAAATTATCCATATTACTGATTAGAGCTATAGATCATTCATTCTTACAGCTGCATGGTTTTCCATTGTGTGAACATACCAGAATTTATAATCCTTTGTAGTCATGATAAATATTTGAGTAGATTGCAGTTTCCAACTCTTAAGAATCATGCAACTGGCCCGGCACGGTGGCTCACGCCTGAAATCCCAGCACTTTGGGAGGCCGAGGCAGGCAGATCATGAGGTCAAGAGATCGAGACCATCCTGGCCAACATGGAAACCCCGACTGTACTAAAAGTACAAAAATTAGCTGGACCTGGTGGCGCGCCTGTAGTCCCAGCTACTCAGGAGGCTGAGGCAGGAGAATCGCTTAAACCCAGGAGGCAGAGGTTGCAGTGAGCCAAGATCACGCCACTGCACTCCAGCCTGGAGACAAAGCAAGACTCCAACTCAAAAAAAGAGAATCATGCGACTATGAACATGTTTTTTGAGAATATATGTCTATGTTTTGTTGGGCATATAACCAGGAGAATTGGTGGGTTATTCAAATTCTTTTTTTAAGGTTTTCAGAGTACATATAAATCATGCAAATCTGTGCTGGAATCTTCCATCCCTGACGAAAAGCCTCTTGAAGCCCTCCAGCTGCTTCTTGAAAGGCTGTGCTTTCTCCTGCTGGGCTGTGAGTCCCAAACGCAGTGACCATTCCTCAAAGTGCCCAGTGCCTAGCCACAGCCTGCTGTATTCTTCGCCTTGGCTACCAGGCATGGGACACTTTGACCACTGAGCTACTGGATTCCAGACCACACTGCCTCAACTTCCAAAACCTTCTCAATTAACTCCAATCTGGCTTCCACTTCTTGGCTGTGCTGAACTACTCACTGAGGTGAGTGAAGACGCCCTAACTGCCAAACTCCATGGCCTGTCTTCAATCCTCATCTTACCTGACCCTTCCGGGGCAAGTGACATAAATAAATGATTATCCAATCAAAACCCTGGCTCCAAGGGTCTCCTGGTTTCTTAACTCCATGGCTAATTTCTAGAAGCCTCTGCTGCCCAGGGTGTACCCCTTCGCCTTCTTCTCCAACATTCCCTCTCATCCTGCTCCCTCTCATCCTGCTCCAGCTACCACTCACCACTAATGACTTTCACATCTCCTCTCCAGTCCTAACTGTGCTCCAGAACCCTACAAGGGGGCTTTCTGGTGTCCTCAACAATGCCACCAGGATCTGTGTCATTGCTTCTCATGTGCTGTCCAGTGCCATTCACTATGTTAGACCACAGGGACCCAAAGAAGGATAAGACCCATTCTAATGGTCAATGCTATTAGTAAATTAGCAAATGCTGCCACAGGAAAATACAGGGCTCAGGAAACACAAAGAAGGAGTGTCTAGCCCAGTCTGGGTAGAAGGGAATGGAGGTGTCAGAAAAGTTCTCCACGAGACCCTGTCTCTGAGTTGACCCTTCCCTCACCACTGGAACTATCTGTCAACCCTATTCCCCACTCCCGGGCTCATCTCCTTGATTGAGACCCCACTCCCCTCGCCTGAACCACGGGAACACACTGGGGACCCCACCCCAGCTTTTCCTCCACCAGTCTTTCCTTTCTTTAAAGCACAGAGCAGCTCTAGTCACTCCCTGGTTCAGATTCTCCAGTGGTTCCCATGACTCCATGGATAAAAGGCCAACACTTTACCTTACAATGGACTTAAGGGCTATGTATGGCCTGGCCCCCACCTCCTCCTCTCACCTCCTGTGTCTGTTATTCACTGTTCCAGACACACAGGCCTTCCTGCTAGTCCTTGACAAGGAAGAGCTGTATGCAGGAGGCTTTCTCTGGCTCTTCATGCGAGTATCTCCAGCGTGTTACTCAAATCTCAACTCAGAAGCACCTCTCAGGGCTCCAGAGATGCCTTCTCTGGCCACTTGACGTTAGCAGCACCTGTATGCATGCAACCACACTGTGCTGGCACCTTCAGTCACACTCACCTGCTATATGTCCTTCTGCTTACCTCTTTAGTGTCTTGTTTCTGCTGCTGAACTGAAAGCTTCATATAAGCAAAAACTGGGTTCGTTTTATTCACTTCTGTGTCCACAATGCCTAACATAGTGCCTGAGACTTAATAGGCCCTTAATAAATATCAGTTGAATGAATGAATGAATATAACAGTGAATGACGAGTCCTCCAAAGGATAGTGGTTAAGATAAATTCTGCAGCCTGACTTCCTGGTTTAAATTCCACCCGTCACTTACTAGCTGTGTTACTTTGGGCAAGTTACTTAGCCTTTCTGTGCCCGCTGTGAGACTTGCAATAATAAAATGGGATTAAAAACACCCAGCCCGTGGGCTTTTGTTACAACAATAATGTGTCACAGCAGAGCTTGACATGCTCTTAGTCCTAAGTAAGCAGCAGTGTTTGTACCACTGCTTGGGTTGCATTCCTAAGACAGAAACCCGACCACAGTGCTTAGGGACGCCCTACTGCCTCCCAGGTTAAGCCTAAACCCTGGACTGGTAAAGCAGATTCTTCACTGACAGCCCCCAGTGCTATCTCCCAGCCTCTCCCACTCCCTCCCTCACACACAGCCCTTGTTCCCAAGTCTCCACTCTTCTTTCTCACTGGCTCCCAAGCAGACCAGGATCATGCAACACTCTGCCTGTGTACACACCGCCCAAATGCCCATCGCCTTCCTCCGCCTGCCCCAACTCAAATGCCACCTCCCCTCAGAAGCCTTCCCCTCCTACCCCTGCCCTGTCTTCTTTTTTTTTTTTTTTTTTTGAAACAGAGTCTTGCTCTGTTGCCCAGGCTGGAGTGCAGTGGCACAATCTTGGCTCACTGCAGCCTCCATCTCCCAGTTTCAAGCAATCTTCCCACCTCAGCCTCCCTAGTAGCTGGGATTACAAGTGCACGCCACCACACTTGGCTAATTTTTGTATTTTTAGTGGAGACGGGGTTTCACCATGTTGGCCAGGCTAGTCTCAAACTCTTGACCCCAGGTGATCTGCCCACCTTGGCCTCCCAAGGTGCTGAGATTACAGGCGTGAGCCACCGCACCCAGCCCGGCCCTGTCTTCTTACAGGCCCAGATCTGTGTTCCCTCTTCTGCCTGGGCCCTTGAGACACTGCAGGCACTTCCCTGCCAGGCTGTGGGTGTCAGGAGTTGAGCCCCAGGCTTCCCCACAACTCTATCCCCAACGCTTTTGGGAAGGCTGATACCTTGGAAGACGTGGAGAAACACGTTATGTGCATGAATGACTTTCCAAGCATGGAAACTAATACCTGCCCTCACCTCTTATTTTTTTCCCATCAGGGTTAAACTATTTGGTATTTTCAAGGTCAAAACTACTTTCCCTTTTGTTAGCTAGGTTTTGTTGCAAAATTTGTTTACAAGAGCTTATTTTGTGATGAAGAAAGCCATTTAAAACTCTTCTTTTTAAACAGAGACAACTTGTGGGAATTGCTGATGTTCATCTGTTTGCCTCACAGGAAATAGAAAATACAGAGCAACTAAAGTAGAATGCATTACAACAACGGGAAGGGAAGCAAGGTGGATCCGCTTCCACCACTCTGACTCTTTTGTTCCTTGCCATTCTCACACACAAATGGGAAAAATGAGACATGAAGCTTGAGCAGCTTCTCAAGGGTTATTCAACAGAGGTTTTTCAACAAAGCTCAGCTCTTCTAACTAAACCTAGTGGGAAAGATACTGATCCGGCTGGCTCAACTAATCCACAGACCTAGGGGCTCTAATGGAATAAAATCAACTCTGAGCTAGAGAAGGAGTCAGCAAACCACCTTCCCTAGGCCAAATTCAGCCCACCACTTGTATTTGTAAATAAAGTTTTATTAGGACACACCCATGCCTACTCATTTATGTGCTATTTATGGCTGCTTTCAGGCTACAATAGCAGACCAGAGACCTTCTAGCCAGCAAGCCCTAAAATATATGATCCTTTCCAGAAAAAAACTGCCAATCTCTGACTCAGAGAATACTTTGATCTCTGGGTTTTGTTCCATTTTCCAAGTATTAGATATTGCTGTTCAAATTATTTCAGTTGACAGGGAGATTTTTATTTTAAAAAACTGAAAATCTTTGGTTCAAGTATATATCATAGTTCAGAGAAAAAGTTCAATGGTTTGGTTTAGGATTGATTCAAGCGTATATCATAGTTCAGAGAGAAAGTTCAATGGTTTGGTTTAGGACTCAGATTAATATCGTTCCTCTGCTTTGGGGGCTTGGTTGTTGTCCTTGAGGAGATTTTTACAAACATAGAACAAAGTGGGCAGATAACATGGAATGCTTTTTGCTCTGGAAAATGTCTTTTATTCCAGGTTGAACATATATTGCTCCTTCTAGCATTAAGATTCCAAGATTTTCTCTATATTCCATTGGCTTAGCTAATCCCGTTTTCACCAAAGGTCCAGATATCATTTGTTAGAACCTGGCTTTTCCCATAAATAGAAGTATATCGTCTTCCAAGCTCTTTCACAGATAGCTCTTGCAAGCTAAATATTTGAAAAGAAATACACTGCCCCCCAAACACTAACGTATTTTATGAGTCAGTCTTTTGAAGCTAAATGGATCTTACAAGAACTCCGCAGTGACTTCAGAATTGGAATCCAGCCTTCCAACTCTTCCTATAGATGTTTGATCATGTGACACTTTCATCTCACTCCTTTAAACCTTTTACTATGGAAATTTTCAAACATATACAAAAATAGAGACTAGTCCCCAGTAACCAACTTCAACAAGTATCAACATTCTGCCATTTATCTTTCCATCTATCCCTCTCCTGACCTTTTATTTACTGTTTGTTGCAGTATTTGACAGCGGACTTCACACATCAAATGATTTCACCCACGAATGCTTGTTTCTGTTAGATGAGGCCCTTTTCCTTTGAACAAAACCATGACACTATTATCACACCCAACAAAATAATTATTAATATTATCTAATACCCAGTCCAACTCAATTTTCCCTGTCTCAATAATGTATTTTTATAGTTGATTTGTTCAACTAAAGATCCAAATATGACCACATATTGTCTTATGTTGATAGGTCTCTTAGGTCTCTTTACATTTGCAATAGGCTCCCCTCATTTTTTATTCACCAGCTCTCTTTACATTTGCAATAGGCGCCCCTCATTTTTTACTCACCCATCCCTGACACACATTTAAATTCTAATTGGCCAAGCAAACCTTATCAACAATAACACCTCTTCAGCCTCCATATGCTATAAGCAAAACTAGACATTCATAGGCCTGCAGCTGCTTAGGCATAGACATACAGCTCCACCTTCCATGTGTAATTCAACATGGAAACCAATATGTCAGGCCATCCCACACACTTTCCGCTTTCAAGAGAAGAAATTTAGATTGCTTCAGCAAGCCAATTCTCTGAAATGAAATCTCTTCTGTGCTGCAATGGCCTGAAGACTCTGAATGATTTAAAAAATAAGACATCCATTCATTATGGCTCCCTTTTGAAATTAGCCAAACATAATCAAGAATCACAAAGTAAATCAGACAAAAGCCTCATAATTCGTTATCGTTAACATTAACAACATTAATTGAGCACCTAGATAATGCGAGACATTGGATTATAGAAAGGATGGCCTGTGTCCCTACCCCAAGGGACCTACAGTCTAAATAGGCATCGCATCATTTAGACACAAATGCCCCAGGAGGACAACAGTCACAGTACCACCCAAACTGACATCCATCTCCTATCCCCTAGGTTAAGAATATTTATGAGATTGATCCATGTGGTGGAATAAAAAGAAAAGAGCAGACCAGGCGCGGTGGCTCACACCTGTAATCCCAGCACTTTGGGAGGCCGAGGCGGGCAGATCACGAGGTCAGGAGATCGAGACCATCCTGGCCAACATGGTGAAACGCCGTCTCTACTAAAAATACAAAAAATTAGTCAGGCGTGTTGGCGGGCGCCTGTAGTCCCAGCTACTCGGGAGGCTGAGGCAGGAGTATGGCGTGAACCCAGGTGGCGGAGCTTGCAGTGAGCCAAGATCACGCCACTGCACTCCAGCCTGGGCGACAGAGTGAGATTCTGTCTCAAAAAAAGAAGAAAAGAGCAGAAGGAACCGCATTTGACTGTGAATTCCACCATTCATGAGCTGTGCCACAATGGATAAGTTACTCAACCTGATTCTCAGTTTTCTCATCTGTTAAGAGGAATAATCCCACCTACCTCACAGAGTAGCAGCTGTTAACATTGAATCATAAGCTCTTACATAAAAATCCAGCAAAGATGATGATGATGATAAAATCACTGAATACTTTACAAAGCACTAGACTAGAATGTTTTCTGGCTATCCATCTAACCCTCACACCAGTCCTATGAAGCAGCTCCCATTCTCATGCCATTTTCCAAAGAATTGAACAGAATGGATGAGTGGTCCACCCAACGTAACACAGCTACAGGTGTGAGAGAGCCAGGATGTAGAGGATAAAACTTCAGGGTTCTTTCTGCCAATAATGGTATGATAATACCTCCCAATACTACCATGGGGAGGTGTAGGGGTAGAAGCAGGGCGACACGAATGAGCATGCCCTCCCGTACAGATCAATTATGTTATAAACTCCTAAGGTACAGCACTCCACAGCTCCTACCCTTGCCCAAACAGGAAGCCCCCAAGAGGCTGCCAAGGTTGTCCTACCCAAGGTGTGGTTAAGTTCAGAGCCATAACGGTGGTTTCCTTCCTCATTGGGGCAAGTCTTCAGCTGTCTGCTGAAGAGTACTTAAGTCTTTATAATCACAAGTCTCAAACACCTAACATTTGTTCAAATATTTGTCCAAAGTAAGATCATAATTTTTTCCTATATAATTCCTTACTTCCTTTTTTGTACATACATAGGTGAAAAAGGACTGAAGGAGGGGAGCCGTCAGAAAAGAGGTGCAACTACCCTGTGGCCACTATACTGTGAGAAGGCTGACCTAGCCAAGTGGAAAGGGCACCTCGCGGAGAACTGAAGTCCTGGCCAACAGCCAGGACCTATGCCACCCACATAAGTGACATCATTTCGGACTTCCCCAACTGAAACCACATTAAGCAGAAGCACCACCCAGTCTACTCACAGATTTGTGGGAAATCAAATGCTGTTGGTTTAAGCCATTGAGTTTTGGGGTGGTTAGATAACTGAAGCAGCTAGAAAATAGCTTTCCAGTCAGACCAAATACCACATCTATGAATGACAAGCACCATCATGGCAACTAAACATTGTTTATCCGTTGTATCAACGGAAATGATACAACTCCTTCAATCTGAGCATGCCCATCGGCTGAAACATTCAGCTGGGTAAACCTGGATCTATACTGTACCAGGCTCAACAGTGTTAAATAACTACTAATAATGATCACATGAATAACGGTAACAGCAGCCATTATTTACCAACTGTTTATTACATACTAGGCATTGTGCTAAATCCTTTATTCATTTAATCCCTTATAAAAGCCTTTTGAGGTGGGCCACTATAATGCCCATTTTACTGATGAGGTCGCTGAGGCATAGAGTGGTACAGCGACTTGCCTGGGATCACACTGACAGTAAACAGTGATACGGGATTTCACTCTTGGCCATCTGATTCCACAGACACCGGGCTCTTAACTATCAGCTTGCTTTACCCCTTCAAAAGTGTTATGCTACTTTAACAAAACTGCCCCTTGTTGGTTTGTTTTGTTTTGTTTTGTTTTTTTGAGACGGAGTCACTCTGTCGCCCAGGCTGGAGTGCAGTGGCGTTCACTGCAACCTCTGCCTCCCAGGTTCAAGCAATTCTCCTGCCTCAGCCTCCCGGGCAGCTAAGATTAGAGACGCGCGCCACCAAGCCCGGCTAATTTTTGTATTTTTAGTAGAGACAGGGTTTCACCATGTTGGCCAGGCTGGACTCAAGTGATCTGCCCGTCTCTGCCTCCCAAAGTGCGGGGATTACAGGCCTGAGCCACCGCACCCAGCCGAAACTGCGCCTTCTGAGTTAATGTGTGTAAAGAGTTTAAGACTGGGCCGGGCGTGGTGGCTCACGCCAGTAATCCCAACACTTTGGGAGGCCGAGGTGGGCGGATCACGAGGTCAGGAGATCGAGACCATCCTGGCTAACAGAGTGAAACCCCTTCTCTACTAAAAATACAAAAAATTAGCCGGGAGTGGTGGCGGGCGCCTATAGTCCCAGCTACTTGGGAGGCTGAGGCAGGAAAATGGCGTGAACCCAGGAGGTGGAGCTTGCAGTGAGCCGAGATCGTGCCACTGTACTCCAGCCTGGGCTACAGAGCAAGACTACGTCTCAAAAAAAAAAAAAAAAAAAAAAGAGTTTAACGCTGTCTGGTCCATGGTAAGTTTTCAGTAAACACCAACTCTTACTATTAGGAAACCTGAAGATGTGGAATGAAAGATGAGAGGAAGTACTGTATATGACTGGCGTACAGTACGCCCCCAATTAATGTTAGCTATTTGGATGATTTATATAGGGCTTCTTCACCAGCAAGCACTCCGGTGCTCGGTAATTTTCTGTTTACAAGTAGGCTCTCCCCACACCCTGTGAGCTCCCTGCGTGTAGAGCTGTTTTCAACACATCCTTGCAGGTTCGGAGCCCAACACGTGGCCCCCAGAGCAAATAGCTGCTCAGTAAGTTTCTTGACAGGAGAGAAAACGCTTCCTTCCTTCACCAGAAATGCGAACTTGGATTTCTAAGATGACACCTCCCCCAGCTACCAGCCCTTAACATGATTCCAAAAAAGAGGGCAAGAAGGGACAAGGGTCCCACCCAAGAAATGCGGGGGCCAATGGGCTCCATGGGATAAGAGATGGAGCCGGGCTTGTGGCCAGGACACTTGAGAAGTCCGTGCAACTCCGTGACCGGCCACACCGAGAGGGGGACCTCCCAAACCCCCCAGCAGTCCTAAAAAGTCCCTAGGAAAAGGGCAAGGCCCTGAGAGGGAAGTCACCCACCTCCCAGGTGGCGGACCCCCCGCCCGCCCAGGGTCGACTAGGACTTGGGACTACCCCCTCCGCCCATCCCACGGCAGCTGCAGGCGCAGGAAGAAAAGAAGTGACAGGGAGTCCAAAGTTTCCCCAACAACAAAAATCCTTCCCCCGAGGGAAGGGAAGGGCTCCCACCCTCAGCCCGCCCCGCCCAGGGAGGAGGGACCGCCACCAGTGGATCTAGGCAGTTGGGGGTCCCGCTGTTCTGGTCCCGACAAGGAGTGCCTGGCTTGAGGTTCCCCCGCCCCGCGCTTCGTGCACTCTGAATTCTTTGAGAGGGTCCCAGGGAGGGACAGGGGTGCCCCAACTCTTACTTACAGTCGTCTAAGTCATCCTGCAAGTCCACAAAGTACAGGGGGATCTCTGAAAACCAAGAAACACACAAGAAGTTACCAGGGGGCTGCGGCGAGAGGGGACGGGGTCGGGCAGGGGCCCCTCGGCCTCGCGGGGTGGTCACGGGGCGAGAGAGAGAGGGGCACCCCTGGCATCCCCCGAGCCCAGCCCCACTCACCCGCCATCTTGGGATGGGCATGGAGGCGGGACCGGCAGGGGCGGGGCCCTGCAGACAGGGGCGGGGCCCTGCAGACAGGGGCGGGGCCCTGCAGACAGGGGCGGGGCCCTGCAGACAGGGGCGGGGCCCTGCAGACAGGGGCGGGGCCCTGCAGACAGGGGCGGGGCCCTGCAGACAGGGGCGGGGCCCTGCAGACAGGGGCGGGGCCGTCGGCTTCGGGCCCCGCCCCCGATCCGCGCCGGCCGGCCGGCCCCGCCCTCTCAGCGAAGGTGGCTGCCGAGGTGGGCGGGGAGGTCAGGTGACGCGGCCGGCGTCCCAAGATGGCGGCGGCGGCGGCTCCCGGAAGGCCGCGGCGGCGTCCCGGCTGCTAAGGCGGGCCCCACGCGGCTGGCAGCGGACAGGCCGGACCTACGGCCGGAGGACGGGCGGCAGCCGCCTCTGCGCGGACCGGGGCTGGGCCGTGCGGCGGCAGCGGCGCCAGGGGATGCTCTTGCTGGGCCTGGCCTCTCCCTTCTCAACTTAGGGCGGCGGCGGGCCCGCGCCCCTGGCTCCCGGGCCATGGCGCTGAGGGAGCTCAAAGTGTGTCTGCTCGGGGTGAGTGGCGGCGGGTCCGGCCGGGAGGGCCACGGGAGGCTGGGCTGGCGGGGACCCCGGATCCCCCCTGTCCCCTCATCCCTTCCCCCCTCCCACGTCCAAGACGCTGTCTGCCAGCCCCGTGGACCCTCCCTCCAGCTCGGGAGCCGTCCCGCCCACCTCTTGCACTCTCGAAAAGGTCCTGGAGGCCGAAGGGACCCTTCCCCTTCCCCTCCCTGGAGCCCGTGGACTCTTCCCGCCCCACAAAGAGCAAACAGCCCCCCCTTGCCTCTCTATTGCATCTGGGTTAAGAGAGGTTCTTAAATAGTTTTCTCCCAACTTACCAAGGTATTAGTTGGGAGTTGGCCAAGTCTTCCAAAGTAAAACCAATAACAGGTCTTTAGGTTTTACAAGCAGCATTAGCCTACTTTGTCTCTTGGGTGTTTTTGAACTTGTGGGATACCCCTGCCACTTGTCCAAAGAGTTACTTTGCCAAGTAACTCTTCCTGTGGAGAAAAGGGGTGTTCAAATCAGGAAGCCCCAAAGACTAGTTTGAAGCTTCAGCTTCCTGTCTTGTCAGGAAAGACAAGGTGTTGGCCATTTCAAAGCCTTCTTTCTGAAATTGATGCTGTCATTCCAGAGTTTCTGCCTTAAAGATCGGCAGGAACTCCAATAACTAATCTTTATTCCCCCAAATAGGGTGGGGCTAGGATTCATCAGGGATTACTCAGAGGTAACTCAGGAGTTCAAAGTTTACTAACATATGTTAAAAAGCAAGTGGACTTGTTACTTTTTACACGAAGCAGAAACTTTGGGTCTCTCAAAAGGTCCTAATCTGTCTTAACGGCAAAAACCTCTCCCTTTTAGTACAGTTGGAATTTCCTAATTACTCTACTGAATTTTTATGACAACCGCTTTTGTGTTCCTCCGTTTATAAAATTTACACGTCTAGGGTGATTTTTCTAAAATCCTGAACTTATGCCACAAAGTAGTTTTTGGTGTCTGCCAAAAGGTAAACTTTTTCTCAGTCCCTCATCTCGTTCTCTTTCAGGATACAGGTGTAGGTAAATCGAGTATTGTGTGGCGGTTTGTGGAAGACAGTTTTGATCCAAACATCAACCCAACAATAGGGTAAGAGACTTTTATTTGATACACATCTAAAGGTGCATTGAAAATCCTTCCAAATACATAGTGTGTTACAGGTGTAGGCCCTGCGCTTTGTAGTCATTGAATTCTGAGTCGCTGGTTCGCATCATCTCTGGAAGGACTTGAAAGAGTCCAGTGAGGATCTGTGTATTTTAGGAAAATTATCTTCGGACTTGTTGGGGGTGAGAACTTCAAAATGCAAATATGAATTGGAGTTCTACTAATTATTAGAACAGACACAGAAGCTTCGGTCTATAAATATCAACAGCAATTACACCTTGAAATAAGGCAGATGAAAATAGATCCTGGTGCTATTCTTTCAGGCATATCAAGTAAAAGACATTTAAATGGTTTTTGTCCTTCCTGAAAGTAGTAGGTTGAGATCTGAACCCTTACACATTCCTGTACTGGTAGTAATAATAAATTAATAAATTCATATTGAAATGGAAGGTTTTTTCAGTTCTCTGGTTCTATGGATAAGTAAAGTTGATTGTTCATATGTTTTTGACGCTATAAGAAAACTTTTCATTTTGCAATACTAATCCTTTGACTACATAAGAAGTTGTGTTTTATAGGCTTTAATATTATGTTAACCTTATAAAACTAAATAGGTGCTGTGCTCTAGTTTTAATCATCAAACCCTCAAATGGTTTCCAGCATTTAAAGAAAAAATCTATGTTATCCATCATTAGGATAAAATTGGCCTTTGTGCTCCATGCAGATCATTCTTTGACTAATAGAGAAATATTTTACAGCCCAGGAGAGAAACTGCCATAAGATTGTCCCCTGAGAAATTATGAGCTCCTGCTGTCAGAGGTTATTTATGGATTTTTTTGAGACAGAGTTTCGCTCTTTTTGCCCAGGCTGCGGTGCAATGGCGCAATCTTGGCTCACTGCAACCTCTGCCTCCCGGGTTCAAGCGATTCTCCTGCCTCAGCCTCCTGAGTAGCTGGAATTATGGGCGCCCACCACCATGCCCAGCTAATTTTGTATTTTTAGTAGAGACAAGGTCTCACCGTGTTTGCCATGCTGGTCTCGAACTCCTAACCTCAGGTGATCTGCCCACCTCAACCTCTCAAAGTGCTGGGGTTACAGGCATGAGCTGCCACACCTCGCCTATGTGTTCAATATTTTTTGTCTGCTTTTTTTTTTTTTTTTTCACCCAGGCTGGAGTGCAGTGGCACAATCATGGCTCACTGCAGCCTCAATCTCCTGGGCTCAAGTCATCCTTCCACCTCAGGTAGCTGAGATCACAGATGCACACTATCACACCTGGCTAAATTTTGTATTTTTTAGTAGAGATAGAGTTGCACCATGTTACTCCGGCTGGTTTTCTTTTTTTTTTTTTTTTTTTTTTTTTTTTTTTTTTGAGGTGGAGTCTCGCTCTGTTGCCCAGGCTGGAGTGCAGTGGCGCGATCTTGGCTCACTGCAAGCTCCGCCTCCTGGATTCACGCCATTCTCCTGCCTCAGCCTCCCGAGTAGCTGGGACTACAGGCACCCACCACCATGCCTGGCTAATTTTTTTTTGTATTTTTAGTAGAGACGGGGTTTCATGTATTAGCCAGGATGGTCTCTCTCTCCTGACCTCGTGATCCGCCTGCCTTGGCCTCCCAAAGTGCTGAGATTACAGGCGTGAGCCACCGTGCCTGGCCGCCTATCTGCTTTTTTAAACCCTGTGGGTCTCCTACACATTTGAAGGCATGGGGATGAAATTCACCAATAAGTTTCTGCAATTAAAATGCTTTTCCGTGTCCTTTAAGAAAGAGCTGGGTATGACACATGTAAAACATGACCCCATCCTTCTCAGGGCCTGCCTGTCCCTACCTGCATGGGAAAGTGAAGTGTTGGGAAGTGACAGCAAGTACTGCTGGTGATTCAGTGAGTGATACACTTCACACTGAGTCAGAGCTGAAAACCTAAAATCCACAAGACACCCAGACACCACCTTGGCTAGAAGTGCTCTCTCAAATAAGAAGAGAGAAAAGTGAAGGGTGTAGCTTCATGCATCTTGGTGAGGCACGCCCCATCCTGAGTGTCCACTGTTCCCTTTTTGCCAGTAGCTCCCAATCTGCCAGATGCCTGTGGCTCCTGAGCTGCCTCTAGTCCACTCTCTGCACCAGGAGATTTGGCTCACATTTTCACAGGGAAAATAGCATACAAGGCTTTCTCCTCATTTTCTTTCTTCTGCCTTTTTTTGTTTCTTTTTCCTCAGTTTTAGAAGGTGGCTTCCTCCTTTGTGACCAACCCCAAACATGCCCCTGAGCTCTGGAGCCCCACCTCTTCATGAGTTACCCTGTTTCTTCCTCAGCCCTATCATCTTGTCATAGCCTGCACACAGGTTCCGAATCCACCCCACTCCACCACAAGAGCACCCATTCCCCAACCTACTGCTCAGATGGTGGAACTCCTGAAAGAGAAGTTACCACTTCCGCAACTGCTGCTCACTCTTCAGCCCTCCGTCATCTCAGCTCCTCCCTGCCATGCCACTAAAACCACCTTCCCCTGGTACCAGTTTCCATCTAATAGCCAAAGTCAAATGGCCTTTTCTTGGTAGTTTTCTTTATTCATAGAGTGCCTGCTATATGCCAGGTGCTAGACTGGGTGCTGGTGCCTAGACCAGGGGTGGGCAAACTGTGGCCTTTTTGCCCGCCTCCTGCTTTTGTAAATAAAGAGTTACTGAAACAGTCACACCCAATTATTTACTTACTGTCTTGCTGCTTTGGGGCTACAATGACCAACTTGAATAGTTGCAACTAAGCCTTGATGGGCCACAAACCCAAAAATATTTGCTATCTGGTACTTTTCAGAGCAAGTTTGCTGACCCCGATCTAGACAAAATGGACTTCTGTCCTCGTAGACCTTACCTACAAGAAGCTACATTATGACTAGTGTACAGGAAATGATTTATTCTTTTTCTTTTTTTTTTTTTGAGACTGAGTCTCTCTCTATTACCCAGGCTGGATTGTAATGACACGATCTCGGCTCACTGCAACCTCTGCCTCCCATGTTGAAGCGATTCTCCTGCCTCAGCCTCCCATATAGTTGGGACTATAGGCGCACATTTGGGAATCTGCCCGCCACAATGCCAAGCTAATTTTTGTATTTTGAGTAGAGACAGGGTTTCACCATGTTGGCCAGGCTGTTCTCAAACACCTGACCTCAGGTAATCTGCCTGCCTTGGCCTCCCAAAATGCTGGGATTACAGGCATGAGCCACTGCGACCAGCCAGAAATGATTTATTCAACCCTTTTCTGTGCTATGAAGGAGAAATATGCAGTACTATGAAAACATGTGACAGGGACCTGACCTGGGCCTGTGGGGATAACTGACTCCTACAGTGATCAGTAAAGGTGTGAAGCACCTAGCAGCACTGACATTTAAATATTGAAAGATGAATGGATTAAGTTTAAGAATCAAAGTTGGCTGTGCACGGTGGCTCACACCTGTAATCCCAGCACTTTCGGAGGCCAAGACGGGTGGATCACCTGAGGTCAGGAGTTTGAGACCAGCCTGGGCAACATGGTGAAACCCCGTCTCTACTAAAAATACAAAAATTAGCCAGATGTGATGGCACACACCTGTAATCGCAGCTACTTGGGAGGCTGAGACAGGAGAATTGCTTAAACGCGGGAGGCGGAGTTTGCAGTGAGCCGAGATCGCACCACTGCACTCCAGCCTGGGTGACAGAGCAAGACTCCATCTCAAAAAAAAAAGAAAAGAAAAAAAAGTTTTTGAAGAATGGAAGTGAAGTAGTTGGTGGTGGTGAGGGACGGTGGGTAGAAAAGAACCAGAATGGGCATGAGGGACAGCAAGGACCGTGAGGCGGGAGGGCAAGGGAGGTTGGAAGAGGGGTCAGGAGGCCGGGGTGGCTGGAGGACCCACAGCAAGAACCAGGAGAGACGGCAGGGTGGTTGGTGAGCCAGCAGGGACCAGTCCACAGGGCCCTGGAGTCCGGAGGAGGAGCCGACATCACTTACTGCAGAACACATCCCTGCTTCTCAGTTGAAGCTCCTCTGTCTTCTCTAGTTCCCTTCCTGCTTCATAACCGTGCTTTCTCACTGCAGTCTCCTGGCCTCTCATACTGATTTGATAAAAGCTGGTCTTCCCCAAGCTGTGTCCTGACTTCCCATGTTTCTCACCTCCCTCGGACACCTCACCTTCACCTGTATAATGTGACCTCCAAGCCCATGCCTCCAACCCATGATTTGCACCTAGTCTCCTACAGAACTCCGTCTTTGTTCCTCCTCCAGTCCTGCATACCTCACACGGTATCTGTGTTCTTCCCTAAGGGCTCGCCTGTGTCGTATCATGGGGAAGAGCATGGGCCTTGAAGAACCATGCTCCCTAGACTTAGGGCCTTGACTGTGTGCTAGCAGGGAGAATATCTGCGCAAGTGACAGGGTCACTCTTGTGGAGGTTGGGGCGGGGGGTCATAGCCCTGCCTACCTTATAGGGAGTTTTAGGAGAATTCCGTGACTCCATACACAGAGTGGGCATAGGAAGTGTGCAGTAAATGGTGGTGGTGTGTAGTGGTACTGTCATCATATCCCTCTTCACCCCACCCCCAGCCCAATCCCCAAACCCCATTCATATCCATTTAAGAAAGGGCCCTCTGGGACTCCTTCCCATCCTCACATCTGAGCCCTCATCCTATCTTGCCGGGGCTATTGAGCTGATTTCAGAACCAGTTATTCTGTGGCCTGGCTCTGCCACTTGGAGTCAGTTCTCCTCATTGTTGCTGTGTGAGCTTCATTAAAGACAAGTTTGATCCCCTCAGTGAAAACCACGGCAGAGGAACCCTTCCCTAGCCCGGGCCCAGCCTCATCTCTCCTGTGCTTCCTCCATGTTTTTGTTGCTCACTTCCTCCCCAGCACACACCAAGCAGCACCCGTTCCACACCTGGGTTTTTGGCACATGCTATTCTCTCTCAGGGCCCTTTCTTTTCCTTGTCTCCTTGGCAAATTCCTGATTGTCTGTGCAAACTCAGGTACATGTTAGTGGCTCTAAAAGTTGCAGACTCCAGGGTCAGCAAAGGCCAGGCAAAGAATGTAAATGGGAGATGGACCAGGTAGAAACACTGGAGGGAGGCTCTCAGGCATGAACTGCCCAGAATTCCTGCCCTCCCTGCACCAGGTCCCCTCGTTCATCTTCTTACCTCCAGGGACACTTTGCTTCGGTCTCCTTCGGCCTTGTCATCCCTTTGTATGTCCAGATCCCAGGGTTCTGAGGTAGACTCCTGCCCATTTGCATTTTGTCTCCTCTTGCTTGATGTCATGTAACTCCAGTTGCAACCACAGCAGGGATTTTCAAAGCTGAGGCTTTTTTTCAGACATGCATGTCTCTGGTCCCTCTTCCAGGATTCCAGGAACCCCCTTCCTCTACACTACACATACGCTGTAAGAAGAGGAGGCCCCCATTAAAATCACCACCGTAGTGAGCCATTGTGTAGTGAGCCTATTGTGTTCCTCAAGTGTGCTAGAGTAGAAGATTGGCTCCCTGCACGTGGGTGAGTCCTACTGCAGCAGCACCAAATTCCCTCTTAAGCTCTAGACCTGCAGATTCTGCTCACCATAGAGCCTGTGCCCACAGGTGGCCCATAGACACCTAGGGACTGTCCATGTATGTCACTGAGCTCGTGAACTCTCTCTCAGAGGCTTGGATCTCTCCTCCTCTTTCCATGGACCTTGGGGTAGAGGAAAGGACCAACTGTCCTCAGGTACTCAAGCCAGCAACCTCAGCATCCTTCTCAAATCCCTCCTAACTCACCATCTCCTCCCCTCAGCCAGTGGTAAGTCACTCGCTCCTGTCCAAGCCACCTCCCAAATATCCCTCCTTCTCTATTGCTGTTATATGACTTCTAGGGCTTCATCTTCCTTCATGGAGATGAGACATGGACTCTAGACTTTGATTAGATCACAGCTCTGCCACTTGCTAGCTAGTTAACCCTGGGCAGTTTATTTTATGTATTTATTTTTTGAGATGGAGTTTTGCTCTTGTCGCCCAGGCTGGAGTGCAGTGGCGCAATCTCGGCTCACTGCAACCTCCGCCTCCCAGGTTCAAGTGATTCTCCTGTTTCGACCTCCCGAGTAGCTGGGATTACAGGCACCCACCACCACGTCCAGCTAATTTTTGTATTATTAGTTGAGATGGGGTTTCACCATGTTAGCCAGGCTGGTCTCAAACTCCTTACCTTAGGTGATCCACCCACCTTGGCCTCCCAAAGTGCTGGGATTGCAGGCATGAGCCGCCGTGCCTGGCCAACCCTGGGCAGTTTAGTCTCTGATCTGTTTCTTCATAAGCAAGTAAGGATAATGATAGGACCAGCTCCATATTGTTAGGAGAATTCCAAGAGAGGTGTATTTAAAATGCTTAGGAAAGTACCATGGATACTAGAACTCAATAAATGGTAGTTATTATTCTTTTTTTTTTTTTTTTTTTTGAGACAGAGTCTCGCTCTGTCGCCCAGGCTGGAGTGCAGTGGCGCGATCTCGGCTCACTGCAAGCTCCGCCTCCCGGGTTCATGCCATTCTCCTGCCTCAGCCTCCCGAGTAGCTGGGACTACAGGCACCCGCCACCACGCCCAGCTAATTTTTTGTATTTTTAGTAGAGACGGGGTTTCACCATGGTCTTGATCTCCTGACCTCGTGATCCGCCTGCCTTGGCCTCCCAAAGTG
Source organism: Homo sapiens (assembly GCF_000001405.40). Lineage (NCBI taxonomy): Eukaryota > Metazoa > Chordata > Mammalia > Primates > Hominidae > Homo > Homo sapiens. The sequence continues at coordinate 58,317,812 of NC_000020.11, forward strand.
CTGGGATTACAGGCGTGAACCACCACGCCTGGCCTATTATTCTTTTTTAATTTTTTATTTCTATTTTTTAGAGACAGGGTCTTGTTCTGTCACCCAGGCTGAGGGACACTTTGAGCTCAGTGCAGCATCAAACTCCTAAGCTCAAGCGATCTTCTTGGCTCAGCCTCCTGAGTAGCTAGGACAACAATAGCACGAGCAGTACGCATCACCATGCCTTGCTAATTCTTTTTATTTCTTGTAGAGATGAGGTCTCACTGCATTGCCCAGGCTGGTCTCGAACTCTTCACCTCAAGTGATCCTCCTGCCTTGGCCTCCCAAAGTGCTAGGATTAGGCATGAGCCACAGCATTTTGCCTATTCTTTTGTAAATGTTTAAATCTTTTTAAAATTTTAAAATTATTTGTATCAAAGCAATGTGTATATGGTTTTTAAAACCTGAAATAGTGTTACGAGGCTAAGTGTTGTATAACAGTGCCCTACTCTGAGCCATTCCCTGGAGGCTTACTGTTGCCTTCACATTTAGCTATTCTTTCTAATTTTTTCTCCAAATTTTTTCGTAACATGCATGCACAGGTTGAGTATCCCAAATACAAAATGCTCCAAAATCTAAAACTTTTTGAGCAACAGTATGACACTCACAGGAAATGCCCATTGGAGTATTTTGGATTTTTGGATTTGAAATGCTGAACTGATATAATGCAAATATTCCAAATTCTGAAAAATTCCTAAATCAGAAACCCTTCTTTTTTTTTTTCCAAAATCGGAAACACTTCTGGTCAGCATTTCAGATAAGGGGTACTCAGCATGTACTGGTAGTTGTTGATCCCTCTCTCCTCCCCGCCTCCTGTTTAAGGCAGTATCTACTGATTCTTTTTCTTTGGAAGATGGGAATTTTGCCATCCTCCTCCTCCCACCTCCTTGTGCACATTTGCCCTCCCTCCATCTTTCCATTAAAGTTCTCTCATTGGGAGTCAATGTGCCATAGTGTTCAGAGCCAGGCTGTCTGCCTTCACCTCCCAGCTCTAGCACTTAGTTGCTCTGTGGCATTGGACAAGTTATTTAACTTTTTTGTGCCTACATTTGCACATTTGGGAATCCTCCTTGGCATCTAATCTGTAGGGTTGTTGTGAAATTGAATTCAAACACATAAAAATTGCTTAGAATGGTGTATGTCGTATGGAAAGCATTTGTTATTTCTTAGCAAATGACAAAATTAAATTTTAAAAGGTTATTTTTTAATCTCCCACTATGGTTTTGAACTTTATATAAATGGAATTAGTATACACACACACATACATGTCATTTGTTTCTAGGATGATTAGACTGACATATGGAAAAAAAAAAGATTCTTGACCCTTACCTCACAAAGTAAACGAGTAGAAACAGATCACAGACCAAAATTTAATAAGGCTATAAAAGTTCTAGAACAACATTGGACATATAGGACACACCAAAAAACAAAGCATAAAAAGAAGCTGGAGTTGATCAAAATTAAACATTTTTGTTGAATTCAGCATTTGTTGAATTAAATCACCTTGGCACCTATGAGTTTATATATGTGTATGGGTGTATTTCTGGATTTCCTTTTCTGTCCCATTGGTCTATTCATCTGTCCTCAAGCCAGTACAATATTGTGTTCATTGCTGTAGATGTATAGAAAGTCTTGGAATCAGATAGTGTATGTCATCTAATTCTATTCTTGTTTTTCATGTCTGGCTCCTCTGGGTCTTTTGCATTTCTATATAAATTTTAGAATCACAGTGCCCAGTTCCTCAAAAGAGCCAGGTGAGATCTTGATTGGGAACACATTGAATCTCTTGACCAATTTGGGAAGAATTGTCATCTTAACACTATTCCATTTTTGATCCAGGAACATGATATATTCACCGTTAATGTAGGTCTTTTACCATTCATTCAGTCTTTTACCATTCAATTTGATGGCTGTCTCTAGGTCTTTTATAAATGCCATTATCAGGTTGAAGATGTTCCCTTCTATTCCTGAATTAATGAGATTTTTTGTCATGAATTGTGTTGAATTTTATTAGATGGTATTTTACATATTTTGAGCTGTTCATATTCTTTTTCTTTCTGTTAAAATGGTGCATTACAACCATTGAGAGTTTAATACTGAAATATTAAACCAATCTGGCACTCCTAAGATAAATTTCTCTTGGTCATTATGCATTATTATTTTTTATATATTGCTGGATTTGATTTACTAAAATTTTTTCAAGGATTTTTCTCTCCATGTAGTTTTCTGTAATAGTCTTTCTCTAGTTCTGGTGTCAGGACCTCATCAAATGAGTTGAGGAATGTCTTCTCTTCTACTTTTTTGGAAGAGTTTGTGTAGAATTGGTATTACGTCTTCCTTAAAGTTTTGGTAGAATTCACAGATGAAACCATCTGAGCAGGGAGTTTTCTTTGTCTGAAAATATGTAACTGCAGATTCAATTCCTTTAGTAAATACTGTAAAGGCTTATTCAGGCAACTATTTCTTCTTGAGTAAGTTGGTAGTTGTGTCCTTCAAGGAATTTGTTCATCGTATCTCTGTTTTTTTTAATTTATTGGCATAAAGTTGTTTATAATATCCACTTCTTATCCTTTTAATGTTTTGGGATCTGTAGCAATACCCCCCTTCCATTTTTGATAGTGCTGATTTGAGCCTTCTCACTTCTTTTTCTGAACTGTCCAGCTATAAGTTTATCAATTTTATTCGTCTTCTCAAAGAACCAGTTTTTGTTATCTGAGCATTTAGAACTGTAAATTTCCCTTTAAGTGATGGTTTAGGTGAATTTCATGGATTTTGATATGTTGTGTTTTCATTTTCATTTAGTTGCCCCTGTCATTTCTCTTGTGACTTCTTTGAGCATTGGTGTCTTAGAAATATATTTTCTAATTCCCAATTCTTTGGGTATTTTCCAGAAATTTTTCAAGTATCGATTTCTAGCTTAAATCTATTGCGGGTACAGGTGCGGTGGTTCGCACCTATAATCCTAGCACTTTGGGAGGCCAAAGCGGGTGGATCACTTGAAGTCAGGAGTTCAAGACCAGCCTGGCCAACATGGTGAAACCCTGTCTCTGCTAAAAAATACAAAAATTGGCTGGGCTCAGTGGCTCACGCCTGTAATCCCAGCACTTTGGGAGGCCGAGGCGGGTAGATCATGGGGTCAACAGATCGAGACCATCCTGGCCAACATGGTAAAACCCCGTGTCTACTAAAAATACAAAAATTAGCTGGGCGTGGTGGCACACGCCTGTAATCCCAGCTATTCAGGAGGCCGAGGCAAGAGAATCGCTTGAACCCTGGAGGCGGAGGTTGCAGTGAGCCCGAGACTGCGCCACTGCCCTCCAGCCTGGTGACAGAGCAAGACTCCATCTCAAAAAAAAAAAAAAAAATACAAAAATTAGCTGGGCATGGTGGTAGGCACCTGTAATCTCAGCTACTGGGGAGGCTGAGGCAGGAGAATTGCTTGAACCCAGGAGGTAGAGGTTGTAGTGAGCCGAGATGGCACCACTGCACTCCTGCCTGAATGACAGAGTGAGAACTCCGTGTCAAAAAAAAAAAGTCTATTGTGGTCAGAGAACATACTCAGTATTATTTCAAACCTTTTATATCTGACATTTGTTTCCTAGCCTAAGATGTGGTCTGTCTTTGTGAATGTTCCATGTGCACTAGTAAAGAATGTGCATTCCGCTACTGATGTGTGGAGTATTCTGTAAACGTTAATTAGCTCATTTAATAGCACTGCTCCTATCTCCAGTGTTTTTACTAACTTTTTTCTCTTATTTTGCAGTAAAAGAGTATTTGAAGCAGCTCTAATTAAAGATTTGTCTATTTCTGTTTTTAATCAGGTTTTGCTTCATGTTTCGAAGCTTTCGTTATTGAGTGTATATGCATGTAGCATTGTTTTTATATATTTTTATATAACATACATGTCATGTATTATATATATTATATGTATGAATTATATATCTCTTAAATGTATCTGTGTTATATATACATAAACAGAAACAAGGTCTTGCTCCATCTGTCAGGCTAGAGTGCAGTGGTGCAGTCACAGCTCACTGCAGCCTCAACTTCCCAGACTCAAGTGATCCTCCTACCTCAGCCTCCTGAATAATAGGACCACAGGTGTACTCACCACATCTGGCTAATTTTTTTCATTTTTTGTAGAGCTGGGGTCACTTTGCTGCCCAGGCTGGTCTCAAACCCCTGGGCTCAAGCCATCCTCCTGCTGTGGCTTCACAAAGGGCTGGGATGACAGGCATGAGCCACCTCACCGGGCGTCATTGTTAGATTTTCTTGATGACCCTTTTACAAACGTCATGAAATGTCTCTCTTTTGTCCCTGGTAAGAGTGCCGTTCTGAATTCTACTTGGTCTGATATTAATTTAAGCTCTTTGGCATTCTATTTGATTATCTCTTCCCATGCATTTACATTTAACCTATTTATAGCTGTATTTTTCAAGTGCCTTTCTTGTAGATAGAATTATAGGCTCTGCTTTTATATCTAATCTGACAGTCTCTGCCTTTTAATTATTTAGACCTCCACGGTCTAGTACAGTTGCTACTAGCCACATGTTAAAATTAAAAATTCAAATCTTCAGTCATATTAGCTACATTTCAATCCTCATAACAAATTTCTGTTGTATAGCACTGATTTACATCATTTTTATTTATTATGACTGTCAATATTATTTGGTTTAAAACTACCATCTTGCTTTATTTTTCTCTTGGCCCCATGTTAATGATTCCATTGTATTTCCACTATTATCTTGTTTACCTCTTTGTTTTTATTATTTTAATGATTTGCTAGAATTTATAATATCCTTCTTTGATATATCAGTCTGTGTTCAAATAATAACAGTTTCACATATAAGAACCTCGCAAGAGCGTCCTTCTGTTTCCCTTCTCCCAGGCTTTGTGCTGCTGTGGTCATATTTTACTTCTACATGTTATGAAATCACAACACACTTATTTTTTTTGCATTAAATGACCTTTCAAAGAGACCATTAGTCTTTTTTTCTATCCTTGTGCCATTGTCACGATTTCTAATTTTTTTTCATACTAAGTCTTACTGTCCAGTGGTGTGAATTTTCTGTGTTGTTCTTCAGCAATGTCTTGGCTGTTCTTGACCTGTTTCAATATAAACATTAAAATCATCTTGTCCTTTTTCACTCACACCAACACGCTAATCCCTACTGTGTTTTTGATTGGCCTTGTGTTGAATATATAAATTGATCTGGAGAGAAATGGTATCTTTATAATACTGAATCTTCTAATATATGAACATAGATTACTCTTTCATATATATTAGGATTCTTGAGTTTCTCTCAGTGTTTTTTTTCTACTTCTCTGTGTTATGGACTTGGACATCTTTCCAAGGGGTTTGATATGTTTAGTGCAGTTTTATGCTGTTAATATGGTAAATGGCATTGTTTTGAAATTTTCATTTTCTTTTTATTTGTTGATTATATACAGAAATACGACTTTTAAAAATTGAAGTTATATCCAGTAACCTTGCTGAATTTATTCACTAATTTATAGAGCTTATCTCTATACATTATTTTTTTGTGTTCTCTGTATACTTTTATATCACCTGGGAATTAGTTTTTTTAATCTTTATTCTAATTCTTAAACATTTTACTTATTCTATGAGATCAGGTAGGATCTCTAGTTCAATGTTCAATAGAAATGGTAATACTAGGTATTATCCTAATCTTAGGGGGTAGCTTCTACCATCATACCATTATGTTTGCTATAGGTTTTTTGTACATATTCCTATCACATTACAAACGTGCCCTTTTTTTTTTCTTTTTTTTTCTTTTTTTTTTTCTTTTAAGAGACATGGTGTCACTATGTTGTTCGGGATAGATTTGAACACCTGGGCTCAAGTGATCCTCCTGCCTCAACCTCCAGAGTAGCTGGGAGTACTGTAGATTGACACCACCATGCCCAGCAGAAGCACCTTTATTTTGTTTGCTGGGATCTTTGATTTTTTTTTTAACATAATGTTGACTTTATCAAAATATTTTTCTACATGTATTTGGCTAATCACATAATTATACTCTTTTATGTTAATGTGGTAAATTATATCATTAAATTTTCATGGAATAAATACACTTAGGTCAGGACATGTTATTTTTATTAAATACATATCACTGGCTTTAATTAGTTATTATTTTTTAGAATTTTTATGTATGTTTATAAATGGAGACTATCATATAAATACTTTTTTATAATGTGCATGTCAGATTTGGCATCAGTGCTGTGCTTGCCTGATAAAACTGGTTGAGAAACTTCTGTGGAAGAGACTGTATAAAATTGCTCTTATTCCTTCCTTAAGTGATGAGTAAAATTCATCAGTGTTGCCATCTGGGCTTCAAGTTCTTCTTGTATGATAGTCTGATTAGAGAGTCAGTTTCTTTCACAGTTGTAAGGTTGTTGATACTCAGATTTTCTATTTCTCTTGTATTGGTTTTAATACATTGGGGTTTTTTTTTTTAAGGATTTTGACTCTTTCATATACGTTTTCCAATTTATTGACATAAAGATGTTAAGATTCTATACGGAGACCCCGTTTTCATTTCTGATATTAGTTTTGCCTTTGATCAACTCTATGATATGTCTCTTCCCTGTTTCACTAATTTCTACTCCCATCTTTATTATTTTTGTCCTTATTCAATATGCTGTTCCTTTTCTAACTTCTTGAGATAGACAGTTGTCACTGATTTTCAGTCCTCCTCGGTTGTATTCCTTGTATCTTAAAACTTTAGGCCAGGCACAGTGGCTCACGCCTGTAATCCCAGCACTTTGGGAGGCCGAGGCGGGCAGATCATGAGGTCAAGAGATCAAGACCATCCTGGCCAACATTGTGAAACCCCGTGTCTACTAAAAATACAAAAATTAGCTGGGCATGGGGGCACATGCCTGTAGTCCCAGCTACTCAGGAGGCTGAGGCAGGAGAATCGCTTGAACCGGGGAGTCGGAGGTTGCAGTGAGCCGAGATCGCACCACTGCTCTCCAGCCTGGTGACAGAGCGAGACTCCGTCTCAAAAAAAAAAAAAAAAAAAAAAACTGTACGCCAGGCCCGGTGGCTCACACCTGTAATCCCAGCACTTTGGGAGGCCAAGGCGGGCAGATCACGAGGGTCAGGAGATCAAGACCATCCTGGCCAACATGGTGAAACCCCGTCTCTACTAAAAATACAAAAATTAGCTGGGTGTGGTGGTGCGTGCGCCTGTAGTCCCAGCTACTCAGGAGGCTGAGGCAGGAGAATCGCTTAAACCTGGGAGTCGGAGGTTGCAGTGAGCCGAGATTACACCACTGCACTCCAGCCTGGTGACAGAGCGAGACTCCATCTCAAAAAAAAAAAAAAAACTTTAGGCTAGGCGCAGTGGCTCACACCTGTAATCCCAGCACTTTGGAAGGCCCAGGTGGGCGGATCACAAGGTCAGGAGATCAAGGCCATCCTGGCCAACATGGTGAAACCCCGTCTCTACCAAAAATACAAAAATTAGCTGGGTGTGGTGGTACATGCCTGTAATCCCAGCTACTGGGGAGGCTGAGGCAGGAGAATCACTTGAATCTGGGAGGCGGAGGTTGCAGTGAGCCAAGATGGCGCCACTGCACTGCAGCCTGGGTGAGAGAGTGAGACTCCGTCTCAAAAAAAAAACAAAAAACTTGACTGTGGCTTTTGCTGGATCCAACAAGTTTTTTTTATAGATCATTTCATCATCATTCAGTTCAGAATATTTTCCAGTTTCTATTTTGATTTTATCTTTGATCTAAATGCCTTTTCTATGTATGTCTCTCGGTTTCCAAACAGGGATATCTTCTAGTTAACTTTTTGTTAATGATTATTGACATAATTGTTTTGAGGTGAGAGAACATATTTTGTATGATATAAATCCTTGGAAGTCTGGTACTGTTTGCTATGTGGATCAGCGTATAGTCCATCCTGGTAAATGTTCCATGTTTATTTGAAAAGGTTGTATTCTCTACAGCTGTTAGTGCTGTGTTCTCTGAATGGAATTAGGTCGAGTTTACTAATCATGTTCATTTTTTCTGTTGTCTTTGCTGGGTTTTTGGCCTACCTGCCTTTATAAGTTACTAAGAGGAATGAGTTAAATCTGTCACTATGGTTGTAAATTTATTTCTCCTTTTCATTCTATCACTTTTGCTTTATTTTGCACCTACATTCCATACATACAGATTTAGAATTTAATATCTTACTGATAAAGCAAACCTTGTAACATTGTGAAATATATTCTTTAGTTCTAGGAATGTGTTTTGCCTTGTCAGCGTTTGCATGGTGGATCTTTTTCCTGTTTTGTTTTTTTTTAACTTTCTGTATGTTTATATTTAAGGTAGGTCTCTTGTAAGCAGCTTATGATTTGATTTTGATAACGTAGATTCCATATAAGTACCATCCACCTTAATCAAAATGCAGAAATTTGCATCACCTCAGAAAGTTCCCTCTGTGAATCATACTCTCCATAAGCACCACCATTGCTTATGGGGAGTTGATTTTAATCAATATAGATAAATTTCCCTATTCTTGAATTTTACATAAATGCAATAACACAGTATATAATCTTTGGTGTCTTGATTTCTTTTTCATGAAATAATGTTTTGCGGATTTAACCTTGTTGCATGTCCCAGAGTTTTTTGTTTGTTTGTTTTGTTTTGTTTTTTATTAAACTGAGGAGTGATATTCTCTTATATGGATAGACCATAATTTGTCTATTCCTCCCCCTAGTTGAGGACATCCAAGTTCCAGTTTTTGACTATTATGAATATACATGCTATGAACATTCTTTTAAGGTTTTTTTGTGGACATAGGTTTTCATTTCCTTTGGGAACTAGAGTAGAATTGATAGTTGGTAGGGTAGATGCTTCTATAACTTAATATGGAGTCTTGTAGACTCCTTAGTATTATTTACATACACAATCATGTTGTATGAAAATAAAGGCTGACTTCTTCCTTTCCTTCTAGTTTTTTCCATGCCTTGTTGCACAGGCTAGGACCTCTGTTACCATACTGAATAAGTGGTGAGAGCCAACATCCTTACCTTTTCCCAATGTTAGGGGGAAAACATTCAGTATTGTACCAGTAAGTTTGATGTTAGTTATAGGTTGCCAATTTTTAGGATGAGGAAGTTTTCTTGTGTTTCTGGTTTGCTGAGAGTTTTTATCAAGAATGGGTCTTGTGGCCGGGCACAGTCGCTTATACCTGTAATCCTAACACTCTGGAAGGCCAATGTGGGAGGAACGCTTGAGACCAGTGTGGGCAATATAGTGAGACCCTGTCTCCAAAAAAACAAAAAAATTGAATAGGTCTTGAATTTTGTCTTGATATTTTTTGCATCTATTTAGATTATTTTGTTTTTCTCTTATGTTAATATGGTGGGTTACAGTATTAAATATTGCTAAGTAACAAATCGTCCCAGTATTTACCTGCCTGAAACAACAAACATTTGTTATCTCACATTTTCTGTGTATCAGGAATCCAAGTGGCCTAGCTCATATGGTTCTGTCCCACTCTGATGGTGTTGCAATCAAGATGTCAGGCAGGGCTGCAGTTATCTGAAGGATCCTCTTCCAGCAAGGCTCACTCACATGGCTGTTGGCTGGAGGCCTCAGTTCCACAGTTCTTTGCCCTTTGAGCCTCTCCATAGGGCTGCTTGAGTGTCCTCATAACAAAGTAGCTAACTTTCCACAGAGCAAATGATTCAAGAGAAAGAGCAAGGAAGAATTTGCAGTGCCTTTCGTGACCTACTTTTGGGAGTCATCTACCATGGCTTCTGTTCAGAAGGGAGTTACTAAACCAATCCCAAACTCAAGGGAGTAGGGAATAACCTCCATGCTTGAAAGTAAGAGTATCCAAAAAAAAGAGTGAATTACATTAATTGAATTTCAAAAGTTTAACTTATTTTATAGCATTATCTGTATCTAATCATGAGTAAACATCAGACAAACTCACATTGATAAACGTTTGACAAAACAACTGGCTTACAATCTCCAAAAGTCTCAAGGTCTAAAAAGTCAAAGAGAGACTGAGAAACTGATCCAGATAGAAGGAAACTATAAAGAGTCATAACAATTAAACGCAACATGTGCTTTTGAACTAGATGTTTTGCCAAAGGGATATTATCAGGACAATTGGCAGAACGCAAATGGGTTCTGAGGAATAGATGGTAGTAATATGTCAATGTTAAGTTCACAGTTTTGATTATCTTACTCTGCTTTACATAAGAAAATAATCTTGATTGTAATTAATCTACACTAACATTCAAAGGCAATAGGCAACTCACTATCAAATGGGTAAATCCTATACCTGCAACTTTTCTCAACTATTTGCGAAAAAAATGTTATATATATTTTTTGAGACAAGGTCTCACTTTGTTGCCCAGGCTGGAGTGCAGTGGTGTGATCACAGCTCACTGCAGTCACAACCCCCCAGGCTCAAGCGATCCTCCCACCTCAGCCTCCCAAGTAGCTAAGACTACAGGTGCACACCAACACACATGGCTAAATTTTTTTTATTTTTTGTAGAGACAGGGTCTGGCTATGTTGCCCAGGCTGGTCTCAAACTCCTGGACTCAAGCAATCCTCCTGTCTTGGCCTCTCAGATTGAATTACAGGTGTGAACCAGTGTCCAGCTACATTCTTTATATTGTACTTGCAACTTTTCTGAAGTTGGAGATTATTTCAAATTTTTAAAATGATGGCTATTTTACTGTATTTCCCGCCGCCCCCCACAATGTCATTTAAAGACAACTGGCTATTTGAGGTTTAAAAAAAGATGATAACATTGTGTTGTGGATGCCCTCTTCACAGGATCTAGGATTTCCCAAACCAGCCCTAGCTCTCTTTTCCTCCCTACTTAGGTAGTCCTTACTTTAGTCAGGCTTTGATACACTGCTCTGGGCACCATGGCTCCCTTCCACCTTCCATACTCAAGAATACCTACCTGCTTGGCCTACCTACTAGCAACTCTTGGGCTAAATAATTGTTCAAAAAAAAGAACAGGAAGAAAGGAGGAAGAGCAAAAGTAGTTTTATTTTACACACATATTAGCATTACCATTGCTCTTCATTCCTTCCTGTAGAATTGAGTTTTCATCTGATGACATTTACCGATGGTCTAAAGAATTTCTTTGAGCATTTCATGTATTCAGGGCTGGTGACAAGATCGCCTCGGTATTTGTTTACCTAGGGTAATGTCTGCATTGCATATTCCCTTTTTTTTTTTTTTTGAGGCAGAGCCTCATTCTGTCACCCAGGCTGGAGTGCAGTGGCGCTATCTCGGCTCACTGCAAGCTCCCCGTCCTGGGTTCACACTGTTCTCCTGCCTCAGCCTCCTGAGTAGCTGGGATTACAGGCGCCTGCCACCATGCCCAGCTAATTTTTTGTATTTTCAGTAGAGACGGGGTTTCACCATGTTAGCCAGGATGGTCTCGATCTCCTGACCTCGTGATCTGCCTGCCTCAGCATCCCAAAGTGCTGGGATTACAGGCATGAGCCACGGCACCTGGCTGCATACTCACTTTTGAGGTATGTTTTTGCTAGATGTAGATTTCAGATGTTTTTTCTTTCAGCACTTTACTGTGTCATTCTGTTTTATCCTGGCCTTCGTTGTTTTTGTTGAGTGGCGTCATCCTCCTTCATATTGTTACCCTATATGTAATGCCTTTTCATTCTCTGGCTGCTCTTAAGACCTATTCTTTATCTTTTGTTTTCAGTAATTTACTTTAATATGCTAAATGTGTAATATACTCTGGGTTCACTGCGTTTCTTAGATCTGAAATTTGATTAGTTTTACAAAATTTGGGACATTTGCATCCAAATTGTTTTAAGTATCTGTTTTGCACCATTCTCTTGGTCCTCTTATGGGATTCCAATTGTATGTATGTTAAACTGCTAGATATTATACCACAGGCCATGGAGGCTCTGAGTTTGTGTCCTTTTCCCTACCCCCATCTTTTTCTCTCTATTCTTAACAATCACATAATTTCTCTTGATCTGTCTTTATCTTAGTTGATTCCTCTACAGTGTCTCCAAATCTGTTGGCCCTCTTTAGTCATGGGTTTCACATCCAGGGGTTCCACCAACCACAGATTGAAAGTATCTGGGGGGGAAGAGTCTGTATATGTACTAAACATGTACTAAACATATATACAGACTTTTTTTTCTTGTCATTATTCCCTAAATGATAAAGCAACTATTTACTTAGCTTTTACAGTGTATTAGGTATTGTAAGTAATCTAGAGATGACTTAAAGTATATGAGAGGATACATGTAGGTTATATGCAAATGCTATATCATTTTATACAACAGTTGTGAGTATTTGCAAATTTTTATTCGTGGGGGGTCCTGAAACCAGTCCCCTGCGGATACTGAAGGATGACTATTCTGTTCAGTGTGTCTAATATTTTTCCCCCAGTATTTAGATACTGTCCTTAATTCTAGAATTTTCATTTGGTTCTTTTATATATTTTACATGCATAGTTCCCCCATCTGCTCACTCAATATGACTTTCTTTAAGTCTAGATTATATTTATAGTAGCTGTTTTTAACATCTGTATCTGCTCATTCCAGCGTCTGGATCATCTCAGGATCTGTTACATCTACTTTTTTTTTTCTCTTGACCTTGGGTCACATTTTCTTGGATTATCTAGTAGTTTTTTATATTGTACTGGACACTGCAGAAGATACGCTGCAAAGATTTTAGATTTTCGTATCTTCCACTGAAGAGTGCTGTTTTGTTTTAACAGAATGTTAAATTATGGGCTAATCATCTTGAACTTGTGGAAGCTTCATCTTAACACTTTGTTCAGACGGTTGTGTTGGGATGTCGCCTTATGACAAATCCTTATTCTTGGGACACTATCTTTGCTTCTGAGATATGGCCTACCTCATTATCATTGAAGGTGTCCAGTGAGCCTCTGGATTGGCAGGATTTAAACTCCCAACTTTTCTCCCCTACAGTTGGAAACAACTGAAATCTCTGCTCAGCTCTTTTTTTGGCCTTCCAGCTGTTGCTGTCCATTGGACTCCTTGGCATCTCCCCAGTTGCATGTGCAATTATAGGAATCAGCTGTGGCTCTGAGAGGAGTCTGTGTATGGATTTGCAGCTCCTTCTTTTCTAGAACATCCCCTCTCTATTTCCAGCCACACTGGCAGCCCTGAACCTCATCCTCTGTCACTTCTAGCCAACGCTGGTGGTTTGTCCTCACCTTGATTTTTTATCACTTTCTTCCTCTCTTACTGCATTTCAGCCACATGGCCCTTCTTTTCAAACATTTGAAAAGAAATACAGAGACCCAACTCAAGGTCTCTGTATTTACTGTTTCCTCTTTTTGAAATGTTCTCCCCCCTCTAAATATTGGAATGGTTGGATCTTCTTCCCTTTTAGGATTCCTCCAAGTTTTTGCTATCATCCTATCTCAAATTGCCACTCCAGTCACTATCACCACACAGTGTTTTTTTTAATCTTCGTAGTAAATATTAAAATCTATAATCATCTATTTGTTTATTTATTGTCAGTTCCTGCCACTTGATTATAAGCTGTATGAGAAGAGGAACCGTATCTGAAATGACCACAGACAGCTGTATCCTCAGCCCACAATAGACGCTCAGTAAAAAATTATTATTGAAGATTTTCATAATTATATACATTTATTGTCTATTTAACCAATCTCTTATTGACCGTTCTCTTATCAGCTTTTACCCCCATTATTCCATTGAAACACCATTGTTGTAGAGTTTGACTAAATATAAACCACAAATATAATTCGCTTTTTATTGTATTTGCCCTCTAGAAGTATTTGGCATTATCTTGACTTTTTTTTTTAATCCTTTGGTTTCCTGGGATACGGTTCTGGTTCTCCTTTCTACCTCTTGGGGCTTCCTCCTTCTTGTGTTTCTTGGCTTCAATGTCCACCCCTAAAATGTCACAACAGAATTTCTTGCATAGTCTGTGTCTCTTCCTAGGTGATTTCATTCACACTCAGCACTTTGATGGCCACCTTTCTCTAGTGACTCCAGGTGACGGGTATTTAAACAGAGACACCTGGGACTCCACATATCTACCACTGAACTCCTCTTTCTCCTCGGTCATCCCCAAGTACCTTGTTCTGCCTTGCCATAAGGGAGCATTTAACAAGTCCTTCGTACAACCACTGTAAACAACAACTTAGCAAAAATTATCAAATGTAAGTAGTAATGATAACGATGGGCATATTATATCCTTTAAATGTAATAACTCAGTCCTTTAAACAATCCACTATGCTTTCCAACTCATAAAAAGTCACAAGAGACCATCATTCTCACCCAAACAGCCAAAACAAGCAAGATAAGTTTTTAAAAGCCCATTAGGCAGCTGAGCACACAAAGAAACCTAAATAAACTAAACTTCAATAAGTGATAGACCATTCAGAAGAGAGCCGTAGCTGCTCTCATCCTCTATTGAAACAGAGGGACAGGGAAACTTTGCCATAGATGGGAACAGTTGGGCTCTTAACTGTGGAGACTTGAAGTGGGGCAGGTGAGCTCAGAGCAAACTCTTCACAGGAATTTCTACTTTTGCTGGGCATAGGGTGACAGCAGCCAAGGTGCAAGAATCCATGGGTGGAGCTGCAAAGCAAAGGAATCTCTTAAAAATCTTGATCTGATTCACTGACCCTCTCCTCTGCTGTGTCCAGTCATCTTATAAAATGTCCATATAAAGTCAGATAAGTAGAAAGTATCCAAACTGAAATGCAAAGAGAAGAGAAAGATATTTTTAAAAGACATCCAAAATCTGTAAGGTGCTGTCAGTTTCACAATTGGCTTCCCTGAAAGAAAGGAGAAGGACAAAGGAAAAGAATAATTCAAGAGATAAAAGGTAGGAGCTTTCCACAATTGATGGAAGTGATCAATGTATAAATCTGATAATTTCTGCAAACTCGTCAGGATAAATACAAAACAAACCACAACTCCACAGTCTAGGTATATCATAGTCAAACTGCTGATAACCGGAAATAAAGAGCAGATCTTAAAAGCAATCAGAAGAGGGATAAAAAACATGTTATATACAGGAGGACAGTGATAATAATTATCTCTGACTTTTCAGCACAAACAGTGGAGGTCAGAGTATAATGATACAGCATCTTTAACATAGTTTAAAAATATATATATATAGGCGGGGTGTGGTGGCTCACACCTGTGATCCCAGTACTTCTGGAGGCCAAGGCAAGTGGATCACCTGAGGTCAGGAGTTCAAGACCCAGCCTGGCCAATATGGTAAAACCCTGTCTCTACTAAAAATACAAAAATTAGCAGGGTGTGGTGGCGGGTACGTGTAATGCCAGCTACTTGGGAGGCTGAGGCAGGAGAACCACTTGAACCCAGGAGGCGGAGGTTGCAGTGAGCAAGATCATGCCATTGCACTCCAGCCTGGGCGACAGAGTGAGACTCCATCATAAATAAATAAATAAATAAATAAATAAATAAATCCCGCCAGCTAATTCTGTATCCAGCAATAATTAATTAATTAAACCTGCCAACTAATCTGTATCCAGCAAAAACTTTCTTCAAAAATAAAGGTGAATGGAGACATTTTCAGACAAAAGCTGAGTTTGTCTACAGTAGGCCCATATCAAGAAATATTAACAGGAGCCTATTTCATCCAGCTAAAAACACTATTGGCTTTAAATATATATGTAACAATTATATTGTTTGTTTGTAACATATGAAGAAGTTAAGTAACAGGCAACAGGAGCACAATGGATGGGAGGGAAATATATGAATATGTGGAATTCAGCTGGCAGAGTCTTACATTGTTCATGAAATAGTATAATATTTGGAAGTAGATTGAAATTTAAAGATGCATACTGTAATCTCTAGAGAAACTATTGAAAAAATAGAGACACACAGAGAGGTATAGCTGAAAATCCAACACAAGACATAAAATCGAGGGCCCAGTGCCATGGCTCACACTTATAATCCCAGTGCTTTGGGAGGCCAAGTTAAGGGATGAATGCTGGAGGCCAGACGTTCAAGACCAGCTTGGGTGGCATAGCGAGACCCTGTCTCTACAAGAGAATGAAAAAATTAGCTGGATTTTATGAGCCACACCTTTAGTCCTAGCTACTTGGGAGACTGAGGTGGGAGGATTGCTTGAGCCCAGGAGTTCAAGGCTACTGTGAACCATTATTGTGCCATTACACTTCTTTAAAAAAAAATTTTTTTTTGGCCAGGCTCAGTGGCTCACACCTGTAATCGCAGCACTTTGGGAGGCCGAGGCAGGTGGATCACCTGAGGTCAGGAGTTTGAGACCACCCTGGCCAACATGGTGAAACCGCGTCTCTACTAAAAACACAAAAAAACATTAGCTGGGTGTGGTGGCGGGTGCCTGTAATCCCAACTACTTGGGAGGCTGAGGCATGAGAATCGCTCGAACCTGGGAGGTGGAGATTGCAGTAAGCAGAGGTGGCACCACTGTACTGCAGCCTGGGCGACAAGAGCGAAAGTCCATCTCAAAAAAAAAAAAAATTCTTTTTTTTAAGAAGCTGAATACTGCCGTCCATATTTGATCTATCCAAAGAAGATAGAAAAAGAAGAGCAGAGAAACAAATACCAAAATGGGAAACATTAAACCTGCCATATAAATAATTATATTGACTGTAAGTTTTCTTATTTTGAGCTTTTTTTTTTCTTTTTTTTAAATTACAGACTTCATGTTTTGCCTGGGATAGGGACAGTAGTTAACTGGAAATGGGCATGAGGAAACCTTCTGGTCATTGGAGATGTCATGCGTCTTATTCTGAGCAGTAGTTACACAAGAATATTTTTGATGGACTCCGTGATATAAAATATATCACAATGTCTGTGAATATAATGTCTGACAATTTTACTATGTTTACCAACTTTGTACTTTTTTTTTTTTTTTTGGCCTTATTGTATTGGCTAGACCCTGTAGTCCAGTGTTGAATCAAAATGTATGAGTAGACATCCATGCCCTGTTCTTAGGGAATAGCTAAAATTAAAAGAGTAACCAAATGTTGGCAAGAATATGGAATAACTAGAACTCCATAAATTTCTAATAAAAGTATAAATGGTTTAACTACTTTGGAAGACTCTTTTTATGTTTATAAAAACACTTGTACAAAAATGTTTATAGCAGGCTTGTTCATTATAGCCAAAAACTTGAAACAACTTAAATCTCTCAACATAAGAATGGGCAAAGTGCGATATAGTCACGCAATTGAATACCATCTGGCAATAAAAAAACACTGTAGATGAATTTCAAAACCATTGTTAAATGAAAGAAGCTAGACACAATAGAGTACCTATTTTATGATTCCATTTATTTGAAATCCAAGGACAGTTAACCCTCATCTCTGAAGTGGAAGTCAGAAACGGCTTGTGTGGAATGGGGACACTCTTAGTATGCTGTTATGCCGTCACCTCATTCCCTTTGCCTCAGCAGTTCTGCTTCTAGGTCTTTGTCGTACAGATAAACTCACATCATTTCTAAACCAATTAAAAATTCTCCAAGGTTGGCACTTGCAGCATTGTTGATGAGTGGGGGTCTGATTATATCCATCATGGTGCAGGTACTCAATATAATACAGGAAAAAAGCCATCTTCAGAAAACTTGATATACTTAGGTTGGATGATCTCCTAGGTATAGGATAGAGAAAAAAAAATCAAAGGTATGTAGTATGTATTGCCATCTGTGTTTAAAAATAAAAGAGCATATGGGGAAACTGTATATGCATGTGCTTTATCTAAACCTAATGTATTTCTGAAAGGAGGTCTAAGAAACTGCTAAGATCAAACTTCCAGGGAGAGGAATTCAATGGCTGGAAAAGGAAGGTGGGAGATGTTTGGGTCTATCCTTGTTTTGTACGTTTTGAATATTGAAACATATGACTGTATTACCTATTTTAAAAATTAAAGAATACAGTTACAGTTTGGAAATAACTGAAATAGTTCATCACACACAGAGTTGGCTGAACTGACAGAAGCCTGCTACATAGACTTGCTGAGAACTCTCCCTTTCCCTCACCGCAGTTGATACCTTGTGGATTTTGTATGTTAGTCTTAAGTTGTCCCTTTTGTCCCTTCCTGCCCATCCTATCTTTGTCCAGGATCATTTCCATGGGCCGCTTAGCTTGCTTCCCCTCCTTGCTGTTTGTTTTCTTTGTTTGTTTGTTTGTTTGTTTTTGAGACAGTCTCTCGCTCTGTCGCCCAGGGTGGAGTGCAGTGGCACGATCTCAGCTCACTGCAACCTCCACCTCCTGGGTTCAAGCGATTCTCCTGCCTCAGCCTCCTGAGTAGCTGGAATTATAGGCGCCCACCACGACGCCCAGCTAATTTTTTTGTATTTTTAGTAGAGATGGGGTTTCACCATGTTGGCCAGGCTGGTCTCGTACTCCTGACCTCAAGTGATCCACTCGCCTTGGCCTTCCAAAGTGCTGGGATTACGGGTATGAGCCACGGCGCCCGGCCGCTGGTTTTTTTTCAATTATCCAGCCCAAAATGTCAGCCTTGCTGTTCTTTTTGACCCACTTCCCTTCGTCTTGTCTGTGCCCTCACAGGGCTTACTGTTCCCCAATTTTTGCCTACATCATCTGTCTCTACTTCTGTCCTGGAGGATCCTTAAAAGTAGAGACTTTAAGGATACTGCCTGGAATCTGGGGGGATAAAAAGTATTTTATTGTCTCTTGGGAAAAATAAAACTAGTTCATGAAACTGGTAGGTTTTAAATTTTACCAATATTGTTGCTTAGGCAAGGCTCAGTTTAAAAAAAGAGAGTGATTTTTTGAAATATTCAGTAGTAATTCAAACGAAGCAACATAATGCAAATGGTACATAGAAATGTACCTTTTTTAAAATATTTTTAGAATATCTCTGAAATATTCACTAGTAATACAAATGGAGCAGCATAAATGGGGTGGCGGAGCTCTGGCCTCCAGGAGATTCTGGCTTACAAGGAACAGGGCCTCACACCAAGGAGGCACTTGTTACCAGCCTTCACCTGCCTGGAGCCTTCTATGTGGTCACCTAACTGCACTCTGCCCACCCCACCCTCCAAGTCTAACCCTGCAGAGCAGCCAGGCTGCTGCTTGACATTCATGATTCTCTACTTTGATTCTTGCCGTTGCTCTTCATGGAATGGGACCCCCCTGGGGGTCCTCGCCCATCTTCTCCCTCAACTTTCTGGCTCAGCCCCATACTTCACCTCTTCTCTGAAGGCTTTCCTGATGCATTTGTTTCCTCTTGCTGCTTTAACACATCACAGCAAACTGAGCAGCTTTAAAAAACACACACTTACTCTTTTATAGTTCTGGAGGTGAGAAGTCCAAAGTCAGTTCACAAGATTAAAGTCAAAGTATTGACAGAGCTGGTCCTTCTGGAAGTTCTGAGGGGAGAATTCATTTCCATACCTTTTTCAGCTTTTAGCAACTGCCTTGGCTTGTGGCCCCTTCTTTCATCTTCAAGGCCCGTCATTCTCTTCTCCATTTCCATGTTCAGATCACCTTCTCTTCTGGCTCTCACTCCTCTTGGTCCCACCTGAGTAATACAGGGTCCTCTCTCCATCACAAGATCCTCAATTTAATCACATCGGGCAGGTCTCATTTGCCATTTAAGGGAATCTGTTCACAGGTTCTGAGGTTAAGGTGCAGATCCTAGGATGCCATCACCATTCTCCTGCTCACAGTCTGTCCATTCTTCACTTACCTCATAGGATAATTACCTGGTAATTATCTATTCACCTGACCAGTACCCCCAGTGTAAGCCACTTGAGGGCTGTGATGGGCTCTTTCTCACCTTGCCTGCCTGGTGTTCCTGCCATGTGGTAGAAGTCCAGGTGTTTGAAGGAGTGAACAGATTGCCCAGTACAAATAGCACTGTAGTTCAGAGCACAGACTTGAGGTTCGACTGCCTGGCTGTGGATCCTAACTGCACCTCTCACCAGCCCTGTCTATTCTGTGTCCCATCTGCAAAATGGTGATGAAGAATAAAACCCAGCCTGGAGCCCACAGTAGAGGGATTCAGTTGGGTCACATGTGAAATCATTAGAAGAGTGTCTAACAATAAAGTCAAGACAGTTTTGTCATTGTTGATTTTGTTTTTGATGTGAAATGGTATATGTTATGTAAATTATTATTGACAAGTTTAGGAAAGGATAAGCTTTTTGCTATTTAGTTATGTTTGTTTATTTTTTTTTATTTTTTTTTGAGACGGATCTCGCTCTTGTCGCCCAGACTGGAGTGCTATGGCGCAATCTCAGCTCACTGCATCCTCCATCTCCTGGGTTCAAGTAATTCTCCTGCCTCAGCCTCCTGAGTAGCTAGGATTACAGGGACCCGCCATCACACCCGGCTAATTTTTGTATTTTTAGTAGAGACGAGGTTTCACCATGTTGGTCAAACTGGTCTTGAACTCCTGACCTCAAGTATCAGCCCGCCTCAGCCTCTCAAAGTGCTGGGATTACAGGCTTGAGCCACCGTGCCCAGCCTGTTTAAAGAAATCTTTTCCTTGATTTTAAATATTTTCCAAAAAGTTTTTAGGCTGTATGATGAACATGTAGAAGGTGATAAAGGATTTGCTTAGGATGACCATGAACCTGTGGAACAGTCCGTTGTGCACCACTCTGCTTTAAGTGGGTATCGACTGCTTGGGAGAGATTACTATGCAGAGTTAATCCTTAGATCTCATTAGCCTAAGAGATGGTGGAGATTCAAGAAAAGGTTAAAGGTGTGTGTGACTATGGAATGCACACAATACTTCACTGAATTTATGGATACACTTGAGACTTCCGGCTTCTTGAAGCCACTCTAACATAAGCCAAATGTGCGCTTAAATTCAGCTAACCCTCACTGAGAACCCATCAAGTTCTTTGCACCATTCTAACAGAGACAACTTTGTGAAGGTCCCTTGATACCTCTGTTAGAGGAACTTCTAGATGTCATGTGCCTTTGGTCTTTTTATGTCTCAATCTTGGTATTCAGTGGTGTTTCCATCAGTGTACATAATCCAGAGATCCAAGGGTTGTTTGCATGAGATTTCTAGTTTTGAGAAGTGAGAATCCTTTGTTAATTGTAAAATGTGCTGGATTGTTCATCCTCGGGAGGCACTATATGCCATTATGGGGATGACACCATCCCATATGCCATGCAAAGAACAGGGTTTGCAGTAAAGAGAGGTGCTGGAATGTAATGTCAGAGCACACCTATGTTCCAGGAGAGCTAAACAAGTCTACTGCAGTTAAAGAAAAGAAATGTTTAAAATACCTTGCAACAAGTTTTTTCATTGAGAGCACGTACTCTGACCAAAGTTCATGACTACTTGGTGTGCATGAAGAAAGTCATATTTTTAGAATGCCATGATAAATGGAGAAGTATATGAAAAGCATTCTAGCTTTAGGAAATAATGCTAGTATGGATTTTAGATTAAAGACATAATAAGATCTGCCTAAGCAGAGTGAAGAGAGATGGTTTAGTAGTGAAAAATAAGGTTATCAGACAAGTAAATGGCAGGCTGGAAAATAAAAATGTATCATTTGAATGGCAGGGAGCCATTGCCAGTTTTTCAAAAAGCAAGATATTAAAGTTATCATACCCTCTGCATCATTTAACTTGATCGTTAAAGGAGTGATCCTAGTGATCCTAGAGTTCTAGTGACAACGGGAGGGAAAAATTGTAGTAGTCCCACTGGAAGATTAGGGTCCAATTTATGAATTTATTTCAGGGATTGAGGTTCAAGTGTAGATTAAATATAAAATGAAGAACCAGACAGCTCTACTTCAAAATTGGATGCAAGTAACAAAGGACAAAGGATAGTTGCAGACTTCGTTTCTGTTCTGTGGAAGGCAGACATAACGTTCTGTGATTGAGATCTTGGAATTTGGGGTGATTTGTGGGGGTAGAGTGGAAATAACGCCCTATTTTCACCATGTTGGGCAGGAAGGGTGATGAAGTATCTAAATTGTGTAGTTAAACTAAAATCAAGCAGATTTGGAAAAGTGCTGTTCTCAACAGGTGAAGACCTGACCGTAGGAAGGAATCCATTGTTGAGTCCTGCTCCTGCAGGACTTCTGCCTGGGGCTAGCCCAGAGCTCGGGAGGCGCCACAGGCAACCTCCCCCTCCCATGTCTCACCCTGAATCCAGGTGTTACCACTACGGAAAAGAATCCAATCCTAATGCTGAGGAGGAAGTGGTTCTTACAGATGTGATAGGCCAAGATTTTAACCTCTCAGAAATCAACAGAAATGCATTGTGGGGTTGAGGGGAGAAAGGTTGGCCACTTGAGCTGTGACGTGGGGTTGGGAAAAAACTCCTGATTCAAACGTGAATGAGCAGGAAAGAGACACCCCCTCCTTCCAAAAAGCGATATGACTTCTTAGCAGAATTCCAGAGCTTTGAGTGAGAGAGGGACACAGTGACTTTGCTGTAACTCCTGGATTTTGCTGGTTGCCTGTGGGCTAGAAGGAGTTGGAGCTGGTGGCTTGGCAGAAGGCAGGAAGGACACTGCTTGGGCGTACTCAGCCTTGCACTAGTTGAGCCACTTCCCACATACCCTAAAGGCCACACACCTTGCTAAGGTTGCAGAGCCCAGGTCTGCTCTAATCTCAACGTTTTACCTGCATTTCAATAGTACTTCTCACTTCATGCTTCAGGAAGTGCTTGGCCAAGACACCCTAGATCTGTTGGCATAACAGACAGCCACTTAGCTTGTAGGCTACATGATAAATGTTTTGTTGGAGTTCTAGGATAGCAAGGAGATGGAGAGATGAGGAAGATACCCCTATTACAGAGGAAGAGTTACAGCGAGGCCCCTACACTCAAAGAACTTAAAATTCTCATGGGTAAGTCAGACATTGAACAGGCAAACTTTAAAAAGAAAAAAACATAAATGAACTACTCAGATGTTGTGAAAGCTGCTCTAAAGACAAAGTGCAGTGGTGAGTTGGGTGGGAGGCTGCCTGGTGGGGTAGATGGCACAGGTGTCTATGGTCATTAACATTTAAGCTGAGACCCAAACGATGGGGAGCATCTGGCCAGGGGAGAGCCAGTGGGAAAGCATCCAAGGAAGAGGAGCAGTCAGTGGTCCGTGGGAAGGTGGACACAGGGACAATTGAAAAGATTTGAGACTTGAGACCAGTTTGATGACTGCAGTGGCCAAGGCAGGATGTGCTGGGGTCATGAACCAGGGCAGCATTGACACATGAGCCAAAGAAAAGACATCTCTGACTCAGCAAAAGTCAGAAAAATGGAAGTCACAGCAAGTATGAGTGGAAATTCGTCTGTTCTCTAGTTGAAAGTGTTGACTGGGGAGCTGGTTGAAAGTCTTGGGGCTTATAACCTGTTTTCTCTGAGAAGGCTGAAACAAGCTGTTGTCCTGAAGAGACAGGTAGCTGGAAGTGGTAGAGAACTGGAAAGGAGGAGAGAGAATGTGGGATAATTGCTGTGGAATGGAAGAAGGCCTAAGACGCATGCCCAGCAGACAAAGCGTAGAATCTTCATGGCCGTCCACATAGTTTTGTAATTTTTCCTCCAGCGAAGCCACCACCCAACCATTGGGTAGAGGAAGCAGGTGGAGAGGCTGTTGGGGCTTTTCTGGGTGGTTGAGACAAGACAGGCAAGGAGGCTAGAGAACTGGTGGTGTGGGCAAGTGATGCTGGTGATCAATGGACTGGAAGCCAACAGCAGAGACTTAGACCCAAGAAGGGAGCTTGAGGTACAAGAAAACTTCAGGGTAGACAGGAAGGAGGCGTGGTGAAAGTGATGAAAGGGGAGAGTAGAAGGGTGGTCCAGGGTCAGACAGGGAGTTAGATTTAATCCTTCAGGGCACTTTCATTACATCATAGCTGCCATTTTGTCTTTTATCTGACTCAATAATAAGTCAGTAATAAGTAATGTTTTAATTAAAGGTAAATGCTTGGCAGGTAGGTTAAACTTCATTGAGTCCCAATCCTGTCATAATTATTGTGTATACCTTTCTCAGCTTTTTGTCTACTTGAAATATATTTCTTCTTCCTTTGAGCAGCCAAAATGGAAGTGTTGGATGTGTTGGCTCTGTTGGTAGGCTCCTGTTGGATGCCTGTTGTCACTCATAAATGTAACACCACAACCATAATTGATGGAGAGTTGAGTTGCAAGCTTTTAGGACTAATTGCAAAGTCTAAACTAAAACATTTCCTGGAGCTGCCTTTAAATAATAATAATAATACCTTGTATAGATACAGTGCTTTACAATTTACAGAGCACTTCCACATACATCATCTCATTTAATCTTCACAATAAACAATGCTTTTTGAATGCTTAGATATTTCCTAAGTGAGAAACCATGTTGTACATCCTGATTTAATCATAGTGAGTCACCAAAAGTTCTTGATACAATAACCATTTATGAGTACCTTCTGTGTACAAAGCACTTTACTAAGGATACCAAGGGGTAAATTTTCAGTAAATAAATATCCAATAAGTAGTACCTATCAGTAAATATGATCTTGCCTCCTAATTTACCTTCGCTTCCTAGTCACAGTCACTGTTTTGGAGGCTACTTGCCATGGCATAAATTTATATAAATATTGCCAGGAATTCATTGTATCAGAGTTGAAGTTTTAAAACTAAGGATTCTGATACTTGTCTAAGCTCATGATTCATCAGAAAGTCATCCTGTCTATTCAACTTGCACTTTTCTTGAAGATTATCACTTGAATCTCAAGAAAAATATTTCAAGGCCTCAGCATATCTGAAAATGCCAGCCATTGAGTTCAATGTCCTGATTGGAGTGATTTGGGTACAACTTGGCCAAAAAACAAGAGTACAATTTGGCAAAAAAAAAAAAAAAAAGTATAACTTCGTACTTGGTTCCAGAAGTCTTATTTTTCATTAGAAAAGAAGACACACCCATCTTTGGGCTCTACTGGCCAGACTGGGATGCTTTGAGAAGACTGGGAGACAAAGGACTTCCTGGGAGGCTGCCCTCTGGGTGAGGGGGGAATGGAAGGTAGTATTGGAGCTGGGCCCAATCCCAGGGCAAGAATCCTGAACCTGTGTCCTGGAGTCCCCCAAGTGTCCAGGCGTGTCTTCTGGGCCACCATGGCTCTTCAGAGGATACACAGATTTTGAGGTCTCACTCAAGATTCTCCAAATGTAGAACCCCCAAAATAATAGGAACCCTGCCGTCAGAGTGCCCTGGGCAGAGTAGCTCCCTGAAAGTGAGCGGTGTGACCTGCAAACCATGATTCCTTCTCCCATCCGGGGCTCGATGAGGCCCCAAGGTGTGATGTTGAACTTCAGCTGAGAAACCCGTTTTGTCGATGAAATGCAGGTGGTCGTCAGGGGCACTGATGATGAATCGGGTCCCCTTGGTGCAGCTGTTACTTCTCCAGCCATCTTCCTGCTCCTTGTTCAACACCTTAATGTTATTAATTCGCATGTTAACACTAGCTCTCACTCACCTATTTACATGGGAATGTGGTTTGGGAATTGGGGGAGGACAAAGCCAGATCCTAAAAAGTTTTTTTTTTAACTAGTGTATACATTCCTGGACATAGTTTTTTAGGAATATTTTCCCATGATAACATCTCTTTAAATAACAGGTTTTGTGTTTTACAAGGGAGGCTAATGTCTGTGTTGCCAAACTATCTCTTGATTCTTTTGATAAGGAGCTTAGAACCCTTCCTTCTTGGTGTCGGGCAG
Organism: Homo sapiens; assembly: GCF_000001405.40. Classification (NCBI taxonomy): domain Eukaryota; kingdom Metazoa; phylum Chordata; class Mammalia; order Primates; family Hominidae; genus Homo; species Homo sapiens. The sequence continues at coordinate 58,343,518 of NC_000020.11, forward strand.
ATGTGCCTAATGCTTTATTTTGACGGAGGATATGCACTCAGCATCTGAGCATCCCATAAATACTCCAGAGAGGAACACAATTAGGATACAGCGTGGTGCTGGGAGACTGAGCGTTGGTTGAGTCTAAGTGATGTTTCCGACTGGGGCTGGAAACGTGCTTTACATAATTGTATTCTGATCATTTAGGTCTCTCTTTATAGGGCATCTTTTATGACCAAGACTGTCCAGTACCAAAATGAGCTACATAAATTCCTAATCTGGGATACAGCTGGACAAGAACGAGTAAGTCACTCTTTAATTTACTCTGTTTTTCTGAGGCCCAAATGAAAGTTCCAACTAAACTGTCAGCATCCCTGTCATCTCACGTTACTCACTTCTCTTCTGTGCACCGGAGACACATTTATTTCCATTTGCGTAGGCCAGCCTTTGCCTTTGCCTTTTCAATTAGAGCCACAGAGTCCACCGATGGAGAAAGTGATAATGGGCACTGAGGGCATTTTTATACCTTGCAGTGTCTTAAAGTAAATGCTGACCAACAGGCCTGATAAAATCCCACTCAGAGCACTGTGTATAATTTGGGGCTCTCTCCTCTAGTAAAGATATATAAAGCAATTAGTGGTAGAAAGGGTGAGTTAAGCACAACTCATTTATCGCTGCCTTTTAAAAGCTAAAGAGGGAACTTTACAGCATATGAAGGGTGAGATATAAGTGAAAAGGATAAGCTAACACAGTGCCTTGCAATAGATACTTAATAAATGCCTGATGACAAAATTGGCCACAATGGTTATCTGCTTAAGGAAGAGCCTGAACCAGAAGCGGGGCCTGAACATGGCAGCATGGGGTCTAATGGAATTTGGGGAAGCCCACCCAAATCAGAAAGGGCCGGGAAGGCAGGGATGGGGACAAACACATCTGCTTCCTCCCCTTTCCTCTGGGTACTGAGACACATCTGCCTCCTCCCCTTTGCTCTGGGTACTAAGACACATCTGCTGCCTCCCCTTTCCTCTGGGTACTAAGTCCAATTTCCCTTCCAAGGTGTCTCTGGCAGCCACCCCATTATTCAGCTGCCGTTTAATTTTGTTTTCAAACAGTACGATCCAAACAGCACATCTGATAGATGCATGGTGCTATCTTAAGCTCTTAAAAGTGTACCAGAAGTAATCAGGAAAAATAGTCTGTCATCACAGCCTTATCTAAGACACCATAGATAGTGTGTGTAGTATGAAATCTGACAAGAATCATCACAGACAAATGGAGGAAAACAAAACAAGCCATTACTGTTGTCCTAGACATAGACTCCATGCATTTGTACAGGTTTAATGTCTTAAGTTTGCTCTGTTTGGTTTCTTCTGTTTTTAACACTGGATGTTGTGCCTCTGTCCCATTACTCATCTAAGATATTCTGCTTACCGTCTTCCACTCCCCATTCCTTTTCCTTTGCTCATGTTGTACATCTAGAATGGAGCATTTAGGACAGCTGGACCTTTGCTAACCATCCCTCTTCTGTCCTTCAGAAGTGTGTCGCTTACCAGAATCCTGAATATATCTGTAGACACAGCCCTGGGTTCTGTCCTGTTAGCCACGAATCCGTGTGGCCCTTCCTATTAGTAATATATGTACCCTCCACTAAATCCCAAGTTTCAGTTACCCCTCACATATATTTGATGATACAGCAAAGCCCTCATCATAAAGAATCATGCTGTAATATAGATTCCATTATGCTTTGAATCAGAGCCTGTCCTGGTATATGCAGTGGCGTATAACATCTCTTTTTTTCTGGAACACAAAAAAAAAATAACACAAAGGTGTTTGCCTCTCTCCCTTTCTGCCACCATGGTAGCAGAAGTCTGTGAAGTTTTGTACTTAGCTGGTTTTCCTGCCTCTTGCTTGTCCACTTCTCATTGGTTCTGCAACAGGAGTAGTTGCTCTGAGATGCAAACCTGCCTTCAGCCTGCCTGATGCACCATCACACAGCCCAGAGCTGCACAGGAGATGCTCATGGGGCCAAGCCACAGGCCAGGGGTGCTGACCAGGATGCCCTGCATGGAGAAGACAGGAGAGGAGCACCACCTGATGAGCACACACTCCAGCCAGTTGTTGCTGGGCGTGAGCACATGTCCAGGGTTGCCAAAGCGCAGTGCTGAGGAAAGCCACACACCTGACAGCTACCCACAAATTGTTTGAAATGCTGGGAGGATCACACAAGACACGTCTTGTAAGCCTGTCTGGGTCAGGGACTGCCCGTTTATCCTGGGCAGTGCATTGAAGGTCCAGAATGTGCCATCCACAGCCAGGCTCTATTTTCACCTCCTCCCACCAGTCTGTCCTCTAGTACAAACTGCGTGCTGTTCTCCAGCATGCCATAGTTTCACACCCTCATGCCCTTCCACAACTCTATTCAGCCTTCAGAACCAACCTCCAATGTCACCTAAAGGGGGCTTTCCTGCCATCCCTGCTCTCGGACAAGTAACCACATCGCCACACTGCCGTGTTGCTCTAGACCCATATCTGGAGGCCTCCCTGGGTTCCTCCCTTGGCCTCAGTGCTGGACACCTTCTCCACCCAGGTGTCCTGACAGCTTCATTCTCTACATGTATCGCAAATAGGTTCACTTCTCCATCTCCGCTCCCAGCATCCTGCTCTCAGCCACCTTTGGCCATTCACTGAGTACTCCTTTAGCCTTTTCGTGGGTCCCCTGCTTTCCCTCTGTCCATGACATGTCCTCATAGGACCCAGAGGAATCTTCTGGAAACAAAAATCAGCCTGTGTTATTGGCCTGCTTAATATCCTTCAGTGACTTCCCACTGCACCTCTCATAACAGCCACACTCTGAACAGAGACCTCCCAAGCCCCACGTGACTTGCCCAGGCCTCCCCCGGGGCTCCTCTCTTCTCAGGGCCTCCAGCACTCCTTGGCCTCATGCCTCTGGATACGCTGTTCCTTCTCACCAAAACTCTCTGTTCCCTCCACTGGAGCCCAGCTGGCTCCTTTCCCGTCTTTTAGTGTCAGGTTAAATGTGATGCACTCAGAGTTTTCTCTAAACCCCCTGCATCTAAGCAGGGCCCCAACTTTGTTCTTCATTACTGCCCTTACTCATTTTCCTCAGAACATTCATTAAAAATTGTCCTTAGATACCTGTCTACCTACCTTCATTGACAGAATCTCCCATCAGACTGTAACTCCAAGAGCTGGGACCACAGTGTCTTGTTCACTGCTGTACTCCCAGGGCCTAGCATGGTGCCTGACCTAGAGCTGATGTTCAGATATTGGTTGGTTGGATGAATCAGCAAATAAACTCTTTGGAGTATTCCTTTGTATCCTGAAGTCTTTGATTGCTGTCATCCATGGGATTGTCACCTGTTTCCTTACCTGTCTGCCTTTCATTAGACTGTAAGCTCCTTGAGGGCAAGGACTGCCTTCATATCTCTGCTCTCAGCCCCTTGGCACATGGTATTGATGCCCATAGGTTTATGTCTACTGATTGCCAGCCCTACTTAGGCACAGATAAGGACAGCTCCTCTACCTACTTTTACCATGTGAGTAGTGCATGACTCAAATTATAAATTTCTGTTGTTGTATGTTTATTACTCTTTGTAGTTATGACATTTATTATGGAACCAAAATTGTCGTAAAATGAAAACCCTTTTGATGAATTGACCATTCAGACATCCTCCCCAACCTCCCCATTTGACATCTTGTACTGCACATAGTTTTGACAGATGGATTGTCTTTCTGATGGTCCAGCTACGTTTGATTGCAAAGTGATTTCATTAAGTCAATGAAAGTGATTTTGGAGAATTTCTCAAATGTCCTGTGAAGCCCTTGACAGTAGGGATCTTGTTAACTTAAATGAAGAGGAAAAATACTGCTCAGGATGATGATATAAGTGCTTCAGAAGATAATGGTTTGTGTATCAAAGGGTTAAGAGGGGCCTAGGGAAAATTGATGAAGCCCTCAAATATTTTTGTAAAAATTTGTCATTTTTATGATAAGACTATGAAAGTCAAACATGAAATGAAGGATATCGTATTGTGCTAGTATGTAGTTTTATCAGAAAATTCATAGCCAAGTTATCAATCAAGTTCGACTCAGTGTTCATCCAGAAAATTAGCTCCTGGCTGCAATAATAAACCTAAGGTTTTTCAAATACCAGATAAAATTAAACTTGATTTTACAATTTTAAGTTTATCTTCTCAAGATAGAGTCTTTGTGAGACCATTTTGTCCCTATTATTTGCTATCTTGAATGAATGCATTTAAAATCACCCTTTTTCCACCAATTATCTCCTTCAGTAACAAAGACTCCTGCAGTAGCATTGAGACAGACACAACACATATATTAAAAAACCTCATAAATACACCATACCTGTAGTAAGAGCATGTCAAATACTTGCCATCTGTGTGTGATTGTATAAAAGAAAGCTTCTTGGCCAGGCATAGTGGCTCACGCCTGTAATCCCAGCACTTTGGGAGGCCAAGGCAGGCGGATCACCTGAGGTCAGGAGTTCTAGATCAGCCTGGCCAACATGGTGAAACCCCATCTCTACTAAAAATACAAAAATTAGCCAGGCATGGTGGCGCACACCTGTGGTCCCAGCTACTCGGAAGGCTGAGGCAGGAGAATCACTTGATCCCGGGAGGTGGAGGTTGCAGTGAGCCGAGATCGCACCACTGCACTCCAGCCTGGGCCATGGAGTGAGACTCCATCTCAAAAAAAAAAAGCTTCCTAACCAGAGTCTAATAGACATTGCATCCAGTCTTTAAAAATGTACATTCCTGCATCTTAATATGGTTTCTCCCAATGACTGTTTTTACAGAGATCAGAACACTAGGAAGCCTCAGACTTATTTATTGTCACAGTAGTCATGTAAGGAATTGTTCTCCTGTTTAAAATCAAGAACAAGTGTAGTGGCTTAGTATCATCTAGAATTGGGGCAGACAGTCCCAGAAACCAGAGTCTGCAGTGCATCATCCACACTGGCCAGTGCACAGTTACCATCCACATGAAGAGACAAGAAGACCTGACTCCATGAGTAGAAGCAAACCCGAAAGTGATCCCATTATTAGAATTTGCAGACAGAATTTACACATATATTTTTGGGCCACATCCAACCTGCCACCAGTTTTTGTAAATAAAGCTTTCATGGAACATAGCCATGCTTGTTTGTTTATTATCTATGGCAGGGACGTCCAGTCTTTTGGCTTCCCTGGGCCACATTGGAAGAAGAATTGTCTCAGGCTGCATATAAAATACACCAACGATAGCTGATGAGCTTAAAAAAAAAAAATCGCAAAAACAGCTCAGTGTTTTAAGAAAGTTTATGGATTTGTGTTGGGCCACATTCAAAGCTGTCCTGGGCCACATAACAGGCCGCAGGTTAGACAAGCTTGGTCTGTGGCTACCTTCACTCTACAATAGTAGAGTTGAGTAGTTGCAGCAGAGATTATGTGACCCATAAAGCCAAAATATTCACTACCTGGTCTTTACCAGAAAAAGTTTGCCGTCACCTGATCTAGAGCCAGGTTTGGAGCAGAGATGTGCTGACAGCTTTTGAGTCTCTTACATGCCTCCACCTTCTTTCTTTGCATCAAAAGGACATGAAAGTTTCCATGTCAGTAATAGCGAGTGGCTTGCCCTCCCACAGCTAAAAATTATATATAAACTCCAGACAAAGCTTTAAAAAAACAACTGTTTGAAGGCACTGCAGAGCAACCAAATGCAGTCAGGGACTGCAAAGGGGAGCTTTCTTGTGTAAGATCCACATTTTTACAGCTTTTCCCCAGTGGGTATTTCCCAGTTCGAGTGGCACAGGGTAGCTAGTACTTAAGCAGAAAGCTTGTGTTGAGTGCAGAGTTTAGGACTGCTAGAGCAGCCAGAAAAAGAGGAGGCAAATCGCAGAAAAGGGATTCAACAAGGAGGGACCCCCTAAAATCTGTTTATAAATTCCCTGAAGTTTTTTTGACCCCCAAATTGTGAATTCACAAGAGAGACATTATAAAATGCAACAGAAACCAGTAGCTGGCAAGGGTGACAAGACAGCAGAGATTTCAGCTGCTCCTCATTACAGCAGGGCTAGACTTCAAAGTTTGAATCCAATCCTGCTGTGTTACAGGGGATCACTAAACACCTTGGGCATTCCGATGAAACTTCAGAAGAGCCATGCCTTGGGAGTAGAAACCGTGTCCTAGGACTAAGGGCAAATCCAAAAACCCAAGTAGACCAACCAATCTCAGGATGAGTCACCAGTAACTTAATACTCTTCAGAGAAGAAAAAAACCAAGCGTCTACAGTGCATCATCCACACTGTCCAGTGGACAGTCAGCACTACTACACATATGAAGAAACAGGAAGGTGTGACCCAGTGAGTAGAAGCAAACCCTAAAGTGACCCTTTTCTTGGAATTTGCAGACACAGAATTTAAAGCACATATTTTACATATGTTCAGAGATTTAAAGAAAACTAGGCCAGGCACAGTGGCTCATGCCTTTAATCCCAGCACTTTGGAAGGCCGAGACAGGCATATTGCTTGAGTCGAGGAGTTCCAAACCAGCATGGACAACATGGCAAAAGCCCATCTCTTAAGGGAAAAAAAAAAGGAGTGTTAATGACTTAACTGCAAATGGGGAATCTCACATAGAATGGAAACTAATAAAGAATCACATGAAAATGCTAAAACTGAAAGCTGCAATATCTAAGATGAAAAACTCACTGGAGGGTGATAGAACACATTAATCAGAAGAATAGAAAAACAGTAGAAAAATATGGACAGAGTCTCAGTATCATAGGGACAAATTCAAACAGTCTAACGTATGTGTAATTGGAGAGCCAGGAGGAGCAAAGAGAGAGATGGAAACAGAAAAAAAGATTTCAAGAAATAATGGCTGAAAATTTCCCGAATTTAGTGAAACATAACTCACAAATCCAAGAAGTTCAACAAATCTGTAAGTTCAAAGAACACCATATCTAGGTAAGTCGTAGTCAAACTGCTGAAAACCAAAGGTAAAGAGAAAATCTTGAATGCACCCAGAAGTAAAAGACACGTAAACAGGAGAACAACAATATGAATGATGGCTAACTTTACACATAAACGCCGGAGACCAGAAGCCAGAGGAACAGGATCTTTAAAGTGTGGAAAGCAAAAACCTATCAGTTTGCCAAAATTAGTTTTCAAATATAAAGTCAAAGTAAGAACATTTTTAGAAAAACAAAAACAGAAATCAACAGCAGCTGTCCCAGAAGGTTTTTCACACTAAAGGAAAATGACACCACATGGTAATTCAGATCCATAGGAAGAAATAATAGCCACTAGAAATGGCAAATAGAAACGTATGTTTTTTCTTCTTCAATTATTCAAAAGTTAACTAATTCAAAAATTATAACACTGGATTGTATAGTTTATAGCATATATAGATTTAGATTATTTGACAGTGGTAGTACAAAGAATGGTAGGATAACAAGAAATTAGACTTTTGCAAGTCTCTGATATTTTACATGAAGTGGTGCATTTTAAACTAAGTAGACTGTAGAAAAACGTGCAGTAGTCCAGACACAGGGGCTCACACCTGTAATCCCAGCACTTTGAAAGGCCACGACAGGTAGATTTGAGGCCAGGAGTTCAAGATCAGCCTGTCCAACATGGCAAAACCCCATATCTACTAAAAATACAAAAGTTAGCCGGGCATGGTGGCACTTACTGTAATCCCAGCTACTTGGGAGACTGAGGCACAAGAATTGCTTGAACCCGGCAGGCAGAGCTTGCAGTGAGCCAAGAACACACCACTGCACTCCAGCCTGGGTGACAGAGCGAGACTCTGTCTCAAAAAAAAAAAAGAAAAATGTGCAGTATATATTATAGTTACAAAAGCAACAACTTAAAAAATAATACAAGCAAGTACAGTTCAAAAGTCAGTAGAGAAGTTAATATACTAAAATTGAACACTAAGAAAAATTCAAGCAATGCAAAAGAGGAAAAGAACGGAGGAGCAGGAATTTTAAAAGAAATGGAACAGATACAGGCCGGGCATGGTGGCTCACGCCTGTAATCCCAGCACTTTGGGAGGCCGAGGCAGGTGGATCACCTGAAGTCGGGATTTCAAGACCAGACTGACCAACATGGAGAAACCCCATCTCTACTAAAAATACAAAATTAGCCGGGCGTGGTAGCGCATGCCTGTAATCCCAACTGCTAGGGAGGCTGAGGCAGGAGAATGGCTTGAACCCGGGAGGCGGAGGCTGCGGTGAGCCGAGATCACGCCATTGCACTCCAGCCTAGACAACAAGAGCGAAACTCCGTCTCAATGGTAGACCTAAATCCAAATATATTAGTAAATACATTAAATATAAAGGAGCTGAACTGCTGAACCTTCCACTTAAAAGGCAAAGGTTGTCAAAAATCAGGACCCAACTATGTGCTGGTTATAAGAGGACTACTATAAATATAAAAACAAATAAAGAATGCAAAAGGATGTAGTATTCAAATAATAAACAAAAGAGACCCATGTGGTTATATAATATCAGTAAAACAGACATGAAAACAAGGTGGAAGAAGGACATTGTGAGAAGAATATTGAGGAACTTTGTGTTGATAGAACTGTTTGACATCTTAGTGGATGATATTCACACAGATATATACATTTGTCAGTTTATCAAATTAAAATTTAATTTGATAAATTTTAAATTTATCGTAAAACTCAAATTAATACGAAATTTTAAAAGCCAAAAGGTTAAACTCATTGGATAAGCAGTTCCAGAATCCATAGTTCTGTATGTGGTTTATGTATGTGCACCAAATGCTCCCCTGTGATAATCCCTGCCTGTGTTCAGGGGTAAACCACCATTAACAACAGGATGTAAATACAGTGTCATCAGATCATAAGTAGGGGTCAGGCTTCAGAGTCAGGGTGCAAGACGAAAATTAAGTATAGGCAAAATTCTTGTCATTAAACATTGACATCATATCCAGTTGGTGAGATGCTCACATAGGACGTGTGCCCAAGAACTGAGATTGACTGGGCAAAGAGCTTCACAGTCTCCATCTCACACTCATTGAGAGAAATAGCTCACTGAATCACCCTTGCTGTTCAAATGGTTATTCCTCTCCCTTCTCTTTCCTCCCTGTTGTGTGTCACCGGTTGTGGAGGCCAGGGTGACCAGGGTGATGAGTGGGAAGAAGCTGTGTATTCAGGGTTAAATTGATGTAAATGAAATGAGATCTGTACCCAGCATTTGAGAATTGCCACATGCAAGGAGATATCAAAAAAGCAAGTTGCAAACTCATCCAAGTAGTGAATGTAGATGTGTACTCATTTCTGAAGGACAATCAGTGTTCAGATTACAGGGTTTTCTTTATGACACCCAAATGCAGCTACTTCTCTGGAGAACTATTTATAGCATTATTTTTATCTCCCCTGATAGTTAGGGAAGCCAAAGTTTAAAGGACTATTGAACAAATGAATTTGGGAATTATAACATTGAGTTCAATTAAAAAGCCTTTTTAGCTGAAACAATTGTTTATAGCGCCATATTTAATTCCTATAAAACTGTATTCTGAACTATCTTCTGAGAGACATTTCAGTGTTACATTAAAAGTTTTTGCCTTTGGTAATTACTGGTTCATTTGCTTTAAAGCAGCATGTCATTTTCTTGGCTTAAGAGAAAGATTACTTTTTGTGCAGGGATAATGGGCTTATAAATCTAGTATAAAACATATTTAACCAGTTTTCCCAATTTTGTTTATTTTTCCCCCTCCTCTGCAGTTTCGTGCCTTAGCACCAATGTACTATCGAGGGTCGGCTGCAGCTATAATCGTTTATGATATCACAAAAGAAGTAAGACTATATAGTTTTCTTTAGATTGTTTTGAAAACTCTTTTGGTTGCTTAGATCTCCAGTTGCTCTCTTTTTTGTGTGTTACAGGAGACATTTTCAACATTAAAGAATTGGGTGAAAGAGCTTCGACAGCATGGCCCACCTAATATTGTAGTTGCCATTGCAGGAAATAAATGTGATCTTATCGATGTAAGGTAAGTTATTAGAACGAGAGATTACAATACCTATTATGTGTTCCTTTTCTTAATAAGCAATATCCAGTTTAAGAATCTTGCTTTTATTTTATCTCTGACATTGAAAAATTCCTTTTGGTTGTGTGGTTGGAGTCCTAAATTTTTAAACTAAAATTAAGATTTCAGGCATTTGGAGCTAATTATATTATGTATACAGACAGGTGTGCAATTTACGGAAATACTGGTTGCGTTGCATCCAACATTATCTGAGATCAGAGCAGCCCCCAGGCTCCCATGACTTAGAATACTTGAATGCAGAAAGCACATTTATTGGCAGTTTCCCTGGGCCACTTCCATCATTCCCAAAGCAAGGGCTTTTTGAAAATTTTGGCTGGGGAAGAAAACCCTGCCATCCCTAATCATTCCATTAGCTACATTACTAGTGGTACCGAGTTTTGTTTCACTTTGTTTGTTTACCCATGGATGTGGTGTAATCGAGAAGACCATGTCTCAGGGCCCATCCAGCAGCCATTTAGTCCATCCTTTGTCATCATAAATCTGGTTAACTACTGGGTAGGTGGGGGTACAACTAAGATCTTCATGGGTAGAATTTCTGATATGTAGTTGTTGCCTTCCAGAGAAGTCATGGAGAGAGATGCAAAGGACTACGCCGACTCTATTCATGCAATTTTTGTAGAGACCAGCGCAAAAAACGCGATAAACATAAATGAACTCTTTATAGAAATTAGTGAGTATCTCTGTGCCTTATCCATTTCCTCTGTAAAAGCCGCTTAACACAGAATGATCTTCCTGGTTAGAATTCCTGTCTTACTTAGAGCAGTCTAGTCTCTGATATTGTGATCAGTGAAATGAAGTTGGAGAAGGTAAGAGTAATGTCCAGTTTTCATATCATGTTATAGTTGCTGAAGAGCTGCCGCCCTTCTGGAAAGAGTGTTGCTACTGAATAAATAATGCACAGGGTACTGAGGTCATGAAAGCTGTCCCATTTCTTTCTCTATTTAAATATGTTTCTGTTAGTCGTCCAAGGTCATTGAAAATGAACAAAATGAATAAAGGGAAATGAAATGCAGGTATACTTGCACGGTAAGAAAACCCTCAAAAATAATACTAGGCAAGTGAAAGGTAAGACCTGTTTTCCCTTCTCTTTCCCTTCCCTTTCCAGAAGTGTTAATATGATGATACTCGATGGGAGAGGGGCTGCTGCATGCCTTTGGGATCCTCTGCAGATCGTATCTATGTTTATTCATTTCATTCAAATTCATCAAAATATTTATTGGGAGCTGTTCCAGGCTCAGGGGAAATAGCCGTGAAGAAGATAGACGCAGCCCCTGCTCTCCTGGAGCGCACATTCTACAGAGGGAAACAGACAGTGAACACCAAATAAATAGGATCATTTCAGATCATAATAACTGATACAAAGAAAATAATTTAGGATGAAATGAAGGAATGTCTGCAAGCAATTGGGGAAGGTCTCCCTAAGGAGGTGCTATCAGAGCTGAGGTCCAAAGAAGCAGGCCCTGTAGAGGTGTGGGGAGTCACATAAACATGTCAGACTTCCAGGTGGAGAAAAGCAGAAAGCCGTCAGAGCAGGGTGGATGTAGCGTTAAGATCCACCATGTGGTTGAGAGCCAAGGGTACTGAAGCAGGGAGGGTCCTTTGCCATTGTGTCGAGGAGGGGCATGAACTCCAGAGCCCACCAAGGCCAGGCAAGGTTGACCCATGAGCAGAGCAGGCCCAGGTGAAGCCTTGGGAACCCCAGCTCAGGCCAGGCCCAGCTCCATCAGCTGGGGCCACACTGGAATGTGGGCCCCTGGTTGCTGAGGTTGTTTTCACATTTTTTTTTTACATGTCCCATTGTTTAGATTTGGCCAATCATTTAAGTATTTTCAGAGTACTTTGCAGGCCTAAGGAGCCCATCTGCTGCCAGATATGGCCAGTGAACTACTGATTGCACCCTCTAGGCCAGCCCGTTCATTTCAGTGTTAAAACGTCATGATGTGCCCGGGCATGGTGGTTGTCACCTATAATCCCAGCTACTCCAGAGGCTGAGGCAGGAGGATCACTTGAGGTCAGGAGTTTAAGACCACCTTAGGCAACATAGTATAACCCTATGTCTAAAAAAATATAAAAATCAAAATACTAGGGCATTGTGGCATGCACCTGTAGTCCCAGCCACTCGGGAAGCTGAGGTGGGAGGATGGCTTGAGCCCAGGAATTTGAGGCTGCAGTAAGCCATTGATTGCACCGCTACACTTCAGCTTAGGTGACAGAGCAAAACCCTGTCTCTTAAAAAAACAAAAATCATGTTTATTGTTGTCCTGGATGTAAATAGCAGGTACCCAGATGGATTTTTGAAAGGCAACATAAAGCCAGTTGGGAATTTTTCACAGCTCAAGCTAAAATGTCTAAGTGTGTGGTGTCATGAGTATGTTAAAATTACTGCTATCTTTTTGTGTTCTTCACTTTAGTGGTATTAAAAACAGGAAAGTAGGCCAGACATGGTGGCTCACACCTATAATCCCAGCACTTTGGGAAGCCAACATGGGTGGATCACCTGAGGTCAGGAGTTCGAGACCAGCCTGGCCAACATGGTGAAACCCCCATCTCTACTAAAAATACAAAATTAGCTGGGCGTGGTGGTGCATGCCTGTAATCCCAGCTACTTGTGAGGCTGCGGCAGGAGACTCGCTTGAACCCGGGAGGTGGAGATTGCAGTGAGCCGAGATCACGCCATTGCACTCCAGCCTGGGCAACAAGAGCAAGACTCCATCTCAAAAAAAAAAAAAAAGGAAGATAGTAAACTATACCAACAATGAAAAGTCTTATATAAAAACTAGTATGTACATATTCAATTTAACTGTGAAAAACAAAACCTATATGTTCACAAAGATTAGAAAAATTGGGAGAGATGTACATAGACTTTCTTGTTCACTGGCTTAGTAAAACTGCGTGAGCACAGTGCCTGGCACACTGACTTTGTATTGAAGTATAATAGACATACAGAAATGTGCACGTATCAGAAGTATAAGGCTCAGTGAATTTTCACAAACTGAATATACTCCGGTGCTTGGCACTCTGGTTGGGACATGGCCGTTCCTACACCCAACGGTAACCATCCTGATACTAATTCTTCAGATTGGTTTATCTGGTTTTGTTTTACATATATTTTGTACTTTATATTTTTAAAAACACTCTGTTTCCTCTTGTGTGTCTGGCTTCTTTCATTCTGCATTACATTTTTAGACCATCCATGTCATTGCATCTAGCTGTGAATGATCCACTCTCATGGCTGGTTTGTGCGTGTGAGTGTCAGAGTCCGAGTTGTGCGGGTAAGGGGGCAGTGAAGAATACCCACAATATAATTATCCATTCTGCTGTTGATAGACATTTGGGTAGCTGTTTCCAATTTAGAGTTATTACAAACAGTACTGCTCTAAACATTCTGATCGTATTCTTTGGTGAACATCTGTACACATTTTTGTTAGGTATATTTATACCCACAAGAAAAAATGCTTGTCATTGAGTATGCATGCATTCAGTACAGCTTTACCGCCAACCAGTTTTCAAAGTGGTAGTTGTACTAGTTGACAACCATACCGGTAGTGTATGAGAAGTCCGATCACCTTCTGTCTCTGGTGGGTAGTCAGTGATCTCCATTTTCATGACAGTTAATGAAGTCGAGCACATTTCCGAATATATGTTTACATTTGTCGTATCTACATATCCTCCTTTGTGAAGGGCCTGTTAAGTCTTTTGCCTGTTTTCCTGTTGGGTTACCTGCCTCCTTCTTAATGTTTTATAGTTCTTTATTTTGGAGATGAGTCACTTATTGACTATGTATATTGGAAGTATCTTCTACTGTATGGCTTGCCTTTGATTTTTTTAGTCAACTCCTTCGATGGATTGAAGTTTTTAATCTTCATATAATCTGACTGATCCTTGTTTTCCTTTATGTTTAGCTGCATTAGGTTTTTGGTTGCTGTTTTAGAAATCATTACCTGTTCCCAGCTCATGAAAATATTCTCCTCTTATTTCTTTTAAAAATATTATTTGTTCAACAATTTTTTGATGTCATATTTCACAGATGTCTCTTAGATACCAGCTATATTTCAATATCCATTTATTGAGAATAATGACAAGAAGCTTGGGTAAAGCTTTTAAACAGATTTGTAGTATATTCACAGCAGTGTCTAGTCATTTGAAAAGTAGTTAGAAGACATTGGGAGATACTTTCTCAATGTAGAAACCATGCTGTGTACTCCCCACACAGATCCGCAGACAACTCAAAGTGGTGGAGGCTCAAGGCTTGAGAGAACCTGAGTCAGCGGAGAGGCCATCTTAGCCTTGTTAATGTCAAAAGGTGTACATGTCCATTTATTCCATGTTTACAAAATACTTCTGTGTCAGGTATTGTGCTGATAAGATACTGGAAACATAAAGATGGACAAATAGGATCTCTTCCCTAGAAGAGCTTAGGGTCTAATGTGAGGGAGATAGTCATGTAAACAGATATGAGATATGTGTAGTAACCTGTTTCTGGTGTCCTGATTGATTGTAGTGTCTGGGATGTTACAGAGTAAGGAAGTGGGAGGGTGTCAGGAAAGCCTTTGTACAAGAAGCAACCCTTGAGTTATCAGCCAGGTAGGTAGATGGGTGATTTAAGGATTCTCTTGAAATTGTCATTATGCTTCACGGAGCAGTGAAGTGAAACCTGTTCATTCTCATGCATTGTTGGTAGGAGAATATAGTGGCACAGCCTCTTCAGAGAGTAATTTGGCAGCATCTGTCAAAATTTAAATTGCACATTCTTCCTGCATTTGTGCTAGATAGACACTGGAATACAATGTATGTGTCAGACAAATACCCAGGAGTAGAATACCGTGACCTAGCTCTTCCACTCCGGGCATTAATCCTACACACATACTCGTAAGTTCAGAAAGATGCTTCTTGCATCTTTGTTAATAACATCAAAATATTGGAAACAAACTAAATACCCATCAATAGAGAAATGGTTAAATGAATGGTGGTACATCTACAAATGCAGTATTTTAGAGCTGTTAAAAAGAAGGCAGCAGGCCAGGCACAGTGGCTCACATCAGTAATCCCAGCACTTTGGGAGGCTAAGGCAAGCAGATTGCTTGAGGTCAGGAGTTCAAGACCAGCCTGGCCAACATGGCGAAACCTGGTCTCTACTAAAAATATAAAAATTAGCCGGGCGTGGCGGTACACGCCTCTAATCCCAGCTACTCGGGAGGCTGAGGTGGGAGAATCGCTTGAACCTAGGAAGCTTAGGTTGCAGTGAGCCGAGATCATGCCACTATACTCCAGCCTAGGTGACAGAGCCGATAGCCTGTCTCAAAAAAAAAAAAAAAAAGGTGACGGCTCTTTCTCCATGTACTATGATGCCACAATCCCCAGGATGTGTTGAGTGAAAGTATCAAGGTGGAGAATGGTGCATATGGTTTGCTTTATTTCTTGCCCCATTTGGCCTTGGAAAGGGGAGATGGGTAGGGATATAGGTGTGCCTGAGTGTTTGTGCATATATGTCTCTGGAAGGCTACACGAGAAATGGGCCACAGTGGTGGCCTTGTCATGAGACAGAGGGACAACCATGTTCTGACTGAACTTTTTAAAAAACAAATCCTATGTATTACCTACTCAAAACAAAATGTTTTTGATGTGTGGCTTTTTTTAATTAAAAAACGTTTACTAAGTGCTGTGTGATATCCTTGTTTGGATCCTGGGGCAGAAGCAGGACATGTAGAAAAACTGATGCTATCTGAAAAAAGTCTGGAGTTAATAGTGATGTGGCAATGTTGAACTCTTCATTTTGACAAATGTCCCATGGTAATATGTCAGCACTGGGGGAAACTGGGTGGGAGGTACACAGGAGCTCTATCATCTTTGCAGCTTTTCTATAAATCTAAAATTATTCGAGTATAAAAAGTTTATTAAACTTTTTTTTTTTTTTTTTTACTTCAGTGAAACCTGTCAAATTGCATCTGCAAAATTGTTGTGTCTGAGAAAGTTAAAGCTCACTCCCTTCCCTTTTCTCATCTTGGTTTAGGTCGAAGAATTCCATCCACTGACGCCAACCTGCCATCTGGCGGTAAGGGCTTCAAACTCCGAAGACAGCCTTCAGAGCCAAAGCGGAGCTGCTGCTGACCGAACCTCAGCCTCTCAGACTTGATGATGAAGTAGGTGGTCCTGAAAGTTAACAGGAGGGCTGGGGTCCCTGCCACCAGTTTTCACCTAGCCAGTCTTGAGTCTTCTCCGTGCAAAAAGGATTCACAGAAATGGACCAGTTCTGTTCTCCAAAGACTGCAGCAATGATATTTCAGTCTGTGAACTTCTATTATGTAAAGAATCTCTAGTGTACAAAGGGACTACATCGTTGGCTTTTGACCTTGCTGAAAAGGAACATATAATTGTATGGATGGTAGGATTAAGTTGTTGAGTAGTTTTGTAATCAAGATTTTATGTAACATTTGTAAAGGGAAAATTAGCACTTTTGTGGTTCTTAAGGGAAAAGAAACAGACCTTGTGGAGATTATAATTTCCTTGGTTTCTGTTACCACTGTTAGAGGGAGTTGTATCATTTAACATATAGTAGGATAGTTTAAGTGTAGGGAGGACAATTATTGTCTGAAGCTAAAATGGGTTATTTATAGGACTGATGGAAATGATTTCATCTCTGCCATCTCTAAAGCACTTTTCATTGAACATGTTAGCCTAGGATACGTACAGTAAATTAACAATGATAGCAGCAGATGCCTAGCTCATCCTGGGTTTGCTTCTGACCTTGTCATGTGTGTGCCACCAAACACGTTATTGGCACCTTTTTAAATAAGCTCTCATGATCAAGATGGTGATGGTAGAGAAGCTGCCCGGAATAAACTGAATTTCATATGTTCTAAAATGACTAGCAATGGTTTAAAAAGGAAGAAGAGTGGAAGTGAAGAAGGTGGTATAAATGCTGTCAATTTTTTTTTAACCCAAGTATTTTGGTGGGGAAAAGCAAGTATCTATTGCTTAGCATATGTAAAGTTGTAGTCTATATTTATGGGGCCATTGCTTAAAGATTATAAATTATGTAAATACATTAATAAATTCTAAGTTTCATTTGACATTCCATTGAATCTCGCACCCAGTCTTGCGTATGCCTGCCCAGTTTTCAGCCTCTTAACGGGAGACTCAAGCACATTGGTATTGTATAAAGGTATAGAGCACTTAGCTTACAATCTTTAAAGGTTTCTCTGCCTTCCCTTCTACCCACCCGCCTCCCACCAGATCCCATCTGGAAATCATAATAAAGACATATGCCACTTTGACAAACCTGACTAGTCCTTACTAGCCTGAGGGTAAAAGATTAAGCTCCAACCTCAAGTCATTTACCTGGTCTTGGTAATAAGTTTCTTTTAGCTTGTACAGCATCCTCAGACCAACTGAGGAGCTTTCCTTGTTAACAATTTAGCTTATCTTTCTGTTTCCTTTATTTTTCCCCTGCCTCTGTTAGTGGTTAACACTCTTTTCCCTCAGGGAGCCTAATGAGGTTTTTAATATCATCTAAAAATAAAGCATTGAAGTGAAGTTGGTGAAAATTTGTTCCTGGTCTAATTTGGCACCCTTCCAACCTGAGTATTGTAGGGGAAGGAAATTTACAAGATTTAATAGGAAATGAAACAGCTTGAATTTCAAACTAAATTGTATTTTCAGAGCTATCCTGAAACTGAACAGCTGAAACTTTAAAAAATAATTGGTATTATTTTGTGCCCCCCACTTAATATGGATAGATTTTAATGGGAAAATTATAATTCAGATTAAATAAAAAACAATTCCCTTTTCCCTGTTGTATATCTTAAGCATTTGGAATTTTTTTTATCTTCTGAAATCATATAAAAAGAATGTCATTAGTAAAAATTCTAACTTCGTTTTGTTTAAAAGACATGTGGATGCTCCATGCCCCTAGGATTTTGCTTCCTCCCCGGTGCTAAATTAGCAAGCTCCTAGAGAAGCCATGTGATTCCCAGAGCCAGGCGCTTTACACCTAAAGTAGTTTGACTTTCTTCTGTATACATCCAGATGGATCCCAGGCATCCGGGCACCACCCTGGTGTGTCCCTAGAATTCCCACTGCTGGGCCTCTATCTCCATGACAACAAAATAAAAACAGAGGTTGCTTGACTCATTACCAAAGAGGCAAAGCATGTGCGACCCTTTCTGTCTTATTTTACCAAAAGATGGTGCAAATCTATGACCTTCACATTTTTTCCACCACACCCACCAGTAGCTGTTGGTGATTGCATGGTGTCTCGGTGCATGGGGAAAGGCAAGGTCTTCTGAGCTCATCTTAACTGGTGAGGCATCTGGATGTGTCTGATCTTACTGTGATGTTTTACTGTACCGAGCCCAATGTGGGTCCATCTCATCAGCCCTTTGCTGATTTCATGATTTCTCACCCTCCCTCCCATATGTAGGGTGTGATTCTGTTTTATTATAGCCACATGTTTTATTAACAGAATGAGTGATATGAAGCTTGTACTTATGCATTTCTCGGGCCTCTTCCCTCATTTTCATCAGTCTGTCTAAGAACTTGACTCGGCACTGTTTCTCGTGTAATATCCTTCTAATGCTTAGCAACAACAACAAAAAATTGCTCTCTCAGATCCATAATCCATACTCAGTGAAAGCAGGGAAAAAATATTTTCACTTATTTTATTTGCTTCTAAAATGCAAAGATGAATACTAAAGTCAGAAGCAGTGTTTCATTTTGAACACATTTTGGATTATTAAGCTGACTAAGCAATGATCTAATACACATTTCATATTTTCTTTATAATAATTTCTTATGGAGAAGAGGCTATATTTCAAAGGAATTGAGACATACTCCCATCTATAAACATGTTTGGTTTTCTTACGATACAGGGCCATTTTTTTAAAACTCTCAGGACTGAACAGAAGAGAAAAATTATTAATTAGCTGCTACTGTATGTTGATTCTTTTCGGAGAAATTGAAATAAGCTCTTTGCAGGCGTCCAATCCTAGAAACCAATGGTCTCCAGAACTCTCACACAAGTGTTTTTCTGATTCTATGATAACTAATTAACCATCATCTGGTGATTAAAAGAACATAAAGTAAGATTATGATTAAGTGTCCATCACCTGCCTGTCAGCCGTGGTCAGAATAAGTTTTACACGAAGCAGGTGAAAGATTTAGTTCTTTTCAAAGTAACTTATTTTCTTGTGACCCGTTTATGATGTTGTTTGAAGTCCCTGTTTCCCATTGTGTACGCACTTTCTGGATGTCTGGAAGGATCGGGACTTTTGTGTGAGAGGCTTGAGCGCCTCCTCTATGTGGGCTGGTGTCCTTCTTGAAGTTGTCAATTCCTCTTATTCTTAAATATCTAAAGGGAAAGGAAACCAACTTTAATTTCAGAACTTCTCTTTACGTCTTGTATGTATTTCTTTTCTGTTCTCAAGGAGGAAAATTGGTCTAGGAAGCCTTCTAAATTAAACTCTGGGAAATATAGTAATGAAAATATCCTTTAGCTAACTTTCCTGTAACTGTCAAACCAAAATGTCAGTATTTTTAGGGCATTGTGTTAAAATAAGCAGTTTAGATTCCGACGACACTGCACTAATTGGCATGTCAGCCTCCAGCTCAGAAAGGCATTTGCTCATGGTTACAGGCATCTTTTAGATTCTAAGAGTGAGTTACAGAATTCTTTTTGGTACTTTCACTTATTCTTTCAGAATACATCAAGGATGTGATTTATGGGCCCTTAAGAGTATAAGATATAGGTGCACAGTATGTTACTTAAGTAACGGATGAGCCCCCCTAAACATCCACGTGTCTCTGCAGGAACCTGTGTAAGTATTGTGAAAACCCTTTTCTTCCAGGGAAAAATTATTGGAAATTCCTTAACTGAGCTATACTTGGTACTTGCTCTAGAACATTTGGGAAATGACAAACTCAGGCTGGCTCTCCTCTCTAACCTCACTGGGCTATAAATGTTCCTTCTAACTCTGTAATGAAAGTTCAGTGACAAACTAGATAGTGAACCTGTGAAAGTCATTATTTACATTTGCTTTAAAGGGACAGTTTTACCGTTCAACTTCAAGAGTTTTTCTACCTCTTTAACAGTTAATATTTTTTAAAGGAAGAAATGGAATGTACCTTCAGGGGTCAAGCTGTTAACTGTATACCTGCCTCTAGTTAGCTTGGTTTATCAAAAGGATTTTTAAATGATTCAAGGTAATGTTTAGGATATTTGTTTTAACTCCTGCTGTGCTGTGATTTAAAAAAAAATAGTCTAAGAAACAAATTTATCCATGAGATAAACATCATATTTTATAGTTTTAGAAAAAAGGGTTGGGGGTGGAATTTAGCCTAGAACTTAAAGAAACAACCTCTGCGAATTTCTCTTGACAGCGGAGTTGCTTGTCTTGACTTCTAATAATATAAATCCAGGCAGTTTGATTATCCGATTTGCAAGAAACTTTAATGGAATTCTGGGGCATTTGTCCTGTTTTATGTGCAAATGAAAGTCTAAAAAATATGAGGAAGATATTACATTTTTCAGGAGCCTCCATTTTTTCAGTCTAAGAGAATGATAAGTGAGAGGCCTATTGTGATGAAGTTGCATTGGACATAATGTGGGAAGTGAATAAATAGAACCAAGAATCTTCATCTATCTCTGTTGGTCTTTCAGGATTCTCTTAGCATATAGGAAAATGATTTACCTTCCAGATCTCGAAGGACTTCCAATAGCATAGATCAGGTTTAATTTGATGGTCTATACCATCAGAAATAACTAATATCTGTTTTCTTTCCTTTTAGAGTATAATCAATTATGGATAGGCCAGAATATTTTTGGCTTCAAAACAAAAGGATTCATAAGCTTAAAAAAACAAAAATCCCAAACCTTCCATCTATCCCTTTTATTACGTTGAACATTTTAGATAGTAAGATTAAGATGTATCATTAGTATATGGTGAAATTAAAACCGTGGTGTCTAACAGATTTAACAAAAAGTGTTTAATTTACTGCAAGTTCATTTTTAGATCTGTATGGTGCCCAGTACTCCACAAAATGCATCATAATTGAAACAACAAAATTATTTTCATGAGCAAGAATTCAAGTATCAAGGCCTATCAGCCAATTAAAAGCCGTAAGATAGTAATGATTTTTTTTCTTTTTTTTTTTTTTTCTTTTTTTAGATGGAGTCTCACTCTGTCGCCCAGGCTGGTATGCAGTGGCGCGATCTCAGCTCACTGCAACCTGTCTCCTGGGTTCAAGCAGTTCTCCTGCCTCAGCCTCCTGAGTAGCTGGGATGACAGGCGTGCACCACCATACCCAGCTAATTTTTGTATTTTTAGTAGAGATGGGGTTTCACCATGTTTGCCAGGCTGGTCTCGAACTCCTGACCTCAGGTGATCTGCTTGCCTCGGCTTCGCAACATTCTGGGATTACAGACGTGAGCCACCGCGCCCAACCAGTAACGATTTTTTTAAAGGGCCTTTCTTAATTGACAGTTTTAAGCTGTAGACATTAATATTATAACAAACAAAACATGCCAGTTTTACTGATTCCGCTTTTTGCTTGATTCAGGAACTTTTCATTGTTTGGGGAAGCTTTTGAATGCAGTACTGTGGAGGAAATCATCCTTAAAATAGCATTTCACACATAGGGCCAAAATTGAAATTGTCAAGGAAACCCCTCAGCATCTAACGTCATCTTGTAGAAGAGCTGGGCATACCTCTTCCTCTAGGCCAATTCAGAGGCCACTGGCCACCCAAGTAGAGTGGGGCCCACTGGCATGAGTAGTCCCTGTGCCCATGCCCATGGTGGTGCTTGACTTTGCTTTGGGGCTTAATCCTAGTATCATTTGGCCATTAATTTTTAATTAAGTTTATACTTGAATAATCAGTTTTACTCCTGAAAAATTTTGAAGCCAGCACTGACTTTGTTTATATTCACTTACCTTGTATATGAACTTATGACATTAGAGTTTGTGAAACTGTCTTAACGTGGCTCATACACGTGATGTCAGAGGGACTGGTCAGTTCTTTACAGGGTGAATTAATCGGCAGCTGGCTAGTCAGAGCAACTGATGGGTGGCTTTTTTTTCTTTTTTTTTTTGAGACGGAGTCTCGCTCTGTCACCCAGGCTGGAGTGTAAGGGCGCGATCTCGGCTCACTGCAACCTCCGCCTCCCAGGTTCAAGCAATTCTCCTGCCTCAGCCACCTGAATAGCTAGGATTACAGGCGCCCGCCCCCACACCCGGCTAATATTTTTTGTATTTTTAGTAGAGACAGGGTTTCACCGTGTTGATCAGGCTGGTCTCGAACTCCTGACCTCACGATCCGCCCGCCTCGGCCTCCCAAAGTGCTGGGATTACAGGCGTGAGTGGTGGCCCTATTTTTAAACCATTCGTTACGCTGTGTAGACAGAGCTTTATTGCCCTGGAAAAGATTTTTTTTTTAACTCTCATGCAGTTCAGTCTTTCCATCATTTCACTTTGTGAGTCACTCACATAATTGTCAATCATTCCTCTGACCTTCTTAAGAATTTACACCTTACCGTCTCTGTGATTGAAGCAGACTTCTCGCTTTATTTCCCTTAGGCTCATTTTTCTGTGGGCTCTCCCTTAAAGACACATGGCCACAGACACCTCCTTCGCATATGTAATCTGCCTTCCCCTGCGGCCTTCCGTGGTCACAGCAACAGGGACTGCTCACCCCCTCCAGCTGGGGCTTTTCTAACAAGCACAGTCAGAAATGCGCAGGCCTGGGGTTGGGGATGAACAGAAGTTGATTAGTGGGCACAGAAATACAGTTAGATAGAAGGAATAGTTCCAGCATTCGATATTACAGTAGGGAGACTGCATTTAACAATAATTGATTGTATATTTGAAAACAGCTAGAAGAATAAGAATATTCCCAACACAAAGAAAAGATAAGCGAGGTGAAGGAAATCCCAGTTACCCTCATTCAGTCCATTACACATTCGATACAGGTATCAAAATATCATAGGCACCTCAAAGACATGTACAACTCTTAATTTAACATTTTTGAAAGAAAAAAAAACCGGCCAGAGCATTAAAACAAATAAAATAAGAAACACAGAGGCCAGTGTTAGGTGAAGAACTCCGCTGCTTCAGAAAGAGAATAGCAGCGCTCGCTTACCGTGGGAACACGGCCAGTTAACAAAATGGGTTTTGGTTTTTTGTTTTGTTTTGTTTTACCATTGGTAATAAGATAGTTAACATAAGTGGTCAGAACTTCGCTGAATTTGTAATAAAGCATTTGTTAAGCGTGTAAAAGTCCAAATTAAAAGTCTTGAAGAAAAACAGCTATGGCAATGAGCCTAGACATTTTTCAAAAAAAAAAGCTAAGCCGTCCTACCAGCAATCTCTCTTTCTCCTAAGAATGTCATGCCTTCTCAAGACCTGATGAAAGGAATAAGATATTTGTGCCTTTTTATAAAAGCATCTATTACGAAAGTAAAATTCAGTTGCTTACAGTTTTGGCCGCTTTGTAGCACTATTATAAACAGCCCAAATTTATGGCCTTGGACTTACTGCATGACACATGGCCTGGTTACCTGTCATGGAATGCTGCAGTGGTGGTTTGCCAAGCTTCTGTGGATGTTTGAAGACTTTATTTTTGCAGTCTTAACCTTGGGCTGGACCTAAGTGTATGTAAACCATATGATGCCTGTATTGTTTATAGATGCTGACAAAAGAAAACTAGACCTTTTGTTTTTTGTTGTAAGATTTTTGTTTTCATGCCTATGCTCATAGTAGATAGTTTGCAAATGAAAGTTGATTTGCCATACTTTTAAATAATATTGTTTTAGCTTGAATATTCTATAATACACTTTTATAGAGTATAACATGCTAAATCACTGTTTTGTTGTAAGAAGGGTGTAAACATTTTGTTAATAAAATGCTATGTTTACAAATATATATTTGCCTCCCAAATGGTTTCTCTTTGTGATATTACTCATCATATGTTCTTCTTAACCAAATACTCTGAAGTCATTTTTAAATGACCTTTGGATACTGAAGTACCAGAATTTTGACAGCTGTAGTGTCTGGTGAGCAGCAAGTTATTTGTACCAAGGTATCTGAAGCTTCCCAGCTTCCCATATCCTTATCTTATACAACTCCTCCCTCTCCTTGCTCTTCAGTAGTTAAGATGGGGGTTCTAGAAGCAGGTCAGCAAGGCCACCAGTGAGCACTTAGAGGGAAGTTTGCTGCCCCTGGAAGAAAGGAACGGTGCAGTGCCCTAGATTGTGGAAGAAAAGGTCTTCCCTCATCTTCCATTATTATGGGGATTTCATCAAAGATGCTAGTCTTTCCATCCCAGTGTTGACTTGAACCCTGCACCCCCAGTACTCTTCATTGCCAGCAGAAGCACTGGCTCACACACACCCGTGCTCTCTTTGCTGTTCCTCTTAGGTAGAAGCACATTTGCCTGTACAGTGTAGGTGTGCCAAAGAGTACCTACAAGTTCAAGTGAGGGAACCAGAGAGAGCAGAGAGGGCTTGAGACAAACAGGCTTGGATTTGAGTCTCATCAGAGCATCTTTCCAAGCTATGTGGCCCTAGACAAGGCCCTTAACCTCTCTGACCTGTGTTTCTTTTATCTTCACAAAGGGAAGGTAATAAGAGCTTATCCCATGTGGCTGTTCGGGTGGGATGCCTGTAGCTGTCGTTTAACACGGCATTAACAAAGCACAAACATCTCACAGGGTTTATTTCTGTAAGCCATCTCCCTGATAATCACTTTCTGATTCAGTTAAAATAACTTTGCTATAAGTCTGCTGGTTTGCTGTTTTGTTTTTTCTATGTTTTTAAGTATAAAACCTACAAAAAATGTCATGAATCTTGGGTACAGCTCAATTAAATTTCACGAAGGTTACCCACATAACCAACCCTCAGATCACAAAGTGGGACATCTGCCACACCTCAGGTGCCCCACCTTGTGCTCCTTCTCTAACATCACTGATGAGTTTTGTCTGGTTTCAACTTTATATACATACCATGTGGTTCCATATGGGTCTGGCTTCTTTCATCCAACATGGTATGTCGTATTCTCATTCATTCTCACTGCTATGTAGGATTCCACTATGTGAATAAACCACCATTTATTTATCTAGTCTATATTGATAGGCATTGGATTATTTCCAGATTTTTGCCATTATGAATGGACCACAGTGAACCTTACATACATCTCTGGTGTAAAGGCTTGTACAGGTTTCTCTTGGGCATGTGCCCGGGAGTGGAATTACTGGGTCATGAGAAATACACACACACACACACACACACATTCTCAATGTCTGTATTTGTTTTTGCTTTTGTAGATAGTTTTCTAAAATGGTGTATTTAGCTGGGCATGGTGGCTCATGCCTGTAATCCCAACACTTTGGGAGGCCGAGGTGGGTAGATCACTTGAGGTCAGGAGTTTGAGACCAGCGTGGCCAACATGGCAAAACCCCGACTCTACTAAAAATATAAAAATTAGCTAAGCATGGTGCCAGGTTCCTGTAATCCCAGGTACTTGGGAGGCTGAGGCAGGAGAAACACTTGAACCCGGGAGGCGGAGGTTGCAGTGAGCCGAGATCACACCGTTGCACTCCAGTCTGGGCAACAAGAGCAAAAGTCCATCTCTAAAACTAAAGTGGAATATCAATATAGCTCCCCCCAGCAGTGTGCAAGAATTCTAGTTGCACAGCATCCTTGCTAACACTTGATATTATTATTTTCTGCTTTTAAAGTCTGGAGATCTGCAGTCCAAGCTGTTAACAGAACTTACCTCTGAGAAGAGAGGCTTGGCCCACAGAACTGTCACCTGGTTTTCACTTTCTCCTGTATATGTACTTCTGTACTTTTAAAATTTTTACCCTGAGTATGTGTGGAATTTTTTTTTTTTGAGACGGAGTCTTGCTCTGTCGCCCAGGCTGGAGTGGCACAATCGTGGCTCACTGCAAGCTCCGCCTCCCGGGTTCACGCCATTCTCCTGCCTCAGCCTCCCAAGTAGCTGGGACTACAGGCGCCTGCCACCATGCCTGGCTAATTTTTTGTATTTTTAGTAGAGACAGTGTTTCACTGTATTATAAAGTTTCACTGTGTTAGCCAGGATGGTCTCGATCTCCTGACCTTGTGATCCGCCCACCTTGACCTCCCAAAGTGCTGGGATTACAGGTATGAGGCACCGCGCCTGGCTGGATTTTTTCTTATTAGAAAAAAAAAAATCAGGAACTCTCACACTCTAATCCTGTCTTCAAATCCTTAGTGAAAATTGGCTCAATACATACACTGAAGTTGAATTTGTCTTATTTTTCTCCTTTTAAACACACACACACACCCTATTCAATTTGGTCAGTAAAAACCTTAGAGCCAGATTTGGGGCAAGTGTGCAAAACTTTATAGCACCGCTTCATTTCATTCTGAAATTTAATACATATCTTTTCAAGCTGCCCTAAATCCTCTTGGACAATAGGGGATAGAGGGAGCATAAATAATACCCGTTAAGAAGGAGAATATGCAGGTGCCTCTCACTTGGGGAAAAAAGAGGAGAATATTAGTCTACACCCTGTCAAGATAGTACTATGGCAGAAGCCAGTCCCATTTGTTGTTGCCAAGAAAAAGGGAATCACAGCCGGGCACAGTGGCTCACGCCTGTAATCCCAGCACTTTGGGAGGCCGAGGCAGGTGGATCACCTGAGGTCAGGAGTTCGAGACCAGCCTGGCCAACATGGTGAAACCCCGTCTCTACTAAAAATACAAAAAAAATTAGCCTGGCATGGTGGCAGGCACCTGTAATCCCAGCTACTTGGGAGGCTGAGGCAGACGAATCGCTTGAACCCAGGAGGTGGAGGTTGCAGTGAGCCGAGATCGCACCATTGCACTCCAGCCTGGGGACAAGAGCGAGACTTCATCTCAAAAAAAAAAAAGAAAAAAGAAAAAGGGAATCACTACACCAAAAAGGAAGACACAAATTAGCACACACCCAAAACAAACAGGGATGTTTTAAATGCTTACACAAAACAGCCTTGCTTTATTTTTCCACAAGCATCTAGCTGCTTGCCTTGGAGCGTATAAGAACTAAATTATGGACCTAGATTTCTAAGTAACTTCAAAGTTTACTGCAGATTTTTTTTTCCATTAGAATTTAAGAAGCAGATTTCCATTGAGATGGTAAACTATAAAACACAGAGCCTTTTAAATCTGTCAGTTGTTTGGCTTATAATAATACTGGCCAAAAACATGATTCTCCACTAAAAATGTCAGTGTTGGTTGGGAAGCCAAGCATCATCAGCCTTCTAAAATTTACCCACCAGGAGTATTACTGCTTTTCATTATAACACCAGTGGAGCTTGTAAGAGAGAAGAAGGGAAAAAAGAAAGCTTTCACCTAGCACCTGGTCAAAATGAATCACTTTGTTAATTATGATCTTAATCAGACCTCTATTTGCTTATTTTTTAAATTTTAAACACAACTTTTCAGCATCTTCCAAGAAACAATTTAAAAATCCAGAGACCACATTTTGAGAAATGTGCTTGAAGATAACAGAACCTCAGATACTGCTGTTAGAGGGGTGGGAACAGACCAAGGGGGTCAGACTTCTGTTTATTAATATTCAGCCCAGAATGAAACTTCAGGCCTCTTTTAAATAAAATATATGGAAAATATAAGGGGAAAGCTACAAGGTTCCACTCCGTTAGAAAAAGGGCATTTTTAAGAAGAAAATTGTGGGGTTGTGAATGTAAATTAGAGGCTAATGTACAGCGTTAGGGCGTGGAATATGCTCCAGTGGTATACTATCATCAACATTAAAATTGCCATCAGCCGCTCAAGTGATAAGGTCAAGTCATATCTAGTTTGCATATAAACGAGAATACACAACAGTTAAAACACACACACACAAACAAACATGACAACAGACTGGGCTGGGTGACGTGGAAGCTCTCTGCCAGCTGGGCAGTTTGCGACCTGAGTCAGTCCTTAATATCCAGGCCCTCGAATCATGAACTATCCCACCAAGAATGTTTTGCATGCTTAAATGTATTTTTATATTTCCTATTTCCAAGATGATAAACCCCTTATTAGAGAATTGAGATCCCTGTGGGTTTCTTTCCCTGTTCTTAAATTACTTCTAAAGGTAATAGGAGAGGGCAATGTTGGTGGCCAAGTGGCAGTCTTTTTTTTTTTTTTTTTTTTTTTTGAGACGGAGTCTCGCTCTGTCATCCAGGCTCGAGTGCAGTGGCGCGATCTCGGCTCACTGCAAGCTCCGCCTCCCAGGTTCTCACCATTCTCCTGCCTCAGCCTCCCAAGTAGCTGGGACTACGGGCGCCCACCACCACGCCCGGCTAATTTTTTTGTATTTTTAGTAGAGTCGGGGTTTCACCATGTTAGCCAAGATGGTCTCGATCTCCTGACCTCGTGATCCACCCGCCTCAGCCTCCCAAAGCGCTGGGATTACGGATGTGAGCCACCACACCCAGCCTCAAGTGGCAGTTTTTATAAGCCACCTGTGAACCACCTTGTGGGTGCTGAAAGGACAGCAAGTTTTGAAGCCTCTTACAGTACATGTATGCAGATGATTATTGTGTATATCAAAGTCTCCCCCCAAAAAAACAGCCACCTGATGGAAGGAAGAACCCAGCCAACGTGGAAAAGAAAAAAAAAGAAAACTTTACAAGCTCTTCAGCATTCGCTGGAGTGGAGGGATGTGCAAGTTTAAGTTTAAATCCAGAAATTGTGAAGAGAACATTTCAAGAAGTGGAATAAAATTGGACTTACTTGGGATGGTCTCTAGAATGTATGACGGTGGGGTTATTTATTAAAAGGGGCTTCAAGGCCAGATGGAAGACATTCCTCGGTCTTTTGCTGAGTCAGTGAATGTACTTAAACTTTGCCTACCCTCTTCTGTGAGTTGGTGTGTGATTTTACATTGCTAAAGGATAACGTTGCAAACTTTATGAGGCTACTGTGAATAGCTAATGAGGGCAAGCAGTCGGGCTATATAAATCAATATTATTAATTGCACCAATAATAAACATACAAATTCCATTATTAGCCTTAGCATACAACTGCTTGTTACAAAACCATGTACATTTTAGTGCCTGCTTTTTTTTGCCATGGGTCCATTAGGGAATTCTTTATTGTTTTTATATTAAAGCCTAAAAAATATAAAAGCTTGTCTTTATTTTTCATAATGCCGTCATTTCAAAATAGTACACCCACGCATGCATGCATGTACACATATAAACACGAAACGAAGAAAAGAAAAATGACTTAAGTTGCAAAGTAAAATGAGAAAAAGACAAAAGGTTCCTTGTAGCCCCAGCTGCAGGAGAATAATAGGTTCAAAGGGGTTTTACCGAGAGAAATGATGCTCAGAGCAGGGAGCAGAGAGGCTGGGAAGGAACGCAAGGACAGCTGAGGAGGCAGGCGGGGCGCCCTGGAGACGTTGCAGAGAGCACAGCAGCTGCTGAGGCCAGGCAAAGGTTGCATTCCTGCCCTCCCAGGTACCTGCTTTCAAAGGCTGAGCCATCCTCATTTATTATTTGTTTTGTCAAACATTAAAACATTCCTGCCACTGCAAAGTCCTACGTCTTAGACTCCCAGGAATAAATAAATGAAAATCCAGGACACGGTTTCAGGACTCCTACCACGTGCCATGCACTATCACAAGACAAATAAATCAGGACCCCAGTAGGGAATTAATTAATCTTCCAAGAAATGAAGAAATGGGGAGATGGTTCTTTGGGTGATACCTTTCCCACAGGAAGAAATAACAGAAGGTATTTATGACATTTTTCTTTTCCTAGTTGCTGCAAATTAAGAATCACAGGCTTTTACTTAAAAACATGTAAATATTGGAGGAGAGGGGATGTCTTCACAGAGTTCAAAATGATGGTGAAGAACCGGTTTTCAGCCAGGCATGGTGGCTCACGCCTGTAATACCAGCATTTTGGGAGGCCGAGGTGGGCGGGTCACTTGAGGTCAGGAGTTTAAGACCAGCCTGGCCAACATGGTGAAACACCGTCTCTACTAAAACTACAAAAATTAGCCTGGTATGGTGGCACACACCTGTAATCCCACCTACTCGGGAGGCTGAGGCGGTAGGATCGCTTGAACCCAGGAGGCGGAGGCTGCAGTGAGCCAAGATTGTGCCGCTGCACTCCAGCCTGAGTGACAGTGAGACTCCATCTCAAAAAAATAAAATAAAAAATAAAGAACCGGTTTTCAGTGCCCCAATTCCTAGATGTAATTGGGGTATTTG
This sequence comes from Homo sapiens, assembly GCF_000001405.40. NCBI lineage: Eukaryota > Metazoa > Chordata > Mammalia > Primates > Hominidae > Homo > Homo sapiens. The sequence continues at coordinate 58,373,835 of NC_000020.11, forward strand.
GTACAAGAGGGGTTTACCAACCCCAACTACATGATGAACTTACTTCCTTCACCAAGTACCCAAAGACAGACAAACCCAGCTGCAACAACAGCCTCAGAGAACACAAGAGCTCCCAGGCTCACACATCACACGACCCCCAGATTCTGACATAAGACATAGATTTAGGGACCTCGTTGAAATCCCTGGTGATGTGAGACCCCACGAGTGTGCCATCCTTGTGATAAGAGCTAACATCACTGCAGCAAGAACTTTACTTGCATCCGTTCACTGAGTCCTCCCCAGATCCAAGAGGCAGGAACTTCCATTATCCCCACCGTACAGATGAGGAAGTGGCCGAGGCTCAGACAGCGAGGAAGAGATAATCAGCCAGAAGCTGGCCTGGCCCTCGCAGCTGGCCTTGGTATACTCTCTCCTGTCGAAGAGACACTGACATCAACACAAGGCCACAATTTCACAAGACAATTTCGGCAATGTCACAGGACACTGACCTCACACAAGGCCACTCTGACCATGATGGGTCAAAACATAAACAAGACTTCTCCGTCACTCTAGTCCTTGTGGATGCAATCACAGTATGACCCCAAGTCTTGTTCCCGACAGCACCTAACCAAGAGCAAAGCTCACTTCCTGGACCCCTGCCCTGAAATCACCAATATTATCCCCAATCCCCGAGTCTCTTCTGACCCCTCTTAGGGAACTGCTTCACACTCCCAAAGCGCCCAGGCGGCACTTTGAACTTATTCCCCCACACATGTGTCCTGGGGGTCTTTGTCTGCAAGGCATTGCCAGCAGCCTAAGGCCACACATCTGCTGAGTCACAGCGCTGCGAAGGGCAGGTTGGGACCCAGGCCATCGGTCTACAGAGCCCATGATTTCCCTACTGCCTGATCTGCACAGGGAGCGGTCATAGCAAAGACACATTCCTTTCTCAGCACAAAATGGCAGGGCCTGCTGCGAGCATTTGGATTTCAGGAGAGCGCTGCAGGTACTTTACCTATTGCAGTTACTCTTGTTTGGGGTTTTCCCCTAGATACAAAAGCAAAGTTGTGACAGTCACTTGATAATCTATGGCTCTAAGCATTCCTGGGAGTGGGGAGCAGAAAAATGAAAATGGAGAAACTGAAACTTACAATGCCATGCCACGGTCTCCCCTGCCCTCCCACATTATACCCCTCTCTCTCTCTCTCCCTCCCTCCCTCTATCTCTGTCTCTCCCCCATCTCTCTCTCCCTCCGTCTCTCTTTCCCTCTCTCTCCTCCCTCTCTCTTCCCCCCTCTCTGCTCCATCTCCCTCCCTTCCTCCATCTCTCTCTCTCCCCCCTTACCCCTCCCTTTTCCTCCCTCTCTCTCTCTCTCTTCCTCTTCTCTCTCTCTCTTCCTCCCTCTTTCGTCCGCTCTCCTCCCTCCCCAAATATATATATATATATATATCTCCCTCTCCCCAGCTCTCCCTCCCTCTCTCCCCCTCCCTCTCTTTCTCTCCTCCTTTTTCTCCTCTTTCCTCTCTTTCTCTCCCTCCCTCTGTGTCTCTCTTTCCTTCTCTCTCTGCCATCTCCTTCTCCATCTCTGTCTCTCCCTCCTCCTCCCCCTCCCCCATCCCTCTCTCTCTTTCCCTCCCTCTCTGTCTCTCTCTCTTTCTCTCTCTCCCATTTCCTTCTCCATCTCTGCCTCTCCCTCCCCCTACCCCTCCCTAGCTCTGGCATTCAGGGATTCGTATTTCCTTTCTGATGCTGGCAACCAGAGGCTGCTGCGCAGTTTCTCTTCTCAGACACCCTGCGGTGGCTGACTAGTCAGAAGGACAGTGGAAGAGGGGATTCGAAGCTGCATTTGCAGAGTAAGCACAGTTTCTAATCAGATCAATGAAAATAACAAAGTTTTCCAATGATGCTCTCACTCACTGGTTGCATAATCCTTTGTTAATGTTTATGTATTATTGTCATTTCTTTGGGGTGGCCTGGGGATAGGCAGACAGAAACAACAGGGAGAGGTCTAAGACCCTCGTCCCCAGCCACTCCTTGGTAGGGTCACTCAAGGTTCTGTCTTACTCTGCTTTATCTCCTAGCTAGACAGGGGGAGATGGGGGTCTGCGTGTCTTTTGTCTCTGGGTCCTCGGTGTTCTGCCCCTGTGCCCCTCCACAAATGTCTGCTCAATGAATGAAGGCCGTGAGGTGGAAAATCACCAGGGCTTGGACAAAAGAGAGATTTGCAAATTTGACATACACACTAACAAAACGCATCCCCTGTCCCCTCCCAACTGCCTCAACACACTGGAAATGATCTGTGGGGACCCTGTAAAATCTCCCCACAGTGAATACCATGCTCACTCACTGCCTCATCAAACATTTATCACACGGTTCTTCTGCCTCACACTGCCATGGGGGAACAATGAGGTAAATATGCCGTTCTTACCCCTGAGAAGCGTGGAATCTAATTATCTTCTAGAGATGCTTTGGGGATCTGCTTACTAAATCAATACGAATGATTCGTAATTAGAATATCAATTATTTGTATGCAAATGTGGTCTTCTGGGTGATTGGGGACAAGTCCTAAGGAGCAAAAAAACTTCCCCCACCGTGCCCCCTCAAATTCTTAATTACATTATTTCATTCATTCATCAAACATGTATTGAGCACCTTTTATATGCCAGGCACAGAGATTGGGACCAAGAATCCATCCCCTGGTTGCTCACAGTCAGGAATGAAGAATCAAGGTGTTCGGGGCCTTGGGAGAGAGCTTGCTTCTTGCGGGCAAGGGGAGAAAGCATGAACCTTCTTCCATCCATCCTGACTGACAGCCACCTAGTTTACTGAGACCTTCAGCTGAGGAGCCAGCCCTGCCGGAGTCCTCCTGCCCAAGTCTGGAGGAGCCTCCCTCAACGTGGGCAAGGGTTAGCAATATGATTGCACCCCTTTTTGTAAAGCTATGGGGGTGCCTGGTTCTATGACTACCCCATCCCCCATCCAGGTTCTGAGCTACTGGGTCTGAGTGGGGATTTTTGTTTGTTTGTTTGTTTGTTTTTGTTTTTGTTTTTGAGACAGGGTCTCACTCTGTTGCCCAGGCTGGAGTGGAGTGGCACGATCACAGCTCACTGCAGCCTCAGCCTCCCGGGCTCAAGCAATCCTCCCACCTCAGCCTCCTGAGTAGCTGGGACCAAAGGTGCGCACCACCATACCCAGCTAATTTTCGTATTTTTTTGGTAGAGATGGGATCTCTCTATGTTCCCCAGGCTGGTCTTGAACTCCTGGACTCAAGCAGTCCTCCCACCTCAGCCTCCCAAAATGTTGGGATTACAGGCATGAGCCACCTGGTCTCTGAGTGGGTTTTTTTTTTTTAACAAATCCTGTGTGCCAGCTTGTCCTGAAACTTCAACCCTTGGTGACCCTGAATCTTCATTCATTCATTCATTCATTCATTCATTTCTTCATTTGTTCACACACTCTTCCATTTGTTGAGACTTTGTTATGCTCCAAACCCTTGCCAGGTGCTAGAGGGTAGAGTGTTCAGCAGAGATGGATCAGTCATGGAGCTGGCTCTCTAGTTGGGAGACAGATAGTAAAAAAAATTCACAAATAAGCCCATGCCCCCGACTCTCTCACCATGGCCCCCACTTCTGAGCAACGTTCCCTCATCTGCCCCATGGTCTATTTCATGCAGGTCCTCCATCTCCAGCTTCTCACTGCTCTGGGGCAAGTTACTAAACCTCTTGGTGCCTCAGTGTCCTCATTTGTACACCAAAGAACATCATAATATTACTACCTCTCTGTTGTGAGAATGTATGAGGAATACACACGCAGCTCTTAGAACAGTGCCTGGCATGGAGCACTTGACCAATGGTAGCTGCAGTTGTTGTTATTATTAGTGCATTCTCTGCAAAAAATAAAAATAAAAAATAAAAATAAAAGCCAGGTGTGGTGACACACACCATAGTCTCTTGGGAGGCTGATGTGGGAGGACTGCTTGAGCCTGGGAGCAATCAACACTGCAGTGAGCTATGATGGTACCACTGCATTCCAGCCTGGATGAGAGAGCAAGATTCTGTCTCAAAGAAAGAAAGAAAGAAAAAAAAAAACCACTAAAGATGCTACACTGCTGGATTTGAAGATGGGGGAAGTGGCCATGAGCCAAGGACTGTGTGTGACCTCTGGAAGCTGGAAAAGGCAAGGAATGGGTTTTTCCTAGAGCCTCCAGACAGAACACAGCCCTACCATCACCTTAATCTTAGCCTTATGGGACCCAGTTTCGGATATCCGACCTCCAGAACTGTAAGATCATAAATATGTGTTGTTTTCACCCACTTCGTTTGTGGTCATTTTTTACAGCAACCATAGGAAACTAAAACACATGCCAATAAGGTGCTGGACCCAGAACAGGAGAACAGCAGCTCAGTCCATGTGAGTGATTGTTATTCCCCTTGCCTTTCCCCGCGCAAGCCCCCGCAGCCCCAACCTTTGCAGCTGTTGTTCCTCAGCTGGGAGAACCCTTCCTTTTTTTTCTGTCTGGCAAGATCTTTCTTACGATTTTTTTTTTCCAAAACTGTTCTGTAACATCCTCTGAGGTTCTAAGTTTTCTCTCAGTCTCTAGAGTAAAGTTAATTGTCTCTTCATAGCTTTCTTCTCATCCATTTTCGTGTTTATCACGGATTGTGATGATTTTGTTTTTCTTTAACATCCCCCCGCCAGACAGTGAGGCTAAATGCGTCCAGTGCTGGAGGCTCACACAGTAGATGCTGAGGAAATGCAAAAAATAAATAACAAATTAAATACATAAATACTATAAGTAAATAAATAAATTCCATTAAAATCTGATTGCCAATTTTATTAAAAACCTGGATGAATGAATGCATTAAAGAAAAAAAGTGAGTGATGGGTAAGTGACTGAGGCCATGAAGGATGGGGGGACTTGGACAGCCAGAGGTGGCTGTGTTTCCAAAGGAGGAAAAGGGATGAAGAGGATGACAACAAAGTCACTCATTTCCTTAACACGGTTCAGCATTGTGTGTTCTGGTTGATCAGAGGGTCTGAGTGCCTGAGAGTTTGCCCCCTACAGAAGGAGGTTGGAAATTCAATTTTAAAAATGTTAAACAAGTTTAATTTTAGAATAGTATTTTTTTTGTTGTTTATTTAGAGTATGTTTGGAGTTACAGAAAAGTTGCAAGGATAATAAAGAGACTTTCCATATACACGACACCCAATTTCCCCATTCTTAACATACATTACTGTGGTACATTTGTCAAGACTAATGAACCGTTGTTAATATGATGAATACATTATTGTTAACTCCATATTTTATGCAGATTTTCTTGCTTTTCCTCTAATGTCCTTTCTTTGCTTCTGGATACCACTTTACCTTTACTTGTCATGCCTCCTTGGGCTCCTCTGAGCTGTGACACCTTCTGACACTTCCCTTGTTTTTTATGACCTTGCCCTTGAGAAGTACTAGCCAGTGTTTTATAGAATGTCCTTCAGTTTAAGATTTTCTGATGTTTTTCTTATGACTTGACTGGGGTGGGCTTTGGGGGTGAAGACCGCAAAGGTGAAATGCATTCATATCACATCATATCAAGAGTACCTCCTATCAGCAGGACTTATCAGTAACGATGTTGACCTTGATCACCTGGCTTACCAATGGCTTCCCAGAGTCCCACTGTTAAAGTTGCTTTTCCCCCGACTTTCCATCCTGTAGTCTTTGGAAGAAAGCCGCTAAGTACAGCCCACGGTTAAGGGGTGGAAGTTATGTTCCACGTCCTGGAGGGAGGAGTATCTCTAACATCAATTATTTACAATTTTTCTGTATGGGAGATGTGTCACTTCTACTGTATTTATTATTCAATCATTTATTTGTCATTATAGACTCAAGGATATTTATTTTCTACTTTGATTTGTTTATTTATTTATTTTTGTAGAGACAAAGTCTTGTTATGTTGCCCAGGCTGGTTTTGAACTTCTGGGCTCAAGCGATCCTCCCGCCTTGACCTCTCAAAGTGTTGAGATTACAGGTGTGAGCCACTGTACTCGGCCTATTTTCTACTTTGGGTTATAATCCAATACTATCTTATTTATTTTATTATTCAAATTGTCACAGCTTCAGCCATTGGGAGCTCTTCCAGTTGGTGTCCCTTTGACATGTTATCATTATTTTATCTTTTGAGCACTTCCTTACTTTCTACCTATACAAGAGGTTCCAAGTTCACCTCAAATATTCCCTACCCCAGGCCAAGAATCATCCATATTTCCAAAAAGTCCTGGTTTCCATTTCTGGGGAAATGGTATGAGAAACTAACATCTGGGTCATGGGTGCAACAAAGTGTTTTTAACATGAAAACTTTACTCCGGCGACTTCTGTTTCTGGCAATATGGAGGATTAGACATGCTGAGTGACCCTTCCCATCAAAACAACTCACATGCTGGATAAAATATTGCAAATGCATTGATGAGCCAGCACAAGGAGTGTTCTGAAGCCAAACAGTGAAGGGAAGATTAAGCCCTTAGGGATAAGCTGAGTCCCGAAGCCGGGTTTTTTTTTTGGTTTGTTTTTTGTTTTTTGTCCTGGGGAACTGTGGAAGCCTGTGAACAAGTGATTTAATTTTCTCAGTACTTTAGGTTTTATAGGACAAAAGACAAAGCTCAGGGCCCACCCAAGTTGGGAAGTCTAGCAGGATCCTTCAGTGTACAATGAGCCCAAAACACTGCCCCCAGCCCCAGAGGAAAAGTGTCAGGTGGAGGCACTCAATGAGGGGAAATGGCCAATTATTCTAAGAATCAGGAGCACAGGGTAGGCTTCCCAAAGGTTTGCAGCCCAAATTCACACTACCTGGGTGGTCTGAAAATCTTAAACTGAGACCTGAAAGCTACCCTGGTCAGTGCCCACCCTCCACTTCTACCTGGAATAAGACAAGGCAAAGGCAAATTCTTTCTGGAGGAGCCACCTTCAGCCCAGGTGTGGCTGATTGTATATTCTGCAGACGGCTGGAACAATATTTCCTACACGATGTGCTCTCCTAGAAACTTGCCATGTCCCACCAGGAGGTAGAGTTTCCATCCCCACCCTTTCAAACTGTACAGGTCTCTTGACTGCCTCAAAGGATAAAATGCAGTGAGCAAGTGATCCCACATGACTTCTGAGGCTAGGTTAGAAAAGGTGATACGCCTCCATCTGGGACTCTCTCTCTTTCTCTTTCTCTCTCTGACACTAGCTTGCAAGCCCTGAGCTGCTATGTAAAAAGTCCCGTTACCTGAAGCCTTGATCTGGAGAGACAGCTCAGGGACAAAACATATAAGTCATAGAGAAATGACCACAGAGTCCCAGGTGTTCCCATTGGCTGAACTCTTCCAGCCAGGGGCCAGACCTGTGAGCATGCAAGCCTTCCAATGATTCCAGACTGGATAATGAAGAATTTGGCCTTACCCAGACAGATCTGGCCTTTGTCATGGTGTTTGGGAAGTAATCTCTGGGTCCTCAGAATGTTTTAACTGATAGGAGTGTTCACCTGGTAGCTTGTGTCATACTGGATAGTCATAACAAGGTGATCGGGGGTGGAGGCTGGCCAGATAGCAAGGGGTTGGCTACCAAAGACCAACAGTGCGGCTCAGGGTGGGGACTTGGGATCATGTGATATCAGTTGACCTGGAGACTGAAATCAGTCATGTGGGCAATCAATCAATCATACCTGCATAATAGAGCTTCAGTAAAAACTATGGACACTGAAGTTCAGGCAAGCTTCTATGGTAATACTCCATGCACTTTGTTACACACTAAGAGTCACACATCCTGTATTAGTTTGTTCTCACACTGCTAATAAAGACATACCCGAGACAGGGTAATTGTAAAGGAAAGAGGTTTAGTGGACACACAGTTCTACATGGCTGGGGAGGTCTCACAGTCATGGCAGAAGATGAAGGAAGAACAAAGGGATGTCTTACATGGCAGCAGGCAAGAGAATTTGTGCAGGCAAACTTCCCTTTGTAAAACCATAAGATCTCGTGAGACTTACTCACTATCACGAGAACAGGAAGGGAAAAACCTGCCCCCGTGATTCAGTTACCTCTCACCGGGTCCCTCCTACGACACTTGGGGATTATCACAATTCATGGTGAGATTTGGGTGGGGACACAGAGCCAAACCATATCATACCCTGACTCCATGGGGGAGGGCGACAGAAGCTCCACATTTGGAGCCCTCTGCCCTATGCTCATCTTCCCTTGGCTGATTTGATCTGTATACATTCCCTATAAATAAACCATAACCATGAGTACACTTGCTTTCAGTGAGTTCTGAGGGTTCTTCCAATGAATTATCAAACTGGAGAGTGGTTTGGAGACACCAACAAACTTGTAGTTTGGTGTCAGAGGGAGGGTGATTTAGGAACTATGTCCTTTAACTTTGTAGTTGGCCCTAAACTCCCTGCACAGACCCAGCTGCTATTTTACGAAAGCCACATGAGAGGCTCTGCGTGTGAACCACCCAGCAGAGCCCAGTCAACCCCCACAAGTGTGAGTGAGAATAATTAAATGGTTGTTGATATTTGGGCCGCTAAGTTTTGGAGGTAATTGAAATGCTCGGCCTCCAGGGATTCTCACAGATAAGGTCAAAGACAATAAAACACACAAGGAAACAGGCTGCACTGAGCCAAAGCCCCCAGAAACAATAAAAGTAGAACTGCACACATGTCAGGCACTGAACAGACTGTAAAAATAAGTATGTCTACTATGTTTAAAGAAATAAAAAAGGGATTGGTAGCTATGAAGCTGTTGTCTCTCAGCTCCAAATTAACCCTCTACACCCTGCTCTGACATACTGGGGCTGAGTCTCTGGACATGTCATTTCTCCTCAGTCAGCGGGTTTTCTCTCAGGCTCCACTGGGAGAGGCACTCAAGGAAGACCTGAAATCGGAAGAGGGGAGAAGGGACCAGTCTTTCTTGTCCTGTTCCTGTTCTTGACAGTGTTGCTTCAGCAGTGACCTTTCATCCGAAAGCAGTAGTTGTTCAGTCTCCACGTGGTTTTGGCACTCCCAGAAGCAGCCTCATTGTATCCCCTCAGAGGCCCCAGCCCTGGCCAGCCAGTGATACCTCCTCAGGAGTCCGTGGCCACCTCCATGAAGCCCTCCCACTGAGCTCCTGGGTTCCCATAACCCCAGCATCTTCCCTATGTTCTCTTAACCCTAGGAATGGTAGTTTCTTCCTGCCGTTACTACCCTTGTGATACCTCAGTGTCTTCTTCTTTTGGCTTTGACAGTTCACCATTACCTGTTTAACCAGTTCTTTATACTAAATTATCTTTGTTAAAACAGCTGGTGCAATTTCTGCTTTCCTGGCTGGACCTTGACTAACAGAGCACTTGGTACCAAGAGTGGTCCCAGGAAACAGACTCTCAAAGAAGGGATTCTGGGATTGGATTGGCCACATCCTCATGCTTGACTGCAGTGCCTGTGAAATATGGAATACAAGCACAGGTGTGCTGAATACCAGCTGGTGAGAGCCAGTCACACACACCTCTTTTCAACTCTGTTCAGTGACATCCCATTGGCAGCCTAAAATCAGTCATGGTGGGAGTGTTTATACCATAGAAATCTGCAAAACCTGGCTGGGCATGGTGGCTCACAGCTGTAATCCCAGCATGCTGGGAGGCTGAGTCAGGAGGATCACTTGAGGCCAGAAGTTTGAGGTTATGATGAGCTATGATCATACCACTGCACTCTGTCCTGGGTGACAGAGTGTGACCCTGTCTCAAAAAAAAAAAAAAAAAAGAAATCAACCAACCAACCAAACAAAAAAACAAAGAAAAGGAAATAAAAGGAATCTGCAAAAACTACAGATATTATTTCTCCCCAAGAGAGCCAGTTTATTACACACCAGTGATTACAAGTAATCAATGGCTCATACTGACATCACTACTAATATCATTTGATTGTGACAATGTTCCCACTGAAGTAAGGGCATGGAGAGCCATGGGACTGCCACACTTACATGGTAGTGATGACTTCAGGACCATGGGGTGAGATAGCTATTTCTGAGTTCACTGGAGCTATTATGGAAAGTAAAGGACACGCTCCAATCTTTAAACTCTCAGCTTAACTCACAGAGAACCAGAGAGATTCTACAGAGCCCTAAAATAATCCTTTATTTCTTGTAGTTGTAGATTTTTTTTTTTTTTTGAGATGGAGTTTTGCTCTTGTTGCCCAGGCTGGTGTGCAATGGCATGATCTCGGCTTACTGCAACCTCCGCCTCCCGGATTCAAGCAGTTCTCCTGCCTCAGTCTCCCAAGTAGCTGGGATTACAGGCAGCTCCCACTACGCCCAGCTAATTTTTTGTATTTCTAGTAGAGACGGGGTTTCACTATGTTGGCCAGGTTGGTCCTAAACCCCTGACCTCAAGTGATACACCCGCCTCAGCCTCCCCAAGTGCTGGGATTACAGGCGTGAGCTATCGCACCTGGCCTAGCTGTAGATTTTTGACCTTGCTGAAAATTATACTCAAACTTTAATTGGGTGGGCTGCAGGATTACAACATAAATGGAATTCACACATTTAGCAGAATCTCAAGCAGTGTGTTTGGCTGTGTACTTTGTGTGGCTGAGAAATGACCAAGAGCACAGAGGTGCACGGGCCCCTGGGTAATGGATGATCAGGGACGGAGAGAGCAGATGTGGATGTGTGGTGAGGAGGTCTGGGAGGAGGTACTAGATACCTCTCAGGATGGGTGTGAAGACACTGGTGTCTCGGCCAAGCGCTGTGGCTCATGCCTGTAATCCCAGCACTTTGGGAGGCCAAGGCGGGTGAATCATGAGGTCAGGAGTTCGAGACCATCCTGGCCAACATGGTAAAACCCCGTCTCTACTAAAAATACAAAAAATAGCCGGGCGTGGTGGTGGGCGTCTGTAATCCCAGCTACTTGGGAGGCTGAGGCAGGAGAATTGCTTGAACCCAGGAGGTGGAGGTTGCAGTGAGCCGAGTTCGTGCCACTGCACTCCAGCCTGGGCAACAGAGCAAGACTCCGCCTCTAAATTAAAAAAAAAAAGACACTGGTGTCTCATGTGAATGCCCACTCAAAGACATCTACTGCAGCAGCAACTCTATTAATTGAGTGGACAAGAGGGCACATTCTGCAGACAACAGTCAGTCTTTCCCACAGCTGTGCCATTGCGTGCTCAATGAGCTTATTTATGCAGTGGCCATGGTGGCAGGTGTGGAGGCTCTGTATGGGCTTAGGAACATGGGCTTCCCCTTACCAAAGTGACCCGGCAGAAGAGACCAACACTAAAGCTTTGTTATGGCACCATTCCCTGGGGGAGGGCAGAGGAGCTGGGAACCAGTGTTAAAAAACCTATAAATGTGGCCAGGCACAGTGGCTCATGCCATTAATCTCAGCACTTTGGGAGGCTGAGACGAGCGGATTGCATAAACTCAGGAGCTCGAGACCAGCCTGGGTAATGTGGTGAAATCCCATCTCTACAAAACTTTCAAACATTAGCCGGGTGTGGTGGTGCCTACCTGTAGTTTCAGCTACTCGGGAGGCTGAGGTGGGAGGATGGCTTGAGCCCATGAGGTAGAGGCTGCAGTGAGCCAACATTACACCACTAAACTCCAGCCTGGGCAACAGAGGGAGACCTTGTCTCAAATAATAATTAAAAAAAAAGAAAAAACACAACCTATAACTACTTGGATATGTAAAAGAACAAAATAGAACTTATAGGCTTAAAAAAAAATAAACAAAATGAAAAACTCCTGAAACAGGTTTATCAATAGCCTAAGAGATAATTAGTGACTAGAAGAAAGATCTGAAGAACTATCCAGAACGTGGAACATAAAGAGGACAGATTAAGATGTGATAGAGAGGTTAATAGACATGGAGAAGGGCACAAGACTTTTCTCTTTTTCTTTCACAATCCACAGTAATAAATGTATTTTAGTTGTGACTCACTCCATAGATATGTGTATATTAATAAATACAACTGAAACAAAAGATTCATGAAATAATACAATACACTCCAATATATTATATTCTCGTTCTTTCTCAACACTGGTAACAATCTACTACATTGATTTTATAAGCCACTGTTGGAAAACAACCTACAGTTTGAAAAATATTAGTTGAATAACTACTAATCACACTACAAGATGTAAAGAGTGAGAGAACGAGGTTGAGATAACATTTATTTTTATTTCTTCTTTTTTTGAGACAGGATCTCACTCTGTTACCCCAGGCTGGAGTGCAATGGTATAATGGTTCACTGCAGCCTCCACCTCCTGGGCTCAAGTCCTCCCACCTCAGCCTCCTGAGTAACTGGGATTACAGGCATGCACCACCATGCGTGGCTAATTTTTTTTTTTTTTTTTTTGTATTTTTTGTGGAGATGGGGTTTTACCATGTTGCCCAAGCTGGTCTTGAACTCCTGGATTCAAGCAGTCTGCCCGCCTTGACCTCCTAAATTGCTGAGACTACAGGCATGAACCACTGTGTCCATCCAAGATAACATTTAACAGAGATATTGTCACGTATGATACAACACGGATGAACTTTGGGGACTTTATGCTGGGCAAAATAAGCCAGTCACAAAACGACAAGTATTGTATGATTCTGCTTACAAAAAGTACCTAGACTAGTCAAATTCACAGAGGCAGGATGTGGAATGATGGTTGCCAGGGGCTTAGGAGAGGGAGCATGGGGAATGATTGCTTAAGGGGTACAGAGTTCTAGTTTTGCAAGATGAAGGGAGCTCTAGAGATGGATGATGGTGAGGTCGCACCACAATAGGAATCTTGTTAATACCACTGGATACTTAAAAATGATAGAGAGTAAATTTTATGTGATGTGTATCTTACCACAATAAAAAAGTAAAATTAAATTGAAAAAAAAAAAGTATTGTCTGAGAGTTTTCAAGAATAATGAAAGACACCAATCATCAAATTCAGAAAGCCCAAAGAACTCAAGGCAGGATAAATAAAAAGATAACAGCATGAGCTGGGCATGGTGGCTCACGCCTGTAATCCCAACTTTTTGGGAGGTCGAGGTGGGTGGATTACCTGAGGTCAGGAGTTTGAGACCATCTGGCCAACATGGCAAAACTCTGTCTCTACTGAAAACACAAAAATTAGCTGGGCATGGTGGTGCGTGCCTGTAATCCCAGCGACTCAGGAGGCTGAGGCAGGAGAATCGCTTGAACATGGGAGGCGGAGGTTGCAGTGAGCTGAGATGGCGTCACTGCACTCCAGACTGGGGGACAGAGCGAGACTCCGTCTCAAAAAAAAAAAAAAAAAAAGATACAGCATGGTAAAACTGTAGAACATGAGAAGAGGGAGAAAAGACCAACAACCTATGAAGGAACGATGTTAAGATTGTCACTGGACTCCTGAGGAGCAATGAGGGGGAACAGGCAAACAGTGGATGGCAATCAAGTGTGCTGAGAGAGGACAGCTGTCATTCAAGCAAGCAAGCCAAAATATCTGTCAAGAACAAGGGCAAGGCCAGGCGCAGTGGCTCATGCCTGTAATCCTAGCACTTTGGCGGCTGAAGCAGGAGGATCACTTGAGCCCAGGAGTTTGAAACCAGCCTGGGCAACATAGTGAGATTTTACAGAAAATAAAAAAATTAGCTGGGCGTGGTGGTGCATGCTTTTAGTCCCAGCTACACCGGAGTCTGAGGTGGGAGGATTGTTTCAGCCTGGGAGATACAGGTTGCAGTGAGCCACGATCATGCCACTGCACTCCAGCATGGGCAACAGAGCAAGACCTCATCTCCAAATAAATAAATAAATAAAATAAAAACAACAAAAGGCAAAAATGAATCCATTTGCAGATGAGCAGAAACTGAGAGGATTTGCACCAACGAAGCTACAAAAAAATAAAATTTAAAGGATTTACCTCAGGCAAAAGGAGAGTGATCCTGTTGGTGAAAGCTGAGATGCAAGAAGAAAAGGTGGATAAAAATGGTAATTGTGTGGCTGAATCTAAACTAATGTTGACTGAATAAAACAATTTAGTAATGTCTCTTGGGGTTACAGTGGCAAAGGTTAAACTTAACATACACTACATTAAGGTGTATAATTTAGAGGATGGGTGATTAAAGTACTCCAAAGTCTTTATATTTTAAGGAAACAGGGTAAAGACATTTTTACAAATATTTAAAGATATTGGACTTTCACAAGGTAAGTATGCATGCCCAAAAGTTTGAAGTAACCACTAAAACTTAGAAATAGAGTATACAGGTGAAGAAAATCAGAATGAGAATAAAAATAAACCCTAAAGAAGAAAGGAAAGGGGAAAAAAACCAGGCAGGACAAATAGAAATAACAAAATACAATGGTAGAAATAATTCCAGATATATCAGTAAATATAATAAATGTAAATGGACTAAATGCTCCAGTTAAAATACAAAGACTATTCTTTTAAAAAACCTTTTTATCATGAAAAATTTCAAGTATACAGCAAAGTGGGAGAAACAGTACAAGAAAACCATATACCTGCGATGTAGAGTCAGCCATTGCTAGCAATTTGCCACATTTGTCTCACCTATATGGGTATGTATAGGAGACTATTAAGAACACCTATTTAACTTCCATAGTAAACATAATATAATGAAATACAATTTAAACGGTAATCATGATGTAGAGTATCCACTTTTGAGGTCAAGCAGATCTGGATTCTCCAGCAATTTTTAATTATTTAACTTACGTGTGTGGTTATTTATTCAAAAGATGTCTCTTCACTAGGCTATAGTAAAAGGATTGGAATCAGGTTCGCTTTTCTGATCATTGTATTTCTAAATATTTGTTGCATAAACAAATAGAATTTACTAGTAAAGAATTCAGCACAGTGCCAGTTGCATAGTAAACATTTAACGTAGAGTAGCTTGTATTTATTGTAGTTGCTGTTGTTATTGGAAGCATTCAGTAGAGTGATACAAAATAAATAAGCAATAATTGGTAGTTTATTATATTTATAATTATTATTTACAAGACGTCACAGTGCCTAGCCCATATCACTCACCCATAAACATTATACTTATACTAAGTACTTTCACTATTATTCAAAGTCTCTAACAGTGCCTGGCACTACATAAGCAAGAGAAAAGTGGAAGTTTATTCTAATTGTTATTATTGAATAAAGCACTTAACACGAAGCTGGCCCCCAGCGGGCCCTTAATAGTTTCCGCGGTGGCTGTCGTAGCTGGACTACAGACCCCGCCTCCTGAGCGGCCCGAAGCCCCGCCCCTTACTGCCCCGCAGTCCCGCCCCCGTGGCTTGTGCCGCGCCTGCGCACTGTCCCGGAAGGGGCTCTACGCGCGCAGCTTTAGTCCCCGCCCCTGGAGCCGGCGGCGCAGGGCGCAGCTTCCCGCCGCCAGAGCGGGCCAGCCTGCTGCGTGCGTGCGTGTGTACGACTCTGCGTGCGTGCGTGCGTGCGTGCGTGCCGTCAGCTCGCCGGGCACCGCGGCCTCGCCCTCGCCCTCCGCCCCTGCGCCTGCACCGCGTAGACCGACCCCCCCCCAGCGCGCCCACCCGGTAGAGGACCCCCGCCCGTGCCCCGACCGGTCCCCGCCTTTTTGTAAAACTTAAAGCGGGCGCAGCATTAACGCTTCCCGCCCCGGTGACCTCTCAGGGGTCTCCCCGCCAAAGGTGCTCCGCCGCTAAGGAACATGGCGAAGGTGGAGCAGGTCCTGAGCCTCGAGCCGCAGCACGAGCTCAAATTCCGAGGTAAGCCCCAGAGGCCGCCACCTTCCTGCCCGCGGCCTCCGCCCCAGTGCTGGAAGGACGGAGCCCGGCGCGGCGGGTGACGTCGGCCCTCGTCCCCACCCCGACGGCGCTGTCGCGGGGGGCGGCGAGGCCGGGCCGGGCCTTGGCGCTCGCCGCGCTCCCCAGAACTGCCCGGAGTGGCCGGGACCCGAGAGGGCTGGTGCGGGAGCCGGGGCCTGCGCCTCCTCCCCGACCCCCAGCCTCCTGGGACTTGCCTTCGAGGCACTTGTCACTTTGTAACTTACCAGTTTGTGATCCTCTCTAGTGTGAGCCTCCGCCGCTGCCTTTGCCTAGAAGTTTCTTCCCCTGCTCCGTGACAGTGTTGACCTCAGGGCTTAGTTGAGGTGTCAGCTGCTCAGAGAGGCCTGCTGTGACCACCCAGCCACCGTGCACACCTGCTGTCATTCCCTATTCCGTCACTGTTTCGTGGTCAGCACGGCACTTTTCATACCCAAAATCACTGTTTCAATACTAGAAGGGAAACTGCATGAGGACAGGCTCTTGTCAGTTCGCTGCTGTGTACCCAGCACACATTATACGCCTAGTAAATAAATACCTGTTGAACCAACAGATGAACATGTTGAACCAACAAATGAACCTCCTCAGGACTTCTGATGGGATTGGGCCCATTTTCCTTTCACTGCGTCCCTCATGCTGTCTCCTGGTTGCGGTGCAAGGAGGCTGCCACGGTGCTGGGATCCTTTTTCTCCGCAGAGCTGTCTGGAGCAACACCTGCGGCGATGGGAAGCCATGACCCTGGTTTCTCCCAGATACTATTACCTCTGTAATTTGTGCCTTTATGTTTTCTATGTTGTTACTTTTGTTTTTTTTTTTTTTTTCCTACCTTCACCAGGGCCACGAGGTAAAAGTTCTTGTCTGACATGCTCATTCTTTCTTTTTGCGTGTATCCAGTGATGTGGGAGGCTCTGGGGAGGTGATGGATGCACAAGACAGATAAGGCCTCTGCTCTCACAGAGCTTACCTTCCGACGAGGACAGACAAACCAACACACAAGATCATTGCAGATAGTGCTAAGTGCTGTGTAGGAAATGGAACAGTCTGACTCCATGGAAGCGTACTTTAGATTGGAAGGCCGGGTCTCCACTATATCGCTAGCACCGGACTCACAGTAGATGCTCAGTTGGTATTTATGAATGAATGAATGGCCAGAGGCTCTCCAGTTTATATGTCCTATTGGGAAGTAGTGTAGGGTAACTTACCCAAAGTTACCCAGTTGGCAAATGGTACATTTGAACCCAGACTTCAGAGTTCACGCTCTTAACCGTTTTGCTGTCTGATCGCTGGGAAATACTCCAGAACGGTGGCTGTCACTTTGCCTTCCAAGTTAACAATGTGAAATAACTCTGAATTTACAGAGAACCAAAGGCTTTCCAATTAAAATGAAAAAACCGAAAAACCCCACCAAACCTACCGTGGATTGTAATTCCAGGATAGTACTTGAGCTTTCATGATGTTCTCATGGCCTTCTGGGGATGCCAGATTGGGAAAGAAGTCCAGGTAGCTAAAGTGAAAATAGTGAGCCTTAGTTTCCACTTGAGTTGTCTGAAGTTCTTTCTCTATCTGGGAGGCCTGGCTTGGCTTCTCCTGATAATTGGTGGGTTCATTCGGTTAGTCCACAAACATTTACTGAGTACCTGATCTGTGTGTCAGATACCCAGAGAAGCCAAGTTATATCAGCTGTACTCTCCTATTTTCCCTCAACCTCCTCCCAGTACTTTAGGGAAGGGGGCAGATGAGAATAACAGCCAGGACAGGACAATGATGTAGGGTAGTCCAGAGTGCTCCAGGAGCATTGAGGAGGTCAACTCCTGAAAGAGGTGTCATTTGAGCTCAGTTATAAAGGTCGAGTAGAAGAAGGCTCAAAGAAGGAAAGGGTGGGGAACATTTCAGACAGAGGAAATTGCATGCACAGAGGCACAAACACTGAGATGACTGGGCTCCTTTGGGATGCCACTAGTAGTTTTTTTTTTTTTGAGATAGAGTTCTCACTCTGTCACCCAGGCTGGAGTGCAGAGGCGCCATCTCACTGCAGCCTCTGCCTCCCAGGTTCAAGTGATTCTCCTGCCTCAGCCTCTTGAGTAGCTGGGATTACATACAGGCATGTGCCACTACGCCTGGCTAAATTTTGTATTTTTAGTAGAGACGGTGTTTCACTATGTTGGCCAGGCTGGTCTCAAACTCCGGACCTCAAGTGATCCGCCCTCCTTGGCCTCTCAAAGTGCTGGGATTACAGGCGTGAGCCCGGCCACCACTAGTGGTTCTGAATGACAGCAACAAAGAACATTTGTTGTGGTTGCCTGGCAAGATGGGAGACAAGGCTGGTGAGTAGACAAGAGTCAGATCTCAGTCCCTTTATGCATAGATGCAGCCAGTGTCCAAGTTAAAATTGTGTTGCTTCTCCTTGAGCAGTCCTTCCTTGCATTAACTTTCTGAAAACCCCCAAATCCCAGTACAAACTCTGTTGTCTAATATGTTATGGAAAGAGGCACTCATTTGAGAAAATTTAAGATTTTGTTCAATTGTTTTACTGAAAGATGTGTGACCTTAGGCCACTTCACTCCTCAAAGCCTGGGGTGGTTATTCGGTCAATGGGGATGATGCTCGTGTCCACGTTGCCTCTTGTAGAACGTGTTTAGAAGGAATGACATGGCTGTTAGTGGCTTTGTAAGTGCATAGTACTATACAGAGATTAGACAACCACTTAACTACTTAAGTGGTTTCATCACTTCTGTACCTGAAAGGTGTGGCAGAGAATAGCGATCATTCTGGCCCTGGATTGGCCAAAGTAATTATGCCAAAGTCACTGGATATTTTTGCTAGGGAAGTGGTCCAAGAGAAGTGGTACCAAATTGTTGAAGGCCTCTGGCTCATAACTTTAGAAGAGACATCTGTGTGTGTTCTTAAATGACGTCATGAGGTGTGTTGTTTGTTTGTTTTAAACTGAATGCTAAGACAGTACAATTAATAGAGACTGAATACCCTGACTTAGAGATAATTCATTTCAGGATGAGAAATGGCACATTTAACTGGTTTCTTCCAGGTTACTCAGGGTGACGACTCTGATTTCTGGTCGTTCACCTAGATGAACCTCTGAGCTAACTTTACTTGAGAAGGTAATAACTAAAATGCCCATTCAAAGGAAAAATTATCTTTTAAATGCAGCCTAAGTTGATCGTATGGGATTGTATATTGTCAGACTCTTTAATCTTGGGAATTTTGTGTGGTATGTTAAATTTAAGGATGTTACAGAAGAAAAAGAATGCAAATTTATATGACTTTATGCAGTTTTATAGGAAGTACTATGCTGCATCATAAATATCAAAAGGAGAAAGCCTGGTGGCTTCCTGAAAGAAGCATGACACAGGAGGATTTGCCTAGACTTAAGGTTGACTTTCATGAGATATTTTTAGTAAGTGAACATTAAGCTCTTTCAGACTAGGGGTATCTTTCTGAGAGAGTAAATGTTTTTGTTTTTTGGCAGGGTCTTGCTCTGTCACCCAGGCTGGAGGGCAGTGGTGCCATCATAGCTCACTGTAGCCTCAAACTCCTGGGCTCAAGAGATCCTCCTGCTTTAGGTTCCCTGGTAGCTAGGACTACAGATGCCACCATTCCTGGCTAATTTTTAAATTTTTTTGTAAAGATAGAGTCTTGCCATGTTGCCCAGGCTGGTCTTGAATTCCTGGCCTCAAGCAGTCCTCCCGCCTCAGCCTTCCAAAGTGCTGGGATTACAGGCATGAGCCACTGCATGCAGCCTAAGTGTGTGTTTTCTTTTATATTTCTTTTTGTCTTTTTCACTAAGTCATAGGAGTTTTTTAAAATTGTCACTCTTTCTGTTGATCTCAGTTCTTCCAAGTCCTAATCGTTTCCTTGCCATCTCCTCACTCTGAGATCCCACTTGTTGTCCAGCTCAAAGAGAGCTTTCCGAATGAGTCACTTTCAAGGCATTATATAGCACTCTTCTTTCATTCCCTTCTCCCTCCCCTTCCATGAGAGTCCATCTGTGGTAAATAGTATGTCATATATTTTTTGGTCGTTCAGGACTCTAGATCATTCCTTACATCCTAGCCCATTCCCCCAGCAATGATACTGTCACATGGAAATGGTCTGTTGAACATCCATCCTCACTAGGTTAAGGTTTGTTTTGTTTTGTTTTGTTTTGTTTTGTTTTTTTTGAGATGGAGTTTGGCTCTTGTTGCTCAGGCTGGAGTGCAATGGCGCGATCTTGGCTCACCGCAACCTCCGCCTCCCGGGTTCAAGCACTTCTCCTGCCTCAGCCTCCCGAGTAGCTGGGATTACAGGCATGCGCCACCATGCCCGGCTAATTTTGTACTTTCAATAGAGACAGGGTTTCTCCCTGTTGGTCAGGCTGGTCTCGAACTCCCGACCTCAGGTGATCCACCCACCTCGGCCTCCCAAAGTGCTGGGATGATAGGTGTGCGCCACTGCACCCAGCCGGTTAAGGTTTAAACATAACTGTGGATGCATTTACTTTTGCTTTATTGCTTGACTGAACCAATGACCTTCAAGAAGTCTTAGATAGTCCTGCCATTAGTAGGGATCTCAGATGGGAGGGCACCAATGAATCAGTGTAGTTGAGTACCACTTTTGGGAGAAAATAGAAACTTGGACACTCTAAATGATAGTTTAAGGACGTTGTTTGTTTTGTTTTGTTTTTTGTATGGGAAAAGTTGGCTTAGACTCTTTAGTTCAGCCCTTCAAGTTGATGTGTAATTTAAGATTGTTTAGGAAGTTAAAAAATCTAAAGCCCTGTGGATATAGTTCATTCAGTGCAGTAATTATCTTTCAGATGCCAAGTACAGCATTAATTCTTTAGCTTTAGCATGGCACTGATTTTCTTAACACTTCATGATCACGTGGAGCAGACTGTGCTTTACAGCACAACAGAGCGTCAGCCATGTGCTGAAGATTCTTCGTGGTAGTGGTTTAGATCCACCCTGAATAGATTATCTTCATTTATTTAATTATTAAGTAGCTTGCTTATCAAAAGCGGCATTAAACTTACTAAACTTGAGTCAAACGTAAATCTTCATAGATAGTACCATTTACTTCTGAAATCTTGTTCCTGGGAGAAAAATGTGGACTGGAAGTTAACTTTCTTTTATCCACCTATTCACTCCTTTTTCTTCACAGTTAACTCCTTAGGGGAAAAAATGTATAGTTCTTGACCATGTGCTTATGTTTGTAAAGCAATGATGTTTCCTTAACGTGAGTGGTTGTGACATAGATCACTGTTATCTTCATAATTACCTGGGAGCTTTTCATCCAAGTGTGGATTTACTAAAATAATTAGTCTGAATTGATGCTTATTAAAGAGCTGAACTCTTAAACGTTAACACTATCTTGTATTTATTAAAATTGTATGCATGTTTCCTTCAAATGCTGAAGGCAGAATACTGAGAACTTTGACCCTGTGTTATTATCGCTAAGTAGTTGAAAATTAGGGGAGGAGTCAAGGGAGTATATTATATTGGTTATCACTCAAATACTACCCCTAGGCATGATTTTTAGAACCGAAACTTGAATTTTTACATAAAGAATTATCTCCAAAAGTGTCTTTTTTTTTTTTTTTTTTGAGATGGAGTCTTGCTCTGTTGCCAGGCTGGAGTGCAATGGCACTATCTCGGCTCACTGCAACCTCCGCCTCCTGGGTTCAAACGATTCTCCTGCCTCAGCCTCCCGAGTAGCTGGGACTACAGGCACATGCCACCATGCCTAGCTAATTTTTGTATTTTTAATAGAGACGGGGTTTCACCATGTTGGCCAGATGGTCTCGATCTCTTGACCTCGTGATCCGCCCACCTCGGCCTCCCAAAGTGCTGGGATTACAGACATGAGCCTCTGCGCCAGGCCAAGAGTGTCTTATATATCCCCACTTTTTTGAAAAATTTGCTGTCTAAAGGATGATCATGATTTGGGACGAATGAGCACAGCTTTCAACTAGATGACAAGAAAGATGAATACAAAGAGTGCTGAGTTCCATTAGTCAAGACAAGGTTGCCATAGAATGTCTTTAATAAAATAAAACAAAAGCCTTTTGCGTTATTTTGCACCGAGGATTGTGTTAAAAACAAAGTTGCATTATGGTTTCCAGATTGGCATCCTTGTTTTTTTCTATCATTTTAGGCCCCTTTCAGGCTGTTATCAGCATAGCATATCCAGGATTGCTTTGGCCTTGCTCAGTGGGTATGTGCGTTCTTTGAAGTTCTTACCTGACAGATGTGGGCAGCTGGCTTTACACAAGGAAGAGTTGTTTAAAGAGCTTTGGTATGGAAACAAAGTTACTAAACTTGACAGTCACTTGAGGATTATTTAAAAAACAAACAAAATAACTGAATGTGGTAAAATACTATCTCTAGAATATTTTTCAAACTGTTAAATGCATCCTTTTAACAGAAGCTGTTGATGTCTACAAACACTGTCTTTGTAGACAAAGACAAACCCCCCTTGCATGGGGGTTTGGGGGTTGGGAAGCAGTTGAGAAAATGGCATAGTCCCGTGAGAAAACCTTGGAATACTTTCTTTTAATAACATTTTTTTATTGCATAGAACTGTAAAGCTACAGAAATGCTTTCTTGGAGTTTTCCTTCATCCTTTCAGAAGGGCTAATATTGACCTTTGGTTAGCATGTTAGTATTTTCACCTGTGTCAAGTGATGTCTTCACGCTTTTGGGGGGTGTGTGTGTGCATGCCCACCTCGTGTTGTGTAGGGCACATTGGCCGATACCTATAATGTGTTTCAATTACTACATTGTTGGCATTTCAGTAGGCTCCTTCAGCCTTTGCCCATCTGGGAAGTGGAGACTAGGGCAATAAATGTTTTAGGGGTAGATTGAGACTGCAGTGTTTTTCATCTTTTAGCTTGTACTTTAAGACAATGGGATGTACCCCTAGACCATTTACCTAGATTTAAATTACTTCCTTGTGATGTGGTTTAGAGCTCTAAGTTCCTTGAGTTGTCTTGAAAGGCTGAAGGGTGCTCAGAGAATGGAGGGGAATTGAAAATGGAACCTAAGGATCTGGGAGTGGTCATATGTGTGAGTGGTGAAATGTGCCCCCCAACACCCCGTTGGGTCGGGTCTGGAGTTAAAAGCAGTGGCTGACATACATTTTGCAATATAAGGGTAAAGAAAGGTAAAGAAGGAACAAACATTTCTAGAGGATAAATGCTTTAATTCCAGAAGATAGGCCACACAGTTTAGGAACTGTGGTAAGAGGTGCTTTGCCATATTTATGTTACTGTTTAATCTGTGTAACAATCGTATGAGATGACTTAGTCAGTGGCTAGGTAACTTTCTGCTGGATGAGGCTGCACTAGTAAATGGTGGCACAGGCAAAGCCTTGTACTTTCCCTCATACCAGTATCAGCTCATTAGAGTTAACTCATAAAGGGGTTTGTTCTTGAGAGAGGGAGGCAGAGAATTTAAAACCATTAATGAAGTATTAATAGCTGTCAGGACAATTTCTTAAGAACATCAATTCATTAAGAGTTATTCTCTGAATTTTTTAGGAGGGATTTCTTGCCCTACTTTTGAAAAAGTTCAGACAGATGACTCCAAAGAATGTTTGATTTCTCTTGTGAATATTCACTTTTATATCAGATTCTGATGGTTTCTTGATTCTATATATTTAGAAAGCATTCGGCCGGGCATGGTGGCTCATGCCTGTAATCCCAGCACGTTGGGAGGCTGAGGCAGGCAGATCAACTGAGGTCAGGAGTTCGAGACCAGCCTGACCAACATGGAGAAACCCCATCTCTACTAAAAATACAAAATTAGCCGGGCATGGTAGCGCATGCCTGTAATCCCAGCTACTTGGGAGGCTGAGGCAGGAGAATCGCTTGAACCTGGAAGACGGAGGTTGCGGTGAGCCGAGATCCCGCCATCGCACTCCAGCCTGGGCAACAAGAGCAAAACTCTGTCTCAAAAAAAAAAAAAAACAAAACACATTAACTTGTGGGTAATTTGTCCTTCTGCTATCCAGTCTTTGGAAGGCAGGGCAAAGCTTGTGTGTGGTAGAGATTTCATAGGCTTGCAGGTTTGTAGAGTGGGAATTCAAGAAGTTGTAAAGGGCACTTATTAAGATAGGAATGTCTAAAATAAATGATCTTTAGCAGTGCCACCTTAAACTTTGTAAGTGTTGCTACAAAACCTTTAGTTCTGCATGCTCCTGACCAGCCATTGCCTTGGACAGAGAAACAAATAAGGGTGAGTTAATAAACTAGAGACTTGTCTCAATTGTTCAAAGAGGTAAACTTAAGGTGATTAAAAAGTGCTGTTTTATTCTGTATGAGATACACTTTGGGAAGTCGTCATTTTCCAAGACGATGATACGCCAGGCATACGAATTGGATCAGAAAGGATTTAGAGACATGCATGGATATAATGATCTCTTACAGATGTTCCTCACCTTACAGCGGAGTTACATCCTCAGAAACCCATTGTCAGTTGAAAATATTATAAGTTGAAAACATATTAGATACAGCTTAACCTACCCAACATCATAGCCTTGTCTACCTTAAACATACTCAGAACCCTTAAGTTAGCCTCCAGTTGCACAAAGTCATCTAGCACAAAGCCTATTGTATGATAAAGTATTGAATATCTCATGTACTGCATATTACTAGCCTGGGAAGAGATCAAAATTCAAAATATGTCAAAATTATGATGGCTTCACACCATTGTAAAATTGAAAAATCGCAAGTCAAACCAATCGGGGATTGTCTGTACATAAGAGATGATTGTCCAAATTAGAGCTGTTTTGGGTTTCTGCCCTTTGCAGATCCTTTGAGGTTTTCTTTATAGACAGATGACTCCTTCTGGGGGAATTGAGCGTGACTCTGATTGAGATTTGGTTCAGTTACCACATACTGAAAGCTTCCTGTGGGCCAGGCACTAGGTTGCACTGGGGACCTGGGAGGAAGGCCTAGCCCTTAAAGTTTCCAGCCTCTAGGTATTGGGAGACGAGGGAAAATGGGGACAAGATATTTATGGCCTGTCCTTATTGAGAGCTTAGAAAAAGCTGTGTTAATTCTGCTTTGGGTGTTCGATCTCACAGGGAAGATGGCATTTGAGATATGTGACTTGGCGAGCTTACACTGTGCGCTTGCCATTTTTCTAAGCGTTCATTTATTTAATTCTTAATGCAAGCCTAGGAAGTGGGTACAGTTATGATCCTGAAGTTATTAACCCAAGTTATGAACCTGACTGAGGGTTGGAGCTGGGATTTGAATCAAGATCTGTCTGATTGCAAAGGCTATGGCTTTTTTTTTTTTTGTCGTCATGCTGGCTGTGTTTCTTCCCTTAAAAGATAAGTGGGAGTGTGCCCTTGGCTTTCTTATTTATTATGTTAGGAAGATGAGAGGAGGAGTGAGACTAGAGAAAGAGGCTTGAAAGAGAAATGGGATAGAAAAATAAAGGAAAAGGCTGGGCACAGTGGCTCACACCTGTAATCCCAGCACTTTGGGAGTCTGAGGTGGGTGGATCACCTGAGGTCAGGAGTTCGAGACCAGCGTGACCAACATAGTGAAACCCCATCTCTACTAAAAATACAAAAGTTAGCCGGGCGTGGTGGTGCATGCCTGTAATCCAGGTACTGGGGAGGCTGAGGCAGGAGAACCGCTTCAGCTGGGGAGGTGGAGGTTGCAGTGAGCCGAGATCGTGCCATTGTACTCCAGCCTGGGCAACAAGAGCAAAACTCCGTCTCAAAAAAAAAAAAGAGAGAAAAAGAAAGAAAAAGTGCCTTATTATAATTGTAGTCTTGTAATTGTCTCGTTGGCACCTCTTACATAAAGTGCAGTTGCTCTGGGACATTAGAATGACTGTGACTGACTTTTAATCTTTGCCAGCCATGGTGGCTCACGCCTGTAATTCCAGCTTTGGGAGGCTGGGGTGGGTGGATCGCTTGAGCTCAGGAGTTTGACACCAGCCTGGTCAACATGGTGAAACCCCTCTTTACTAAAAATACAAAAGTTAACCAGGCTTGGTGGTGTATGCCTGTAATCCCAGCTAATCCGGAGGCTGAGGGGCAGGAATCGCTTGAACCCAGGAGGGCAGAGGTTGCAGCTAGCTGAGATTGTGCCTCTGCACTCCAGCCTGGGCTGAGAGTGAGACCGTCTCAAAAAAAAAAAAAAAAAAATCCTTCTATGAATTCTGTGTTTCCCCCTAAGAACTTCTGTCCTAACTTGATCACTTCTTATTGTGAGCTATTTGTTTATTAGTGTTGAAAATTCTGTGCTAATACTATCAACTGTACCTTCCCTTCCACCACCCCACTCTCTGCTCCAAGTCTTTCATGTCCTCAATACCTGTCGTGCAAACTATGCATTTCTGGGTTAACTGGGTACTATTTTAGTCTTTTAGTTCCATCACTCAGCATTTACAATATAGTAGAAAAATGGAAGAAATGGAAAGGTACGTACTCGAGAAATCAGTGTTATGGCCATCTCCATTTTAGAGATGAGAGGCCTTTGCAGAAGGCCTTTGCGAAGACTTTACAGAATGTGAATTTGTACCCGGGTCTTACAGCCTCCCAAGCCTGTGTGCTTTGCATTACAAAGCGAATCTGTGGTTCCTAGCATTGCTGTCACCTAGAGGCACTTGGGCTAACCTCCTTAGCTTTGGTTTCCTCCTCTGCGATGTAAGGAGGCTTGAACTCAGTACCTCTAGGTGGTCCTTCCAGCTCTAAGCTTGAGAACTTAAGTTTATTTTAGCTGAAGAAGAGAGATAGAAAGCCCCTTGAGGACAGGAACCAGCTTGTATTTCCCACAGCACCTACTGGTACTTTGTTCCTATGGGCTCCTGAATATTTAATTAATGAAACCTCTTGTTACTGTTTGAAAGCTCACTACTTGTATTAACCTTTCCTGAGTATTCTTGGACTCTGATCCAGTTTTTTCTATATCACCTCTTATTGTACGAATTGTATGTCACTTTCACGTTTTGTTTTATTCTTTATGTGCTTCATTTACTTATTTATTGCTTGGCTTTCACTGCTAGAATGTAAGCTCCTATAGGTTTTTGTTTTAGTATTTCTGAGTAGACTACATAGACTACATTCTCTTCTTCTTCTTGTTTTCTTTTCCGAGTACCCCAAAGAAGGATACAACCCTGGATTTGGTCATCTTTTCAGTGTTTGCTATGATCATTTGAAACAGAAGCATACACAAGAATAAAAAGAGAAATTTGCTGAAAAACCAGAGGTTTGTCCTTGTGGAGGCTTATTTGAATTCTCAATCTGTTGGTTGAATTGATTTGTTGGCATGTAAATATATCCTGATGGACTCCTCTGAAAATCTAAATTTGTGCTTCTGACCTTTGTAAAGTCAGGCAGTGCTTTACTAATTGGATGAAGGAGAGCCATGGCTTACTCTTGAGAGAATGTGCAGATGCACACAATCAAAACTTTTCATGTAATTTGCGGGCAGGAGGATCCCATCTTAGTGCATAGTTCACCTCTAACCTCGCTCAGAGAAAAGGTGGAAGAAGCATGAGCAGTCATCTAGAGAAATCCAGAGACCACTTGGTCGGCTCATTTGTATCTTTTTATTTATTATTATTTTTAAAATGAATGCTTTTGTTGCCTTTCTCTTCCAAAGCAAGATTGTTTCTTTTTCTTTCTTTACATACCTAGCACTCACTGAGAATAGTGCTTGGCCATTAGTCATTTTCATTAAACATTTGAGTATTGTCCCTTCCACCTTTAAAGAAGAAAAACTGTGTTGTCAGTCCTTTTTACCCTGTCTAGCTACTCCTTTCACTTTCCTTCTTATCATGGTAAGCTTCTGGAAAACATAGTTTCCTGTCTTTTTTCTTTCTGTTCTTCACTTCTAGTCACTGCCCGGGAGCTCAATCATTGCTTCATCACTACATCTCCCATTGCATGTTCAGTCTTCACTACCATTTGACCCCTGTTGTCATCCTGCTCATTGACACTCTTCTCTTGACCTCTCTCATTGCTCTCTCTGCTTTTCTTCCGCCCATGTGGCCAGTTTTGCCCACTCATCATGCAGTCCGGTTGGTAATGCTCAGGGTTACAGGTTCACCTTCTCCCCCTCTTCTCCTTTCCCTGTTTCTCTCAGATTTGCTCTCTCTGTGTCTTCCCTTCTCCCCTTTGCGGAACTCTTTTACCAGTACCCTTCGCTTCTAACGTCACTTATGTATGAACCCAGGCCTGACCCAAGCCCATATAAAAGGCTGCAATACGTTAAATGCAGCATGACCCAAGCTGAACTCTATACCACCTTTTCATTTTTTCCTCCAAACCTCCCCTTCTTACTGTCTCATTGGATGGTACCTACATTCATGCATTTGACCAACTCAGAGAGTCTATGACTCAGTTCTGTCCCTTCTTCCCCATTCCCTCTATGGCTGCCCCATTTTCTCCCGCAACTGTAATAGCCTCTTAACTGGTCTTCTTGTCCGAGTCTTCTCTTTCTTTCCACCCTGATGTGGTTTTCAAAGATGGTTTGCAAAGATGCAAATCTGAGCATATCTCTTGCTTGCTTACAATCATTAAATGTCTTCCTGTTGCCAAAAATAAAGTTTAAATTCTTTAACAAAACCTGGAAAATTATCGATACTTGTTGCACTCCCCCCACATTGCCCTGCCCATCTTTCCAGCATCGTCTTTCCTCATGCTTGTGTTTCAGCCTTTTAGTTCTCCTTGGCCATGGGGCTTTGGCATACTATGTATCATGACTTACCCTGTATGTAGTCATAAAGTAACAGTTTTTAGCTGTTTCCACCACTAAAAATTAGTTGATTCCTTTTCCTCTTGTTTGTTTCACTGCGTCCCCCTGCTTACCTTTGAGGCTCAGCACAGGCTTCACTTCTTCAAGGTAACTGTCCTGACATTCTTCACTCACATTGTATCTGTTCCTCTGGCTCCCACACATGTCACAGCATGTTGTCATTGGCAACGTGATACGTGACTCCCTTTCGCTGTTAGTCAGCAAGCCCCCCCACCCTTTTTTTTTTTTTTTTTTTAGATTGTGTCTCTTCTCCCCACATCCCAGTGCCTAGCACAGCACAGTGCATGGTGCATGGCAGTTTCTCAGGGAGTTCATGGTCTCTGGGTCTAAGGCATAGGCGAGGAAGGGTTGGTGTTTAGGAGAAAGCTGAGAAAGATGCCAGGCGCAATGGCTCACACCTGTAATCCAAGGATTTTGGGACTCCGAGGCAAGCGAATCAGTTGAGGCCAGGAATTTGAGATGAGCCTGGGCAATATGGCGAAACCCCATCTCTACTAAAAATACAGAAATTAACCTGGTGTGGTGGTGCATGCCCATAATCCCAGCTACTCGGGAGGCTGAGGCATGAGAATCACTTGAACTCAGGAGGTGGAAGCTGCAGTGAGTCAAAATTATGCCACTGCACTCCACTCTGGGTGACAGAGCAAGACTGTATCTCAAAAACAAAAACAAAGCTGAGAAAGGAGAGAGGGGGGAAGAAAGAAGACTTTCAGTGGTGAAGAGTAATGAAGCCTGTCGGCAGGGCCCGTTATGTACAGCCGATCGATGTAGACACAGTGCATTTTGCTCAGAAAATATTTGAAGATTTTCCACTAAATGCTGGTTGCTTTTCTCTCTTGTGGAAACTTATGTTTTTACTTCTCCTCCTCTTCTATTTCAGAGAGTCAGGACTACCTCTTAGGTGTGTGTTCTTTTACCCCATTCCTTTCCCATCACTTAACAGTATTTTGCATCGTTAGCCTATTACTGCTGTCTCACTTTTCTCTTGTACTTGATTCCTTCCTTGTGCCTACAAACATGCTTAAGTTGCCCCTTCCTAAAAAGAAATCTTGTTTTCTAGATCTTCCCCGCTTAAGCAAATGCCCAGTCTTCTATCACAGCTAATTTTGGGGAAGCGGTGAATCTCAGTTTCTGGTATCTTTACTCTTCTTTCATCAGACCTCACCCCTTCACTCAAACCCTTCTTAGTTCCCCCAGGTTTCTCTCTGTGATACTTGTCTTTGACTTTTCTGATGAACTGTCCACCTCTTTATCATCTCTTTTACTGGATGTTGAGGTTTCTCAGGTTCTGGCTTCAGTCTTCTCAATTTAACAATTCTCTGTATGTTGTCTCATTAATAATGCCTTCATCTTCCACTTCTGCACAGAAAACTTCCAAATCTCTATCTCCAAGCAAATCTTTTGATCTGTCAGCCTGCTGGACATCCCTGTCTATCTGGTTGTCATGAGAACACCTCAAACTCAGCATGTTCCACACTGTATTTACCGTTTACCTTCTCATCCCCACTGACTGTGGCTTCTGGATCTTGGGAATGGCCCTTGCACCAAGTTGGCAAGCTGGAAATCCTAAACTTGTCTTTCACTCCCCATTTTCCGTAACCTTTCACATCTACTCAGTCCATTTAAATCAGCAGCATCTCCTATGCCCTTTTGCTTCTTAGTATTCTATCGTATCCTAAGTATAGGTCCTTTCCCTTCCAGACTATTGTAGTAGCACCGTGACTCAACTTTCTGTCTCTATTTTTTCTGCCTGCTTCTCTCACCCTTTGGACTATACTTTATACAGTTTCCAGAGATATTTTTCTAAAAATTGAAATTTGATATCATTTCTTGGTTTAAAAACATTCATTGGCTCTCTAGATCTTACGGATAGGTTCGTGGCCCAAATTCTTAGGCCAGCAGCAAAACTCTTCAGAGTCAGGCCACACCGCATCTTTCCAGCCTCAGCTTCTTTCACCCCTCTCGTACCCCTTCCTCTTCAGCCATTTGATGCCCCCAGAAGCCCCTTATAGCGTTATCACACTGTACTTTCACCCAAGTTCCCTACAGCTCAAAGTGTACTTTGCGTTATCTGCTTTTCAGACTCCAGGGCTTGCCTCAGTGATCAGTTCCCTGTGCTCCTCACCCTCCCCTTTTGATAGGATGCTTTATAGATTACCTTTCATACAGTGTTCGATGCAGTTAGAGGTAGTATACTGCCCAGGAGTTAAGAGTGTGAACCCTAGATTTGCCATCTGAAAGTCATGTGTCCTTCAGTGATGCATTTAACCTCTCTGTGCCTCAAATTTCTCCCTCTGGGGTATGTTAGGAGTATACAAATTAACACATGTAAAGTGCTTAGAATAGATTGGTACTGTTAAATATGAGCTAACGTCACATTTGATATTTTTTTAAAAAGAAAAAATCATTATGGAGTCTCAGTCCTAGAGATTCTGATTCATTAATTCTGGATGGGCCCCAAGATTGTTCTGTGTATTCTGGGTGGGAGCTGCAGTGCCCTGTTTCTCTCTCTAGCTTGAGAGCCTAGCACAGCACCTGAACCATTCTCTTCATGGGTTACTTATTGAGTACCTGTAGTGTGCCAAGCATTGCTGAGAGGCCGAGATGAGAAAACTTTTACCTTGTGGAGCTCATCTTCTAGTGGAGAAGGTGTACATTAAATAAAAACAGAAAATATATATGATGTGGTGTCAGGCAGTAGGTGATAAATGGGAAAAAAACAACTAAAAACAATGCAAGATAAAGGGATTTGGGAATGGATTCAATTTTAAGTAGGGTAATTAGGGAAGGT
Organism: Homo sapiens; assembly: GCF_000001405.40. NCBI lineage: Eukaryota > Metazoa > Chordata > Mammalia > Primates > Hominidae > Homo > Homo sapiens. Next base: position 58,405,138 of record NC_000020.11, read on the forward strand.
CATTTAAGTAGGGTGATTAGGGAAGGTCATTTACCTGAGGAGGTGATATTTGAACTGAGACCTATATAAAATGAGTGTATGAACTGTGGAGACATTTGGGAAGAGCATTACAGACAGATGGAAGGGCAGGTGCAAGGTGATGATGAGCTTGGTGTGTTCAAGGAGCAGCAAGGTATGCCTGTGCTAGAGTGGTGGAGGGGCCTGCGGGGAGATGAGCTCAAAGAAGAGGGCAGGAGCCTTGCCGGTAGGCAGGCCACAGGAGGGACTTTGGATTTTGTTGTGAGATGGGAAGCCACAGAGGAATCTGAGCAGGAGTTTATTTTTATTTTTATTTTTATTTTTGGAGACAGAGTCTTGCTCTGTCGCCCAGGCTGGAGTGTAGTGGCGCGATCTCGGTTCACTGCAACCTCTGTCTCCCGGGTTCAAGCAATTCTCTTGCCTCAGCCTCCTGAGTAGCTGGGATTATGCCCAGCTAATTTTTTTATTTTTAGTAGACAGGGTTTCACCATGTTGCCCAGGCTGGTCTTGAACTCCTAAACTCCTGAGCTCAGGCCTCCCAAAATGCTAGGATTACAGGTGTGAGCCATCACGCCTGGCCAGGAGCCTTTTTTTTTTTTTTTTTTTTTTTTTTGAGACGGAGACTGGCTCTGTTGCCCAGGCTGGAGTGCAGTGGTGCGATCTCACTCGGCTCACTGTAACCTCCCCCTCCCAGTTCAAGCAATTCTCCTGCCTCAGCTTCCCAAGTAGCTGGGACTACAGGCATGTGCCACCACGCCTAAGTAATTTTTGTATCTTTAGTGGAGACAGGGTTTCTAGATTAAATGTAGAGGAATATAGAGGAATGTAGATTAAATGTAGAGGAAGAGAGACTGCTTTTGGCCTAAGCAGTTGGGTGAGTGGTGGTTTCTTTACTGAGATGAGAAGCATTGAGTTTGAGGGAGGAGAGTGGGACTCAAGAGTGCCGTTTGGACATGAGAAACTTGAGATGCTCAGTACACTTGCAACGAGAGATGTTAAATAGGTAGTTGAGTCTGGAGCTCAGGGGAGAGGGCCAGGCTGCAGATATAAATTTGGCAGTCAGCTTATTGTTGTGACATAGAACAGTAAGGAGTAATTTCTTCTGATTAAAGAGATTTGGTAAACCTTTCCAAAAGAGAAGACGTTTGAGCAAAACTTTGAAGAATGAGCATAATTTCCAAAGGCAGAGTAAGGGAAAAATAGAAAATATTTTTCATCCAAGTCTCACAGCCTTTCCCCTGGCCTCTTCTTGAGTTTAAGAAGCTGCTGACCTGGTTGATAATCTCTTATCACTGGTATAGCCACTTAGGTTCTTTATTGAAAAGGAACCAGAACAGATTACACACTAACTGATAAACCACGTTCTACTGTTTCTCATCGTTCACAGATTGAAAATTCCAGTTGGATCATCAAGGTGCAGAATGCTAAACTTGTTCTTCTCCCCTGTTCTGTATCTGGTGTGAATTGGATGTGTTGATTTTCGTATGGAGGCTTTTTCACATGCTGTCATCTCCACTAAAGATGGAACACTTTGGAGAAGTTTTACTTCTGTTGTTAATGACTTTTTGCACTTGAACTGTTAAAACAACTACAACCATGAGAAATTGGGACCCCATGCTATTTTATCACTCATACCCCTAACTTGAGCATATTATCTGTCTTGACTCATCCTGCTTTGTGTAAAATGTGAATCATGTTTTGTCACTCTTCTATTTAGATAGAATTTTATTTGCAGTAGAATATTGCTTATCTTTTTGTTTATTTTTGTGATTACTGTAATCAGAAATTTTGGTCTTTCAAGTAGAGAATAATTACTAGATGTTCGTTAGTCAATGGGATAAAGAATGCATTGAAAAAATTCAGTTTATTAAATCGTCTAAGATCCTTTTAGAACTGATGTAAAATTCATCTGTGAATAATCTTCTACTGCACGATAATATTAGTGCTGGATATAGATAGAATGTATGAAGCCTCAGCTCTTATATACTCCTTTTAGCCATTTTTCTATTACGAAAAAAAATCTAGTGTATTAAAGGAAAGTAGTGACAGTATTTATCTTTAGATGGTTTCTAGTATTTGAAGTTCATACAGAAGCTTTTGTCAGAATTGTACACATGGGTCTTTGTCTTGAGTTAATGAGACCACTGCAACTTTAAACATGTTTTGAGTGATAACCTTGATTTTTATAAATTATACAAGCATGACTATCAAGGCTGGTTTATCAGTTTTCAACAACTTTACAAGTCTGAACAAGTAGAAAATTATTTCAAAAGAACCTTGTTTGGATCTCACATAAACTACAGGTAGCTTTCTGTATATGAAAAAATTTTTAAGTACAGAAAAATACAGATAATATAAATACCCCAGTATGGAGTAACTAAATGTTAATAATTTGTTAGAAGACTCGTTTTAAATCTTTCTTTAATAAAACAAGTAAAACTTCACTAATAATTTATGGCATGTCTGTACTCCATATCTGCTGATTCATACGCCCTCCTTTTTTTTTTGTTTTTTTTTTAACTCCCCGGAGGAATTTAATGTGAACTATTTCCGTTTTTTTCTAGATCACTTAATGTAGTGTCATGGTGTATGGATGACTTAACATGTTTTTGAGACCTATCAACTGTTGAAATACAGATCTAGTTCATTCTTTTAAAGAGTTGTATAGTATTCCTTCATGAGATTTTAGAATTTTTATTGTAAGTAAGAGAATTCTTTATATATTTTCAATTCTGGCCATTCATCTGTTATATAAACTGCAAATATCTTAGTTTTCCAGGCTGTTCCTTACTAACTTTGTATTTTTTTTCAGGTAGCTTTCCTGAGTTTGATCTTAGGAATTCTTAAAATACAGTAGCATGTCTTCCAGTTTAGTTTTCCCACCCATGGAGGTGGTGGCAGGCTGAGTTTTGTTTCTTTCTGCTCTGAAAGACCTAGGAAACTAGTGAATTGAGTAAGCACCCTGCAAGTCTGGTATAGTCTATTTCAATCAAGTTGGCTTCTGGTGTGCCTTTGATGGCATCATCAGTGAGAGTTCTTGGTGTTGATTTCTCTTGCTGCAATAACAGGTGTGATGTTTCTCAGTAGCTGGCTGGCTCCCGAGGATACCAGGAGAATACTTTATTAATTTAAAACACTGCATTCTAAGAGTTCTTCAGGAAAGTTATGTGTCTATGGGTAGGGTTGTTTTTATGTGGTTATTTCAAAATAAGAGCTATACAATCAGGCTTTCTGCTGGAATATTGGAATATAATGTCTGCCATTTAAACACATTGGTTGCAAAGCTTTAAAGCTTTATTTTTGTTTCTAAAGCATTGATTTAATGTGTGAGCTAACAATTCGATCAAGAAAATAGATTTTTAAGAAAACTTCTCCAGTGTCCTTATTCTTGAGTTCATGGTTATTTAACAGCTCACTCTCTTCGAATATCTGTTAGTATGGTATCTTTCATTTTTTAGGGAGGGGGCAACTTTAAAAAAAAACACCATAGAATAATTATGATGAAAGCATTATTGACACAGTGAGCATTTTTAATACCTTCAACCTGTATATAAGCAGCACAAATTTAGAGTGATTTCAGATCCGGGTTTTGAAGTAGGTGTCTGTTTACAGGAAATGCAGCAGAATCAGAGTACAATGACCTCTGAGGAAGTCTCGTATTCATGCAGCATACATTTTTACTATGTTTGTGGCACTGTTCTAGTTTGGAGGATCTGGTGATGAATAGGACAGACACCCCCCCCCCCCACCCCGCCCCCCACTCCATGTGGAAACAGGAAAGGAACAAACAAAATATGTCCTATGCAGAAGATGAAAAGGGTGTAATGCTGGAACAGGAGCAGCAGTAGTCTCAGTATTTATTCACCCAGAGCCTGGATGTGCTTACAGAGGGTGCATAGAGGAAGAATACAGCCATTGTGTGAAGTAGATGGAAGCATGGCATGGCTATTTGTTCATTCAGCAAATATATTATTGAGCATCTGTTCTATGCCTGCAAGTGCTCTAGGTGCTGATGATCAGTAATGAACAAGAGGGACAAAAAAGTCTGTGTTGATGGAGTTTCCATTCTAGAAGGGGAAGATTTACATAAACAAGAAAAGAAATAATGTGGGGATTGGTGCACTGCAGATGGGTATAGAACGCAGAAAGCAATAGGATACTTTTTAATGTAAATAGACTGTCAAAGGGTAAAATTTAAAAATATTAATAAGATATCCAACAGATTTTGCTTTAGAATGTCCGTGTCCCTCCATTTTAGTGTATTTTTCCCACATAGAGAGTCTACTGTATTGAAACCTCAAGCACACTTTTATTGTCTTAACAAAATCCATCAAAAGTCATAGGCTTCTGGAGACAGATTATTACCTTCCCAGAAGGTAATCTTTTTAGAGTTGAAGTGAAATATGGTAATTTGTTTTTTGGAGAGGCTGTGAAAAGGAGAGATACTGTACCTAATTTGTGTTTGCAAGAGTATAAAATAATATAGCTTTTTTTATGCAGAGTGGAAAAAACTGTTGTGAAGCTAATAACTTTAAACTTGTATCTGGAAAGCTGAGACCTGATAGATTATATATCAAATTGGTATACAACTTATTTGGTAACATATATAGGTTGAGTTTCAAAGTATTGTAGCTACATCAGAAGATAAATAACAAAGGAAGGATATGTATTTGTGAAACCAGAATTTCATGAACTCTAGAAAAGGAAGAGGAGCAATCACTTTGCACAACAAAGAATCTTTATTCATATACACACACACACACACACACACACACACACAATACAGATAGATATTTTCAAAATCTCAATAATATTTAATATTAGAAATGTTAAGGGGGATACTACCGAAAGTGAATTAATATAAAAGACCAAATGCTTTTTCCCCTTCCTTTTTTTAAAAAAAATATAGTTTAGAACAGTTTTAGGTTCACACAAAAACTGAGCAGAAAGTATGCACAGAGTTCTCTTGTAACTCCTACCCCACACATGCATCATAACCCCCTCCACTGCCAACATCCTACACTGAGAGGTACATTGGTTACCATTGGTGAACCTACATTGACATGTCATTGTTAGCCAGAGTCCGTAGTCTGCGTTAGTATTCATTTCTAGTGTTGTACATTCTGTGAGTTTTTACAAATGTATAATGACATGTATCCACCATTATAATATCAGAGTAGTTTCAGTTTTACTGTCCTAAAACTGCTCTATGCTCCTTGTGTTCTTTCCTCCCTTAAATTTTATCAACACCGTATTTATTTATTTATTTATTTATTTTGATAACAGAGTCTTGCTCCATCACACAGGCTGGAGTGCAGTGGAGCGATCTTCGCTCACTGTAACCTTCGCCTCCTGGGTTCAAACTGTTCTCCTGCCTCAGCCCCCCGAGTTGCTGGGATTACAGGTGTGTGCCCCCACACCTAGCCAATTTTTGTAGTTTTATTAGAGATGTGGTTTCACCATACTGGCCAGGCTGGTCTCGAACTCCTGATGTCAAGTGATCCGCCCCCCCGCCCCACTCAGCCTCCCAAAGTGCTGGATTATAGGCGTGAGCCACCATGCCTGGCCAACACCTTATCTTTTTATTGTCTCTGTAGTTTTGCCTTTTCCAGAATGTCATAGAGTAAAATCATACAGTATGCTACCTTTTCATACTGACTGCTTTCACTCAGGAATATGCATTTAAGGCTCCTCCGTGTCTTTTCATGGCTTTATAGCTCATTTCTTTTTAGCACTGAGCACTATTTCAGTGTCTGGATATACCACAGTTTATTTTATCCACTCACAAAATGCTTCTGCATTTTGGCAGTTATGAATAAAGCTGCTATAAACATCCATGTGCAGGTGTTTGTGTGGATATAAGTTTTCAACTTACTTGGGTAAATACCAAGGAGGGTGATTGCTGGATTGTATGGTAAGAATATGTTTAGTTTTGTAAGAAACTGCTAAATGGTCTTTCAAAGTGTCTGTGCACCGTTTTTCATTCCCACCAGCAGTGAATGAGAGTTCCTGTTGTTCCACATCCTCACCAACACTTGGTATTGGTAGTATTTTAGAATTTGGCCATTCTAAAACTCAACAATAAGAAAATGAACAAATGTGTAATAGTATCTCATTGGACATCTTTTCTATTTTTGTTTTTCTGAGATGGAGTCTTACTCTGTCGCCCAGGCTGAAGTGCAGTGGCACAGTCTTGGCTCACTGCAACCTCTGCCTCCCGGGTTCAAGTGATCCTCCTGCCTCAGCCTCCCCAGTAGCTGGGACTACAGGCATGGGCCACCACACCTGGCTACTTTTTGTATTTTCAGTAGAGACAGGGTTTCACCATGTTGGCCAAGCTGGTCTCGAATTCCTGACCTCAGCTGATCCACCCGCCTTGGCCTCCTGATTACAGGCGTGAGCCACCGCACCCGGCCAGACATCTTTTCGTATGTTTATTTGCTTTCTGTACGTTTTTGGTGAGGTGGCTGTTCAGATCTTTTGCCCATTTTAAAATTAGGTTGTTCATTTTATTTTATTTTATTTTTATTATTTTTTGAGACGGAGTCTCTTTCGCTCTGTCACCCAGACTGGAGTGCAGTGGCACGATCTCAGCACATTGGAAGCTCCGCCTCCCTGGTTCAGGCCATTCCCCTGCCTCAGCCTCCAGAGTAGCTGGGACTACAGGTGCCCACCACCACGCCCGGCTAATTTTTTTGTATTTTTAGTAGAGACGGGGTTTCACCGTGTTAGCCAGGATGGTCTCGATCTCCTGACGTTGTGATCCACCCGCCACAGCCTCCCAAAGTGCTGGGATTACAGGCATGAGCCACTGTGCCCAGCCTTCATTTTCATATTATTGAGTTTTAAGAGTTCTTTGTATAGTTTGGTTGACAGTATTTTATTCAGGTATGTTTTTAGCAAATATTTTCTCCTGGCTTGTGGCTTGTCTTCTGCAGAACAGATGTTTTTATTTTTAATGAAGTCTAGCTAATCAGTTATTTTTTTCATGGATTTTGTTTTGGTGTTGTAAGTAGTCATCTCCAAATCCAAGGCCATCTAGATTTTATTCTGTCATCCTGTAGGAGTTTTATAGTTTGGGGTCTAAATATACTTTAGCCTTTATTTTTCTGGTAGAATTGCTAAGTTAAAAGTAAAATTATGGCTGGGCGTGGAGGCTCACACCTCTAATCCCAGCACTTTGGGATGCCAAGGTGGGTGGATCATTTGAGGTCAGGAGTTTGAGACCACCCTAGCCAATGTAGTAAAACCCTGTCTCTATTAAAAATACAAAAATTAGCCAGGTGTGGCATATGCCTGTGGTCCTAGCTACTTGGGAGGTTGGGGCATGAGAATCGCTTGAACCTGGGAGGTGGAGGTTGCAGTGAGCCAAGATCGTGCCACTGCACTCCAGCCTGGGTGACAGAGTGAGACTCTGTCTCAAAAAAAAAAAAAAGGTAAAATTATATATTTACTCCTTAAAAACTTCTATCTTGCCATTTAGTAGATAGGATGTTATGCTATGCTTGAGGTAATACAGATAGGTAAGGCCTAGATTGAGTTTTCAGTTCACTGGAAATTTTCATTATTACTTTTTATAATTTGATGGGACATGAACTTTTAAATTATTCTTTTGTAAAGATAGTATTTACATTTCCTGAAGGGAAGCGTTTTAATTTTTCTTCCATGGCTCTTGAATGAATAATTACAGAAAAGCATTTAAATCATATGTAGATCAGGAGACTGTTTAAAGATTTAATGGAATACTTTTCCCATAAAATGCTCTTAGGTTTCCTGACAAGTTTATTCAGCCATTTTTTTATGACATTTTCAACACCTGGAACCTGACCTCTTCATGTTGTGCTGGATTGTGACGGTCTTTGACCTTCAAACCAGAACTTTATACATCTTAAGGCCCAATTTTTGTAATTAAGAGTAAAAAGCAACTATTTCTTCTTTCACTTTTAATGGTATGCAAGTTTTTGCTGGTATTGTATTTGCCTTCTTTTTTTTTTTTTTTTAATTTATTTTTTATTGATAATTCTTGGGTGTTTCTCACAGAGGGGGATTTGGCAGGGTCATAGGACAATAGTGGAGGGAAGGTCAGCAGATAAACAAGTGAACAAAGGTCTCTGGTTTTCCTAGGCAGAGGACCCTGCGGCCTTCCGCAGTGTTTGTGTCCCTGGGTACTTGAGATTAGGGACTGGTGATGACTCTTAACGAGCATGCTGCCTTCAAGCATCTGTTTAACAAAGCACATCTTGCACCGCCCTTAATCCATTTAACCCTGAGTGGACACAGCACATGTTTCAGAGAGCACAGGGTTGGGGGTAAGGTCACCGATCAACAGGATCCCAAGGCAGAAGTTTTCTTAGTACAGAACAAAATGAAAAGTCTCCCATGTCTACTTCTTTCTACACAGACATGGCAACCATCCGATTTCTCAATCTTTTCCCCACCTTTCCCGCCTTTCTATTCCACAAAGCCGCCATTGTCATCCTGGCCCGTTCTCAATGAGCTGTTGGGCACACCTCCCAGACGGGGTGGTGGCCAGGCAGAGGGGCTCCTCACTTCCCAGTAGGGGCGGCCGGGCAGAGGCGCCCGTCACCTCCCGGGTGGGGCCGCTGGCCGGGCGGGGGGCTGACCTCCCCACCTCCCTCCCGGACGGGGCAGCTGGCCGGGCGGGGGGCTGACCCCGCCACCTCCCTCCCAGATAGGGCGGCTGGCCTGGCAGAGGGGCTCCTCACTTCCCAGTAGGGGCGGCCGGGCAGAGGCGCCCCTCACCTCCCGGATGGGGCGGCTGGCCGGGTGGGGGGCTGACCTCCCCACCTCCCTCCCGGACGGGGCAGCTGGCCGGGCGGGGGGCTGACCCCGCCACCTCCCTCCCAGATAGGGCGGCTGGCCTGGCAGAGGGGCTCCTCACTTCCCAGTAGGGGCGGCCAGGCAGAGGCGCCCCTCACCTCCCGGACGGGGCGGCTGGCCGGGCGGGAGGCTGACGCCCCGACCTCCCTCCCGGACGGGGCGGCTGGCCGGGCGGGGGGCTGACCCCCCACCTCCCTCCCTGACGGGGCGGCTGGCCGGGCGGGGGGCTGACCCCCCAACCTCCCTCCTGGACGGGGCGGCTGGCGGGGCGTGGGGCTGACCCCCCCACCTCCCTCCCGGATGGGGCTGCTGGCCTGGCGGGGGGCTGACCCCCCCCACCTCCCTCCCGGACGGGGCGGCCGCCGGGCGGAGACGCCCCCCACCTCCCAGACGGGGTGGCCGCCGGGCGGAGAGGCTCCCCACCCCTCAGACGGGGCAGCCGCCGGGCGGAGGGTCTCCCCACTCCTCAGACGGGGCGGTTGCCGGGCAGAGGGTCTCCTCACCTCTCAGACGGGGCGGTGGGGCAGAGATGCTCCTCACCTCCCAGACGGGGTCGTGGCCGGGCAGAGGCGCTCCTCACATCCCAGACGGGGCGGCGGGGCAGAGGCGCTCCCCACATCTCAGACGATGGGCGGCCGGGCAGAGACGCTCCTCACTTCCTAGATGTGATGGCGGCCGGAAAGAGGCGCTCCTCACCTCCTAGATGGGATGGCGGCCGGTCGGAGACGCTCCTCACCTCCCAGACTGGGCAGCCAGGCAGAGGGGCTCCCCACATCCCAGACGATGGGTGGCCAGGCAGAGACGCTCCCCACTTCCCAGACGGGGTGGCGGCCGGGCAGAGGCTGCAATCTCAGCACTCTGGGAGGCCAAGGCAGGCGGCTGGGAGGTGGAGGTTGTAGCGAGCCGAGATCACGCCACTGCACTCCAGCCTGGGCACCACCGAGCACTGAGTGAACGAGACTCCGCCTGCAATCCCGGCACGTCGGGAGGCCGAGGCCGGCGGATCACTTGCGGTTAGGGGCTGGAGACCGGCCTGGCCAACACAGCGAAACCCCGTCTCCACCAAAACCAGTCAGGCGTGGCGGCGCGAGCCTGCAATCGCAGGCACTCTGTATTTGCCTTGTAAAACAGATCAATTCTAGCCCCTCTTACTGTCTTACTCTTACCTCTTATTGCCTTAAACACAATTTAAAATGACAAAAATCCAAGCACAGTGGGTCCTGGGGGAAGGTAGAGGAAATAAATTATACTGTGTTTAGCTTTATCTAAATACCTTTTACAGCATGTCAAGGAATTCATTTTCAGTTCATTAGTGCTGTTTCATAAGCATCTTCAGCAAACTCACACAAATGTTCACAGATGAGTATATGCATAATCTAGGACATAAAGGGCATTGTTTACATTATTAAAAAGAGTAACAGTTTCAAAGAGTATTGCCAGTTTCTCCCAAATTCATGTTTTTTCACTTTTTTAACCTCCCATTTCACATTTTAGATGCTTAGTTCCTGGTTTTGTTACAGACATTATCTGAAATAAGGAATAGAAGATTAAAAATGATTTGAAGTGTATGCTGTGGTTCTAGAGACACATCATTTTTTTTTATCTCTAAAAAGGAAAAATTCTAAGTTTAGAAGGAGATTTCATTTGTAAAATTGACTGTACTTTATAAGCAGTGTTTAAATTCATTGGTGGTAAATATGCATGTTGGTATAGTAAAATCCCATTTTTTACATAATGCTTTAATGGAAATGGCAGTTTTATGAAATGAAAGTGACTAGTAAAAGTCTGAATGATGCTCATAAGCTTTTACATCATTTTTATTGAAGGTTTTGTGTATGCTAATCCATTAATACAGGGGAAAAGGAGAACACTAACATGGTTTATTTTCTATAATTACTCAAATAGAATATAATTTATTTTCAATAAAATTCTTGGAGCAAATTGCCCAGAGTAGGGAGAGGAAGGTTGGCCTGTTCTTACAAATATCTTGATTTTTACCCACGGGACTTTGTTATTTTACCAGTGATGTTGTTTCATTGCATATATTTTCAGTATAGTTCCCTCCAGATTTTTACAAATAAAAGCCTGTGAAAGGCCAAGAAATCCCAAGCATGTAAAGACCCAGGATTGTGGAGGGAGAAATCTGGGATGTTTATTTTATCCTGTTTATTATTACAAATATTGCTTGTCTTTTAATAGTTTAGACTTCCTTTTATGTGGTTTATATAAGTTGAAGCACCATTAAGATTGCTGTGTAATAGCAATTAACTGTGATGTAATAGATTAACCTGGGGAAATTTTCAAAAACAGTTAAGTGTTTACATTTAAATTTGGCTTATTTTTGTAGAGTACCTTGAAGAAGAGGTCAGTGTAAGGAATAAACAAATACTTAAATTTGGGATCCTCACACCACAACTTCATAAGGGGGAGAGGGTGAACTGAGGTATCCCGTAGGTGGTTGAGGTGTGTGTGCTTGTGAGTTTTCTGTATTTCTTTGCAGTTGGGTTCAGCGAGGAGCAGTTTTCTGTGTTCACCAGTGTTGATAGCAGACAAAATCACACAGAAACAAATACGAAAATTGTTTTATGTCCAGAATGTCCCTCTAATATGCACATGAGTAACGTTGGATCAAATTTATGTTTTCAAAATAAGTCTCATAGCAGAACTAGCTGTCGTTTGATTTTGGGATTGAGTCCCATTTCCTTCCTTCCTTATCACCATTTTGATTTCTTAATTTGTATTAAGGTAAGCCCATATCAGATTGATTTTTTTTTTTTCCATGCCCGGAGCACCTCAAGAGTAGAGACACCAGCCTGAGGATCTTAATTTTGCTGGAGATAATCCACACACAGGTAGTTTTCTTCTTGGTGAATATGTAGATTGAGATCTTTATTCTATGCCAGCCACAGTGCTGGGGCTACAGAGATGGATAAGGTATAATCCTTGTCTCAGGAGCTTAGAGTCTCATTGAAAAGTTTTTCAAAACACACATTTGAATGATTTTGTTGAGTCAACATTACGTATTTGTTTGTGAACACATAAGCGCACACCCTTTCCCCACCTTCACTTCCTGTTTCCTTGCAAATGCAAAGACAAGAGTAAAGGACTTGCCTAGAGGAAACACAGAAATACTGATTTACAGGTGAAAAATATGTAAATTTGAAAAGGTGTTGAAAAAGACCTAAGTTTTTGTAGCCACCTGACTAATAAACACAGAGATCACATGTCCACCATAGATGGGTAAATGAAAAAAAGCAAGTTTCAGGTTAATAGGAATAGTATTATTTCATTATTTGTTAGCCCCTATCCCTTGCACATGTGTGTATGTATTGTTTGTGTAAACATAGATGATGTGGAAAGATCTCCCATATTGTTAATATTAGTTATCTCAGGGGACAAAGGAAAGCTTATTCCTGTTTATACATCTTTTATTGTTTGGTTTAAGAAGCATGTTTTACTTTTTTAATTAAAAAATCTAATAAAGTAGGAAGTGAATAAATAATAGTAATAAAAAGTATCTTCAGGCCACTGAGCCTGTTGCAGTCTTCCCAGTAGCGTGAGTAATTAGTACCGTCTGTAATGCTTCAGGTGTGGACTGCCCAGCAGGACTCTGAACTTCTTGCTACAGCCTAAGGTGATACTAAGTTTTCTGTAGCAACACTATAATGTTGAGAGTTACTGTGTTTATAGACCATTAACACCTCAAAGTCTTTCTTCCATCTGCTCCTCTTGGCACACTGCTCTAGATAATCATTTTGGAATGAGTTTAGTCCTTTACGCTCTCCCTGTTAGATTTCATATTGTTACTGTGGAAATCAGTATTTAGCATGGGTAAGAACTGGCCTTAGATGCAAGCCATCTGGTTACAGATCCTCACTACCACTATCATGAAAACTTGGACAAGTAACTTGTCTCCCCAAGCCTCAGTTTTCTCATCTGCAAAACAGCAATAATCATAAAGTTGTGAGGTTTCAATGAGATGCCATATGTTAGAACACTTACACTAGGTACCTGGTGAAATAGTGGGAACATGGTAAATATTAGACGTTACTGCTAGTGCATTAACCTCAGCTCATCTCTTTCATCCATTGGCATGTTAATGAGATAATCGTGGATCTCAAATCTTCCCTTAACTATATTTACAGCTCTCTTTTCCACAAACCTTCTAAACTTTCCTCATGAGACCCCCAATCAGTCTCTGTCTCATTCTACAGGTCCCTTCACCGATGTTGTCACCACCAACCTAAAGCTTGGCAACCCGACAGACCGAAATGTGTGTTTTAAGGTGAAGACTACAGCACCACGTAGGTACTGTGTGAGGCCCAACAGCGGAATCATCGATGCAGGGGCCTCAATTAATGTATCTGGTAAGTCCTGAGACTGGAGGCCTAGAGGGTGGGCTCAGAAGGCCCCTGGACAGTAGGTTTTCTTAAAGTTTGTATTTGCAGTGTAGCAGAAGAAGATGATAGAATTCTCTCCACCCCACCCCCACCCCACCCCACCCCACCCCACAACCCTCCACCCCGTGATCAGAAAGCTGGGTCCCAGTCGCCTGTTTTTTTCATAATTAATGCCTCCTTGTTTCAAAGCTTACAGCCCCTTTGCACCTCAATAGTTAGAGCAAAACTGAAGTGATAACTTTAGACTTTACTTCAGAATGAGTTTTGTTTTCACTCCCTTGAAATTAAATCTGCCCTTTGGCAATAAATAAAAAAGGGCTAAACAAACTTAATTTTACTTTGTGGGAGAAAGCTAAATGGAGTTATTTTCTTATTTAAGCTAAATGATTTCTGACATTAAGCTCATACCATTTCCAGTGATTGGCCACTGCACTTTACTGATTGTGAAACGCCAAGAGAGATGAGGGCTGAGCAAATTGGAATATACTCAAGGGTGTCAGTTTGGTGCATGTCTGATGGTTTTCTCTTCTGTCTGGGAGTGCATGTATTTTCCAAAATCCACCTTTTGAAAAATACTGGTAAAGTGCCCAAATTGAGAATTGGATTTCAGAATTAAGGAGATGTCAGTGATGGGTTGGAGTTTAAATGTATTTTAGAAATGGAATAAACTTTTAGCTCATTAGAACTTCTCCATCCAAGAAGGAGCTGTGGGGGAGTGTGTATTTATCTTGTAAATATCAAGTGACTCAGTGTCACAGAGGCTTCTGCATCAATAGAAGCTACTGCTCATTTGAAATGAGTATCTCTCTGGCTTTTTCCATGATAGATTTTGATTGTGATACACTTGGCTATTCATTTGACACCTAAAAGAAAATGATTCACCTCTTTGGAAAGATATAAGGTGTTTCATTATCTGATCGTTTCTGCAAACTCTTATTCCCTGCATCTCGTCTCTCTCATTATGGTGCACCCATGCCAGCTCTCCCCCTGTGCTTCTCTTGAGTCTGCAAGACCTGATCTTCGAATCAAGTTATTATCTTGAAGTCAGGAGGGTCGAAGCCAGCATTGATTGAGGGGCTTCTATGTGCTGGACCTGCACATGTACTATCTCATGTCATTTCTCTTACCTGCCCTGTAAGGGATGCATTGTCACCTCCATTTTACTAAGAAGTAGACTGGTGGTCATAGCATCGTGAAACTAGCAAATAACAGAGCCAAGATGTGGATCATTCTGACTGGCTCTGAAGCCCATGCTCTTTGAACTGCAGCACTCTGGAGAAAGGAAGGAACTGGGATTTTGGCATTTCTGTATCCTCTGGATATGTATGGTTTAAATTTTTCTGTTGACATCAAGGGCAGCTGAAATCTTTTGTTCCCCTCTTCTATCTACTTTCCCCCCCTCGATTTCCATGCCTGTATCAAATTTGAGCAAGTTTGTCAGTAGATGAAAATTACCAATTTTTATAGGAAGAATAGGGAATGCAGCATGGTTTTCTGAATAAAAGAATCTCAGTAGGTGGTTGTACAATGTTAGTGTGTTTTCTGATATAAAATATAAATATGTATGGGTGGGTGTATGTGTATGTCTCTATCTCTCTCTTTTTTTTTTGAGACAGTCTCACTTTGTCGCCCAGGCTGGAGTGCAGTGGCGCGATCTCTGCTCACTGCAACCTCCACCTCCCAGATTCAAGCAATTCTCTTGCCTCAGCCTCCCGAGTAGCTAGGATTACAGGTGCGTGCCACCACACCTGGTAATTTTTGTATTTTTAGTAGAGACAGGGTTTCACCATGTTGGCTAGGCTGGTCTCAAACTCCTGACCTCAAGTGATCCGCCTGCCTCGGCCTCCCAAAGTGCTGGGATTACAGGCGTGAGCCACCGCGCCAGGCATCTCCGTCTCTCTTTCAGGAAGATCCATTGTTTCCCCATCATAGGAATTTTTAAAAAGTAAAAGCGAACTCTGCCTTTGTTCTGATTTATGATTGCTTACTCAAGGAAGACCAAGACTTTGTGGTTGTGGCCTTCCTTTGGCAGATAAAGTAAGGCACAGAGTGTGGCACAGTCATCAAGGGTCACTTGGATGGTCATGGCAGCACTGCTATTTGAAGCTAGTGGCTTGGCTCCTGATCCAGTGCTCTTTCTGTCATACTAAACTGCCTCAGTAGTGTTAGAGGATGACCCCACTTATGAATGAATGTAAAAAGTACCATCATTCTCAAAGTTTAATGTATTTGGGGGAAAAAGTAGTTGAATAATAAAATGTCCATGTGTCTGTAGACTTTCTTCCTAGATGAGACAAGATCATATCTGCACCTTAGAAAGAGCTCCTTTGTTATTATTTGGTATTTAGCTCAGTGCTTGGGGGGAACCAAGGTGAAACCAGATGTCATTGCATTTCTAGGACAGCCTTGCAAGTCAGCAAAGGAGGCCAGCCCCATTTGCTGCAGTTGTATGTGCTGAGGGACCACTGCATCATTTATTAGACATGCATAGCTTGGGATAAAAAGCACTGCCTTTTTCCAGGAGTCCTCTTGGTATTAATACAGCTACATGATGACATCTTGGTGAGTCACTAGAGTCCTCAGGAGGAGGAGGATACCAGTCGACAGGCAGTGCAGATTATCCAAAAGCCAGCCTCCCCTTCTCCCCAGATATGCACATGGCCAAGCTTGGTTTTACCCACTCTCTTCAAAGATTAGTGGATTTGAGGTCGGGAAACCTGAACAGGAAGACCAGTTGTGCTGTTTAACCAGTCAGCTGAATTTTGACCAACCTATTAACCTTTCTAGGTTCTTGTTTTCTCACTTGTAAGGTAGGGAGAATAGTGTCTACCTTACAGAATATATACAAATACTGCAGAATCAACAGCATGGTACAAGAGTGGTACATTTGTACGTTCGTTGTTCTTCCACTAGCTTTGACAAAAACCGGCTAGTTTTTGAAGAAGGTGGATTGCATAATACTTGAATTGACTGTTTAGAAATAAATTACCCCTATATTTTATTTATTTATGGACCTTTGCTAATTTTGAGAAGAAATTTGTGTTTTCTCTTCCTTGTGTAATATTCATTTGTTTTATAGTGAAAAGTTGCCAGTACATTTTCAGGTATAATCTTTAAAAAGGTGGCCACCACATCAGCTTAAAATACTGCTAGCATTGCCCTGCCCACCACCCAAAGTGTCACTACATACCTGAGAAGGACATGACCAGTGCATTTTTCCCATTTCTGAAAACCCTTGGAATGCACTAGCTATTCGGGAAGGCTGTAAATCATTATTTTAAAGAGAGGAGGGAGGGAGGGGGAAGGAAAGAAAGAGAGGAGGGAAGCAGGAAGGTGGGAAGAGAGGGAGGGTTGATGGTAATGATGTCTGCCCATGGAGCTGGCACCTGTGCTGGCCAGAGGGATCAAGGTTTTGAAGGCACACAGGTTCAGATTGTGACATGGAAAGCCAGATGTCTTTCAGAGAAACCCTGTGAAGCTCTTTTTACCTTTTCACATTACCCTGATATTCAAGGGACCTTACATTGTGCTTCAAAAGTTCAGGCTCTGACCTATCATGCTATTTTCTTCAGAACACGGCAGATCACTTATTGGGTCCTTAAAAAAACTCCCTTTTATAAACTTAGGTGGTAAAGTAACAGTTGGACACAGGCATAACCTAAACTTTTTGTGTCAGTGGATTATAATATGTGGGCTTTCCCAAAGAGTTGCTTTAGGCCCTGGCCCCTTGGACCTGTGATTTGAATCCTTTTCTTTGTCCTTTACATGGGTGCTCGTCTCATCTCATTTTTATTGTAGCCCCTTCTGAGGTTTGTGCTTTTTGGATGAGGTCACATGGTAGATAGGGGGTGCAGGGGGCTTTCTGTTTGCATTCACTGGCCCAGAATACTGTGGTTTTGGCCCGTTGCTCCATGATACATACTATCAACTAGAGATGGTTTTGAATTATTTAATCTGGACCTCAGCAAAATAGGTACACTTAAATAGAGATTGAAGAAAGGGAGGTTGGAATTTTTTCCTCCTGAGATTTCAAATGTAAGGAATAAAGAACTTTTTGAATTAACGAATTGTTTTGAGGCAGTGGGGATCTTCCCATTTGTTCTAGCTTTACAAAATTAAATCTATTTTCTGAACTGTACGGTGGGAAAATATTTTTAAGGTACATAATTTCTGAAAATGTCTTTGTGGTAAGCTGTTAGTGGTTGTGGATTTTTTTTTTTTTTTAGTGCTTCAGTTAATAATGAGGGAGTTTTCCATTAATATTCCAAACCATGTTTGCCAGCGGATACAGCAGGTGAAGTGGTAAAATTATGGGCCCATCAAAAATACTTATGCTTCCTGTAATATGATATTAAGTTTAATATTTTTATAACCTTCACTGAATTCTAATTTCACTAAAGTAGCAAGCATGCGTCCATTTGCAGTTCAGTTATGCACATTGGTTGCCTGTGTCCCAAGCAAATTAGAAATGCAAAATATCTGTGTGTGGAGGGGGGCATTGGAAAGAGTCATTAAAGATACCGATATTTAGTTACAGATACACTTTACTAAGTGTACCTTGGGAATTGAAAATGGATTAAAGACAAACACAAAACTCCCAGTGTCTGAATCTGTATTTTAAATTAGAATTCAAAGGATTAAGGAGCAGTATTCATTCCTGACATACAGCCCTTTTCAGCACTCTTTTCAATCACATTTAAAGCATAAAGTTTTTCCAGTAAAATCCTCAGGACAGCCAGGTGCAGTGGCTTATGCCTGTAATCCCAGCACTTTGGGAGGCCGAGGCAGGCGGATCACCTGAGGTTGGGAATTCGAGACCATCCTGACCAACATGGAGAAACCCCGTCTCTACTAAACATACAAAATTAGCCGGGCATGCTGGCACATGCCTGTAATCCCAGCTACTCATGAAGGCTGAGGCAGGAGAATCACTTGAGCCTGGGAGGCGGAGGTTGCAGTGAGCCAAGATCGCGCCATTGCACTCCAGCCTGGGCAACAAGAGAGAAACTCCATCTCACAAAAAAAAAAAAAAAAAAAAAAAAAAAAAAAAAAAGAAAAGAAAAATCCTCAGAGCATGAACATCAGCAGCTCTTCTTGGATGAAAACATTGATCAGTTAATTTAAATGGATAGTATTGTGATTAATAATCCTTTTAAGATTTCCCTGACTCAGTTTAATGTAGCTGTTTGGTGGCCCTGGAGCAGTCAACCAGGAGTGCACCTTTCAGGTGCACTAGGGTATAAACGCACAGAGCCCTTAGACAAAGAAGCCAAACATTTATCCATCAAGCACTGATAGTGGGAGCTGCATTTGGGGAGTTTGAGCTTCTTAACAGCAACATTCTTCTTTGTTTGATTGTTTGCTTTGGAAGTCTCTGATAAGCGAAACTTTTTTATAAGTGGTTTCCATGAACCAGGCTTATTACTCTCAGATAAGAACAACTCACATTCATACTTTAAAAGATGTCTTTAATCTTTTTCAGCAGATGAGAGATTCTGCTTAAACAAAAAGTAGAAAAAAGAAAATTACCAACAAAAATTCAGCTTAATTACGCTTTTAAGGGTTTTTACAAGTTTACTGTAATACTTAGGTTTTTAAGGAAGAATTGTTACTTTTTTTGTGACTATGACACAGTTTATTCTTTACATTTTTAAATATCAAGATCAAGAGGACTTACACATTTTGTCTACCTCAGTTAGCTGAAGGTAACTTCAACTCTGTACAGCATAACTGAGAAGCAAAAAATAAGCAAAGTTTTAAGAAGCCAAAAGTGATTTTCTTTTCACTCATTATGGGTCCTTGCATACTTACACACTTGAGGGCTCTCCAGTCTTGAATCTTGTCTTGTTTATTCTTACCTTAGACTTACTGTTAACCCTGTCCTGGTTGCCAGCTCATCACAGATGAGAATAAAGGGAAAGGGGTACAGAGGTGGCCACGTTGAAAGCGGCCCATGTGACAGTGCATAGCAGACAGTGGACGGGCTGGGCAAGAACACCACCGAGAGCAAGTGCAGGGAGCATTCAGAAATAACAGTGGGGAGCTGGAATTCCTTAAGCCTCGGGGAATTGTTCTCCATGTTTTAGGTGATCAGCCCCAAGAGACACAGCTTGCAGGTTTCATTAAGATGGTATATAATGGGGGTTCATGTCACAACATAAGAGTAATCAGAAAAGGGGTATGTTGTATTCCATTATAAATGTTAGAGGAGATTGAAAAGTATGTTGGATTTTTGAAAAAGATTTACATTTTAAAAGATATTTATAAAAAAGAGTGAATAAGCCTTGTTATTTGGCCAGTGCCTGTATATAGCAGTCCTCATCTTCCATTGATACTGGAGAAAGGAGACCTCACTGTCAGCACATTTGTACTAGTCTCAGCACAAACAAATTAATCAGACTGTGAGGAGTTTGTTTTCTAAGACAGAATACACGAACTGGAAAATCCTGTAGAGAACACAAAGACACTTCAGTGTTAACTGATTTATAAATAAATGCAATTCATTATTTATTTGCTAGACTCAGAGTTCCATCCATGGGCCCCTGAATAGGCAGAGGTCCACCAAGGTGGTCATGATCTCAACGTGTTCTGGACCCTAAAGGATATAATAAATTTGCTCACAGTCTAACTAAAATGTCCAGCTTCTTTGCTTTAGGCTAGAATTATATCACCTTGTTTAGGTAATGCTGGTTATCTCCAGCTTATCAGGAGCTCTGCTTGGCATTTATGTATCTGTGTCTTTGATTAGTCTCAAAAAAGTGGATCAGTGACTTCATTCCGACCCTGTAAGCACCATATGGTAGAGGACAGTCTTTCTCTATGCAGGCTTTGTGAGAGGACGGGGAGTGCGAGACTGAGGGCACTGCCATGAGAAACTGGAAGCCCTGTCTTGCCCTCTTGGAAGGGAGGGAGTGACTCTGGGAAGTGGGACAGAAGAAAAGCCAGCTGGTGGGGGTAAAGAAGGGTTTCCTCTTTGGGCTTCTCCAAGGATATTTCTAGGGAGAGCATGATTCAGGAACGCTTTGAATGTTGGAAGAGAAGAAGGTGCAAACCTGTTAGCTAACGCAAAAAATGCAAATTAGCACCCAGAATGTGAGCTATTAAAACATTAAGTTCTGGTCTCAGTCTCATTGGGGAGAAAAAGCAAACATGTCAGAAGGAGCTTAGGAGTCTTGGAGTTGACAGTCTCCCAATAAAGTAAGGTGCCCACAGTAGGAACTGTGGTATGAAATGGTGTTTCAGCAGGAACTGCAGTGTTAGGAGGTATAGTACAGCACAGATTTTCCAGGTGTGTACCCTGGGCCAGCAGCAGCAGCAGCCCACTTGGGGACCTGTTAGAAATTGGAGTGCTCATTCTCACTGCAGCCCTGCTAACACAAAAATTCCGGAGGTGGGGTCCAGCAGTCTGTGTTGTAGCAAACATTCGTGGTGACTCTGATACTCACTGAAGTTTGAGAACTTTTCCCTCCAGAATTCTTATTTAAATTTTATTATATTTATATATTTATTTATTTTTGACAAAGTCTCTCTCTGTCACCCAGGCTGGAGTGCAGTGGTGCCATTTTAGCTCACTGCAACCTCCACCTCCTGGGTTCAAATGATTCTTGTGCCTCAGCTTCCCCAGTAGCTGGGATTACAGGTGTGTGCCACCATGCCCAGCTAAATTTTTTGTATTTTTAGTTAGGGATGGGATTTCACAATGTTGGCCAGGCTGGCCTCAAACTCCTGGCCTCAAGTGATCTGCCTACCTCGGCCTCCCAAAGTGCTGGGATTACAGGTGTGAGCCACTGCACCTGGCCTTGTTTGTTTAGTTATTTATGGAGTTGGGGTCTTGCTGTGCTGTCTAGCCTGGAGTGCATGCCGCTCTCATAGCTCACTGTAGCCTCAAATTTCTGGGCTCAAGCAGTCTTCTTGCCTCAGCCTCCCAAGTAGCTGGGACTACAGACATGCACCACCATGCCTGGCTATTCCTTACAGAGTTCTGTTAGTGGATTCAGTCCTGGAAGATGGGGTATATTGACATGTGAGTAGGGTAAGGGAGAATCAAGAGAAACGTGTCAGGCAGGGCCGACATGATAAGGGAGACTTTGATGATGATAGGAGAGCATCACTGGGTGTAAGGACATAGGGGCATGATGTGTGGCCTGAGTGATGCGCACACCTGTTGGAGCAGAAGGGAGGCCTGCCAATAAGAGACCAAGAAATCCAAGAAGGGCCAGATTGTGAAAAGCTGAACTGATTGCCTTTTACTTAGGAAATAGTTACTCTTATAGGAGGTTTTTGATCTGAGGAATTACCATGATACAAGTAGGGTATTAAGGTACGATTAAATTTGTGGAGTTTGTAGGGGCTAGGCAGGGTGATTTGGATGGGAAAGAAACTAGAAGAAACTTGGAAAAATCTAGAAGGATCTGTGGGCCTCAGCTGAGATTGTGGGCACGTAAAATGTGGAGAGAGAGATTTCGAAGATAAGATTGTGAGATTAAAAAAAAGTGAAGCATGTGCTGTAGTACTTGTTAGACTTTATTTGCTCTGTTACCGTTATAATGCAGACGAAAGTGATCTGTGATCTGTTACCATTATGATGCAGGCGAAAGTGATCTGTGATCTTTTACCATTATGATGCAGGCGAAAGTGACCTGTGATCTGTTACCATTATGATGCAGACGAAAGTGATCCGTGATCTGTTACCGTTATGATGCAGGCGAAAGTGATCTGTGATCTGTTACCATTATGATGCAGGTCCATGATCTGTTACCATTATGATGCAGACGAAAGTGATCTGTGATCTGTTACCATTATGATGCAGGCGAAAGTGATCCGTGATCTGTTACAATTATGATGCAGGCGAAAGTGATCCGTGATCTGTTACCATTATGATGCAGGCGAAAGTGATCTGTGATCTGTGATCTGTTACCATTATGATGCAGGCGAAAGTGATCCGTGATCTGTTACCATTATGATGCAGGTGAAGGTGGTCCGTGATCTGTTACCATTATGATGCAGGTCCATGATCTGTTACCATTATGATGCAGACGAAAGTGATTCGTGATCTGTTACCATTATGATGCAGGTGAAAGTGATCCGTGATCTGTTACCATTATGATGCAGGCAAAAGTGATTTGTGATCTCGTAGCATTATGATGCAGGCAAAAGTGATCTGTGATCTGTTACCATTATGATGCAGGCAAAAGTGATCTGTGATCTGTTACCATTATGATGCAGGTGAAAGTGATCTGTGATCTGTTACCATTATGATGCAGGCAGAAGTGATCTGTGATCTGTTACCATTATGCTGCAGATGAAAGTGATCTGTTACCATTATGATGCAGGCAGAAGTGATCTGTGATCTGTTACCATTATGATGCAGATGAAAGTGATCTGTGATCTGTTACCATTATGATGCAGGCGAAAGTGATCTGTGATCTGTTACCATTATGATGCTGGTGAAAGTGATCTGTGATCTGTTACCATTATGATGCAGGCGAAAGTGATCTGTGATCTGTTACCATTATGATGCAGGGGAAAGTGATCTGTGATCTGTTACCATTATGATGCAGGCGAAAGTGATCTGTGATCTGTTACCATTATGATGCAGGCGAAAGTGATCTGTGATCTGTTACCATTATGATGCAGGCGAAAGTGATCTGTGATTTGCTTGGGTTCTCAGAAGCAGCATTTAACTGCATTTAATCAAGTCATCATTACTCCAAGGGGTGTGTGTGTATGTTTTAAGTAGCGTATCTTCTGTGTTTCTTCTCTGTTCAGGCAACTCTGATCTTAATGATCCAATGTTTTATGACCCCAAAGGCCCTTTCTTAACAGGATCCCAGTTTGCAATCTGTAATACAACAGGCATTGTATCACAAAGCATTAATGTAGATGAGTAGTGACCTGGCTTCCAGGCTGTCTTCTGGTAACAGGCTTCTGTTTAGTGTAGTATCAGCAGATACATTTTAAAAGTAGGATAGATGGTTCATTTAAGAGGGCTTTATCATCAGTATTCACTTGAATACCAGAGATACTGGTGAATACCATTTGGTGTAGCGTAACAGTGCTTAAACTTTTTGGTCTCAGGACCCCTTTAAATTCTTAAAAATGAAGATGCAGCTGGGCACAGTGGCAGGCACCTATAGTCCTAGCTACTCAGGAGGCTAAGGCGGGAGGATCACTTGAGCCCAGGAGTTGGAGGCCAGTCTGGACAACATAGCAAGACCCCATCTCTTGAAAAAAAGTGAAAGTGAAATAAATTTAAGTTAATGGCAAACTCTTTTATAGTCTGCCATGGTAAAAAGTACATAATTTCTGTCACAATTTGCACATATGGAGCTGAAAGAACTAATGATTAGCAACATTCTGTCATGTTTTTATAAAGTTCCCACTAACAGGATAGAGCAAATTGAATTTGACATGAGATGATAGTAGCTGAGAAATACAAACTCTTTGATGTGAGTTAGGGGCCATGTTATGCAGGATGTGGATACTGAGATACTCCAGAAGTTTATGAAGTTTCACAGAATCTGGGTGTCCCAAGTCCTCACTGTGGCTGGCTGATGTAGGAGCCCACAAGCCAAGGAGAGCTGGTGATGAAAAACACCCCCATTTGCTGTTCCAGGCTGGTAGAAATCTAGAAGTGAGTCTTTGGGGCCTGAGCTGAGATTGTAGGCGTGTAAATGCGAAGAGATTTCAAAGATGAGATTCTGAGATTTAAAAAATGAAGCATATGCCATGGTGCTTGTTAGACTTTTTTTTTTTTTTCCAAAGCAGAAAACTTTTCTCAGATCAAAAACCTCCCATAACTACCCACCTTATACCCAGAACTTCCTGAAAGTTGACATGCCGGTAGGGCACAGTTTTTATTCCCAATTGAAAAGTTTCCATTCACCAATGCATGTAGGCATCTGTGTATATATCTCCTCAGTCCTCCGCTTTTGCAGAAGGGCTGTTGGACCTGCTACCTCAGGCTGTCGCCGGTGCTCTGTTAAAGTGATTGCTTACACCCACTGCCTTGTGTGCTTGCATGCCTGTTTATGTCTTCTCCTCTGCCCATGAAATGGTCCTTCCATGTCTACACTGTGGTGACTTGGTAGGTAGGATGTTCTAGGCCTGGAGCTGTGCTGGTGACATCTGTAAGGTCTGCAGTAAGGGGGCAGTATATCTCAGACAGTGCCCTTTTGTGGAGGTAGAGCAAGCAGTTGCAAAGGCCTTTGATTAGAGGAGCATAGGGAACGCCCATTCCTTCCGTAAGGGATGTGTGTGCATGCATATGTGCCTCTATTTTCACCTGAGGGCCAGGTACGTCCCGAAAACTCAAGACCTGGTTTGTGTAAATCTCCTTTCTCTTTTTAAACTGCAGATTCTCCCAAGAGGGGTACTACACAGAGCCACCAGTGTGTTATTACTTGGCCGCATTGACTTATTTAACTATATTTTTACCTCCTGGAGGGCCTGTGAGACCATTTGGTGTAGCATAACAGTGCTCAAACTTTTTGGTCTCAGGACCCCTTTACATTCTTAAAAATGAAGACGCAGCTGGGCACAGTGACAGGCACCTATAGTCCTAGCTACTCAGGAGGCAAGGCAGGAGGATCACTTGAGCCCAGGAGTTGTAGGCCAGCCTGGACAACATAGCAAGACCTCATCTCTTAAAAAAAAAAAAAGTAAGACCCAAAAAGCTTTTGGTTTGTGGGGTATATCAATATTTATTATATTAAAAATTAAACTGAAAATTCATATAATTATTTAAGAATAACATAATTACATGTTAACAGAGTAACATTTTTAATGAAAAGTAACTTTTCAAAAAAATTAGGAGACTGATACTTGACATTTTTTCATTTTTTGCCAATTTTTCTTTTTTTTTTTGAGGTGGAGTCTCTGTCGCTCAGGCTGTAATGCAGTGGCACAATCTTGCCACTGCACTCCAGCATGAGGGACAGAGTGAGACTCCATCCTCCCAGGTTCAAGTGATTCTCATGCCTCAGCCTCCCGAATAGCTGGGATTACAGGTGCCCACCACCGTGCCTGGCTAATTTTTGTATTTTCAGTAGAGACAGGTTTTGCCTCTTGGCCAGGCTGGTCACAGACTCCTGGCCTCAGGTGATCCACCCACCTTGGCCTCCCAAAGTTCTGGGATTACAGCCATGAGCTGCTGTGCCTGGCCTGCAAATTTCATTTTTCTTTTTTTTTTTGTTTTGAGACAGAGTCTCACTCTTGTCGCCCAGGCTGGAGTGCAGTGGCGCCGTCTTGGCTCACTGCAATCTCCACCTCGCAGGTTTAAGCGATTCTCCTGCCTCAGCCTCCTGAGTAGCTGGGATTACAGGCATGCACCACCACACCCAGATAATTTTTGTATTTTTAGTAAAGAAAGGGTTTCACCATGTTGGCGAGGCTGGTCTGGAACTCTTGACCTCAGGTGATCCACCCGCCTCGGCCTCCCAAAGTGCTGGGATTACAGGCGTGAGCCACTGCGCCCTGCTGCACATTTCTTTAGTGTCTGTTTCAATAGAAGACAGGCTGGATGCTCATATCTGCTTCTGCATTTAGTCTGTTAGGATGTGTTCTTTTGGTGAATGCATATGAAGAAAAACTGCTGTCACCACAGATATGTAGTTGGAAAAGGGGAGAGTATGTTTAATTGCTTTTTCAGATAAATCTGAACATTCTTCGATACTACACCAAAACTTGACAAGTGTTACTTTCTTCAAGGTTATTAGTATGATGTGGAATCTGAAGCCATGTCTGTGACTTTTTGAACATTGTTTCACTAAAACACATCAGTCTCTGTTGTACTTTGAATGGATTTTGTGATATCATGCATGGATTGTTTGGAAACCATTTGCTGAGTGTTGCAGAGCTTCCAAATGTTGGCATATTGCATTGTACACTCACAAAAAAATCACATTCATTTCTTTTCCTGATGATCTCATTGGAAAAGTCTGTAAGTATTTGCAGAACCATGAAGCTCTGGTTGGCAGATGAAAGTATTCCACAATTATAATTTTTACCTAAAAGCCTGTATTTTATCATTGACAGTAACTACTGTAAATTGTTTTTCTCTAGAGTCAAAGCCAGGTTTGAGCCCTGGCACTCTTGTTTAATACGCTGGCCATGGGACCCAGGTGAGCCCACTTAGCGCCTTTCTGAGCCCTTATCTTGTTTGTTTTTTTTTTTGTTTTTTCTTTTTTTTTAAGAGACTGGGTCTTGCTCTGTCACCCAGGCTGGAGTTCAGTGGTGCTATCATAGCTCTCTGCAGCCTCCATCTCCCAGGCCTAAGCAGTCCTTCCACCTCAATCTCAGCCTCTCAAGTAGCTGGGACTATAGGCTACCATGCCCAGCTAATTTTTTTGTGGTAGAGATGGGGTCTTGCTTTGTCGCCCAGGTTGGTCTTGAACTCAAGTGATCCTCCCGCCTTGGCCTCCCAAAGTGCTGGTGTTACAGTTGTGAGCCACCATGCCTGGCAGCCCTTATCTTTTTATCTTGAAAAAGGAGACGTGCTGCTTGGATGGATTGTTGTGAGTAGTAAATGGGAGCACTAAGGAGAATTTGCCTTCTATGGTACCTATTACACAGGAGGCATGAGTAAAGATTCTTTTCCTTTCTTTCCTTCTTGGGCCATCATGAAAGTATTGGGGATGAAGAAGCTGAGGGATGATGGAGAAATGGAAAGGAAGGACCTGTTTTCCCTTGGGGCATTCTTAGAACCCAGGCAGAGCTCTGGACACAGTGCTCTTGGCTGTACTTTTTTACTCCCACTGCCTCTAGGAAGGTGATGAATGGGAAGGGGCAGGCAGAGCTTCCTGGGGCTGTTTTTTGGGGGTGTGTTCTGTTCTCTGGACCCATTGGTTTTTGTATTTCATCTAAATAGCTTCTCTAAAAATTAGCATTTTCCTTGGATTGCTGTCATGTGAGCATCAGGGATCTTTACAAATAAACCTTGTTCCTCCTCAGAGCTCTCCAGAGTGGTAGACTTGGGAGTGGTGCAATAGCTGTTCACAGCTGGGAGAACAGAGTCTCAAGGGTAAGACGGTGTTTACTACTAGATCTGTGCCCTGCCAAAAATCTAAGAGTAGTTCAGGTCAAAGTTCTCTTCTTTCCTAAACTGAAAAATACCAGAGCATGATTTTGTCACAGCCAAGGAAGACCTGAAATTCTTAAAACTGAATTCACTTTAATTTTAGAAAGGGAACATTAATCTAACAGTGAATCCCAGCTCCAAAGAAGGTTGACAGTCCCTGTCCAGGAAGGTTCACAGAGCATGTAAAGACATTGGCTCTTTACTTTAAAATGTGTGTTTTCGTTATTGCAATCTTAGGGGCAGGAAAAAAACACATTGGGAATTTGGCTTTCAGAAAAAGCATTGACCTGCCAGTCTGGTCATTTGTCCCTGAGGTTAAGTGTCAAGCCCAGGTCGGTAAATGTTCCAGGTCTGTCTGTAGGAAAGGTCAGCTCTTGCCAGCTCAGTGATGCCAGAGAAAGAGTTATGTTGATAAAAGGTTTACTCTCTGACAGTTATTGAATTTTGTCCTGAAGAAGTCTCCCAGCAAGGCTTCCTTGTAGCTCAGGGCCTTCAGGTGGGTCTTGTGGGCAGTGAAGCTGTCTGGGTGACTAGGGACACCAGTGCATTTAAGTCCAATGCATGGTTAGGTCTCAGTGGACTTTCTCTGTTCCCATGGTGAAGAGTGCTACTGCATCCCTAAGATGGATGGGGGAGGTTGGTATTTCTATCCTGTTTTGTGAATGGTTCCATTAGCTTTGTCGTGGGGCCTGGGTGCCAGATATAAATCTAGCTCATATTGGAGTGACTAGTGTGGTGAAAGGGGTGCTAGACTGCACTTGTAGTCAAGTCTTGGCTCTTTGTCCCAGTGTTGCCACTTCTTAACATTGTGACTTTGAGGGAGCCACTTCACTTTGTGGAATCCCAGATTCTTCATTTGTAGACCACGGCTATCCTGCTTTCTATCTGCTGCTGGCTGTGGTTGATTGTGTGGCTCTAGAGGAAGCACCTGGGAAGTCCTAAGTTGGGGTTTCAAGGCAAGAGAATGCTGATGAGGGCCCAGCAGAAAGGTGGTAGAAGCCCTGCTGGTGAGAAGCATAAGACTTGTACTGTCAGAGGACAAGGCACCAGTCCTTTGTGGTGGCTGTGAACTTAGGTCCCCACACCAACTGCCTGGGTTTGAGTCTGCACTCCACCAAGGTGTAACCTTGGGCAAATTCACCTCTCTGTGTTCATTCTTTTCATGTGAAAAGTAGACACCAGAATAGCCCCTCTCCCCCAACAATAGTACCTACTTTTTAAGGATTAAATGAGATGATGGTAAACCTAAGGGACAGAGCCCAGTTTCTGGCACATGGAGATACTCAGTCCATGCCCACTGTTGTGGTCAAGGCCACAGTAGGCTTTCCCTGCATGTGAAGTTGTCTCAGGGAACTTAACTAGATGTGTGGGTTAGCCAAAGCCTTGTAGCAAAGTAACATATTTTAAAGCAGCCATCATTTGATAGGAGTAGGCCCAGCTGTACTCTAGGAAGTAGGCTGAAGGGAGCCACTTGGGGTAGGAAGGCACCTCCCTCCATGCAGTGGGTGTGACTCATCCACAGGATCCTCTGTGTGAGATTTCTCTAGGTTCTTAGGGAAAAAAAAGGGGGAGTATAAGCTGATACCGTTTTCCCTGCTGTGTGAGTGTCCTGATTGTAAAAATTTTCTAGCTTTATGTTGGCAAAATTGTATTTCAAGGATTACCTTGATTAGCTATATGAGAAATGGGTTGGAGAGAAGCTACAACAGTTCCTTAAATGTTCTTAAACATCTTAGATTATTCTATTTAATTCCTGAAGAGATCATTTGGATATGTTTTCTTGAGCAAAACAGGCAGATGGTGTTGCTACCCAGTTTCCCAATTCTGTAAGGCCTGTAGCAGACATTTACGGTAGGCTTGCAGTAGTGAAAGATCCATGGACTAGGAATCAGAAGACTGGGTCCTCGGCCTTATTCCCAGCTCTGTCATGCGTGATTTTGTGGCTCTTAGGTTGGTGACCTGCAAAATGGAGATGTTGGTCATCCTTGCTTACTTCACCAGGGGCGTCCATCCTAAGACATAAGAGAATGCCGGTAAATTGCTTTACAACCAAAGTACAAGTATTAGCATAATAAATGGCACTGACAACCAAGCTCTGACCCTCCTAATGAAATATTTTCTTTCTCAGTGATGTTACAGCCTTTCGATTATGATCCCAATGAGAAAAGTAAACACAAGTTTATGGTTCAGTCTATGTTTGCTCCAACTGACACTTCAGATATGGAAGCAGTAGTAAGTACTGAATGCTTCTTATTTTTTTCAGTAACAATAATTTAAAAAACCAATTAGATATGGAATTGTGGGTGCATGCATTTCAAAATATGTCAAAATTATTTAAAAGGGAATAGTTTTTTTTCAAGGAGGTTTGTACTTTATCTACCTTTATGGTTTTTCTAAAACTTTGAGGAATAATTTTAACATTTTTTGTGACTTTCTAGAAGGCTGTTCTTTTCTGACTTTCCTGAGCTCAGTGTGCTTCAGCAGCTCCTTGCACTGGTGGATGGTGTCTTGCATGGTTAGGGATTGCCTTCTTTCGCCTCTCCTTTCTGCCCCGACAGAAAAGGATACTTTTCATTGTCCCGCCTTTTTCTTACTTGTCTTCTCATCCCCCACAAACTCAAGAGCCATGTGAGAGTGTCAGTGCTGAATGTCCTCACCCATTTAGACATACATGTTTGTGGCTTTGTTCTAGTAAATATGCTTATTTATTTTCCCCCCTGCTTAAATCTATGTTTAACTTTTCTCTAATTTTGATAAAATTAAGATGACTTCATTTTTATAAAAGAAATAAGTGATGTTAGTGATGGTTTTGGAAAAAAAAAAAAGAGTATAATGGACATTCCCTCCAAAACGAGCTTTTTATACATTTGAATAAGTCCATTGGCATTCTGGGGCTGGGAGTTGAATTGAAATCTACAATACAACCCACAGCCCCAGCAGGGACAGATGCGCTTGTCCTTACAGTTCAGGAAAGCAGGACAGGGTTGCCTCATACCACTTGCATTGCTCTCCAGTTTTGGCCCGCCCAAAGGGGAGCCCCGAGTCATCCACGGCAGGTCTGCCCACCTGAGTCCGCTGTTCATCACACCATACTGCAGTTCTCCTCTGTCTGAGTTTCATACCAAGGGCAACTCAGGCCAAGACCACCCCATGCCCTATGTCACCACATAGCCTTTTGTTTAAGTTCTGGAGAAGCATCTCCGCTGATGTTTCACTTGTAGGCAGAAAATGAAGGAGGAGGCCAGATATTTTTGACTTTTAGAGAGATCAGTGATAATAGGCTGTCTTCTTTTCATAAGAACAATTCTTATGAAAACTTTCTCTGATTTTCTGCAACATGATGTGTTACTTCATGTTAATTTGTGTGATCAAAGAAACATGGCAGATAGAAAATAATGGAAGATCCAAGGGTGTGTTCTGTTTGGCTTCTGCTGCATGGCATAGTGAAAAGAGCATGGGCTTGGGTGTTTTCGAGCTGAGTTCTTCCTTTTACTGACGTTGTGGCTGGGAGCAGGTTTTATTAACTCTGTTGAGGTTTTGATCATTTGTAAAATAGGGATAAAAATGCAGCTCACACAGTGGTGAGTATGAAGTGTGCCTGTGTAAGTGCCTGGTGGGTCCAGTGTCTGACACTTGCTTATCAGAGTGTGTAATAGGCCAGTCACTGCATATCTAGTAAAGGGTCATTTTAGTTCCTTGTATGATGATATAAGTTTAAATTTTTTTTATATAAAATGTACATTGTGGGAAATTTTGGAAATACACAAATGAAAAAAATTTAAAGTGACCCATAGTTCTTTTCTACTAGGCCTAACCATCATTAATGAGAAATGAGAGCTTTGTGTTTTTCTTCCTTTTTTTTTTTTTTTTTTTTTTTGGAGACATGATTTTACTGTGTCACCTAGGCTGGAATGCAGTGGAGTGATCTCAGCTCGCTGCAGCCTCCACCTCCTGGGCTCAAGTGATCCTCCCACCTCAGCCTCCCAAGTAGCTGGGACCACAGGAGCGCACCACCATGCCTGGCTAATTTTTTTGTAGAGACAGGTTTTCTCCATGTTGCCCAAGCTGGTCTCAAACTCCTGGACTCAAGCGATCTGCCCACCTCAGCCTCCCAAAGTGGTAGGATTACAGGCATGAGCCACTGCCCCAGCCTGCTTTTTCTTTATTTTAAAATGTTTTTCTTTTTATTGTGATATACAGAAAGTTGAAAAAATAGCATGGTGACCACTCATATAACTTTTACCTAGATTTACATTTGTTAACATGTTGTGACATTTGCTTCCTTTCTGTCACAAACTTTCTTATTTGCTTGAGATGCAAATTTATGACACTTCACCCCTAAATGCTTCAGAGCAAGGACAGTCTCTTATATAGTCATGATACTATTAATCATAGCTGAAAAAAGTAACTTCAATTCAGTATTATTATGTGATAAATTCATATTCATTATTTCCTAGTTGTTCCAAAAGTGACCTTTAGTAGAGGACACCCAAACCTTTTTGTTTTTCAAACTTTGAACTTTTTTTTTTTTTTTTTTTTTTTTTGAGACAAAGTCTTGCTTTGTCACCAAGGCTGAAGTGCAGTGGTGCAGTCATGGCTTGACCTCCACCTCAGCTGTTCGAGTAACTAAAACTACAGGCATGCCACCATGCCGGCTATTTTTTTATTTTTTTATAGAGTTGGGGTCTCACTATGTTGCCCAGGCTGGTCTTGAACTTCTGGGCTCAAGTGATCCTCCTGCCTCTGCCTCTCGAAGTGCTGGGATTACAGGTGTGAGCCACTGCACCCTGCCCAAACTTTGAACTTCTTTTTTTTTTTAAGAGTCCAGGCCAGTTGACTTACAGAATGTCCTGTATTCTGGATTTATTTGATTATTTCCTCATGATTAAATTCAAGTTAAATGTGTTTTGGCAAGAATATTCCATAGTTGGTATTTCATACCAGGTTGTTCCGCTGTTGGTGATGCTGTTTGATCACTTGGTTAAGATGGTGACTGCCAGCTCTCTCCACTGTCATAGCACAAAGCACATTTGCCCCTGTGGTTAATAGGTAATCTGTGATACTCTGAGTCATCTGATACTTTGAGACCATGTGAATATCCTGCTCGCCAGCAGTCTTTCACCTGGTGCTTTTAGCATTCAGTGATGATCCTTGCTTGATATTTTTTTTGACTTATGTGGTAGGCACACGTGTACAGGTGTGTGTGTGCAGAGGAGCAGACTTCAGTATTCTTTGCGATTTTTTCACTTAACATTCTGGACATTTTCTCCATCTAACTGAGTGCTCTTCAGCATCATTTGAGTGGCAGCATGCTGTTCCGTTTAGTGGATCTGCCATAATTTTTGTGGCAGTCCCCTAGGGTCAGATGTATAGATTGCTTCCCACTTTTGGTTCTTGGTACCTGTGTTACAGTAGCTGCCTCTTGCATGGTTTTGGGAAGGGTTGAGGGCATGGAGGGTGGGGGTGCCTTCTTTTTCTATATCATAACCTTGCTGCTATCCTGGTCTGTAATCCTAGAATACCCTGGAATTCCCATCTTCTGCTGCCAAAAGGAGAAGTAATCAGGAGCGTATCCTCTTAGGACATGGGATTTAGCTAGGAAGGTGCTCTCACTACAGCCTGGAGGGATGGAGATGGGTCTTGGGGTAGACACAGCCCACACACTGCCACAGTGACAGAGGAGGGATTTGGTAATGAATGTGTTCCGTTGGTAGTTGGCAGAGTGGTTCTGAAACTAGTCCCAGATAGTATGCGCTTATACTTTCTAGATATGCCTTTAAAATAAGTTTCATTTTCTCATTTTAATTTAATTTATTATTTTTGAGACAGAGTCTCTCAGTGTCCCCCAGCCTGGAGTACAGTGGCATGATCATGGCTCACTGCAGCCTCCACCTCCTGGGCCCAAGTGATCCTCCCTCCTCAGCCTCCTGAGTAGCTGGGACCACAGGCATGTGCCTCCATGCTTAGCTAATTTTTTAATTTTTTTGTAGAGATGACGTCTCCTTACGTTGTGCAGACTGGTCTCAAACTGCTGGGCTCAACCAGTCCCTCCACCTCAGCCTCCCAAAGTGCTGGGATTACAGGCATAAGCCACCATGCCCAGCTGAAAACAAGTTTTATTTTCATAAGGAGAGCCAAGGTTACCTGGTCATCCAGACATTGTTTAGAGGATTCCTTTTTGTTCAGTGGTGGGCCTGTCCCACAGAGTAGCAACATGGGGAGCATTGGTTGACTTTGAGGAGTCAGGCAGCAAGACTTCAGGGTTTATGAAGTGTAATATTTTGAGAAAGTGAGTGTATTTAATCTTGTCATGTTACAAATATTGAAATCTCAGCAGACTTCAGTTCTTTATTTGATATACATCAGGGCTTTCTCATTAAGAGTATTTTTCTGAAATTGTCAGTTATAGGAAGAAAGTTATTCTTCCAGCAGGTTTATAATATCTTGATTATTAAATTTAAATTGTTTTAGTGGAAGGAGGCAAAACCGGAAGACCTTATGGATTCAAAACTTAGATGTGTGTTTGAATTGCCAGCAGAGAATGATAAACCAGTAAGTATATTTATAGTTAACAATAATTGAATGTTGTAAGCTGATACTTATTTGCATACCATTTCCTGCAAAACCAAGATTTAAGTTGGCAAATTATTTTCCTTTATCTGATGTCTGAAGAAAAAAAATAAGCTGAAGTCAGCAAATAAGTGGGCCTTTATGAAATCAGCCTTTGAAAAACTCACGGAAAGACAACTGATTGACAGTGTTTCCCCTTGAAAAGTGCAGCCCGATGGCCATTGAGATGTCATAAATCCTGAAGAGCTTCTGTGGCCTGGCAAAGGTATAGGTTGCTGTTAAACAGTGGGTGAGAGTGAAAGAGGGAACAATTTGCCCTTTATCATGGTGGTTGATGGACGTGTGGGAAGCTTTCAAGTTCTCTTGTTTTACAAAGTGCCCTGTCAGCCTCCCTACCCCTTTTACCCTATCTACCTCTTCAATCAAAGGCTGCTTTTAGATGAGGATTTCTCAGCCTCAACACTGTTGATATTTGGGGCAAATCCTTGGTGGTGGTGGAGGTTGCCCTGTGTACTGTAGGGTGTTTTATTAATAGCAGCATCCCTGGCTTCTGCCCTCTTGATACTGGTAGTACTTCCCAGTTGTGACAACTAAAAATGTCTCCAGATATTGCCACATGTGTCCTGGAGGGCAATATCAACCCCCATTGAGAGTGATCCCATTCCGGTGTTGCCTGTGGGGAGAAGGAAGGAGCCCCATCCTCTAGGCTGTCCACTGTGAGCGCTTTACCTTTCATGATCCTCACTTGTGACCAGTTGAAGAAAGGAGACTGTATCTGAAATGCTAATTTGGACTTCCCTTCAACCTAGTCGAAAACATTTTAATTTTTATAAAAACACCAAAACTGTGAAAGCATGCAGCATGTGAAACTATCCTAGCCATTAATAGCTGGAGTTGGGAAACAGAAGTACCCTGAAATGTTGTGTTAACAGTATCTATGTTGGTCTGCGCGAGTGCTGTTGATTTGTGTCAAAACTACCTGAGATTTTATTTCTGCTGAATCATTTACCACTATCATTACCCTGTTTCTTTAAGTGGATAGTGGTCATTTTTTCCCTCTTCCCAGTGTACATCCTGTCACAGGAAGGTCAGTTTGGAAGCTGTGAAAGCAGTATTCTGGCCTCAGCTCTGTGATAGGTTGACTTGGTAGCCTGGGGCCTTGCTTCACAGGGCCTACTCTTCTCATCTGGAAAATGATGGGTAGAGCTAGATTCCAGGCCAATGATCGTCAGTTACTCTTTCCCTGACAAGCTGCGTGCTTCCATGCCCTCCCTCCACTGACTGGCTCTCATCCCCTGTAAATCTCAAGAGGGGATCATAGCTGAATCTTGGCAGGGGAAATAAGGGGAGTATGTAACTTCCCAAGATTGAAACATTGCAGACACTGAGTTTGTTTCACCTTCATCCCAGCTTCCAAATGCTAAGTTGGTAAAGTAATTCGCCCTCTGTCTAATGCTCTCCCAAGCCTCCTAACCCCACTAAGGCAATCCTAGGGATGTTCACATCTTTGTGGTGACAGTAATTTGTGGCTAATAATTCCTGAGCTTGCACAATTACAGTATGCTGATTTTTCCGTGGCAGGAATTTGATAGTGCAATATACACAGCCCTTTTTCTCTTTCTTTGAAGTATTAGTCTCAGCCGAACTTCATTATTTGCCCTTATCCATAATTTCTAGGGCCCTGTTGCTTTAGATTATTAAGATATCAGATAAAGTAATCCATTTTTAAAATAAATGTGACATTTTACAGTGTGGATGAAATGCTACCACGTTTGGTGTTTGCTGAGAACTACTTTACTTTGCATAAAAAAGTCCATTATTACATGGTCGGTGACACTTAGGCTTTCATTTGTTTTTGAACAGCATGATGTAGAAATAAATAAAATTATATCCACAACTGCATCAAAGACAGAAACACCAATAGTGTCTAAGTCTCTGAGTTCTTCTTTGGATGACACCGAAGTTAAGAAGGTTATGGAAGAATGTAAGAGGCTGCAAGGTGAAGTTCAGAGGCTACGGGAGGAGAACAAGCAGTTCAAGGTAATAGTTTATTTTCTGGTAATCTACAGAAAACAAGGGCGTTTTCACTAGCTTCTTGGGTGGGGAAGTTGATGAGCCAGTGAATATATAGATTTCTTTTTGCTTTTGGTATTTGGCTATTTTTTTCTCCCCAGGGAGAAATTTCCATGGCTTTCATGAGAGTCTCAAAAGGGTCCTTGGATCTGCCTAAATTAAGAACCACTGTCCCTTGATCAGAAATTTCTCAACTGTTGAAGCTCTTGTCCCCTTAAAAAAAAAAACAAAAACAAAAAACTTGGCCGGGTGCGGTGGCTCACGCCTGTAATCCCAGCACTTTGGGAGGCCAAGGCGGGCCGATCACAAGGTCAAGCGTTCAAGACCAGCCTGGCCAACAAAGTGAAACCCCGTCTCTAATAAAAAATACAAAAAATTAGTTGGGTGTGGTGGCAGGTGCCTGTAATTCCAGCCACTCGGGAGGCTGAGGCAGGAGAATCGCTTGAACCCAGGAGGCGGAGGTTGCAGTGAGCTGAGATCGTGCCACTGCCCTCCAGCCTGGGTGACAGAGCTAGACTTCGTCTCAAAAACAAAATAAACAAAACCCCAAACAACTCAAACTCTCCATTATTGTAAATTGAAAATAAATGTTGAGACCAAAATAGTTTTTATTTTGAATATGCATTTTTAAACCACTTGGGTGAGAATCTTTTTTCAGAGAGTGAATACTGACCTATACTCTGTTTTAATGCAAGTATAGTTCTGATTTTAGAAGACTCTAAATAGGTCTGGGCAGTTGTGGCTCATCAAACTATTGATGTGGTGATGAGCTTGGAGGTGGGGTGCCTCACAGTGGGTAGGAGGTGGAGATTATGGAAGGAAAATCTGAGCTTCTAGCTTCTGGATGAGGCAGTTGGCATTGGCAATGGAAGGTTGTATTGTACTGAGTGATGAAGTGGGGAGGCAGGGGGTGCTTCTTTTGGCTTGTGGTGGTGTGGAAGTTGCTCCCATCCAATATGAAACAGCTCTGAATCTGTGCTGGTCACAGCATCTCTTAGGCCTCTGTTTGCTAAACACCTCTAAGGCCCCTTCCAGCTTTAAAAGTATGAGTTTTCTTCTCTTTTACTCTGACAGTGAGGTAGATATAGGAGAACTGACAGCATTTGGGAAATGGCATCATCTTCTTCCTTTGCAGTGATTTTGATTTGCCTCAGTCAGTAATTTCTTTAGTGTGTAGTAAATTGTGAAGCTGACACTACTTTTTGGCTAAAAATCTAAGCTATGCCTGAAGCTTCTCGAGTGTATTTCTCTTCTGAAACAGAGTTCTGTGCTATTTAAAGTGGTAAATAGGTAGAAATAGCTTCTATATAACCTAATAAAATAAATGGTTTAGTTTGCCGGGTTTTTTTTTAAGCCAGTCGGACACCACCAGTTGTTTATCACTGTGCAGTGATACGGGCCATGCCCCATGAGCAGAATATCCTTAAAATATGATCAGACCAATCTCAACATTAGAAGATTCTTTATCCTGCCAAACACTGCCTTCTTGTTTTGTGTTGGTTTATTCTGTCATCTGGCCAACAAATTTACTGAGGGTCTAATATGTGCCCGGCACTGTGGATTCAAACACGAACAGCCCCTGCCCTTGAGGAGCTCTCTGTTGTTGGGATAGCAGGGAGAGACATAGACAGAAGTGATTACAAGCCAGTGTGATCAATGTCCCACAGAGATAGCAACA
The DNA here is from genome assembly GCF_000001405.40 of Homo sapiens. Taxonomy (NCBI): domain Eukaryota; kingdom Metazoa; phylum Chordata; class Mammalia; order Primates; family Hominidae; genus Homo; species Homo sapiens. The sequence goes on from NC_000020.11 coordinate 58,442,795, forward strand.
AATTGCAGGGAGAGTCAGCTCCATGGGACTCATCTGCCTGTGGTCCCCAGGACCTACTAGGTACTCGGGCGGATGGGAGCGAATGGAAGGAAACGAAGAAAAGAAAGTACAGCTGGTGTGTGGGGTTTAAGGATGAGGAGATGAGGTAATTAGCAAGAGATCTATCAGCAAAGATGAGTCTGTGCCAGAATAGAATGGCTTGATGCATGTCCCTCTTCAGGGATGTGGGCTTGGCTTTGAGAGCATGGAAATGGCATCATAGATCTACATAGTAACTTGCAGATTCTTAGGAAAGTGCAAGGCAGTTGTGGCAGTGGAGGTGAAGGAAGAAAAAATTTTTCATTTCTTACATTTCCATGTAGTTTGGGGACAAGGGGAGGGTGGGGAATATGGTCAAATATCTTTATATGTATGAAAAAGAATGTTGCTTCTTCAATGAGAAATCTATGCATTAAGTAGAAAATATTTGAGATGAGTGTATGAAGGCCAGTCACATTTTAATATTCCAAATATCATTTGATCCAGCAGTCTGGATGTAACTCATTAAGTACCAGCTATCTACAGAGCTCTGCATTTGAAAGCTTCCAGATGTCCCACTTTTAGGTTTTTTTTTTTTTTTTTTTTTAATATGGAGTCTCACTCTGTCACCCCAGGCTAATTTTTGTAATTTTAGTAGAGACGAGGTTTTACCATGTTGACCAAGGGGTAGTCTTGAACTCCTGAGCTCAGGTGATCCACCCGCCTCAGCCTCCCAAAGTACAGGGATTACAAGCATGAGCCACCGTGCCCAGTTGACTTTGTAGATTCTTTTATTTATATATTTATGTCTTGGGAAATGCCTGTGATTTTAAAAATCGATGATTTGATCAAGGAAGGCTATTCATTAGAGGCAGGAAGGACAGAGAGGTTGGGGTTGAAGAGAAGCATCCGGAAGACATGGCCATAGAGGTGGGTGGGGCCGAGGGTGCAAAGGGCCCAGTTGACCCTTTTAAGTGCTTTTTTCTGTAAATCACGGGAAACCAAGGAGCACCCTGTTTAGATGTCTGTTGTAACTAGCAGCAGCAAGTGGAATGGATGAAAGAAAAGAGGGGACTGTTTTCTCAGTGGCTTCAGGCTAGCCCTTTCCCCTCTGTAGCCTGCAGTTTCTCCGTTTGCAAAATGCGGTTGGACCATATCATGTCATCCAACACTGGGCATAAACAGCCCATCCCGTTAAGCTGTACAGTTGACTCCCCTTTCTGGTGCCTTGGCTTGTCTTTGAAATGTGCGTTTGCTCCCGTAGGAAGAAGATGGACTGCGGATGAGGAAGACAGTGCAGAGCAACAGCCCCATTTCAGCATTAGCCCCAACTGGGAAGGAAGAAGGCCTTAGCACCCGGCTCTTGGCTCTGGTGGTTTTGTTCTTTATCGTTGGTGTAATTATTGGGAAGATTGCCTTGTAGAGGTAGCATGCACAGGATGGTAAATTGGATTGGTGGATCCACCATATCATGGGATTTAAATTTATCATAACCATGTGTAAAAAGAAATTAATGTATGATGACATCTCACAGGTCTTGCCTTTAAATTACCCCTCCCTGCACACACATACACAGATACACACACACAAATATAATGTAACGATCTTTTAGAAAGTTAAAAATGTATAGTAACTGATTGAGGGGGAAAAGAATGATCTTTATTAATGACAAGGGAAACCATGAGTAATGCCACAATGGCATATTGTAAATGTCATTTTAAACATTGGTAGGCCTTGGTACATGATGCTGGATTACCTCTCTTAAAATGACACCCTTCCTCGCCTGTTGGTGCTGGCCCTTGGGGAGCTGGAGCCCAGCATGCTGGGGAGTGCGGTCAGCTCCACACAGTAGTCCCCACGTGGCCCACTCCCGGCCCAGGCTGCTTTCCGTGTCTTCAGTTCTGTCCAAGCCATCAGCTCCTTGGGACTGATGAACAGAGTCAGAAGCCCAAAGGAATTGCACTGTGGCAGCATCAGACGTACTCGTCATAAGTGAGAGGCGTGTGTTGACTGATTGACCCAGCGCTTTGGAAATAAATGGCAGTGCTTTGTTCACTTAAAGGGACCAAGCTAAATTTGTATTGGTTCATGTAGTGAAGTCAAACTGTTATTCAGAGATGTTTAATGCATATTTAACTTATTTAATGTATTTCATCTCATGTTTTCTTATTGTCACAAGAGTACAGTTAATGCTGCGTGCTGCTGAACTCTGTTGGGTGAACTGGTATTGCTGCTGGAGGGCTGTGGGCTCCTCTGTCTCTGGAGAGTCTGGTCATGTGGAGGTGGGGTTTATTGGGATGCTGGAGAAGAGCTGCCAGGAAGTGTTTTTTCTGGGTCAGTAAATAACAACTGTCATAGGGAGGGAAATTCTCAGTAGTGACAGTCAACTCTAGGTTACCTTTTTTAATGAAGAGTAGTCAGTCTTCTAGATTGTTCTTATACCACCTCTCAACCATTACTCACACTTCCAGCGCCCAGGTCCAAGTCTGAGCCTGACCTCCCCTTGGGGACCTAGCCTGGAGTCAGGACAAATGGATCGGGCTGCAGAGGGTTAGAAGCGAGGGCACCAGCAGTTGTGGGTGGGGAGCAAGGGAAGAGAGAAACTCTTCAGCGAATCCTTCTAGTACTAGTTGAGAGTTTGACTGTGAATTAATTTTATGCCATAAAAGACCAACCCAGTTCTGTTTGACTATGTAGCATCTTGAAAAGAAAAATTATAATAAAGCCCCAAAATTAAGAATTCTTTTGTCATTTTGTCACATTTGCTCTATGGGGGGAATTATTATTTTATCATTTTTATTATTTTGCCATTGGAAGGTTAACTTTAAAATGAGCCCTATCACTGAGAAATACGTGTTTCATGATTTAACTCTGTGTGTGTGTGTGTGTGTGTGTGTGTGTGTGTGTGTATTTTTTTTTTGGTTGTCTTCAGCTGACAGTATGAAAAATGAAACTGCTGAAAAAGCTGAGCACCTGGTCACCCTTGGCCTTCCATTGCTTTGGCCTTCAGTAAAAAGCAGCCTCCCTTCTAGGTCAGGGAACCATGCCATTGAGACTAGTAACGGGCGTTCTGGGCACAGTCCCACTGTGCACAGGTTTGAGAGGACAAGTTCATCAGAAGGAAGGCAGTCCTTAGAAGTCACATACGTTGAGCCACGTTGCTCCTAAGCCTGGCTCTGTCAAGCTGGGTCAGGGGCCTTGAAACTGGAGAAGTGGAAGTCTATGGTTGGTCTGAGTAAGTAACTTCCTGTCTTCATGAAAAAAGTTGACTTTGAATCCCAGGTACTCACAGAAATGGTGAACAGACTTAGTTGTTACCCAGGCACCCATGGATTGTGTTGAGTGTGCAGACAGGGAGGCCACCCCAATAGGAATTCGTCTCCAGGATTTTTCCCATGTGTCCCCCAGTACTTATAAAAGGGAGTGAAAAGACCGAGCTGTAAGGCATGTGCCTTCTGCCACCTGACTTTCCGTGAGGGGACTAAAATTTACTAATTGTAGTTGCTGCAGCCAGTTAAGTCCTGTAGCTTCCAGGCCCTCATGTCTTTGATAGGAGAGTGCTTAGGTGGTCCCCAACAGTGCCTAGGGGTACAGTACAGTCCCATTACACTAGAGCAGGGCTCTATTTATTTTTAAAGGATATGGCCGTGTGTTTTGATAAAACTTTATTCACAAAAACAGCCGGGTCATGGGATTTGGCTTGTGAGTCTGTAACAGTTCTTAAAAAGAATATCTGAGAAACTACTCTGTTTTAGACCTTTGAAGGTGATTTAGAGTTTTGTGTACATCTAGGAGAAGGTGTTCAGCTTCTCAGAGGATGTGGACATTTTGGTTGCAGCTAAAAATCAGTCTCTGAAGTCTCTCTCCCTTCTAGAGGTTAGGACTTGGTGAACATGTTTGTGGGCCTTTTGACTGAGTGGCAGAAGGAAACTGCTCAGGAAGAGAAACAGGTGACTGATGGGAAGGTTGATTATTTTCTCAGTCATCCTGGCAGCCAAAAATGTGCCAGGAAAAGAAAGAATGTGGAGCACGCGTGGCTCCTGGAGGACTTGGAGATGCATGCACATTTAGGGTGTTTTCCCTAGAATTACATAATGAAAAAAAGAATAAGGCAAAGAGGAGGTGAATATGGGGCCTGTCACAACGGCCTGCCCTGCCCCAAGAGGGTTAAGAGTCAGATAATCGGGACGAAACTGGCATGGAAAGAGCGAGCCTAGGGAGGATGCCGCTGGGCAGTGTGCATGGGGGAGCTGCTGCCAGGCTGCCCTCCAGTCTGCTCCTGTGGTTACTGGCTCCACAGCACCTCAGAGAGGGCGGCCCTGGCTTCAGAAATGCCAGCCATAGTGCTCACAAATGCAGAAGAGATGGAAGCGGTGACAGAATCCTGAAAGTTTTTATTGATTGAAGTTTTAAATTGGTAACTTAAGCTTCCTTGGCACGATACAAAATACCTCTTAAAGACAGCAGGCTTTTTTATTTGTAGGTGTGAGGAACTGGCTTTAACTTTTTTCTCCTCCTAGTTTGCATGTTTTCCTTCTCTCGTCTTCTGAACTGCTGGCACCAGCAGTAATACATACTGATAAAATCAAAATTGATTTTTACCAGTGGCCAGTTTATGGCTAGAGAGACGACTTATACCTCCATAACACAGAAGGGGGAAAAATGAAGAACCTCCAGTGATCCGTGAAAACCTAAACGCTTTCAAACAAATCCCAGGAACAGAATTGCTATCGAAAGATATCATTGCCCAGTTTGCAGGCTATGTTGAGTCAGATAGAACTGAATGTAGTGAGAGCTCAGAGCTACAGAGCCTTTCAGATGAATTTGAAAACAGACTCTGTGTGTGTGTGCATGTGTGCATGTGTGCATGTGTGGCATATGTGCCGTATGTCAGTAGCTTGACAGTTTTCAAATCGTGCCTATATTTTTTTGCATACACAAATTTTTGTGTTTGCAAACTCAGAATCCATGCCAAAATACAATGTTATATGTCATTTTCAGCTCCTTCTCTAAAGGAATGGCCCATTTCTCATTGTAGTTTGAGAAATACATGTATGAAGAGATAGGGGTCTTGGGCTTCCCAGTGTCACTTTGAACACCTGAATAACATTTAACTCCTGAGACCTTCTCGGTGTAGAGGCCACTGCTTCCCCCTGCTGGAGATGGCATTTCATTGAAGGGCCTCTCGTGGCTTTCCCTGCCCCCGGCTGTCTGGCCTGAAGAAGGAGAAAGAACCAAACTGAACTATGAAAAGTTACCACTCTGAGGAGACCTCTCTTAATTAACACTTGGGGCCATGTTTGCTGTTGTTGAGAAGGAGTGTTCTCAAAGATGAGCTGGAATGGAATTGTATTTAGAAAGGCCCCTGCAAAGTATATAGATGGATGACTCTAGTTCATGACATACAAATCCCATAAGGCCAACGACCACTCTTCTGGAACACCAAGAGCAGCTCTGAGATCATGCTGGCCCTACGCGAATTGAGTTTCTGTGGCCTAATTGGATTTGGAGAACGCCTTCCCTGGCCCCTTTTCCTCAGACAGATCTGCTCTGATAGGAACCTTTTCAAGAAAGTTACTGTTGTTTCAATGCCACTCCTTACCTGTATAGAACATTTCCAATACATTCGCTCATTGAACTTAATCCTTGCAACTGTGACTGGGGGGTAGATGGCTCTGTTTGCATACGAAGAAATAAAGGCTCCAGGAGGTTAAATCGGGCAACTTTTTAGAACTAAATCAGTCTCTGTAAGGCCTACATTGCTAAGATACCATTTCAGCTCTGAAAATCTGCTTCAGGGAAGTGAGTGGATGAGGCCTTCCTGCCTCAGCTACTCTGCCCGTCTGTACATCTTTTGTGTCTGCCTCCGTACCTTATTCAGTTATTTTCACACTAAAGTAAGTAGAATTAAGACTGTAGTTCAGATGCTTTTTCTTTTTCTGTTGGAAACTGAACACACTACAGACAGTGAAAAAAGGTACATATTCCATTTTCTCATTGCCTGAAGATCTCTGCTGATGCTCCTGGAGAATGACTTTGGGGGCTTTAGAAAGAATATTGCCAGTCCGTCTCGGCAAGGAGATGATGGGAGCGCTTTATATGGAGGCTTTACATGACTTGTAAATTAAATGTGAATGAGGGCAGTTGATTAAAATTGGTATTACAGAAGGGCCCTGCTGAGGTTTGAAAACAGCTGAGCTGCTGATGTCTCAGGCCTTTCCCTGAATTAGCACTGCGGTTCTCCAGGATATCAGCAAAGAGGGCAAGTAATAGAAGCCCCTGATAAGGAGCGTCAGCCGACAGGCAAGCTTGGGAGGCTGTGGGAATGGGTCTGCCCCCAGCTTCACAGACCTCTTCCTCCAGCCTCTGAATCCCATTAGCCACAGCCTAGAACATTAGCTGAGCTGCACAAGCTCACCCACCCCTGTGCCAGGGGGCCCTGACCTCCCTCCATGCCATGTTTTTGGCTGTATCTACGGCACTTAACAATAGGGGCTTTTTATTTTCATTACAGAGATATTTTGAAAAATTTAAAAGACATGAACTCACATAAACAGTTATGGATGATAGTTAAAAGAGAAACGGGTGGAGGTGGATGAGAGGTTGTCTTCATGAATATAATTACTTGAGATTTTTTTTTCTTAATGGAATTAGTTTATTAGAAAATGTCTGTGTTAAATCCGTAGAAAAGGAAGAAAAGTGTAGCAACAAAAATGTAGCCATTATCTAACTTGCCATAAATATTTGCAGTTATGATACCTTGGAATGTTGCCACGATATGGATTGCTTTGATTAAAAGATGTCAGTTGAATAAAACAGTACTGTGGGAGAATCGCTTTCTGCTGCTAGATAAATGCTGATGTTTATTTTTAAACCAGGAAACATTGATCCTGTAACAATGCCCGATTACAATTGCTTTATTACACCCCAGGGCTGATGGAGATGTAATCACTTGGCTAATGGATGTGGGTGCAGGACAGATGCTCGCTTGCTGGCCTGCTTTCCTGCTTGCATTCTGATGAGCTGCAGGAGTGCGCCTGGCCTTCTGCAGGTGGAGCTGCTGTCAGAGCTTCGTTTCACTGATACCCAAAGCCATGTCTGACTGAAATAAAACAGGTTCCCTTTTTTTTTCCCTTTGGAAAATGCCAACTAAGGGAGACTAATCAGATATCTTAACACAATTTCATCCAGGCTTAGTGCTAACAAGATTGCGGGGCTTTTTAGGGTTTAAGAAGATGAGAAATGAGTGTGCACGTTTCACACGTTGACTTGCCGGTTTTTCCATGTCATACAAAAAAGTCCTGGCTGTTTCTCCGAACTGGCTGCCTGCATTCCCGTCTTTCTTTTGTTTTTAAGAAATAGACTGAATTCAGCTGTTAATCCTCTAGTACAGTATCCATGTTAAAATGTTTTTCCATTGCATCTTTTATGTGAATTCAAAGGTCAGAATTTATTGTCTGTGATATTGAGACCATGTGTACAAGAACTACTTTTTGCTTTTCATCATTCACTCCTTAGCAAACGTTTCGTAAGTACCCTCTGTCTGTTTGCTACTATATGAGGTGCTGCGAAATTAGTGGGCGTGGCTTTTTATATTTTTCATTCGTGTGTAGCCTAAGTAAGGTGACTCAAGATGATACACCGAGAGAAAAATGCAAAATATATTTGGTTCTCATTTCTGTTGCTGTCGTTTCCTTTTTAAAGACGATTTATCAACTGCTGCCATTTGGAACTTCCTATAAGAAACTAAAAATGATCTATTTCAGTGTTCCTTTCGCCTTTCCTCTGCTTTCTGAATAAATGGTTTCAGTAACCCATGCTGTTCTCTCCCTATTCTACGTCTTTCTCCCTATGTTGAAAAAAGATTCCCACAGTTTCTGATGTGTGTGTTTATAGTCTTCAATGTATGTTAACATGTTAGGAACTGAGTATCTTAAGAGATGTCTTAGAATGCTTTAGTTTTCATAATTTGTCCTTTATGTATTTTTCATTGTATTTGCTGTTTTGACATGGAAGTAATTTAAAAAGTTGGTGCAGGAAAGGACTCTTTACTGTTGCACATTTTGGTTTTCTGATATGTAATAAATTCATGGCTTGGCAGCTGACATGATGTTTCCCAGAGAGAAGGAGATGTATTTCTGCAGGGTCCAGACCAAAAGAGCCATTTACAGCATGTTCTCCCATGTTCCATTATCAGCCTGATGAAACCTGCCCTGCCAAGGCATAAACTTTTGTACTAGCTGTCTCCATATTATGTTCAATAAATTCTGTGCTCTGAATATATTTAAAGGATGCTTCAGTGTAAAATTATTTTGAATGGATGGCTTAATTCCATTGAGATAGGCTTTGGAGTGTGGACTAGAGCCCGTTGCTCGACTCTCACTGCTTTGTAGGAACATGAAATTGGTTTAAATTAAAATCAGAGACCTTTTGCACCAGAAAACAGATCTAAGAGATCACTTAGGTCAACGTCTTCATTTTACTGATGAGGAAACTTTTGCCCAGAGAGCTTAAGCACAGGGACCAGCTTGCATGTCAGTGTTTTCCTATTGGGGGAAGTGTGTGTCATCAGTGATTTACAAAGGTACCCACCTGTGTAAATTGCTTCCAGCTTTGAAAGGTGGGTGGATTCTGTCTTTTAAGTAGTGGTTGACAGTTCTCCATCTTACAGTGTTACCTTGTTAAAACGTTAATGAAAACAATTTTAACTTCTTTTGGAAAAGTAAGGTGGGCAAATGGTAAGACTTCACACAAGACCAAGGGGTACACAGTATACAAAATCAGGTTTCCTCCATTCCCAAACCTTTCTTTCTCCAGAGATATCCTGAACTTTCCATGTGTTGACTCTTTCTGGAGATCTTCTATGCACATATATGTCTGTGTATATACAGCCTTGTGTTTTCCTTTTGTTTTGAGACAGGGTCTCACTCTGTCATCCAGGCTGGAGTGCAGTGGTGTGATCACAGCTCACTGCAGCCTCCACCTCCCAGCCTCAAGCAATCCTCCCACCCCGGCCTCCTGAGTATCTGGGACCATAGGCATGCACAAGCATGCCTGGCTATCTTTTTTATTTTTTTGTAGATATGAGGTCTCTCTGTGTTGCCCAGGCTGGTCTCGAACTCCTGGGCTCAAGCCATCCTCCTGTCTCAGCCTTCTAGAGTGCTGGGATTACAGGCGTGAGCCACTGCACCCAACCATGTGTTTTCTAATACACATGCAACAGCACACACTAACTGCTCTGTTGTGCATGTTCCTTTTTGGACTTTGAAGTTTATCTTGGAGATATTTCATGCCAGCCCACATCATTCTTTATGGCTGCATAATTTTCCTCTGTATGTGCCCTTAATTTACTTAACCAGCCCTCTATGGAGGTACGTTTAAGCAGTTTCTAGTCTCACTGCTAAAGACAACGCTACAACAAACACTCCTACAAATGAGCAGGAATATCACAGAATCAATTTGTAGAGGAGCAGTGGTTGGCTCAAAGGGTGCCTGCATTTTAAATTGTGTTAGATGGCTTCCACATTGCCATCCAAAGAGGAGGTACCAATTCATAGTCCTCGCAGGGTCTGCTGCTTTACGCTTTGCCAGCACCTTGCGCCATCTAACTTTTTGATCTTTCCTCACCTGTAAAATGCACGTGGTGTCTTACTTTGAGTTTGTGGTTCTTTGCATGAGGTTGAGCAGTTGTTTATGTATGTAAAGGCCATTTGAAAACACGATGAAAACCCAGAGTGAAGTAAGGTCAAAGGGAGCAAAGGTTTATCACACAAAGGGCTGATGGCAGAGCAGCAGAAATGAAGAGGCTAAGGGCACACAGTCATGAATGTGGAAATTGGAGTCTACCTTGTTTTACTAACAGGAAAAGGACTTGCAGCAAAGTGTATCGAAGTGGATTGGGCAGAGGGAAATAAACAACCGTTCATGGCAACTGCTAGAGCTCTGATTCTTGACCTGTACTGGCCACCTCACTTGCTCTCATCTGGCTGCATTCATGTCATTCTTGCATCTCTGGGGTCCTTTTAACCATGGCCTTCCCAGAGGGTGCAGGGGAGGCAAATGTCAGCATCCCAGACCAAGGAGAGCTTCTGTAAGAGAGACTGAAAAATGGTGATGGTCATTAAAGAGTTAAAACCCGAAGCGTTAAAACCCCAACTGTGAAGGAGTTTTCTAAACAGCAACACAAGGAGCTATTTTGAAGAAGTGACCACACTGATTTGCCATTATCTCTGGTTAGTGCATTAGAAGACAAAACCTGCTACCTGATAATTTGCCAAGGAGTAATGGGAGTGACATGCCCCATTAGAAACTGAAAATACTCTTCAGAAATTGCACTTAAGAGTCTAGAGTTTTCTTTTTTTCCAAGTAGAACTTTGGCCTCTGTTTTCTTAGCAATGTTTGACTGCTAAAATCACTTCAAAGAAGAAAATAGTACAAATTTGAAGAAACACAAAATTAGTGTTACGGACTTTCTGAAAAATGTTACCTTTATGCCACTTCAAAAAATGTTAAAGAAATGTATAGGGAAGACAAGAAGCTTTTTAAGTCAAACCAAGACCCGCTGTATATTTTAACCCCACCCTGCAGTCACATTGTTGGTCCTAAAAGTGCCTCCACACTAAAGAAAATACTCTCCATTAGTAAAGAGAAAACTACCCTAGAATATTCATCCAGCTTATGTGTGAGGAAGGGCTGGCAGTCCACGGCTAGGGCCCTGGCATGGTCCCCACTTTTCCTCCTGTTTCCCAGAAGCTCAGACTCCCAAATGCTCTGTTCTCCCATGAGTGGGCCCGGCTGCTCTGCTCAGCCCTCTGTGCTCCACCACTCTCGCATCCCAGAGCATTCGAAACCTCTCTTAACACGGTCTGCCCTTTACTGGATTGAAAGCAATTTGAGGGGAAGTTCAAGGTTTTTTTGTTGTTGGGTTTGGTTTTGTGGTGTTTTCAGTTTTTTTTTTTTTTTTTAATACCAAAGTATTTTGTGTGCATAATATAAAAAGCCAAACAGCTATAACAGGCTCATAGTGAAAAGCAGCAGGCTCATATCGCCCTGGGCTACCTCTTCCCAGAGGTTGCCAGTTTAGCACATTGAACTGTTTCTTCTGATATTAACATCTACATTTCCTAATAATGTGGTTATATTACTTTTTCTTGATTTTTCACTTCTATATATTATCTATTGATTTCCTCCTAAGGGAGATAGGGATTTAGCTCTAATAATCTTTCTCCCAACCACATCCCAAGCATAGATTTCTTTCTCTCTCCCTCTCAGTCATGTTATAATTTTTGGCTACATCAGTATACTTTTGCATGATTAAGACTACTGAGATATTGTTTACACCTCTACCTTAAATGTGCTATGCTTATATTTCCCTTTTATGTGTAATCCTTTGTTTTCCCGGAGTCACTACGTCTTAGTGTCTTGTTTGCTCAGTTTCCTATGTATCTATCACAAATTCAGCCCAGACCCTGATAGAAGTGTGAATCTCAGCACAATCACAACACCTCAGGCAATCTGATTTTTCTGGTTTTCTTAGGTCACTCCTGGAGCTCTCTGTTCTCCTGCTCCTCTCTGGACTGACTGCTATCTGAGCCTACTGCACAGCTCTCATTCCAGGGCCTTCACTCACTCTCATCTTTGGAACTCCTTTTGCTCTCTTCTGGATTGGACCCCTTCTTTTCTGGATTTCTAGCTTCCTCTCTCTTACTATCCCATTTTGGGGGTGCACATCCTTTAGCAAGTCTCTGAGCAAGGAGTATGTGGGACATAATTTTTTTGAGAACTTTACATGTTTGAAAATGTCCCATTCTGCTCTTCCACTTGATTGATAGTTGCACAGGGTATAAAACACAAGGTTTAAATCATTCTGAGGATTTTGGAAGCATTGTTCCACTGATTCCAGCTTCTAGTGTTTCCTTTAAGAAATCAAGTGCCATTCTAATTCCCAATTCTTTTTTATTTCTGGGAATATTCTTCAACTTTAATTTCCAACCTTCTTTTGATTTTTTTCTGCTAACATATTTATAGTTTTCAAGACATCTTTCTTTTCCAGTTATTCTTTGTTACAGCAACCTGCTCCAAGATGTATGTATATTTTTTTTCACTGAGGATATTATAGCTCTTTGTTGCTTTGTTCTTTTTTGTTGTCGTTCTGTATTTTTGTATGTTGTTCTGCTTGAGACCAGAAGTGTTTTGTAATTCAGATTTTTTTGGATTTTGGGATATTTACATTATACTTCCCAGTTAAACATTCCTAATTTGAAAATCCAAAATTCAAAATGCTTCAGTGAGCATTTCCTTTGACCATTGTGTCACCACTCAAAAAAGGTTGTGGATTTTGGAGCATTTTGGATCTTGAATTTTCATACTGGGGATACTTAACCTGTATCTAAATTTTTAGCATGATACTCTGCCCTGGGCTGTCCCTAAGTCCAAAGATTTTCGGGTTAAACTTTTGGTTTCTTAAATTGGTTAGGGATGGGATCTAGGAGTAGAATTCCTTTTACAGACTTGTAAAACATTTCAAAGATTCCTCCTGTTTTTAGCCCTACTGTTCTGTTGGCCTCTGCCATGCCTAGGGCCACCATTTCCTAAGCCTTAGGGGGATTCATGGCACAAGTGGACTTGCTTCGGAGCTGTGCCCTTTGACCAACCTGCTTTCCACCTTCTGTAATCTCCCATCAGTGATAAATTACCCATCAGCTTTCCAGATTCCAGAATTTTGCTGACATCTCCTGTTGGCTATGTTCTTATTTCCTTTTCTGTTTATTCCTGTGACCTTGTGCCCTTTAATTCTTTCCCATAATTTGTTGGGACTTCAGAAGGAAGTGGAGCTAAAGGCATGTGTCTGCCTGCCCCATCTTGGCTGGAAGTTGGGAAGGCCTTCCTTCCAAGGCACCCAGCATAGCACCTGGCACATGATGGATGCTCAGCAAATGTCTGTGGGTCTTCTTTTTACTAAACAGGCAGTTGATTTCACCAGAAGTAGTGACCACCTAAGTTTTGGTAATTTTTTTTCTCCTGAGGGATTAAAAACAATGCCAAATGCAGGAGTGAGAGTAGTAGGTTATTAATAACCCCTAGGAAATACATACTGTATCACAGGACAAAGACCCATCCTCACTAAGAGTTTGTTTTGTTTTGTTTTGAGACGGAGCCTTGCTCTGTTGCCCAGGCTGGAGTACAGTGGCATGATCTCGCCTCACTGCAACCTCCACCTCCCGGGTTCAAGTGATTCTCCTGCCTCAGCCTCCCGAGTAGCTGGGACTACAGGTGCTTGCCACCACGCCTGGCTAATTTTTTGCATTTTTAGGAGGTGGAGTTTCACCGTGTTAACCAGGATACTCTTGGTCTCCTGACCTCGTGATCTACCCACCTCAGCCTCCCAAAGTGCTGGGATTATAGGCGTCAGCCACCAAACCCGTTTTTTTTTTTTGTTTTTTTTTTTTTTTTGCCATTTCTCTCAAAATACGTTATTGATTCCATTTGAATCACTTACTATTTTGGGTCTTCCCGTAACTGATGTTGGGGCTGGTTGGCTCCAGGAACCATCAGGTTTCAGCCCATTTTATTGATAAAGAAACTGAAGCTGGCAGGGTCGGGGGTGGGGGAGATGGAGGCTCCAAAACTAAGAAAGGAAAGCCTTGGGTACCTGTGTGAGGCTGAGGCTCTCCCAGTCTCCCTGACCTTTGGGGGATGAGAAGCTTGAGATGGAGTCTCAAGGCACCTCTTACCAGGCCCTGTGGCCTCCTATTTGGGGAGAGCAGTGGTCTTCAATGCCTTTCTAGATATATCCTGGCTACTAGAAAACAGATGTCCTCAAGTTCACAGGCCTGGGTTCTGCTCTGCTCATCTGATTAGAAAAAAAGTCAGCAACATCGAAATTCCAGGCCAGTATAGTGTGTGGGTGTCATCTTGCTGCTTGAATTCGGAGTCTCCAATCAGGTCTTGGAACATGTATTCTTTTAACTGGTATTTATTGACCTCCTACTATGTGCCCGGCACCATTCTAACACTGGGGATCCACAGAGAACAAGACAGACAAGGACCCTGCTGGCAAGGAACTCATTCTAGAGGAGAGGGGCTAACAATAGGTGAAAACCAACAAACGGGATTTTTTTCAGATTTCGGCCACTGACAAATGCTGTGATGAAGTCACTGCGCTGTGGTGGGCGCTATCTTTGGGGTGGTCAGGGGTGAGGTGGGCAGAGCCTTCCAGGTGAGGGAGAACTGGAGCCAAGACCTTGAGAGGGACTGGGTTCCATGGGACTGCAGGAGAGCAAGGAGGCCACTGTGGCCGAAATGGAAGGTAGAGGTGTCAGGTGGGCAGGAGGAGGGTCTGTCTGGAAGCTTGGAAGGGTGGTTTTAGGGAATGTCGACAGGTCATTTGTGCTCATGCTGACATCCATTTAAGCGGGGTTGTGTGTGTGAGAAGGAGCAGGCTTTCAGTCTCAGAACCATCAGGAGCGGACTGGAGGCTGCACGCTACTGTTCAAGTCCCCTCTTGAAGTGGGAACAGCTCTTCCCTGCTTGTCTCCGGTCTGCGATGCTAATGGGTATGAATCAGCCCTGACCAGGCCCTGATGCAGTGCTACATTCTGCGTCAGAAAGCTCCAGTCCCTCGTGTCTGAGTCACCTGTGCCCCCAGGAGAGGATGCACAGACCAGGGCCACGTGCTGGTGGGCCTGCGTCACCAAGCCACACACTGCTGTTCAGCCCGGTAGCACCGCTGGGAGATTAAAAGCATGCGCTTAGTGAAAGGCAAAGAGCTTCTTTTGATAACCAGCATCTGTTAGTTAATGGACCTCTGAGAGCTGTATACAATTTCAACTTTTTATTAAAGAAAAAAAGCTCATTTGCTCTCCTGGGAGTTGCACAATGAAATTATCAACTGCATGGGCTTCCCACCCACCCCCCACCTTTCAACGTGACTGAACATGCAATGGAGAACATTAATTTTATCTGGAAATAGGACTCTAGGCTTTCCTCCCCGTCTGTAGATGAGAGCGCTCTCACGTTTTATGTGAAGGGCAGAGACTTAAGGGGCGGGAGCAAAGGGCTGGAAGGAAGGCTTGGTGCCCATGGGCCTCTGGCCCTGTACCAGACAGTCTCAGCCCCTCAGCCTCTGAAATGACCCCTTCCTTTATCAGCCCAGAGTCTTGGAAGCCCTGACCTTCTGCCTGGGAGAAAAGGGATGGTTGCCCTTTCTTCAGCCTTCGTAGCTCCGAGCAGCATCACCTGCCCCCAAACTAACAAGCCCCAGCGAGCAGAGAGCAACTAAGTCCAACTGAGGGGATCCAGGAAGCTGCTGTCCTGCTCAACACACTCCTTCTCATTAGGGATGGCATCCCACGAAGCAACACTAAATTGCCTTCCCCAAATAAAATCAAGGAATCCTATTCCCTCCAAGAGTGAGGAGGACACCCCAAGCCCGTGGGCTGTGATACAGAGGCCCGGATCTCAGGCTCTGGAGCCCAGCCCCTTCTCTCTGTGCCTTAGTGTCCTCGCGCGCAAGACGCAGAGACTCACACACCTCTCACTGACTCAGCTGGGCCTCTCGAGGGTCGCTGAATCTGGTAGATGGAGGTGATCCGTTCACGGGTCTCAGTGTGAGGCTTAACAGGGATAACCAACATTTACTGAGTCACATATTTATTGAAGTTCTTTCTACCATGCACCAGGCACACTGGACCCTTCCGGAAAGATCGCAGGAAGCGAGTCAGAGCCGAGTCTTTTTCGTTGGAGCTTACATTCTAGGCAAATAAGGTCATTTCCGCCAGTGATCAGTTTTCATGACAAAGAACATACAACTGTGATGCAGTGGACTGACAGAAGGACCAGGGAAATGGGGCTGCTCTTTGGGATGCGAATGGTGACATCTTCAGGAGACAACATCTGGTCTGAGACTTGATTGAAAAGAAAGTGCTCAACTTCTGAAGGTCTGGGGGAAGAGAGGCTAGGCGGAAATCAGGGCTTGTGCAAAGGCCCCAAGGCAGCAAGAGCTCCTGTGATCAAGAAACAGAGAGAAGGCCAGTGTGGCCGGGGCATGTGGAGGCGTGGCTGAGCCTTGCAGGCAACAGCGAGCCAGAAGTCGGGCTTTTATTCTGAGTGCAGTGGAAGCCCCTGGGGGGTTTTCAGCAGGACAGGCAGTGGCATGAAAGCAGAACTGAGAGAGCTGGGGTTTACCTCCACTGGTTTTATTCTCTTTCACACATTCTCTGGAAGACACTCCACTTCCTTTCTTTAGAACTGTAATTCCCTTGGTTGACTTTAATAACCAGCAAGAACATTTTTCAGGCTGTTTAATTTTATTAAAAGGTTCAAATTTGATGATAAATGGTGGCATGGTTACTTCAAGCTTCGGATACAAGACCTGCTCAGCCGTGGACATATCATCGACACCCACTGCCATCCCCACCAGGAGCTCCCCCAACCCTGATGTAGTCTGAGACCGTAAATAATGTAATGATTTCTTGTACTTTGGTAAATATGCCAGGAACACTTGTAGCTGTCTGAGAGCTACAGAGAATACTAACTTGGTGGGCTTTTTTTTTTTTTAAGAGGAAGGATGGGTAATAAGTGGAAGCAATTTCAGCAGGCTGACTGAACCCCACACAGTCTCAGGGAGGAAAAGGGCTTCCCTCTGAAACCATCATTAACCTCACAGACAATTGTTCAAAATCTGTGATAAGAGCTAGAGATAGGGATCAGGAGGAGGAAGGAGGGGGTGAGTCATTGGCCCCCAGTCCTGAAAACCCTTGGGCCCACCAGGATGCCAGTTAATTTCACAGTGTACAGATGAGGCCCTGGGAACATGGGCAGAGTCCCTGGGGAGGCACAGCCTGTTCCCACCATGATGACAGTCCCCTCTGAGCAGAGGACACCAATATATTAGGATTATGGCAAGGAGGCTGGGCAAGGCGGAGCTGCCTAGATGTCGCCATGTAGCCTGGTGACCCCGACCTCTCCCTAGGGTGGGCCCAAAGATACACATTCGGAGATTCTCTTCCTTTGTCAGGCAGGCACAGGCAATCTTGGCAACCGAGGATGGCTGGGCAGGGCGAATTGCAGAGCGCGTTAGTGTTACGGCTGTCATTACTATTAACTATGTTCAGAAGGCTGGAAATGCTGCTCCCCTCCAAAGACCTGCCCCCAGCAGCCAGCCTGGTGCACACTGGCATTTGCCTGGGCCAGGAAGGCTTGGAGGCCGCAGGCTGCTCTGGGGAGGCCATGCTTCTCAGCTTAGATGGAGTCCTCTTCATTTTGCATGCTGGCCCGGGAAAACTGGATTTATCCACATGCAGTGTTGGCAGCTTGAGGTCCGACTCGCAGAAGCACAGGCAAATGCAGACGAATGCCAGCAGTCAGGACTCAGGAAAGCTGAGCTGCCCCTGAAGACACAAGCCCTTTGCCCAAAAGCTGAGAAGCACTGAAAGCCCGAAGTGGCATCTTTAATTCATGGCACCACTTAGAGATCGTATTGCTAAATTCGAATTAATAATCTTTAAACAACAACCTACAGACATGGCAGAACTGTAGGCCTCGTCCCTAGGCAGAGCCTCAGGATCTCCTCTTGCTCCCATCTTGGAATCCCAAGGGTCAGGATGGGAAGAACTGGGGGGAACATGGGATGGGGGTGTTCCGTGTGGCCCCCTGACTGCACCTGTTGGCGAGCTGCCAAGGATGAGGAAAGTAGAAAAATTGGGAGTGATCTTTAGAAACTCACGTAGCGATGAACATCACTGCCGCATCCAAGTGCTTGACTGGGGACCCGGGCTGTGGGATGTGGTATAGGCTTTGCAGGGGTTAAGCTCATGTCCTGAGCCACATGGGACACAGGCAGAGTTTGGAAGCAGTGGGGCTGTGCATCCATCCATGACAGAGCAGAGGAGAATGGTTCCTTCCCTACAGCTGCCAGGAGGGAGTCTGAAGGGTTGAATGGGTGTCCAGAGCCGCCATCCTGATGTCAAGTCCAATGTCATAGCCAGTGGAGGAAGGCCAGCCCTAGAACTAGGGGCAGAAGTGGGAAGGGGGCTATGTGAAGACCCCCTGTGCTGGGGTGCTTCTGCAGCGATGGCCTGTGCTGCGGTGGCCTGGAGAAGTCGGGGGCCTCCCCATGACAGAGCACCAGGGGTGCTTGGTAGGAGGTGGGACGTTTCTCTGGGGTATCGGGACTTGAGCCATCGGTGGGCCTTTGTCCGATGAAGAGCAGGCTTTGCCCGAGGGGGTCTTGTTCCATCTTGAAAAGCTCGTACTCCACATGCGGGAGCCGGATGCCCAGCGGTAGGCAGCCGTTGGTGGCTGTGACATCCCGCTCAGTGCCCATGGACCAGGCCCCCGCACCCCCACAGCTGCTTGGCTCAGAGAAGTTGAGCATGGCCGTGGTGACCTGGTCCATGGGGGTCACATGGGCCCGTGTGACCTCAAACACCAGCTCGGTGCCGCCGCGGACCCTGGTGGATGGCGTGCCCCTGGTGTAGCGGCCGGCGGCATACACGGTGAAGGTGGGCTGCCGGCAGGCTGGGTCTGAGAAGTGGTGGTAATACCCTTCCCAGGAGCGGCTGTGCCCGTGGAAAGTGAAGAGCCGGGTGAGGAACAGGACTGCTGGGCGCACCTCGCACCCCGAGCTGACCCACCAGCCGCCCAGGTGCAGGGGCAGGGCCAGAGGGGGCGGCAGCACGGGCGGGTGGTGCACATCGGAGCGGGCAATGAGGCCACAGGCTGGGCACGGCTGCACGTGGTGCTGGCAAAAGACAAACAGAAAAACGGTGG
Source organism: Homo sapiens (assembly GCF_000001405.40). NCBI lineage: Eukaryota > Metazoa > Chordata > Mammalia > Primates > Hominidae > Homo > Homo sapiens. The sequence goes on from NC_000020.11 coordinate 58,461,584, forward strand.
TTGTCCCACATAGAGAAGTTGGGGTGCAGCCTGGAAAGGAACCCCAGCTCTGTAGGGGTGTCAAGGCAGGGTGAGGTGCGGCCTGTCCCTCCCTCCTCTCTCTCCTCACTCCCTGCCTTCAGTCAGGACGACCTCCTTGCTTCAGCCAGGATGGCCTCCTTGATGGAGGTCAGCCCCTGTATCCCCCGGGCCTTGGGTCTCCTGCTGTCTCTTCCACCTGGAATTCCCCGCCAGCTCCTTCTTACCTCTTAGGTCTCAGCTGGGCACCAGAGAGAGCTTTCCCGAATGCCCCATGTAAGGTGGGCCTCAGGGCTGTCACACCACCCTCTTTTATCTTCCTCATTCCACCCCCTGAGACTCTCCTCTCTCTACCCCTCACCCCTCATCAAACTGGAATGCATCGTGCCTTACAGTACTAAAAAGCCCTAGAAAGCCGGGACTGTCTCTGCGGCTACCCCATCCCCACCGCACAGGGCTTGGCTCACAGCAAGCACATATTTGTTGCATGAATAAATGAGAAATGAATGGAAGCATAGGTGGCCTTCGTCTTGGGACCTGAGAGAACTTGTCCTTGCTCATGCCCAGTCTGCTTGGTCCTGGAATTTGACCGTGAAAGTTGATCTTTTTCTAGCTCACTCTTCTAGGTGTTTCAGAAGTGCCAAGAACTATGCTAAGCACTTCCTGGGCAACTGGTACATGTTATAGCTGAGGGAGCTGAGACCCAGAGGGCCGGCTGGGCTGCCCAGGTTGTCCAGCCTGGAAGTGGCAGAGACCAGCTGAAATGCAGCCTGGCTTACACCCGGCTGTCTGAGCTCCCCCTCTCATGTGCTCATAGCAGGTTACATCTTCCCTACAGGTGGAGAATAGAGGATTTTTGTCTTTAGAAATCTCACAGTGGAAGGTGCGCATCATTTGCTCTACCTACCCCATGGAAAGTGGATATGGCAACAAGGATCAAAAGCCATCAAAATATGTCTGAGCCGGGCACAGTGGCTCACACCTGTAATCCCAGCTCTTTGGGAGGCTGAGGTGGGCAGATCACTTGAGGTCAGGAATTCAAGACCAGCCTGGCCAACACGGTGAAAACTCATCTCTACTAGAAATACAAAAATTAGCCTGGTGTGGTGGCACATGCCTGTATTCCCAGCTACTCAGGAGGCTGAGGTAGGAGAATTGCTTGAACCTGGGAGGTGGAAGTTGCAGTGAGCTGAGATCACACCATTGTACTCTGGCCTGGGGGACAGAGCGAGACACCATCTCAAAAAAAAAAAAAAAATTGGCCAGGTGCAGTGCCTCATGCCTGTAATCCCAGCACTTTGAGAGGCCCAGGTGGATAGATCATGAGGTCAGGAGATCAAGACCATCCTGGCCGACATGGTGAAATGCCATCTCTACAAAAAATACAAAAATTAGCCAGGTGTGGTGGTATATGCCTGTGATACTAGCTACTCAGGAGACTGATGTAGGACAATTGCTTGAATCAGGGAGGCAGAGGCTGCAGTGAGCCGAGATTGTGCCACTGCACTCCAGCCTGGGTGACAGAGCAAGACTCCATCTCACAAAAAAAAAAAAAAAAAAAAAAAATTATGTCTTTGGAAGCCCATTGCTTAAGTCTGCGCGAAGGAGATAGTTGAAATCTCGTAAAGAGCTGGGACTCAAAGATGTTCATTGTCGTGTTATTTGTTATAGGGAAAACCGGCCACACTCGGGTCTTCAGGTGCCACCACACCCTCCCTTGTCCCAGGCTATGAGTTGGTTTTCCTCTGTCTTTGCCCTTATTTACAGTTGTCTCTGCCTTACAAACTCTCGTGAGCTGGGTTTACCGTAAAACACGTTAACAGGAAACAGATGCTAAAGCAAATTGTGTGGGAGTAGTCTGCATTTTGGAGTGAAAAAGCTCAGCAGACGCTAAAAAGGAATGAGATACAGATTTCTTCTTTCTTCTTTCTCCTTCTTCTCCTTCTCCTATTTTATTTCTAAAAAAGAAGCTGCCGCCCAGATTGTAGGCCAGAGCGCCGTTCTGGAAGGTAAATGGCCTTGGAACTTGTCAAAGCTGATGTGAGAACAAGCAAACATCTCCTGCTGTGGCCATTCCAGAAGGAAACTTAGAGTTGCAGTCCAGGCAGGACAGCCACAGGAAGGGGGCATTTTGAGGGTCCAGCTGGGAAATTTGTTCCAATATATTTTTTCTTGCAAAAATCCCAAAAGACTTCCACACAGCACTGCTGAGTGAGTTTCATGCCAGACGAGTGGCACTTAGAAGTTCTGGTTTAGAAAGAAAATACTGGATGATTGAGAACAGTTTTTTTTTGGGGGGGGGGGGCGTCACATTTTATAAGCTGTTATTTTTTATTTCTATAATGAACCTTAAGTTTCCTTGATTTATATAATATCGGAGACCATATTGGCTTTGGTTATGGGGATTTGGGCCCAGAGAGCTTGACGGTTCTCTGAAATGCTAGCAAATGGCTGCAAAAATGTTTGTGATGGGAGCAAGCAAGCTTGATAGTTAGCCGGAGTGTTGGTGATTGGGATGCCGGCTGATAAGAGTCGACTCTAATTTTGGCATTTTAACCTACATTCTGAGCTGTCACACTAATATATATTGAGAAGACATAATGCGTTACAGCAACATAATCCCAGAGCTGTCCTTACCCACCACAAAAGACAACCAAAAGATATTCTCTGCAGATAGGACATTTAGGGCTGCTAGTTGGTAATCTGGGGTGAGCAGTTTTCTGCAGAGCAGAAACAAATTGAGAAGCAGCAAAGTTTTAAGGTGAAAGAGGGATGAGAAAAAGCATTTCCTTCTGTGGTGCTTTTGAAGCTGGTGAAACAAGGTTCCCGGCTCCATGGGAAATCTTTCGGGCATCTTTCTGCAGAGGTCTGAAGTCTCATGCGTTAATAAACAAAGCCCCCAGCCAGCAGAATTCACACTTGTACAGAAACCAAACTCTTACTCGTTTAAGCCTGTTACATAAAGTTATTTCTCAAACAGCACAAAACAGTTTCTAATTAACCCCCAGAGGTGACACCAGGCTCAGATAATTTTGGTCCAGTGTTGGCTGATTGATTAGCATTCTATATCCAGGCAATGAATTTGGGGATCAAATTGGTTTTAAATTAACTTCTAAAAATGTTCATGTTTACCATCTGGTTTGGGTCGTGGGCAAGGCGTGGGCCCCAGAGAGCTTAAGGCAACAACTGATTCATTTCTTGGGGATTTCTCTGCAGCAATTCCTTCTTTGAAATTATCTGTCTTTTCTTTCTTTCTTTTTTTTTTTTTCTCCCAAGGAGACGGGCCATTGGTGAGCAGACCTTTAATGTAATGTCTGTACATCTGGCACCGTTCATCACTGCATACATTTCTATGTGTTTTGCTTCTCCATCACATTTCAGGCTGGATTGGTCACCCAGGTTGGCCGGGCAGCAGGGAGGGCAGGGACAGCCATGGCCCCAGAGTCCTGCCTGGGGATGCATGAAATTGCCAGCCCCCACAGCCCCCGGGGATCTGTCCTCTCTGCATTCAGAGCAGTTTCCCCTCCTAATGAGGTGGTGGTGGCCGGTAATCAACTCACCGCTAGCGCCTTCTCTGAACTAAGTAGGATTAACGCCAGACCAGCCTAGAACACTGGTTGCCAAAAAGGGAATAATTTTGAGGTCATAAAAAGAACTCTGAGGCTGATTTTCTGATTATGAGAACTTCGTGTCGTGCTCCTCCTCTGCTATCCAGATCCTCAGTTTGGAGGAGGGGGTGGGGGAAGGGGAGGAAGGCAGGCTTCTGGTCTGTCTCATCCACAGTGCTCCCGCATTGGGGCAATAACAAGTGGGTACTACCAGGGGTTAGAAGTTGCCTCATTGGTTTAGTTCCTTGAGTGTCCAGTACACGGTAGGCAACAAATACATGCTGAATGATGTGAAGGTGGCCTAAGAGCTCCAAGAGGACTTCATGGGGATGCTGAACACATCCATCCATCCACACCCATTCATCCACCCTCCCTCCATCTGCTCGTTTGTGCACTCAAGAAATACGCATTGGGTGCCTTGTACAGAAGTTTTTCACCTCGAATGCTAACCTCAACTTCATTTTCACTAACCTTTCACTAATAAAAGTTAACATTTCTTCTCATTGTAAATGGAGGCAACGAGCCCCAGTAGCGTCAGCAGAACCTCTGACCTTGTATGACACTAACAGCATTGCAGGTACTGGAAACATGGTTTGCAGTCGTCCCTGCTTTGAAATGAGGGCAAATAAAGATTTCACATTTATCGTTTCTCTATATCACAAATTAGCGTTTTAAAACTTGGGTAACTGTTTTAATAGAACTGGTTTTCATTTAAATCCCACGTATTTTCTCTTATGCTTTTTTTAAAAACAGATTTTCTGAGGGGGGTTCCTTAGGCTTCACCAGCCACCAGAGGGGTCTCTGACACTGGGAAGGTCCTAGGTCCACACCCTTGTAGGAGCCAGGCTCTGAGCTATGTGCCAGGAGCCATTATACAGTAAAGTTACGTTTCTTTCTGCCTGTTTGCTCATCTGGCAAAAAAAAAAAAAAAAAAGTGTGCTGGGGGACTGCTAGATCCTCCCCAAATTAGGACGGTATGCGTGCAATGGCTTCTTCTAAAATCTAGGTTAATCAGCTTCAATGAAATTCGTGTTGGAGTCAAGGCGGAACATGCTAAAGAGAGGGTGGTTTCCTTTAGCCTGCAGCCTCCCCACACCCCGGACAGCTTGCTGGAAATGCAGAACCCCGGGCTCCACCCAGACCTGAAGGATCCCTTTCGGCCCTCTCACAAGAAGCCCAGGCCACGTGGCTTCGCCGTCTGGTTTGGGAGTGGGCGAGGGTGGCGCCCCAGTGGCTGTGCGGCTAGGTCAGTGTGAGGCTCGCACTGAGATTTCGAGGGGGTGGCATCTGGGCTGGTGTGCGCGGCCCCAGCGGCGCCCTGGAGGAAAGCTGCCCTCTCCCTAATTCATCCATCCACGTTTATTGGTCCTGATCGTCGGCCTGACCCGTGCTAGGTGCCCGCTGTGGCCCCACCCTTGTGAAGGACCTAGCGCCAGAGGGAGAGGCAATAAACAAGTCACCAACAGAGCTTCAGAGCGGGCTGAGAGCTGGCAAGGGTCACCTGCGGGAAACGGGGAACGGTAGAATGGGGACTGGAGCGGATATTTCAGCCGAGAACTAAGGGAGGGGGACACCCACCAAGCCTCTGTGCCCAGCAGGGGCAGAAATGAGATCCTGCAGTGCCCACGAGGACAGGGGCCGGGGAGGACTAGCGTGGGAAGGCCGACCAGAGGCCCGCCAGCCTTGTAAAGGCTGAAAAAAGATGTCTCCAGCTGCGTGAACAGGGTGCGCAAATGTCCTGAGGCACGCGGACCAGAGTGGGGAGGGGCAGTGATGACAGCCGGGCAGCCAGAGCCCTGGGCAGGCCCAGGTCTTGCAAAGCTGCGGGGCTGGGTTCCGAGCTCGCCTCCCCGAGACCACCACCCCCCTCTCCCACACCCCAACACACACACTCACCAGTGCGCTCTGCAGCGGGCGCTGGTAGCCCGTGGGCCGGTAGTGCCGCCTCTCCGCCGGGTCGGTGTGGATGTCCCCCAGGTACAGCTCCTCCACCAGCCGGGGCGACGCCCGGGGCTGCGGCTGCAGGCGGCGCTGCACGCGGACCAGGCTGAGCTCGTGCATGGTGAGGCCCAGCGCCTCCAGGCAGTCCCCCTGAGCCCGGGCGCTCCGCAGCTCGTACAGCGCCCCAGGCAGCCAGGCCCGGGCCGGAGGCAGCCGCCGCGCGCAGTCCCGGCCGGCGCGGGTCTGGTTGAGGCGCCCGGTGACGTCGACCAGGGCCCGGCGGCTGTGGAAGACGATGCCCACCTTGTGCAGGTGGTAGTCGGCCTCGGTGGCTCCCCGGGTGACCCAGGAGGCCCGGCGCAGGCGGACTTTGCCCTTGACGAGCAGCGAGTGGGCAGGTTCCCCGCAGAAGGGGTCCTCGTAGTAGAACTGGTGGGCTCGAAAGAGCCGGCTGGGGTAGAAGGTGTAGGCGCGGGTCAGGAACTCCGGTCCTGGGCGCACCTCGCAGCTGCAGGGGTGGAAGGAGATGGGCTGGGTGCAGAGGGAACACCGCGCCGCGAGCCCCTCTCCCCTCTGGGCTGGGCTCCTTTCTCCCCCCCAGCCCTCCTCTTAGTCCTCAGCTCAGGCCTGGGCCCCTCCAGCCTCAGTTCCCCTCACTGCTCGCAGTCAGGCACCCTTGGGGCTGGGGCTTTGCACTGGATGCCTCGTGGCCTCGACACAAGCCTTCTAGTTCATTCTCCTTTCCTTCAATCTGAATTGCCCTGCTGGAGGGCCTTTTGCAACCACCTGGGGACCCGCTGGCCTGGGAGCTCCGGGATGCCCTGCCTGCTTCCTCCCCCGCTGGACTCTGGGCACCTGGCCCAGAGCCCGCCCCACTCCCTCCCGCGTCCTTGCTGAGTGAATGGAGGCCCGTCTTGTCTCCCCCTTCTCTAGGCTCACTGCCCTGACCAGGTCTCATCCTTGCCTGTGACAGGGCTTGAAGATATAAACCAGGAGTCGGCAAACTTTTTCTGTAAAGGGCTGAGTAATAAATATTTTTGTTTTGGTGGGCTGGGTGGTTTCTGCTGCAACTACTCAAAGTTGCCATTGTAGAGCTAATGCAGCTATAGATGATACGTGCATGGATGGGCATGGTTGTGTGCCAATAAAACTTTGTTTACAAAAATGGGAAGTGGGCTGGACTTGGCCCCAGACTCCATTTGCTGGTGATACAAACAGATCCAGGGGAAGGGGTTGGACGGAGAAGAAAGAGAAATGACTCCTAGACTCACGGTCAACCTGGGGATGGGGCAGAGGAGGCCTCTGGGACTTCCTACTGAGGGCGCAGGTAGGGTGGACGGTGGATGAAGTCGGGGGAAAAATAGCAGGCACCCTCCTCACGATTTTACTCTAACCAGGTACCCTCTTGTACTGCTATTTTCTTTCTTATTTTTTTGAGACAGAATCTCACTTTGTCACCCAGGCTGGAATGCACTGGTGCAATCTCGGCTCACCGCAACTTCTGCCTCCTGGGTTCAAGCAATTCTCCTGCCTCAGTCTCCCGAGTAGCTGCAATTACAGGCATGTGCCACCATGCCCGGCCAATTTTTGTATTTTTAGTAGAGATGGAGTTTCGTCATGTTGGCCAGGCTGATTTTGAACTCCTGACCTCAATCAATCTGCCCATCTCGGCCTCCCAAAGTGCTGGGATTACAGGCGTGATCCCAGCCCATTTTCTTGATATTTTTTTGTACCAGGGCTGTTGGAGCAGAGGAAACATGTTATCACCCAGCAAGGAAATAATTCCCTTTTCTTTTCTTCCATCTTTTTGATAATGTTGAGGGGAAATTCTCTGGTCAGAGCTAATGTGTCTTTAATGCCAACCTCCCTGTTCTCCCAGAGAGAGCAACTTAGAACTTCGGGTTGGCAACAGATCTACAGAGGATTTATGTTGTTTTGTTTTCATGGAATTTAATTTTACAGTTACCTTTAATTTATGACAAGTGGCTCTGCTCCCCATATCCAGGATAATATTACGTTTTCTTTAAAAATAATCACATTACACTGTCAATGTATGCCAATTATATCTCAATAAAGCTGTAAAAATAAATGAATATATTTTAGTAAATAAAAGCAAGTTGGTTTACAGAAAATGATAAGTAAATACTAGTATAGGTACTTAAAAATAGGGAGGGGTGAGCCACACCCCTGAGGGTCTCAGGCCTGGAGAGGGGAGATTTGCCAGGAGGACACAGCAGGTCACACTGGACCTCTTGATGGTTCCCAGGCTCTGGGGCCTTTCCCACTCTTCTCCCAAGAAGCAGCAAGGTCAGTCTGGAGAGCATGGCAGGGAACTTTCAAGGAAGAAAGTTCTAGAAGAAATTTCTTAAAAGAACTGCTCCAGAATGTTACTGTCTTGGGGCAGAAGCAGCCTACAACCAGCGTCCCCCCTTCCTGTACCCCAGTTCTGTCTGGGTGACCCTGGTGAGTGGATGCCTGGATCTCCCCTGGACTGTGCCGTGGGCGTGGGGGCTGTGTGCAGCCTGGCTGAGCCTGCAAATGCATTCGAAGTGGCCTCGAAGGACTCATGTCCCCTTCCTCCAACGAAAGCGCTAGCAGATGTTTGGCAGTCGGGAGTTTCTGCCTGACCTCAGGAGGTACAGGAAGGACACGGAGAGGCCAGTCCTTGACCCCAGAATGGGACTGGCCTGGAGGGGATGTCGGGGGAAGGAGGAATATGCCAGGTGTGAAGGGGGCCACAGCCTCCCTTTTCCCCGATCCCTGCCCCAGGAGTGGGACTCAGCTGGCTGCTGTAGGGTTTGTGCACCACAGATGAGGAGAGAATGCAAAGTCCATTGGCCGCAAAGCAGCGACTGAGCCTCTGAAATGTCGAGTGAGCCTGTCAGGTTAGACAGAATTAGATGGGTGCACCCAGGCTCTCCCTGGCCTGCCACTTCCCGCCCCAGGGCCCTTCAGCAGCTGCCCCCTCTGCCTGGCTCTTCCCTGGCTCTCTAGATGGCTGATTCCTCTCCTTTTAGCTCTCAGCTGATGTCACCACCTCCAAGAAGCCTCCCCTGATCACTCTCTAAAGAACCCTCCAGGTCACTTGCTATCACATCTTTGGTTTTATTTCCTTCATTGAAGAACTTAGTGCAATCTCAAGTTTATATTATTCATTTGTGTGTTCGCATGTTGAGCGCATGTCCCACTGCTGACCCCTGGCACTTAGCTCGTAATAGGTTTGTATAATAGGTGTTCAAGGTGTTGAATGGATTTTGACCATGGACGTGATGCCCAACAGAGTCCCTGCCTCCCATTGCACTCTGGGAGGGGAGGCAAGCATCTCCAGCAGCTTGGCAGGTAGAAGGCCTCTTGGATAACTATGTGAATTATGCCCATTTCAAAGATTGGATGCCGAGTCCCAGAGGCAGAAGTCTCCCAGTCCAGGGGTCCATGGTCAGGATGACCTGAAGTCTTACCCTGTGGAGATCCAAGGTCCATTAAGGCGTGGAGGCAGGATCGCAGTGCTGGGCACTCTATCTGGCAAGGGCTGCTGGCAGTGGGGTTCCCAGCGCAGGCAGCTGCCCCCGGCCTCCCCAGCCGCCGGTGCAGTGTGGGCTGCAAAGCAGACAGACCTGGGTAAGACCCCAGCATGCCCCGGGAACACCCACCCCATCTGCCCTCCCAACCCCACTGTGGCCACAGAGAGCCAGGCAGGGCTGTCCCGCAACCTCCATCGCAGCCCCGTCCCCAGGGTGCCCCAGTTCTGGAGACAGTGATGGGTTCCCCATATTGAGGATCCTAGAATCAGCCTCCCCGACGCATCTCCTCCTGGGTTCCCAGATGTGATCACCCTAGAATCCAAGCCTCCTAGATGGAGCCTGTCCCAGATTCTGGGGCTGGGAGGCCTCTGAGAATTGTACACGTGGAGCAGACTCTTAGAAGCCCAGACCTTCCACGGGCTCATCAGCCGTGGCTGAGTCCTGCCTGCTGGTGGCTGAAGGACCCACGCTCCTGGACAAAGGGCACTCTGGACTCAGGACCCAAGGTGCTGGGGACAGTGGGGCCCTAGCCTATCCCTAGAGCAGACCACTCCCCTCCACCAAGGAGCCCTGGGGGCTGCTTGGCCTCTCCCGGCACACAGCAGGCCCCTCGAGGCCACTCGCTTCAGGTCTCACCTGGTGCTGGGCACCTGCTATCTACTCGGTGCTCAGCGAGCGTGTGGCAAGGGAAAGAGCGCATGGCCGCTGCAGAGGCCCGGGCCGAGGTGTGAGGCCAAACAATGCAGGCCCTGCCCTTCTTCAGGGCTCCGTCCCTAAGCCCAGACACCAGGGGGAGGAATTGGGCTCAGGGCAGAAGGTGACTGGAAGATGGACACGGGAAGCAGGCGCTGCAGCACAAGCTCCAGGTCCTCTAGAGTGACCCCTAGATGAGCTTGGCTGGGCCTGGAGAAGTGAAGCCCGGGAGTGGGACTGTTCACGATCTTTTCTCGGGCTGCTGAGAGGCGAGAGTGCCAAAACCTTCAGCTGCTAAAGAGCAGCAGCTCTCCCAGAAACTGTCATCTCCAATCAGGGCTGATGGGCTTGAGATGGCCCAGATGACGGGATGCTGTGGGAAGCTCGGCAGTGAGCTGCGTCCAAATACTCCAGCCACGGGCTGTGCTCAGGGGCGCTGGCCTGGCCCTGGAGGCCCAGCTCCTGCAGCGAAGCTTCCAAGCATGGCTCTTCCCACCCAGCCTGGGGCTGGAGTGGGTCAGGAGGGGCTGAGTCTTAGGGCTCCAGTCCAGGGGATGTGGGGGCCTGGCAGTAACTTCAGGAGGCCTTGGGAGGGGTTGGGGGCTGAGTTGAGAAGTGAGCAGATGGCGTGTTCTGTCCCTTTCCTGACCTTGCAGGCAGACCTTCCCAGCAAGGGTTCAGGAGAGCTGAGGGCCCCCCACTGCCCCCGCGGAGCTGCCTGACCCCAAACTCTCTGTGCCCCAGGGGTATTTGAGGAAAATGAGGCAGAGTGGATTCCTCAGTTCCCTTGAGGTTGGGGGTTGCCTCTGGAGACTTTTGGGGTCCCCAGTGATCAGCTGAGAAGGCAGGAGTGACGCTGATTATGACAAGGGGGATGACGGCACCTGTTAACTGGGTGTGGACCCCTTGCTCTTTTATACATTATTCCCATCTGATCTTTGCAATAACCCTGGAGTCGGTGTTAGCATCATCTTCCTCTCATGGGCAGAGAAACAGGCTCAGCTCAGAGATGGGCTCAGCTTCCACGGGGCACATGCCACCCGGATGTGGCAAAGCCAGGATGTGAGCCCAGGTTGTTGGACTTCGGGGTGTGACGGCGTCACCGGTGCTTGTCTCACATCCCCAGAGAACACAAAAGGGGCTGACTTGGAGACGGGGTAAAACGCAGGGCAGTCAACAAACATTGGCCGACTGAATAAACGAAGGTATGAGTACAAATGCTGGTGTAGCCCTAGGTCCCTGTTGTAATCTTGGTTCATCCTGCAACTGATTTATTGGCTTTAATTAGCCAAATAGGAGAAATGAAAACAAATAGCCACCCAGCCAGGGCCAAGGTGTCCCCACACCGACTCATCAGCACTTGGGGCCACTCTGCCAAGTGAAAGAAATGCCAGTGGGATCTTGAAAGAGAGAGGCCGTGGTTGTTTTGTCTCAACTTGGCACGTCTACTTTGCAGGAATTTGTGGCAGGATATTGTAGTGGGTACGTAGGCACCAAAGTTGGGCCAGATCCCCATGCAACTCGCCAGGAGTCCTGAGCTGACGGGTGCACGTCAGCGTCAACACCACGTGCATGTGGGGCTTCTGCAATCTGCTTCTTCAGAAGACACTGGGTTTCCTGGATTCAATTCTGCAGGTTAATTTGAACATCTTCAGTGTCAACGAAACCTGTCCAAAAGTGTTGATTTGGGGGAATGGATGAAAACAGAGCGAGGAAAAGGATCAAAAGGGGTCAGCAATATTTGCCTGGTAGGAAAATCAAGCTTGCGTTTCAGAGTAAAATAGTGAAGGGGCCCTGCAAATTATCTTGTCATTGTTTCCACAAAACTTGGGCTCTTGAGGAAATGTTTTTCTGTTCAAAAGAAAACAAGGCTTTTTTTTTCCCCCTGCACCCTCCCTGAAGTCACTGAGACTAGATGGCCCTTTTGTCATGAATCCTCAGATCCTGTGTTTCTGCCGAGTGCATTTTAGTTTATCTTGTTTTTCTGTGAGGAACTGGGATTTAATTATGTTGGGAGACTCTGAGATACAGCGAAGTGTTGCTGCATTCGGAACATGTACACACAAATGCGAAGAGCTCCTCAAGATGCACCTGTGGAGGAGCATCACGTGGCCTCTTGGTCATGCGTGAAGTCTCAACTTCAAGGTTGCAAAAACGAAATTAACCAATTATAAATGATTCCATGACATTTTCTCCAACATAGCTCTTGGGGTAGATGTTGGATTTTCTTTGCTTCCCCCCCCACCCCTTCTCTTCCTCCAAAAAAGTCTTAACTAAAGAAATAACAGCTGAAAGCAGATGGTGCGGTGGGTTGGGTTACACAACTTTTTGCAGGGAAGTGATAGACGGAGTTAAATGCATGGACCAAATTGACTTTTATCAACCATGGATTTTTAATTAACAGTGGTGTCCACTTACTGTCATTCATTATTTACTGTTTACCCACTAATTAAAAATTATGCTGTTTTTGCATTCATAAGAGCAGGGACATTTGAAATTAGATAGCATTGTTCAAATTACCTGCAGAATTAAATCTAGAGTTCCCAATTGCTCAGACCAGGCTACCGGAGCTTAAAATATGACCTGCTTGAGGCCGATGTGTTATCCTGAATCAGAGCACCAGAAACAGGCCTCATGAACAAATACCATATGGACCTGCCTGGGGCCTTCCGGGGAAAGGACACTCACTGAGCACACCCAGAAGTGTGGGCACTTGGCTAAGATTGTCTTGAGATCATCAAATGGTGCCCAGCGTCTCCTGAGCACACATTCTGGGAGGCCCAAGGCCAGGTGCTTCATCTGCATCATGACCTTGAGTCCTCACAGCGGCAGCGTGTCAGTACCTTGGCAGAGCCCAAAGGATTGACAGGTATAATCGACACAACCACCCGTGACATGGGTTCTGTCAATGCACCCATTTTGCTGATGAGGAAACTGTGGTTCAGAGGGGTGGAGGGACTTGGCCATTGCCACTCCTCCACAGACAGATGCTTCTTAGCTAAATAAAACACAACAACACACCTAGTAAAATACACCTAACATAAAAGGTACCATCTTGGCTGGGCACGGTGGCTCACACCTGTAATCCCAGCACTTTGGGAGGCCGAGGTGGGCGGATCACCTGAGGTCAGGAGCTTGTGACCAGCCTGGCCAACATGGTGAAACCCTGTTTATACTAAAAGTACAAAAACTAGCTGGGCATGGTGGCGCGCACCTGTAATCCCAGCTATTCGGGAGGCTGAGGCAGAAGAATCGCTTGAACCCAGGAGGCAGAGGTTGCAGTGGGCCAAGATCATGTCATTGCACTCCAGACTGGGTGACAAGAGTGAGACTCAGTCTCAAACAAAACAAAACAAAACAAAACAAAAAATAACAGGCACCGTTTTAACCATTTTAAAGTGAACAATTTGGTGGCATTAGGACATTCACAATACCGTGCAAACACCAACACGATCTCATTCCAGAATGTTGTCATCACCTCAAAAGGGGACCCTGTGCCCATCAGCAGTCACTCCCGCTCCCCTCTCCTCTTAGATCTCGGCAACAATGACTCCGCTTTCTGTCTCTGTGGATTTGCCTATTCTGGATATTTCATAAAGATGGAATCCCACACTCTGTGCCCTTCTCTTACCTCCCTTCCCCAGCAATTCTCCTAGATGGGTGTGGTTATTCCAGTTTGCAGATGAACAGTGGAGGCCTAGAGAGGCTTCACTCCTGGGGCCACAATTTATGTTTTCTTCAAAGATCATGAAAAACGCAGGTATGGATCAAAGAGAGAAGAGGGTGGAGAAAAGATGTGAGTTTTGTAGTCAGAGCAGAGGGAGAAATATCAGCTTTTCAGGTACCTTTCTTCTGGGGGTAAAAAGCAAAAGAAAAGTACTTTTTTCTCCTGTAATCTGCTTGTTCTGAGGTTCTCGAAGCAAGGCACGAACGAACACAGGGTGGGGTGCGAGGTGATTTCAGGCGCGAAGCGAGCACTTCGTATTCCAACAGTCACGCGTCGGTTTTAGAGGGTGTTAAAAGTGGCGGTAGTTATCATAACAGCCTTGTACTTGCATGGCCCGTTTTTCTGAGGACTGAGTTTTAAAAGGTGATTGATCTGAACTTGATATTAAAATATTTGGTATTTTAATTATTTTCTTTTAATATTTTAATAAAATCATATTTTATAAGGAGATGTACAAGGGACTCGTGGGTGTGGTAAATGGCCTGAGGGTGGTGCACGGAAGACGGAGGGAGGAGCAGCTCAAGGTGAACTCGTCACCTCACCTGAGGCACGCGAAAGGAGAGCATCTGGGCATCTCAGGGCTGCCACGACAAAGACCACACGCTGAGTGGCTGAAGCAACAGGAGTCGATCCTTTCCCAGTCTGGAGTCTGCAAGTCTGAAGTTTGAAATCAAGGTGTGGGTAGGGCCTCTCCCAGCACCTGGTGGCTCCAGGTGTCCCTTGGCTTGGGGCTGCATCACGCTGGTCTCTACCCCCATCTTCCCATGGCCTTCATCCCTACTTGTGTGTTTCCTCTGTCTGCACCTGTGTCCAAATCTCCCTCTCCTTTCTTTTATAAAGGCACCAATCCCTGGATTAGAGCCCACCCTAATCCTAATCCAGTGTGACTTCATCCTAACTTGATTACATCTGCAAAGACCCTATATCCAAATAAGGTCCTATTCCCAGGTACTGGGGGTTAGGACTCGAACATATCTTTTTTGGGGGGTTACATTCAACCCACAGCAGATAACAAGGGCCATCCAAAATTGAGGTCCCCCAGGTGACCCAACTATCATTCATTCATTCATTTCTTCTCCCCAACACAAACACTTATTTTTATTTATTTATTTATTTTGAGACGGAGTCTTGCTCTGTCGCCCAGGCTGGAGTGCAGTGGTGCAATCTCGGCTCACTACAACCTCTGCCTCCCAGGTTCAAGCAATTCTCCTGCCTCAGCCTCCTGAGTAGCTGGGACTACAGGCGCATGCCACCATGCCCTGCTAATTTTTGTATTTTTAGTAGAGACAGGGTTTCACCATGTTAGCCAGGATGATCTTGATCTCCTGACCTCGTGATCCACCCACCTTGGCTTCCCAAAGTTCTGGGATTACAGGCGTGAGCCACTGCGCCCTGCCCCAAATACTTATTGAATGCCTGTTGTATGCCTGGAAATGAAATGGACTCTGGGTCTATATGGCTGCACATGATGGTCAGAATTCCTGTTCTCCTGGAGAGACTGACATTAATCAAATAGACTCACATCAGAGTAGAACTTCAAACCATCCCAAGTGTCTTGATGGAAATTTAAACAATGGCCAACAACTTCAATGATTTCCCAGTGCACTTGGTTCAATATCCAAGCTTTCTTGTGTAGCCTCGAAGCCCTTTGAAACTGGGTGCCTTTTTACCACCAGATCATCCACCCCATCCCACCGTGCTTTTCCACTGTGAGTCCCTAGTGCTGAAAGGGCAAACCTTTGGCTGCCTTGAGGCTATTGCCTGTGCTGTTCCATCCTCTGCTCTGTGCTGGGCTCTCCATCTTCGCGGAGATCTCGGCATAAATGGCATTTCCTGGCAGTGCATCCTTTCCAGGCACCCCTCTTCTGTTCACTCCATTCTCTTCTCTCCTGTGCAGCACTCATCACATCTGGCATTTATTATCTGCTTTCTTACTTCGGTTTACTTTTTTGACTTTTCATTCTGAAATAATTTCAGACTTACAAAAATGTTGCAAAAGTGGTAGAAAGAGTTCTAGTGTATGCTTTGTCCAGTTTCTCTACAGGTTAACATCTTACGCAGACATTGTGCAATGATCAGAACCAGGACGTTAACATCAATACAGTGTTCTTAACGAGTCTACAGACCTAATTCAAGTTTCATCCATTGTCCCATTAATGTCCCCTTTCTGGTCCAGCATCCAGTCCAGGATCCTGCATTGTATTGAGCTGTCATGTCTCCTTCAATCTGAGACATATCTTCTCTTTTTGTCTTCTACGACTTTGACACTTTTGAAGAGTAGTGGCTCTTATTTTGTAGTGTCCTTAGTTTGGGATGGTCTGATGTTTCCTCGTGAGTAAATTCTGCTCATGCGTTTCTGGTAAGAATGTTGTGGAAGCGATGGTGTATCTTTCCCAGTGCATCATCTCAGGAGGCACACCATGGCAATCATGCCATTCCTGGTGATCTTGACTGTGATCACTTGCTTAAGGAGGCATCTACCATGTTTCTCCACTATTAAATTACTACTTTTCTCTCTGTGATTAATGATTACCTTATGGGGATATACTCAGAGATAACAGAAATATCTTGTACTTCATTATACATTCCCTCACTAATTTTAGCATCTATTGATAACTGTCAATGATTCTTGCCTACAATTATTATTGGTGGTGTTTTCCAAATGGTCATTCTCTAGTTCCATCACTCTTTCTGAGTTTATTTTTGTTTTTAGAGATGGGGTCTCACTATGTTGCCCAGGCTGGTCTTGAACTCCTGAGCTCAAGAGATCTGCCTGTCTCAGCCTCCCAAAGTGCTGGGATTTCAGGCATGAGCCACTATGCCCAGCTCTTTCTGAGTTGATTAACAGTAATTGTGCTGTAAAGATGTACTGTCCCTTCTCTCCCATTTATCTTTTTATTCAATTATTTATATTACTATGAACTCCTGAATATTTATTTTACTTTATCGGTTATAACACATTACTATCATTATTTATTTTGTTGCTCAAATTGTCCCTGATTTGGCCATTGGGAGCTCCTCCAGTTAATCTCCTGTGTCCTTCCTGTATGTCTTTGTCATTTTAGGGGGAGTACTTCCTCATTTCCTGGTGCCAGAAGATCTTCCAGGATCATTTTGTATTTTTTTCAGTCCCATCCCTGAAACTGGCCATTTCTCCAAGGAGCTCTGATTCCTTTTATTGGAAAATGGTGTTTAGAAACCAAGATCTGGGTGCTAGGTGTGCTCACTGCTAGTGGGCTGTCACTTTAGGCTTCTTAACTTTTTCTTTTCTCCTTCCTTCCTTCCTTCCTTCCCTCTGTCCTTTCTTCCTCCCTCCTTCCTTCCCTTTTCCCCTTCCCTTCCCTTCCCTCATTTCTCCCTTCCTCTGCCTGTGACTCCACGAGTCTGCCAGCCTCATGAGGGCTGGGTCCTCATCTCTCTTGCTCACTGCTGATTCTCTAGCACCTGGCACAGTGCCTCAGGGATGCCCAATACATATTTGTTGTGTTAAGTCATGGAAAGTGCTTAGGACAATGCCTTCATAGACTAAGTGCTCAGTAAATGCTATTTATAATGACTACTTTTCGCTGAATGAATGAATGGCTTGTGGTCCATAGCAGCACGTGTGTGACTTCCTTGTTGACCCTTCTCCCACCCCTCAGGATGTGGCCATTACAGTCAGGCTTGAAGCAGGAGAGGAGAAAGACAAGGTTTACAGCTGTTGGGATTGCCAAGAATCTGGCTGAGGGCAAAAGGGTGATCAGTCAGGGAGTTCCCAGCAGGCTGGGGGCCCAGGCTGATCCAAGCAGGTAGAGAGGAAAGAGAAGTAGGTGAAGGGAGATTGGTGTGTGAGCATCAGATCATGTCACAGGCTTAGATGGGTTGGATCTGGCCTAAGAAGCGAATGCCAGGTGCTTTGCTTTAAAGCCTCTTTTCACCCTTGGAACCTGCCCTAGTGAAACCAGGATCCTGACATGGTCCTGCACCCCCAAGGAAGCCTCCACTAGCTCCACAGTCACATAATGCAAGCCATAAATGTCAGCCCTGCATGTGATTTTACTGGTGCATGTTTTCTAGTAGCCATGTTAAAAAAGCTAAAAAGAGACAGGTAAAATCAATTTTAATGATATATTTTATCCGGCTCCAAGTACTATATATTTCAACATGTAACAAATACAACGATTAATGAGATATTTTATGTGCTTTTCCCCCCCATACCAAGTCTTCAGAACTTGGTGTATATTTTATACTTACAGCACAACTCAATTTAGACAGGTCACATTTCAGGTGCCCTGTGACTACATGGCCAGATTAGACAGCAGAGCTCTAGCTCAAGGATGGAGCATGCATGTCACATTTTGCTGTATCAGAGGTTTTCAAGTTGGCTTCTGAAGACCCTGGGGTTATTTTTGAAACAGATAGGGCAACCCAGTGGGTAGGATGTAGTCTTTGACCCAGCTTTAGCCCAAACAGTCCCTATCTGTTGCTCTGTTTTATATACTGAGGTTTGGATTAAGATTTGCTTTTTTTTTTTTTTTTTTTCTTAAAATATCTGAAACCCTCTAGTTTATTTCAAAACCGTCAGCTTGAGGTAATTCACCTAGAAAGTTTGGACTTGGAGGAAGCTTACACATATTTTAAATAAAAATTTCAGCAATGGCTCCCTACCCAAAAAATAACCTCTCTTGATTAGAGGAGGCTGCCTTTTACAAATGGAGGAGATATGCTGGCTGCGATGGTGGCCCTGGCTGCGTGGCCATTAAGCTTCAGAGACCGGCTGTGGAAATGGAGCCATTCCAGCACTGCTGCAGCCAAAGATGTACTTTCCAATGAAGTCACTGCACAAAAGGCATGCAGGGTTTGCACCAGAACACCCCCAGAAGGCTGCAGATTGGATGCTATGACTGGATGCTGCATCAACAAACACAGAAATATGAAGACACACTTTGCATTCTAAGAAGCCCACCTCCAACCTCTGGTGTGAATGGCTGGTCCTCAGATACCTCACATGTCTCTCATTTGGCTATAATGGAATCTCCTCATCCACCTAATCCGAGAATCTTCGTGTTCAGGGCTGGCAGGCAAGTTGGGGAATGGGTTGGACTTTGCTACCTTGGGAAACACAGAAATTATATGCTCTAAACAAAGCACCCTCCACCCGCCGCAGCCTTCAGCATCCCAGCCCTGTGGAATGTGCCCTCCTCTGCTCAGTGCACTCAGAGAGTTGAAGGCTGCCCGAGAAAGTCAGTCAAGGGGTACCTGGCAGAGCAGGTCTGAGGATGTGAGAAGCAGAAGGGCCTTTGGATTAAGAAGCTGCGGGTTGACAGGTGATCAAAGGGACAGGGTTTGGTTAGCTACTGGCCCCCCAGTTCTCCATGAAAAGTCTCAGGTCAGTCTGGACCACGGGATGGAGGACAAAGGTGGGCCTTGCTTGGTACCACCTGGAGAAGGTGACTGCTTCATGTTTGTGTGACATGTGCTTAAGCCACAATGGAAAACGCTGCGTATGAGGAAGCGGCTGGCCACTGAGGATAACTCCCCGAGGCCTCTGCTTAGCCACTCCTGCTGAGGGAAAGGAAGTGCACAGTTCACAGAATGGGAAAGGAATGGGGGCCTGGGGAGACGAGTTCTGGCCCACCAAGCCTGGCTCATAAGCTAGGTTTTTCTGTTTGTTTGTTTAGGAATGTTCCAGAACGAAAACTGTGCACATGAAAACTCTCCCTTGGCCTCATGATAATGCTAATTATTCTTGCTCTGGCTGGAGCTCCCACCCAGTTGGAAACTGGAACATCCCAGCCACAGGCCAGCTGCTTCCAAAGAGCCAAGGAAGCAGGGTGACAGATGGAAGCGTTTCCCTTTTCACCCAGATGTTCCGGTGTTTTGGAGACAAGGCCTCGTTAACTTGACTTTAGCACCTGCGTTCCCAGCTTGCACGTTGGTCTGTAGACATTATTTATACCAAACTTGGCCAATGCTGTCCACTGATGCCAACATCCCACCTGGTGCTTGGAGGAGCCGGTGAGGGGATGATGACAGCTTGTAGCATCACTGCGTAGAAGGGGTTCTGAATGTGCCCAGATCTCACTGAATGTCCTGTTGCCTGCCCTAAGCGGTGTAGTTAGGAGTCAGTGTTTTCCAAACAGAATGTGTATCTGGGAGTCTCCCGTTGGACTGAACTTTTATTAGCTCTCTTGGCAGAAGGCTGAAGCTTTTATTGTTCTATAGAACAGGACTTCGGCAAGATAATCACAAGGTTTTGACACATTCAATAAGAACGAAGGTGTTCGTATACATCATGGCGAAGACCCCTCAGAACCCAGAAAGGGTGCCTGAGAGGGACTCCTGGGATGCCCCCTTGAGCGGCTGAACTCTTCATGGCCTTGGCAACTGGTTCTCCACCAGATCTTCCCCAGAGGGGCCAAGAATCTTGTCGGGCCGCAGAAATATTTAGGTTTTGAGGAGAGAGGGATGGAGGATGGTGGTTTCCATTGAGTACCCTTGGATCTGAGACCTGCCCAAAGATGTCGGGGGTGACTGGGAGGAACCCCAGCGTCGGGGGAGGCACACCACTCACCGAGCTGTTCTTGGGAGCTTCCACAAGGGGGCCCTCTTGAGCTTTGGTTGGGGCGATTGGGAGCCAGTGGCGAACCCTCACCCCGCCGGCTCCAGCTTCGGCCTCCAGCTGAGGGTCACCCAGCCTCCCTCGTTCCACCCAGTCCTTGCGGAAGAAGGAGCCCACCAAGGCCAGCTCTGGTGCCCAAACTTTCTTCCACGTGGGAGATCTTCCTTTCCACTCGCGCAGAGAACGTATTTAGAGACTGAAGGCAAAGGGTGAAGGGTCACCAAGCCTCGCCTCTTTCAGAGAAGTTTGCAACAACACAACAAAAGCTCCAGTTGGAACCACATAAAAGGGCATGTGGGAAGCTTCATAAACAATGAAACAAGACATCTCGGCTCCATGGGCCTCTCCCCAAAGACACATATACGGGGGCCTTTGGGTCAGCTGCGACGGGAAGCACTGAGATTTTAAATGCAAGAAAATTATTACAATTTAACAAATCAATTTTTCTTACATTGTATTGAGATTAAGTTCGTGGTCTCTTTCATACATTCAAAATAAGATATTTCCCTAGAGTGCAATTTTGTGGGAAAACCTACATCATGTTTCGGAAAACCCATTTTGCTAGGAGTTACCAGATTTTAAGATAGATGGTAATATTTAATTATTGCACTATTTTACCGTGTAGAAAATTAATGTGCTTTCGGAGTTTCAGGAGAAAGACCGGCTATAAGTCTGAACCCTATTTTTAAATTACCATATAAATAGAATCCCAAAGACGCAAATATTGGCTTAAGTGTTGCAGACAAGGTACAGGAAAATGTGTTGGCTTCCTAAATGTTAAATAAACAGGCTTGTAATTCTCACCTTCCCTCATGACCCTGGCCCAGCTGGGTTCTTACCCTCGGAAGAGCGCACGTAGCTCAGGAAGGGGACAAAGCGGTGCTAATTGGATGACCACAGCGGGTGAGTCATCAGAGTATCATGGTTACCACCACGATAACAAGATGCACGTTTTTGGTAAAGCTCTGGAGTCTTCGAAGCCCACATTCATGGATCTGCTCGACCCTTATCACAAACCTTCCAGATAGGGGTGATGACTGCCTCCATCTTACAGACCCCAAAACGGAGGCTCAGAAGGGAAAGCCTGACAGTATCTTGCTTCTGTCACACAACCCACAGGTGGAGAGGCCCAAATTCAAAACCGGGTCCGGTAACTGTAAACCCCTAGCCTCCTTCCATCTGCACTTACAGCCCCTGATCTTGGCTCGACATTTATTGAGCACCTACTGTGTGCTTGGCCATGGGGTTGCAGAGCAGAGAGGCATCTACAAGGGCTCAGGGTCTGACATTCCAAGCCAATTATTCTGCCCAGTACTGGTCCAGTTTACCAAAGGGAACTGAAAGAGAAGAGGGGCCTCCAGAGGGGCCCCACTGCCTATGTGTGCCTTGAGGTCTTGCAGGACAAGAAGCTGCTTGACAGATGGAGAGAGCTGTAATGGGCACTCCAGGCAGGAGCTGTAAAGGTAGCAGGGAGGTGTGAACTAGCAGAGAGAGATGGAGGAGGATGTAATTAGTCCATGTGTGATGGTGGCGCCGTGGGGAGGGTTGTCATGGGGAGAGCTAGAGAAGCACAGAGCGGCTGGTGCGGAGGGAGGCCTTGCTGCTGCTTCTTGGGGCTGGAATGTTCTCCAGGAGGTGGGCAGGGAGCTTGCAGGGGGTGAGATCAGGTGTATGCTTTGAAAAGCAGTGTTTTCTACGCTGGCTGTGCCTCCTGGGTGGCACTGCCCACCATTCCAGGGGTCCATGGTGGACATTTTACACTGGATTAATTTCATGTCTATTTTGACTCAATTCAATAACTGACACGTCAATCCTGGGTTGCTGTTAGGATGAGGCTAAGGCACAGAGGGATAGATTATTTTAAAAAATAAGTTAAGTGAGAATGAGCTAGTTGATGTGGAGAGAAATGTTGACTCAGTTACAGAACAGTAATAATCAGATGTGGCCAAATGGCCGGAATGGCACCTGGTGACAGGTGGTTGGAGGCCCAGGCTCTACGGCCCCCGCTGGCTTGTGTTAAGGATGATGTCGTGCACATTTGAGGGCTGGGGAAGGAGGGACTTGAGAGGGCCTGTGGGTACCAATTCAATTCATGAGCGAGGAGGTGAGGCTGGGGCCAAAGATGGGGAGGCCACCTTGTAAGGTGAAGTGGGGTGCAGCTCCTCAGCCTGGAACATGGATGATAATGGGCTGGAGAAGCCGGCCTCTGGAGAGGCAGAGTCCCCAGGGAAGTGGCTCTAGGGAGAAGGCTGAGGCAGAGGCCAGGGGAGGGGGCACAGTCAGAATGGGGAGCAAGTTGTTTGATAAGTAGGGTTGCAGATAAAATGCAGGATGCCCAGTTAAATCTGATTTCCATACACACAACAAAAAACATTTTAGCATCTGTGTGTCCCTAATATTGCATGGATGAGTGTGGCAATTTGGGTATGGACAGAGAAGAGGGTCAAAACCAGGGAGATGTGTGAGATAGATTGTGCTTAATGGTTTAATTATTATTTTTATGTAAGTTCTTTTATGCCATACATAGGGCAAAAAAAGAATAAATCAGAAAATGAGAAAAGCACAAAGATGATTTAAAAGCGCGTCCACAGTCACCTAACCCAGAATGAACTGCCATTAACCTGCTGGTATACAT
This sequence comes from Homo sapiens, assembly GCF_000001405.40. NCBI lineage: Eukaryota > Metazoa > Chordata > Mammalia > Primates > Hominidae > Homo > Homo sapiens. The sequence continues at coordinate 58,484,328 of NC_000020.11, forward strand.
TACCCTCCAGCTTCTAGAGTCTGGGGATGCCAAAAGGCACAGCACAGGGACTCTGGTCCCCTCTGAACTTCCATCTCTACAACAATGCCTGGCCCACGGTAGGCGGGCAATACATTTTTGGTGAATGAATAAATAAATCTTTCTAGGCTTTTTTTTTCTTATACATATATAACTGCATTTATCCAATTATCATTTTTATAAAATGGGGTCATCCTATACCTATTATTTGAAATCTATTGTTTTAACTTAATAATAGATTTAGCGATCTTTGTGGAAGGTTGATTTTGTTTTTTAAGACTGTGGGGACTAACACACATTCACACATTCACAGTCTGCCGCGGAGGAACTAGAGATGATGCAGGGGCAGAAGCAGGAGATGTAATAACTCAGGGAGGCCGGTGCCCTAATCAAGAAGAGTCCAATAAAAACAGGCTAAACTCTTCAAACAAAAGAAATATGTGGCTTGCAGTGGAATTTTCAAAATGTATTAAAAAAGGTGTAAAATGAAAACTGCAAGTCTCTTCCTACCCCGAAGCCTTGGTTGCTTCCTTCAAACAGAATCACTTTAACAGTTCCTTGTGCATCCTCCCAGAAAATGGTTTCATGCCGATCTCTGCTATTAAAGTTTTTTTTTTTTTATGAATGCAATCTTTCTATCCACATCGTTTTGCATTTTGCTTTTTACACTTAAATTGTCAGAGATAGTTTTCCATCTCAGACTTATCTCTTATGGAAAAGACAAAATAGTATTCCATTATTTAGATGAATCTTGATGTAGCTAAGCAAGCCTCTGTTAATGGTCATTTAGGTTGTGGTACACACACACACACACACACACACAATTATCAAAACAACAATACATTGGACATCCTTTTAAATATGTCTTGGTATAAATATTGTGGGTCTCCACTGGAGAAATTCTTAACAGAAAAATTGAATATGCATTAATATGTCAATAGATTTGGCCAAATTGTCCTCCAAAAATACTGTTTCAATTTATCTTCCATCGGTGATGTACAAGAGTGCCTGTGTCCTTAGATCTTGGGCCACACTGGATATTAGCAAATATAGAAAGCAAAGTTTTCATTTTTACAAGTCTAACATATGAATATTGGAAGGGAAATGACAAGTTAATGAAGGTTTGTGGTTAACCGCACATTTTTGTGCCTACAAATAAACAAGGGGTGCAAGTTAATCAGCATATACTCCATTAACTTGGATTCTTACCCTTCTGTTTATTTTCACTGCCATCACTCTGGCTCAAGTCACCATCATTTTTCAGATGAAAAGCTGACAGGGGCCTCTCGCTGTTTCCCTGGCACTCACTCTGGCCCCTGTAATTCATTCTCCACGGAGCAGCAAGCATGATCTTTAAAAAATGCAAATCAGCATTCTGCTTCTGCAATACAGCTTATCTGAATATTCTGAGGGCCTTCCCCACTGTGCCTAACTAGATTTGGTATAAATTATACTTTTTCATAAAGTAGGGAAGCCTCTGAGTTCTCTGGCTCCCAAAGTGAGCTTAAGGGGGGCCTGCCTGTAGAGCCCCTCCTGAGGACAGATGTCAATGTCTTCTTTGACTGTGGCATGAGATTGGGCAGACCAGGGCCTAGAGTGGTTCCAAGCTGCTGATGCCCCTGGCTCCTGGGAGAAGCAAATATAAATAATCCCTAGAAGAAAGCATTATTATTTTCAATTCTAAGATTTTTCACAGATCAAGATCAAATAAATATGAGTTCTCAAAGGTCACCCAATACACAAGTAAGCAATCCACTATGGAGTAAGAGTTGGCAGAAGCAAAAAATGAACATCTCATGAATATCAGATATTGGAATTATCTATCACAGAATATAGAATAATATACATGAAATGTTTAATAAAGTAAAACATGGAATTTAAAAATTGAGCAAACAGCATGAGCCTGTAAAAATGACCAAGTAGATCTGGAAAATGAACAAATAAAACTTTGAGAAACAAAAATAACGTTGTTGAAATAAGAACTTAGTGGCTGGTTCAGGGAGCAGATTAGACACTGTTGAAAAGGAGATTAGTGAAATGGAAAATAGGTGTAAAGAAATTACCCAAAATTTAGGGAAAAAAGAGAGGGGATGCAAACTAAGACAAAGAGGTTAAGAGACATAGGAGCTATCATGAGAAAGTCTAACTAATGTCTTCCATAAAGACAACAACAACAAAAAAGAAAGAGTAGAGGAGATGCAATTGGTGAAGAAAATGTCTAACAGTTTTCCAGAAGTGATAAAAGACACCAAACTACTGGAAGCACAGTGAATACCAAGTGGGATTAAGAAAAATCCAAAGAAATAAACACTTGACCCTGCAAAGCACCAAACAGAAAGTAGCCGCCAACCTAGATTTGTGTACCCATCAAAATACTCTTACAACAACAAGGGCAAAACAAAGACATTTTCAAATAAACAATACTGAAAGTATTTATCACTCTACACTCTATTAAATGACCTTCTAAACAAAGGAATTTACTAAGAAGGAAAATTTACTGGAGGGAAGGTTTTTTTTTTTTTTTTTTTTTTTTTGAGATGAAGTCTTGCTCTGTCACCCAGGCTGGAGTGCAGTGGCACAATCTTGGCTCACTGCAACCTCCGCCTCCCAGGTTCAAGCAATTCTCCTGCCTCAGCCTCCCAAGTAGCTGGGATTACAGGCACACACTACCACGCCTGGCTAATTTTTGTATTTTCAGTAGAGACGAGGTTTCACCATGTTGGCCAGGCTGGGAAGGTCTTAGTTTTAAGAAGAAATAACAAGCAAAGAATTGGAAAATGTAATTCTTTAAATAAAGAAATAAAATGATACCCTCTAATTTTGTGGGGTTAAGAAAAGAGGAAAAGGACAGAACAAAAATACTGGAAAACAGAAGTATGTAATTTGGAAGATAAATGATTAGGTTACTGTTCTAAATTTCTTGCATTAATCAGGAGAATAATTAAGATATTATAATTTCAAGAGTTAGCTGCTAAAATAATAGAAGCATTGTGTAACTTCCAAACCAGAAGAAAGAAAGATAAAGTAATAGGAGTAAGTATAAATAAACTAATTCCTTAAATATTAAAAAAAAAAAAACAAGAAAGGAGGAAAAGAGCATAAAAAGTATAGTTTGTGGGAAATAAAACATGGTTAAAAACAAATATGAAAAAATGTAAATGGATTTAATTACCAATCAACAGAGATTATCTAATTGGATTTCGAAACCCCTAGCTATGTGTTATTTATAACAGACATACTTGAATTATAGGGACACAGAAAGTATGAAAGTAAAATAATTCATAAAACTTGCCAAATACTAAGTAAAAGGAAACTGGGTGGCTACATCAAAATCAGGTAGAGTAGGATACCCAATAAAAAGCACTATTAGGGATAAAGGTGGTCACTCCACAAAAGGTCCAACCTGCCAAGAAAAGATGGCCATATCAGAACATACAAAGCAAACATTGCTATAGCTAGAGGGAAATGTTGACAAATCCATCGTTATAATGGCATAGTTTTGCACAAGGCTTCTGATTATTTATAGACCAAGTAGACAAAAGATCAGTAATGACACCAAAGCTTAAAAAACACAATGAACAAGTTTAATTCCTTTCATATATATGTGCGTGCCTGTGTGTGCATCCGTGTGTGTGTGTGTATGCAAGTGTGTTGTGTAAGCATAGTGTATACAGTGGTCCCCCCATGTGCGGTTTTGCTTTCCATGGTTTCAGTTACCTGCAGTCAACCATGATCTGGAAATATTAAATGGAAAATTCCAGAAATAAACAACTCATACATTTTAAATTGAGTGCTGTTCTGAGTAGCGTGATGAAATCTTGCACCATTCTGCTGCATCCCACCCTGGATGTGAAACCCCCTTTTGTCTAGTGTATCCACTTATACACTACCTGCCCTATACAATGCAATAATAGGAAAAAACATAGTATACATAGGATTTGGTATTATCCACAGTCTGAGACACCCACTGGGGGTCATGGAATGCCTCCCCTGAGGATAAGGGGGGACTAATGTACACACACACTCACACACACATACATATATATATTACTGTGTCCAAAAATTAGAGTATGAACATTCTTTTCAAACACATGTGCAACATTTACAAAAACTGTCCCCATACTAGGCCATACAATGTCTCAACAAATTCAAATAATTGGTATTATACAGGCTACAGTTCTGATTACAATGCAAAGAAATTAAAAGCCAGTAATAAAAATATTTCAAACATTTCTATGTGTTTGGAAATTAAGAAACACTTCCCAAACACTCAGGCATCAATGGAGAAATCAAAATCAAAATCAAAAGAACACTGATCTTAGAACTAAGCAAAAAGTGAAAATAGTACACATCAAAACTCATGGAATGCAGATAAATCAATACTTCGAGGTAAACCTATAGGCTTATGAGCATATTGTTAAAAGAAGAAAGCCTAAGAATTAAAGATAACCGTCCAATTTAAGAAGTTAGAAAAAGAAAAATCAAGTAAGCCCAAATAAAGGAGAAGAAAAAAGCAGACGCTAATAAAATAGAAAACAAAGCTAGAAGAGAGAATGAACAAGGTCCAAGATGCTTCTGTGAAACCCCTGAGAGATTAGATCAACCTCTGCTAAGACTGATCAAATAAAAGAAAGAAAGGAAAGGAAAGAAGAGTGGGTGAGTAGGGGGAAAAGAGGAGAGGAGAGATTAATACTATTGAGAATGAAAAACGGACAAAATTACAGATCCAGCAGGTTTTTATAAAAAAAGTTTATGATCCAATGTGTGTGTTTATAACCTGAATAGTTCCATAACTGTTGAAGAAATTGAGGAGTAATTTAAAAATCTGCCCCCTGCCCCAAACATAACCCAAACCAACACCAAACAACAAACAAACCAACCAAAACAAACAAACAAACAAAACCAGGCAGACCAGGTGCAGTGGCTCACGCCTGTAATCCCAGCACTCTGGTAGGCTGAGGCAGGTGGATTGCTTGAATCCAGGAGTTCGAGACTCCAGCCTGGGCAACGTGGAGAAAACCCATCTCTACAAAAAATAAAAACAAAAAAAAATTAGGGTCAGGTGCGGTGGCTCACACCTGTAATCCCAGTACTTTGGGAGGCCAAGGCAGGCGGATCACGAGGTTAGGAGTTTGAGATCAGCCTGGCCAGCATGGTGAAACCCTGTCTCTACTAAAAATACAAAAAAATTAGCTGGGTGTGGTGGCGGGCACCTGTAATCCCAGCTACTTTGGAGGCTGAGGCAGGACAATCGCTTGAACCTGGGAGGCAGAGGTTGCAGTCAGCCGAGATCACGCCACTGCACTCCAGCCTGGGCAACAAGAGCGAAACTTTGTGTGGAAAAAAAAAAAAAAGAAAAGAACAAAATCACTCCAGTTTTACATAAACTCGTCCAGAAAGTAGAAAAAGGGTGCAATCTCCAACTCACTCTGTGAGCTCTTAGTATGGACGGCAGATCTAGGTTTTGTGGAGCCTGAAGTTTATTCAATTTTGGGGGCCCTCTTAAGAAAAAGAATGGAAATTCATACAAAAATTCACAATTGGCATAAAAATAAATATTTAGGATGGGAAAATTAACAATAAATTACACATTTTATAAAGCTGACACGTACCACAAACACAATAAAATTCAGAGAACTCATATATTACTTTTATTACTCAATAACTTGAGTCTTCTATGATAATGTTTTCCTACATGTTTTAGATTGGGTTGGCTTTGCCTCTTCATATGACAAAGATTTCATATTTTTATTTTCTATGGCAGGAGGTGAAAGTCCACTTATTCTTTCTTTGTTGATTAAAAATATTTTTTGTTACCAATCATTCAGAAAGTTTCTTTTTCAGCTTAACAACTCATTATTATAATGTCATAAGTTTTTAGGATTATCAAATTTGGAAAACTTCTATGAAGTTTCTTTCATGTATAAGCTATGAGATTTACAACAACTTTCCCTAGACCAGCTTCTGGTTCTGCACATTTCACGCCTGTCTCTCCACTGCCCCATGGTTCTAGTGATTGGTGCTGAGGACACATTCATGGTGCACCTTCACACCATGACAGCGGACAGGTAGGAGAGTGAGAAACAGGGGTATTTGGGGAAGCCTGTCCCACACTGACCTCGCTAGCGAGAACTTAACGACACATGGAAGTGGCTGCATAACACACAAACTTACGGCACTAACTAAAAGAATTCCCAACTCAACCTCTCTGTAAGCTGATCCCCCAAGTGCCAGCGGTCACTTCAACATTCACAGCAAAAGGCAGAGTGTGAAGAACCAGTGAAAGAACCAGTGAAAGACAATGTGGGAAGAGACTGTCTCTTCACTGATTAATGTTGAAATATGCTATGTTTTCAAAAACTTAAGTCCATGTGAACACATTGCTAAGGTTCTCACACTCTATATACCCTTCCGGGTTTTGGAAAGCACTCTTGCAAGACAGAGACCCTGAATCCTTTTGAGGGCAGTGTGAAAAGGAAAAATTAAGGACAGTATGAGAGAGGAAAGTTATAGGCCAATCGCATTTATGGACATGGTTGTGAAAGTCGTAAGTAAAATATGAGTAAATGGAATGTAAAGATAACACATTATGTCCATGTTGGGTCTATCCTAATAATGCAACTCATTAACATTAGAAAAATCTGTAAATATCTTTGCCACATTCACAGATTAAAAGATCTTTCCAAAGATGCAGAAAATGCATTTGATAAAATTCCAAACCCATTCGTAATTTAAAAATGAGAAATAGTTTGATATGTATCTATGCTGATTAAGGGCACTGTGTACCAAAAAAGCCTATTCTAAATGATATTTCTTAGTGATGAAATTCTGAACTTCTGAGATCAGGAATAAATAAGACAAACATGCCTCCATCACAATGAATGACAATGACTTTCAATGTTTTACTGACAGTCCTTGCAGCAAAACAAGAAAAAGAAATAAAAGGCATAAGTATTTTAAAAGAAAGAAAATGATCACTATTTGTAGATGATATGATTGTCTATGTAAAAACTCAAAATCTACAGACAAATTATTAGAAATAATGAGAGTGTTTAGAAAGATGGCTGGATAAAAGAAATCAATATGTAAGAATCAATTACATCTTGTAACAGCACATAGTTGTGGGGAGGGAATATATCATTTACAACAGTAGTAAAAAATATAAGATACCTAGGAATAAATTTTATAAAAATATGCAAGATGTGTTTGGAGAAAATTATTAAAATTTCTTGAAAGACATTAAAGATATAAATAAATGAAGTGAGATATATTCAAGGATAGACAATATTAAGAGATGTCTACCTTCTACAAACTGGTTCACAGGTATAATAGATTCCAGTCAAAATCCCAACAGGTTATCTTATTTTTTTGGGATCTTGAGAAGATGGTTATAAAATGTATATGAAAGAGCAAAGGTGTCAGGAATTGAAAAATAGTAAGATATAGGGACGTGTTGTATCAGAGCTCTTAGAAGATTTATTGAAAACTCGAGTAACTGTAGCATTGTATATTCTGTGAAAAGATAAACAAATTGACCAAAACAATAGAACAGAGAGCTCAGATGGTGACTCCTGAAATTTACAGAGGCTTGCTAGTTTACAGGATTGCTGCTAAGTGGAGAAGAGAGGGCTGGTCAAGAAATAGAGCCAGGACAATTGGTTATCCCCGTGGAAAGGAAAAGAAGTCGGTTCATACCCCCAAATCAACTTCCAATGGGCGGGGGGAGGAACTTAAATGTACAAAAAGATAAAATGCTAAAGCTTTTAGAAGAAAATGTAGAAGAATATCTTATGACCGCGAGCTAGCAAAGGATTTCTTAAAATGCGCAAGTGCAGAAAGCACAGAAAGGCAAGCTGGTAAATACGATCCTATTAAAATGAGGAACTTCTGTTATTCAAAAGATATCATAAAGAGGATGAAAAGACATCTACAACACACATGACCAACAGAGGATTAAGATACAGGTTGTGTAAAGAAGTCCTCCAAATCTTAAGGAGAAGATAAATCATACCAGAGAAAAATAGATGTTAAGACACAAGTTGGTATTTCACAAAAGAGGAAATGAGAGTGGTAAATAAAGATATATAGAGACGTCAAATGCATTAATAGTCAGGGCCGTGCAAATTAAGACCCAATGAGGCTATATTCTGTACACACTGGATTAGCCAAATTTATGAATTGCAAAAATAGCAAGAGTAGGTGAGGACCAATGGGAACCCTGCCCATGGGAGCATAAACTGGGATGAATACTTAGTAAAATAACTTTTGTAAGTTAACTTTATAGGCATTTACAGCATGAGATCAGTGGTTTACAAACATTTTCTGTGAATCACAATCAGAAATACATCTTACATCACCATCTGATATATACGCCTGTGCATACGCATGCACTGACACATACAGACACAATGAAAACATGCACAAACACATACACATGCACTCACACACAATGCAAGCATGCATACATGCACACACATGCACTGACACACAATGCAAGCACGCATACATGCACACACATGCACTCACACACAATGCAAGCATATACACACATACACATAATGCAAGCATGCACACATGCATACACATGCACTCACACACAATGCAAGCATGCATACACACATACACATGCACTCACACACAATGCAAGCATGCACACATGCATACACGTGCACTCACACACAAGGCAAGCATACACACACATACACATGCACTCACACACAATGCAAGCATGCATACATGCATACACGCACTCACACACAATGCAAGCATGCACACACACATACAGATGCACTCACACACAATGCAAGCATGCACACACATATATATGCACTCACAGTGCATGCACACAGGCACATAAACATGCACATAATGGAAACAAAAGTTTCAGGAAACAATATTGGCTCTTACTATGAGACATCCACTCCCAAGTATTCTCTTCTCTTTCATTAAGAAAAGACACTGGTTGGGCCCCACTAATGTGAGTCATGAGCCATTAAGAGATCATGACTGTGATTTTGGTAACTCTAGCACATTTACACCCAGCAACAAGTCCAAGAAGGTTCCTAAGAGCCTTATTTGTAAAAGCCAAAAGCTAGAGACAAACGAGATGATGGTAGATAGAAGAAGAGAAAAATAACTTGCAGCTTCCTCACACATTGGAATATTATCCAGAAGTGAAAATGGAGGAACTACAGCCACACCTAATAGTGTGCTCACACCTTAGAAACATAATATCGAGTGCCAAAAGCAAACACAGAAGAATACATACAGGGAGCTATGACTTTCATCAACCTCAGGAACAAGCACAGCTAAAAAAAATACCCCGTTTAGGGGGCACCTGTACCCTGAAAAAAAAACAAGGAAAAGATAAACACAAAATTCAGAAAGGGAGAACAGGTGAGTGGACAAAGACATGGGCAACGTTGTGCTTTTTGGGATGAGGGCTGGGCTCACGGGTGTCCACATTATGTTCACAGCTGACCTTTAACAACACGACACCAGAGTTAGGGGCACCAGTGCCCCACACAGTTGAAAATCTACCGGTAACTTTCAACTCCCCCAAAACCTAACTATTAATAGTCTACAGTTAACCAGAAGCCTAACTGATAACATAGTCAATTCACACATATTTTATATACAGTATGTATTATATACTGTATTCTTACAATAAAGTGAGCTAGAGAAAAGGTTATTGACAAAATCATAAGGAAGAGAAAACATATTTAGGATTCATTAGCTGGAAGCGGATCATCATAAAGGTCTTCATCCTCATCACCTTCATGTTGAGTAGGCTGAGGAGGAGGAGGAAGAGGAGGGGCTGGTCTTGCTGTCTCAGGGGCAGCAGAGGCAGAAGAAAATCTGGGGATAAGTGGACCTGGGCAGGTGAAACTCATGTGGTTTAAGGGTCAACTGCATTTCTTTTTTCTTTTCTTTTCTTTTCTTACTTTTCTTTTCTCTTCTCTCTTCTCTTCTCTTCTTTTCCTTTCCTTTCTTTTCTTTCCTTTTTTCTTGAGTCAGGGTTTCATTCTGTCGCATAGGCTAGAGTACAATGGGATCGGCTCACTGCAGCCTCAAACTCCCCGGCTCAAGCCATCCTCTGGCCTCAGCCTCCTGAGTAGCTGGGATTACAGGTGTGCACCACTGCCACACTCAGCTAATTTTTAATTTTTTTTTTGGTAGAGATGGGGTCTGGCTATGTTGCCCAATCTGGTCTCAAACTCCTGGGCTCAGTGATCCTCTTGCCTCGGCCTCCCAAAGCGTTGGGATTATAGGTGTGAGCCACTGTGCCTGGCTGTCAACTGTGTTTCAAAGTATACATATACTTTGTAGTCCTCAAATATCTAATAAAAATGCACATTTGATCAAGTCAGTCCTGTTGAAAGCCCCTTCCATTCTGAAGTGCTACGAGCCCCGTACTTTGCCTGTGATTCCTGTCTCACGATCATCTCCTGGCATTCTGCACCCACTGAGCGCCTGGCAGTCCCTTGGCCACACCCCACTTGTACCCACCCTGGGGCCTGTGCACTTGCCGGTCTGTCTGCCAGGAATGCTCTTTTTGGGCCTTCTGGCTCATTCTCCTCCTTCAGCTCAAGCGTCTCCTCTTCAGTGAGAACACCCCCATGACCTTGTCTCAAGGTGGGCCCTCTGGTGTCCCCTGGAGCCTGCTGCCCCCTGCACTCCTCCATAAACAATAGTGGGTCACTGCCTGCTGGACACTGGCCCCAACTGGTGCAGATTGGACGCTTAGTGCTCACATGCCTCCTTCAGCCAAAGGGAGGGCTGAGGACACCTCTGTCTCCCTCAACTTGTCGTCTGCCAACCCTAGTGTCGTACCTGCCAGAGTCACACGACAAATATGGAGCTCTAGGACCAGTGGCCTCGTTTGAGGGCCCAGTGCAAATTGAAAATACACGGCCCCTTGTTCAAAAAGTTTTAAGAGTTTCAAGACGATGATGGCAGAGTGTTAAGGCCAGTGTGGGGCCCTTCTGAGTGTGGGACCATGTGCCTGACTGCATGGATGGTGTGCCCAGGAAGCCGGCCCTTGGGGCCAGATAGAAGCCTTATCAAACGCTGCAGGGCTGGGGGCCACAGTGGCATGGCCTTAGTCTGAATGGGCCTGACCTTCTAGGCTGAGCTGCCTCCTTGAGCCCCAGAAACACTTGCTCTTCAACCCCCCTGTGCCCCGAGGGCAGGGACCTCGACTGCATCCTCCAGAGGTTGAAGCCCAGGCTGAACCCAACACGTCTAGGTTGGAACTCAGGCCCTGCCCCTTCTGAGTGAGGTGGCTTTGGGTAAGAAGCCTCAGTGCCCTCGTCTGTCGCGGGGTCAGAGACATGTTTGGGGGAAAGGGGTGAGGTGGGTTGAGAGCCTCACCGGGGGTCGCACACACATGAAGGTGTGACCCATGCCATCACCACCTCCTGTAGCAACACAGAACCAGAAACCTGTGCCTGCCACACTGCGCCCGGCACCTGGCTGGGGTCCCCACATGCCCTTGTCTCCCCAGCTGCTGCCAGGGCCATCAGCGGAGTGGGACCCAGCCTCCCCACCCTCCAGCCTTGAGGGCCCCGGGTCCCCCTCTCCAGGCTGGGCCCCTGTGCCCACATCCCCCATCCTTGGCCTGAGTTACAGAGGGGGCGGTGGCTGCGCTTGAGGCCCTACCCCATTGAGGGTCAATGACATACCGTCTTTAGGATAATTTTTATGAGCAGATGAGAGCAGGGGCGTTTCTATTCAGTCCACTTTTCCTAGGGTTAATGAGTTCAGGTTGGTTTTCTGAATCCTAAAAAAGGCCTTTTTGTGTGCACAGCAACTGCTTTATTCAGCCATAACCTGTGCCCAGCCTGGGTCAGCTGTGGGAGAGGCTGGGGAGGGACTGTGACAGTGGGGTCAGAGGGGCTCGCAGTGGGCAGGGAGCCAGGCCCCAGGCAAATGGTCCTGTTGGTGCCAGGGGGCACCTGCTGTGCTTGCCAGAGGCTGTAGCAGCCCCTCATGGGCAGGTGCCAGCCTGGGGCAGGGTTGTGGCCCAATGAGACAGCCTGACGCCTGCCCCCAGGCCAGGCAGAGGGACAGACATTGCTCAAATCATCTCATGGATGAAAACAGAAAGACAAATACTGACTCAGTGCTTGGAGGAAGCCCAGCGAGGGGGCTGCCTGAGTCTGGGAGATCAGAAAGCCCACCTGGGAAGCGACAGGGGAGAGAAAGGTGGGCTCCGTGGGCCTGAGCAACGGCAGGTGCAAGGGTCCTGAGGTGAGTGGGCTCCATGTGGCCAAGGAAGACACAGAGCTAATGTCGGGGGTCAGCATGGGGCAGACAGGCCGGGAGGGTGCAGGGGCCAGAGCAGGCCCTGAGGCTCAGGTGAGCTGGGTGGTTTGGTCTTTATCCTGACACCAGAAGTCCTTGGGGTGTTACAGGCAGAAGCTGCAAGGAAGAGTGGAACTGTGCATGGGAGAGTGGAGGAAGGCCGGGAGACCCCGAGGGGATGCCCCTGAGGGGGCCAGGCCAGGGTGGGTGAGGCCTGAGCCTGGCATGGAGGAAAGGGACCCCCTACGAGCGGCACTGAGGAAGAGTGGTCAGTTAGACTCTGGCCAGTGTCCAGTGAAATAAAAAACAAGTAACTCAAACTATGTAAAAAAGAAAAGTCGCGATGCAAATTTGCATATGTATACTAGAAGGTCTGAACTTGCAGACACCGGCCAGTGACAGGGGCCCTTTGAGGAGTGAGGCCATGCAGGGGACAGCTCGAGAAAGACAGGGCTCCAGGGTCAGCAGCGTGGACACCAGAGGTCACAAGATGGGGGATGAGGAGGGGGTTGGCGGGAGTATGGGAGCTGGTGAAAGGGGCCTCCTGGGGGTGAGGGGGCATGCAGCGGGTGGAGGCTGAGGGGCAGATGCGGGTTTCAGGGAAGGAAGCTGTAGCACGACTGAAGCCTTAGGCCTGGCCACAGCTGCCCTGGAAAGTGGGTTCTCCCTGGGGGAGTCTCCCTGCCATGGGGAGAGGGCCCACTAGGAGGCCCAGGGAACAGACGCCTTGCATCGTGTCCACAGATGGGGTGCTAAAACGAGAGGAATTTACATTCTCATCCTGCTGGAGGCCATGAGTCTGGGCTCATGAGTCTGGGCTCAAGGTGCGAGCTGGGTTGGTTCCTTCTGAGGCTGGGCCGGGATTGTTCCAGGCCTTTCTTGTGGCTTGTAGATGGCCATCTTCTCCCTGCGTCTCTTCACATCGTCTTCCTTCGACGCAGGTCTGCGTCCAAATATCCCCTTTCTATGAGGATACTAGTCATGCTGGATGAGGGCCCACCTGAATGGCCTCATTTTAACTTGATGACCTCTGCAAAGACCCTGTCTCTAAATGAGGTCACACATGCTGAGGCCCTGGGGGTCAGGACTTCAACATATGGATTTGGGTAGGGGACACAATTCAACCGGCAGCACTTACTGAAGATCACATGGCTGGTGGAGAAGGGACCTTGTGCGGCCTCTATTAATAGATTCTCATATTAAAAGCTAAGTCTCATGCAGAGAAGCAGAATTCCCTGTACACACACCTCAATCATTTCTCTCCCTTCTCGGCAGCAACAACCATTATCGGTTTGTGCATCTCTCCAGATCTTTTCCTCTGGGGGCATATGCATAAATATATGTCCCGAGGAGGGGTGCGGTGGTGGGCTGTTTTTAAAATAAAATTCAAATCCCTGTTATGATGAAAAACTGGCTAATGAAAATTATGTTTCAAAACAGACTGAGGCGTTTTCATGCTAACTATGGCGTTCTTTGTCTCATTTGCAATGGAAAAGTCCCTTGTTTCAAAAAAATACATTATTAAGAGGCCTTACAATACAAACCACATTTTCCAATTCAATAGTGTACAAGGTCAGCCAAGCAAAGACAATGCAAGCTAGCTTCAAAAGCGTCTTGCTAAAGAGTGAAATTTGTTCGGAAGGGCAGCATTCTAATCCAAGCCGTGGGGTAGGCTGGTTGTGGCGTTGCTGAAATTTCAGCCTCCAAAATGAACCCCTTCGGTAATTGAGAACCTATTAAAGGAGCTTAAATGCAGTTTCAGATATTGCATTTCCTGATTAACAAGGATATAATTTCTTGAAGAAAGAAAGAAAAAAAGGATTCTGTTAATATCATTGGTTTTCCTGAATCGGCCCTTGTACAGGAAGAAAGGCCAGGGGCTGCTGGCCTCGGGGGAAGCTGATAGGGACCACTTGGGCGGGAAGAGGGTGTTGAGGGCCCGGCAGGGCAGAGGGAGGAGGTCCGGGAGAGTCTGTCTGGCCTGGCCACCTGAGTTCTGTTTGGACTTTGAGACCAGCTGAAGCCACACCTCCCAGCCTGATAACCTTGGCCTCCACCTGCAGTCAGCCTCCCTGGTTGCGGGTGCTGAGCTAGAGCCATCTCTAGAAAATGCCTCCTCCTCCTCTGTCCAAAAGCTCCTCTGTCATTGGAGACACATCCCCATGTGCCCTCATGGCGGGCATCATCTGCAGCCCCTGGCACTGCTTTTGGCCCCCTGAGGCCATGGGCACCTGCCTCACATCTCTTCCTCCCTTCTTGGAGTCTCATCTCCATCCCACGTCTGTGGGTGGCTGGTTCCCCCCTTGGCTGCAGAACCCTTTAACTTCTCATTTCATTCCAATAATGAGGACACAATTTTGGCTGCTCTGATGCAGACCCACAGTAAAAGTCACCGCAGTGAGGTGGAACTTGACTTTTCTTCTGCGGGAGGGACAGTTGGGGCCAGTGCGATGGCTCTGCCCAGGTTCCTTCTGGTGTGTGGCTCTGCCTCATCCCTAGGTGTGACCTTCATCGGCATGGTCCAGCTGAGCTCACAGCAGGTCTGTATTTCTACCAGGGGAAGGAAAACAGGGGCTGTGTGTCCTCCTGGTGGCCACACTACTGGCCACACCTAGCTGCAAGGGAGGTGGGGAAACCTTCTACCACCTCTGGACGGCCACATGGCCAGCTAAGACAGGGCTTTGCCACAGTGAGAGAGGACGGGAATGGAACCCAAGGGAAGCCTGCAGCATCCCCACACCTCCCCTCAGTTGTCCACACCTATGGCGACACCTGTCTAGGAGGAATTTTCTCCTGCAATAACCCTCAGCCTCCAGTTTCCCAGTCTCTTCTCATGCCAGCCTTACCTCTGCAATTTGGTCTCAAAAATACCGATCACCCCATTCCCACTTCCTTGCCCTCAAGAGCTGTTGGATTGGGCACCAGAACTGCCCTTGGACAAGCTGTGGCTCCTTCCTCCCTCCATCCACCTCAGTGCCCTTCCCAAGCACGTTCATAGGAAGGGGCTCCTGGCCCCTACCTGCTCCTGCTCTGTGGGCAATGCCCCTTCACACCCTGCTTCCACCCCAGGACAATGGAACTGCACCCTCAGAGGGAGGGCACCCCTGTGCCAAACACCCCACCCATCCCTGTCTCTCCTCTCTCCAGCTTCCCTCCCTAGCCCCATCTCCCTCTCTGTCTCTCTTGAGTCTTCAACCTCTTTTTTTTCTCTCATAAGTATGCAAACCTGCTCCACTGTCTCTCACCGTCCCTGGCCTCCCTTTGTTCATTTACTCTTTCAACAGATATTTTGTATGTGTGCCTACTACAGACTGGGCACTTCCATCTCACACCAAGATTGTTTTTTTAAAAAAACACATGTAAATATTTTAGTTTTCAAATAGAGCTGGAGCCTAGAAAAACAAAAACAAATTCCAAAGTGCTCTACACTGAACGGCATAAGGTGAAGCTTCTTTCTCCTTCTACCCTAGTCCCTCCCTCCCAAAGCAAAAATTATTATCAGATTTTTCAGCATTTTTTCTGGGGGAAAATGCATATGTGAATTTAAAGCACTCTGTTTTGATTTTTTCACTTAATTTGTAGAGACAGTTTCCCATTGACACAAAGTCATCTTTCTACTACGTTCTCTTTCTGGCTGTAAGATGTTCCCATCTGTGGACGCATCACAACGGATTCAGTCAGCATCTAATGAGGGGCATGCTGAGTCTTCTGGCATTTGCTACCCTCCCACCCCAAGCATGAACGTCACCAGTGGGATCCCGGGGGTCATATCCGGCCCCGCTCTGGGCCAAGGGCATCCTGATGGCTCTGTTTGTGTTCACCTCTCCATCCCCAGCCCCAGTCCTGCACCTGGCCCATAGCAGGTCCTTGGAAATGCTTGAGAATGAAGCTTCACAAGCTACTTGCCATATTCTCTCATTTAATCCTTTTGGCAGTGTTTTAGTGTTTTGAGATAGGGAAGTGTCATGCCCTCTCTTTACAGGAGGGGACACCAAGGCTCCTTGTCTCTCCCTGTCCACCCAATGGCTTTCCTTTCGGCTCACACCCTCACCACAGCCACCCACGCTCTGAGGACATCCCATCCTTCCTCCAGGCCACACCTTTGACTACCCCCGGACATTCATCCTGGCTAAGGAAGCCACCGTCTACCAGGAAAACCCTTCGCTGCACTCCCCACTAGCCAGTTGCCCAGTCCAGGGAGTTTTGCCTTTTGTGGGCTCTCCAAGCTGTCCACTTCCCCCAGCCCTCCCACTCCTCCAGATGCACCCCAGCTTTGGGTGAAGCCATCAATCCTGGCCACTGCTACCCAGGCTCCCTGAGGGTTAGCACTCTGCCAGGTACCCCACAGTGTGACATGTGACATGCCCACTTTAAAGATGAACCCCTGGGAACCCCTCCTTGAGGCTAAGATCTGGAATACTACCAGTCTTATTGAAACCTTCTGTCCCATCCCCAGGGGTAACTTTAGTCCTGAAGTTTGGACAAGTCATTCCCTTGAATGATTATGATGGACCAGATAGTCTACAGTGTCTACCTTTAAATATATTTCTTTTCTTGTTTGTAAGAGCCTCTGTTGGTGGCTGAACTGTATTCTCCCCAAATTCTTATGTTAAAGCTGTAACCCCCTGTACCTCAGAGCATGACTGTATTTGGAGACAGGGCTTTTAAGGAGGTGATTAAGTCAAAATGAGGCCATTAGAGTGGGCCCTAATCCAGTCTGACTGGTGTCCCTGTAAGAAGAGGAAATTTGGACACACGGAGAGACACCACTGATGTGTACCCACAGAATAATGGCCGTAGAGGGCACAGCTAGAAGACGGCCACCTACAAGCCAGGGAGGGCAGGCTCTGCAGAAACCAACCCTGCAGACACCTTGATCTCTGACTTCCAGCCTCCAGAGCTGGGCAAGAAAGAATTTCCGATTTGTGTGAAGCCAGACAGTCTGTGTTCTTTGTTATGGCAGCCATAGAAAGCAAATACAGACCTCCCATCCAGTTCATCTCCAAGTCCTGACAGTTCCACCTCCACACGCACAGGGGAAGGGTCTCACCTCTCTCTAACCCTACAGATATAACCAAGCCACTGTCACCACTTTCCATGGATGCATTTCCACTCAGCAACCAGAGAGCCTTTTTGAGCCCGAAAACCTGCCTCTGGCTTTCCAAAGCCCTTAAGCTTGGCTGTGACCCTCTTCATGGCCTGCTCATCCTGTCCTCTTGTCCCTTTACTCTCTAGCAGCCATCCTGACTTTCCTTCAGTTGGTTCCTCTCATCCTGGATCTTCTAGCGCTGGCTCCTTTTCATCTCTTAGGACTGGGCTGCAATGTGGCCTACTTGGAGAAGCCTTCCAGATATGCCCCATCTAATAGCCCACCTCCCTGGTCACTCTCCCCACTCCCTTTCTCCTCTCCTCTCACAGTGCTTGTCACCATCTGCCATTGTCTTGTGTTTTTTTGTTTTGTTTTGTTTTGAGTCAGAGTCTCACTCTGTCACCCAGGATGGAGTACCCTGGTGCGATCTCGGCTCACTGGAACCTGTCTCCAGGGTTTGAGTGATTCTCCTGCCTCAGCCTCCCAAGTAGCTAGGATTACAGGTGCCCACCACCATGCCAGGCTAATTTTTGTATTTTTAGTAGAAAGGAGGTTTCACCATGTTGGCCAGGCTGGTCTTGAACTCCTGACCTCAAGTGATCCACCCGCCTCGGCCTCCCAAAGTGTTGGGATTACAGGCGTGAGACACCGCATCTGGCCTTTGGTGTATTTGTTTTCTAATCTGTATGTCCTACCTCTGCCCCATACCACCAACTAGATTGCAAGTCCCATAAGGTCCATGCCAGGCTCATTTTGTTCCCTGTTATAACCCTGGGGTGTAGAACAGTGCCAGGCACGTAGTCAGCACCCACTGAATGCTTGTTGAAGAACTGAATACTTGAATGAAGAGACATTCTCACCACTGAGTTGAAGTTATAGGACGTTATCTACAAACATAGTAAAGACATGCTTACTCATTTAAGCTCTCCTAAATTAGAATTTGAAGTAGAGAGAGAAAGAAGTTTGTCTTTGTATTTAAGCAGAACAAAAAAAAAAAAAAGAAAAGAACTTTCTAAGCAAATTATCTATGTAAACAGGGAATATGTTTCGCCCACTTAATAATGAAGTCCAGCAGCTCTGGTCGCAAACACTCTTAGAAGCTCTTTAGCAATAAATATGCAAATTACAAATTATTCCACGTTCTTGTTGAAGCTCTTACAGGGCTCTAGAGACTCAGGGGCCCAACCTCTCTTCCTTAGGTCCCCGTCAGCAACAATAATGAATGTCCTGGGTGGCAGTGGACGTGACTCTTTTTATGGGACCGGAATTCCGACTTTTCCGGAAGTCAGGCTTCCCCTAACCACCATCAGAGGCAGAAATGCACGTCTCTGAATTTCCCTAAGGCAGCATTTACAGTCCCTGAAAGGTTGGGGGTGGGGTTTCCTAGCAAAATGCAGCTAGCCACGCAATCATGTAGGTTATGATCTTCTCAGAGATTTTGATGGTTACCTTGAAGTGATTTCCTGCGAGAGGCAGACGGAAATGCAAAAGTATTGCAAGACTGTGGGAGAAACAACAAATCCAAATGCTGATCATCATAAAAGCCCAGGTACTTTCACTCACTGGCAAGTTGGTCTTAATTTCAGTCTGTGGTTTGCTGTTAAGGAAATTGGAGTCCATCAGAATTTGGTTAAAGCTGATGGGCCAAACAGTAGACTTCAGCTTCAAACTATCTAGAAACCACACCCAACCATGAAAAACACATGTTAAAGCAACTCTAAGTGTACATTTCAAAGAACAAGTAATTTTGTTTCACTATGGCCACTGGTAATTCCAGGCTAAATACAGCCATGTCGTGCTCTCCTGTATCTACATATACTTTTGGAAAAGAGTAGAGTTGGGTATGAGCTATTGCTTTTCCTCCCTCTTTCTATATGATTTAATATTGAGGCTTGGGGAAGGCAGCTCAGATTTTGTTTTTAACGCACACTGAGCTCTAGGGGTAGTGAAAAACAGGGGTGTACAGCACATATACTATTTAGCTAACTGTTCAGAGGGCATGGTCTCAAACTTTGTAGGCATATAGGTTAGCTGCTTTGGTTGTAAGCAACAGAAGCAACATCTGACTCATGTAAGCTAAAAAGGGACTTCTTGGATGGGCATGGATCCAAGGGATGCTCTGGGAGTGCAGTTGGTGGGAACCACTCTGCACTTTCTCCAGGACACTCCGTGGGCAGAATGTGCTTAGCTTCTGGTCACTGCCCTTAAAGTTCAAAGTCCTGGAGCAAGCATCCCATGAGCCCATCTGGAGACTCACACCTCAGGTGGAGATGAAGCACCTTGACTGACAAGTCCTCTAGGACTGGAGTCAATGAAATTCTGCTATAGCAAAAGAAGGAGGAATGGAGCCCAGGCAGGCAAAACTGGTACCTGTCCACTGCAGTTTTGTTTCTAGCAGAGAAGGACTTGAGATGGGGGAGAGGAGACAGCAGATTGCTCAGGGCAAAGGCTCCATGGCTAATGGTATCAACAAGTAGCCCAATGCATCTCCCTGGCTTTGGTAAAGGATCCAATCTTCCCTGGCTCTTCTCTGTGATGAGCAAGAGGTCTTCTTGCCTCTGAGACAACCATGTGAACAGACTGTTAGCACCTCAGGGCCCCCAGGGAGCAGTGAGTTCTGGGCTTATTGGGTCTGCCCTTTCACGCATTCTGGATGGTTCCTAAGCAGCCATGAGGCCATCAGGTGGCAGTCTTCCCAGGCTTCTGCTTCTTCAGAAGCATCCTAGCCCAGTAGCGTCTATTTCTTCAGGTGTCAAGTGGTGATAAATAGCAGTACCTAAACCACAAGACAGTTGTGTAGAAATAATATAATGCTCCTACAGTGTTTCATAATGGCAAGTGCCCAATGGACGTTAGGTATTGCTGACATTGATCCACCCACAGCTACAGTGTAGCCTCAGTCACCCTAGTGGGGTTCCAGTTCCCTGTTCTGAAGCCCCATCCACAAGACTGAGGGCACCTTTGGCAAGCACCTCTCCTCACAGCAGGGAGGGCACAGGGCCTTATCTAAACATCTAGATGTTTGGGGCCCCGATGTTCCCCAAATCCATTCCCAGGAACATCGATCTGCCTAAGAGCATCTGGACTACCCAGGACCCCCAGTTCTGTAGGTGATCCCACTTCTGACACCAGGACCAAGTCCTGCAGCCAGGTCAGGTTTCACTTCTCCAACCTCAACCTCTGTTACATTTCTAACCAGCCTCTCTTGCTGAAGTCCTAGCAAATTCAGGAGGTTACAAAACTGTGAAGCTGTAAACCCAGCTCTTTTCCTTGAACCCCCAGCCTCAGATGGAACTGATCCTATAGAAAATACAGAGAAAAACATAGAGACAAAGAAAGAATTTTCTCATAATTCCCCCTCCCAGAGATAACTGCTCATTTCATATGTTTTCTTTTTTTTATTTAAAAAAAGGATGCCTCCTCCATGAAAACATAATTAGAATCAAATATACTATATTGTGTTTCTTTTTAAGTTTTTTACAAATTATTATTATTTTTATTTTTTGTGGAGACAGGGTTTCCCTTTGTTGCCCAGGCTCATCTTGAACTTCTGAACTCAAGTGATTCTCCCACTTTGGCCTCCCAAAGTGCTGGGATTACAGGCATGGGCCACTGTGCCTGGCTCATTGTGTTTCTTGTTCTAACATTATGTCATAAATATCCTCCCATGTCAGTCCATTTTTTTTGGATATATAATTTTTTATGTATGCATAATTCCTTCAAGATGTATTTAAGTCATTGCCTGTTGTTGGGTATTTAAATTTTGGCCTCCTGACCTCCCTTCCCTCTCTGGAACCCTGGATATGGTTTGGCCCTGTGCTACTCACCTTTCAACTGTTGGATGATCATGTTACTTCTCAAATTCCATTTCCCAGAAACACCTGGTGCCATCCCACCCACCAGAGTGGGCCCTTTGGATACAACACTAGGCATTTTGGACAGAATTGCAACACTGCAAAATATATGCTGAAGTCCTAACTCTAGTACCTCAGATTGTGACCTTATTTGGAAATAAGGTCACTGCAGGTGTAACTAATTAAAATGAGGTCCTACTGGAGCAGGGTGAGCCCTAAATCCAATATGACTGGTGTACTTATTAGAAAAGGAGATGAGACACAGTGATAGAGACACACAGGGAGAAGAGGTCCACATGGCAATGGAGGTAGGAACTGAAGTGATGGGTTTAAAGCCAGGGAATGCCAAGGACTGCTGGCAAATACCAGAAGCTGGAAGAGGCAAAGAAGATTCCCTTCTACAGGCTTCAGAGGGAGCATGGCCCCACTGATACCTTGATTTTGGATGTCTGTTGTTCCAAGCCCCCCACTTCATAGTACTTTGTTATGACAGCCCCAGGAAACAAACACAAACTCCCCAAATCCCCACTTCCCAGAAACACCTAGTACCGTCCTAGCCACCAGAGTGGGCCCTTTGGATACATCCCCAGGCAAAAGCAACCTGAGTCCCCTTGCACCTCTGGAAGCAGGAATTTGGGCTTCTCACCTCTTTACCCTTCTGTATACCCCCATCTTCCTCTGACCCATCCAGACACCATTTCTGTCTCTTTCTCTCCAGCCAAGCTCCTGATATCCCAGAAGGAGAAGGTGGCCTTGTAGCCACCCAGAAGAAGCAATGTAGCAGGTCCAAAGGCTGGAATCTGTAGGGCAGTGTCCTGTCACCTTTGCAAATGGTATGAGTGACATCTACGGAGGACTTGCTCTGTGTCTGCTGTGCAGTGAACTTCCCACATGGACACTCTTATCTACTCAAGCAGCCCCATGGGTTAAACATCATTTTGCAAAGGAGGAAACTGAGGCATGGAGGGATTAAGTGGTGGGGCAGTCAATGGAGCAGCTGGAATGTGAGCCTGGGCAATTGAATTCCGGAGCCCAGCCCATTCTGCAGTCTTTGCAGATGAACAATTAGGATCCTTCTCTCTTCAACAACTCTCAGATTAACATTTAATTGGGGTTTTAAAAAGCTGTTCTTGTTAGCATGTCTGTGGTCTTCTACTGCAATCTTCCCCATTAAGCCATGTTATATAAACAGTCAGCTCAGATGCCTCAGAGTGTGTGTGTCTCCTGGTGCCCAGATTTTGCTTTAATTCATGGTGCTTTCAAAGGCATCAGGGCAGGGAGGTATTTGCATGAACTTGGAGCTGAACTTTCACTGGAGGGTGGCAGTTGAGGCAAGAAGCTTGGTGGTCCACAAATCTGGGTTGCTGGGCTTGCTGGCTGGATGACTTGAGTGCCTGGTATCTGATATGGTTTGGCTGTGTCCCCACTCAAATCTCATCTTGAATTGTAACTCCCACAATTCCCAGGTGTCATGGGAAGAGCCTGGTGGGAGGTAATTGAATCACGGGGGCAGGTCTTTCCTGTGCTGTTCTTGAGATAGTGAATAAGTCTCACGAGATCTGATAGTTTTTAATAAAAGGAGTTTCCCTGCACAAGTTCTCTCTCTTTGCCTGCTGCCATCCTTGTAAGATGTGACTTGCTCCTCCTTACTTTCCACCATGATTGTGATGACTTCCCAGCCATGTGAAACTGTAAGTCCATTAAACCTCTTTCTTTTGAAAATAGCCCAGTCTCGGGCATGCCTTTATCAGCAGGGTGAAAATGAGGTAATACAATGTCCATGGCATAGAGAGGTTGTGAGGATGAAATGAAGTAATGTGCTAGCACAGTGTTCTAGCTGTCTTTTTTCTCTGAGGTAAGTTGGTCTTTCTCCCTCTCCCTGACTCTTTCCCTTCCTCTCCTTCTCCCTCTGCCACATACGCACACCCACCCACACCCCCACACACACACCCCGACACACACACAGTGGTAATTTATGGTAGGAATATCTGACCATCTGTTCTCCCCTCTGGGGAATATATACACTTGCTAATAGCCCATGCACCCTTGCACAGGTTTCAATGGAGTGAACATGAAAGAGAAGAGAAACAGCAACTTCTGTTTCAGGAAGCTTGGGTGAAAAAACAGCAAGCTGAAAAAAAATTGCAACACATACAAGAGACAGCTAGTTTTCTGAATATAAAGAGCACTTACAAATCAATAAGAAAAATGGTTTGAATCTCCCATATGATGACAGCACAAACATGTGACCAGGCAGTTCATTGGAAAAGCAATATGAGAGGTCTATAACACACAAACATTTGCTTCTCCTTGCTCATAATTATAGGAATCCAAATCAAAACCACCAAGCATTGCCACTGGCATGATTTTTAAGAAGTAATAATACAAGGGTTAGTGAAGATGTAAGAAATGAGTGCTCTCCTAGGTCACCCATGGGGGTGGTGCTGGTACAACTCATTTGGAAAAAAAGCTGGTGGGAGAATTTAGCAAACACACTTTGCCACGGCAATTCCACTGCTAGGTATTTCCACTAAAATTTGCAGGTGAAGGGGAGGCTGGCAGCAGGGAACAGAGTTCTAGGCAGAAGAAACAGCCTATGCATGCATATGGAGGTTGTGGTGGGAAGGAATGCAGCTGATGGACAGGCTGGTGGGCTCTGAGTGACTGCTTCATGGTGGTGCTTCCAGCCCAGCAGCCACTATCCTCCCTAAGAAGAAAGAGAGGTTATCTGTGAAGTGTGTGGAGATGACTGTCACATGGGGATCAAGGAGCACAGGGAGGGGAGAGCACAGAGAGAGTGAACATGGCTGAGACTGTGTCCATAAATCAAGAGAGACTCCAGCTGATGTGCTTTACATCTTGACAGCATACAAGGCTTTTAAATCTCAAAATGCCCCCTGAAGTGGTTGACATCCTCGATTAGATGTTGGCATTGGTGGTGGGGGGAAGAGATGAGGACAATGGAGCAGAGGACTGGCGGAGGGGAGGTGGCTGGGGAGGCCCTGGAGGAGCTGAGGAGGGCCTCTGCGGCAGGGCCCTTCAGTGCAGCTGTGACTGGGGTTCCCGTCTGCCACTGCTTACACTATGTTGGGTATATGAGCGATTACTGAGTACCTACTATGTGCCAGGCACTGTTCTAGGGACCCGGGAAAGAACTGTCGATAAAACAGGCCAGGCCTTCTTCTTGTGCAGCCTACTTTGTAGTGAGGAACAGACTGTAAACAGGGAAACAGGTAATGATAGGCCACGGTGTATGGAGAGTGAGGGGTGCCGTGCAGAAAGGCAGAGCGGGGTACTGGGAAAGACTGTGTGCACATGCGTGAGTGTGCATGAGTGTGCGTGAGTGTGTGTGAGTGTGCATGTGTGTCTGTGTGCGCACGTGTGTGTGCATGTGCATGCGTGTGTGTGTGTGTGTGTGTGTGTGGAGTCAACGAGTCAATTTTAGCCTTCCTTTAGCCTTCTGGGAAGGCCTCTCAGAGAAGGTAACATCTGAGTAGATACCTGAGTGGAAGAAGGAGCCAGAAGAATGTTCCAGGCAGAGGGAAGAGGGCGTGAAGGCCCTGAGGGAGTCGTGCTGCCTATGTGGAGGCCAAGCCAGGAGCTGCCCAGGTAGTTGGTGCTGAGTGAGGAAGCAGGCAGGACCAGGGCGGGCCGGGTGCTGTGAGCCACGTCAGGGCCTTTGGATTGGGCTTTACTCAGGGGTACTAAAATCCTTCTCGTTTCCCTGATGATGAAACTGAAGACGACACTATGATATCAATGGGCACAGACGGTACCTTTAGCTTTGCCTGTCCAAGTTTCCAGTTTGCAAATGAGTCTTAGCTATACCCCTGCCTAGCTCTCCTTGGGCAAGTCACCTACTTCTCTGGGCCTCAGTTTCTTCATCTGTCAAACGGGAGTGAAAACCTCCACCTTCCAAGAGTGTTGTAAGACGGGACTAACAACTCACCTCAAATGCTGCTGTAAGTCAGGAGCTGAGCCTGGGCCCTGGTGGACACAGAGAAGGCTCAGTAAGTATAGCCCATCACTGTCACTGTCATTATTACCAGGCTCTGAATGGGGGCAGGGAGAAGTGAGGGACCAAAACAGCCATTGATAGCACATGTGCTGGCTTACGGTTAGAGACTTTCAGGGCTGGAAGCAAATCTGGGCCAACTCCTAGCCAGTGCTACTCGCATCATCCAGCTAGATTCTTGGATGCCTCCAGTGATCGGGAATTCACTACTTCTAGAGGCATCTCATTCTTACCCTGCTTTACATCCTTCAGTGAACACTCCATTGCTCTTAATATAAAGTCCAACTCTTTTCTGAGGCCCCACAACCCTCCAGGAACCAGCCCCTGCCAACCCCTGACCTTGTCCACTCTCCACCCCTTGGTCCCTCACTCTCTTTTCTTTTGCATCTAAGCTTTGCACATACTAGTCCTTCTGCCGGGAATTCTGTCTGTTCTGCCTCCTCCTCATTCAGTTTTTCAAGTTCCAGGTTACATATCACCTTTCTAGGGAGGCCTTCTTGAACCTCCCAGCCTGGGCTAGATACCCCTAAAACTGCTTGGTAAAGTGCTCATCAGTCTTGTAATTAGTTGCTCATTTAAGATTTAGTTGCCCTATTTTCCATGAAGGTGGGGAGCTATCTGATTGGTCCTTCTGTCTTCCGCACCTCACACCAGTGTGTGGCACATACACAGGAGGGCACACAATACACGTCCACTGAATTGGGACTCTGTCACTGCCTCTCTGCTAGACAATTCTTCCTCTTTTTTTTGTCTCGCCCTGTTGCCCAGGCTGGAGTGCATTGGTGCAATCTTGGCCCACTGCAACCTCCGCCTCCCGGGTTCAAGCAATTCTCCTGCCTCAGCCTCCCAAGTAGCTGGGATTCCAGGTGCCTGACACCACACCCAGCTAATTTTTTATTTTTAGTGGAGACAGGGTTTCACCATGTTGGTCAGGCTGGTCTTGAACTCCTGACCTTAGGTGATCTGCCCACTTCGGCCTCCCAAAGTGCTGGGATTAAAGGCGTGAGCCACCATGCCCGGCCCAATTCTTCCTTTTAGCAAGCTCACCCTACTCCAGCAGTGAGCTCTGTCATCATCCCCATTCTGCAGATAAGGAAATTGATGATGGTAGCACTGGCAGCAGGGCTGGGGCAGAATGACAGGAGACAGCAGCAAGAAGGGTGGAGCCTGGACCTGCATGGTGTCAGGGTTAAACCCAAAGAATTATGAATTTTGTTGCTGTTGGTATCATTTTAATAGTCAAGGTGCTCTCATGGGGAAGAAAATACAGCACCTGCCAAAAGGAGACAGATGCTAAGTGACGTGTCCAAGCTCAAGCTGAAATGGCAACTTCCTGAGAGCAGGGGCGCTGACACTTTCTTCCCCAGGTCTGGAGACTTTAGAGCAGCATCTGACTCCCTGCAGGGACAGCACAGAGGGTTCACCAGGTTCTCAGTGCTAAGTCCTGGCCATATACCATCTTGTTGAACACTTCCAGCACTCTCTGATGTCACAGCTATCACCATTCCCAACACACTGATTGGGCCACATGCCCAGGGAGGCTGTGTGGGTCCAGGTGACAGAACAGGAAGGTAACAAAGCCAGGGTGGGAACCAGGTCTGCCTAATTCCAAAACCACCTTCCGTGCCAACTTCAGAATTCACTTCCTTCTCAAGAGCCCCCCAACTCAACTTAGCTGCCCTCAAGCTCAAACCAATTTTAATGGCTTCTCCTTCCCTTTGCATTGGGCTATTGATCTTCATTTTCCAGGCTGGTTTTGGCAGTGAACCACTGTATTTTGGAAGTTTTATCAGGGGCTCATTCTGGCTTTAAGCTTTCATTAGCATAGTTAACTTCCAATATATTGCAAAAATATTTCTTCACGTGTAGCTTCTAACTGCTTTGCCATCCAGATGGTTTTGAAATCAAGGAAGCTGCTGTATTTGCCTGGAGCTGGTTGTTTTGAATTTTGAGATTACAGCCTTGGTCAGAAGATAAGTGGCACAGCTGGCCACAGTGATTCATCTTCGAGAAGCACTTCACACAGTAGCAAGAGGAAGTCTCCATTGATAATTTTTTTTGTTTGTTTTAAGTAACTAATACGATTACGGGTCTCTATTCACATTAGATTTTTGGATGAGTGTATTTAAGTAATTTTCTTCTTAGTTTTTATTCTGGGTTTCAAGGCAGAGCTCCACATCAACTAATTTATTATGGAATAGCTTGTGATTTTGACCTAGTTAATCTGACTGTAAATGATAACTTGCCATCGCAAAGTATATAGCGAGAGATAAAAGCAGAGCTGAAATTAGAAAAAAAAAATACAAGTTCGAAAAAAAAGCAGCAGCTATGGTTTCTCATTTTCCCCCTCCAGCATAAATTGTTGAGTAATGAGATTTTTAAAAGCCAGAAATTGCTGTGGAGTGAACCAACACTGGCAGCTGGAGAACTGGCACCAGACACATCTGGCCTGACAGGGTTTGAAGGAAGGTTCGCTGCAGTGGGTGACTACCCATACCGCAGCCTGGCTCCTGCGGCCGCCATGCGGACATGTTCAGATACAAGAGGGAGGGAGAGCAAATGGGAAAAATCAACGTCCAAATTAGAAACTACCTAAGCTATGTTGTTTTTCTTGGGGCCCCACTGTGCCTTTGATTTCCTGATCGTTCAGAGCAAGAATAACAAAATCCGTCTAACCCAGTGATTTTGACGGATTCGTCTGAAAAACTACCTGTTGGGTTTGATCTGTTCATACCAGTGATTCTCAACTGGGGGCCACTTTATCACCTGGAGACATGTGGTCATATCTGGAGACATTTTCAGTTATCATAACTAGGAGGAGGTGCAACTGGCATCTGTAGGAAGAGGGCAGGGATACTGCTAAGCACCCCAAAATGCACAGGACGGGCCCCTCATCCCCAACAAAGAATCCTCTGGTGCCAAATGTCAATAGCGGCGAGGTTAAGAACCCCTAACGTGTGTGTACTCAATCTGAATTCTCTTGGTGGGGTGGCTGGTGTGCCATTATATATATAGTTTCTGGAACCTGGAGACATGAAGTTCAGGCGTGCCCAGCTCAGGCACCTAAATTATGTCAGTAGCTGAAGGATTAACTGGGTCCTGTTTCCTTTTACTAAAGCAAAAGGATCTCATCACCTGGTGATGTAGCCAGCGGTGAAAAGAGCTTTTCAAAGAAGCGTTCAGTGGAAAATAGTGCCCGGTGTAGAGCTGGGAGCTGCAGTGGCAGGCTGAACGGCACCCTCCCCCTTTCTGGTGGCTGTGTCTGAATTGAGGGCAGGCTGCCCCCCTCTCTCGTCAGGCCCCCGGGCACTCTTGGCTTCTCTGCTGTTGAATCTGTCTGATTTGCTGTGGTGAAAGGTCACCGAGGAGCTGGGCAGCAAGACTCCCCAAGAGCCAGCCACGGCTCTACACTCACAGTGATTTCATTGGCATGACGGGAAGCTCCGGCCTGCCAAAGACAACAGCCATGTGCTGTGACTGAGACTGCAGGTTCCTGGGGCATGTGTCCCACCACTCTAGACTGTTCCATTCCCACTGGGTGCAACGGCCTGGAGGAGGCGGATGAGAGCAGATGGACACCCGGTTTCCCCATCCTGTCCTCCCTATCTCAGCACCCAGCAGAGGCGCGCTTCCACAGCTGGCCCCCTTGTCACCCTTTCCAGTTTGCATTTTCCTGCCCTTTCGAAAGAACCAGCAGGGGTGAGGTGGTCTATTTTCATGCTGATGATCAACTAACTCTGTGGCCAAGGACAGCTGTGTCACCTCTCGCTCCCAGACTGGCAGGGGAAGCGGCCCCTGGATGAATGTCCCTTTCGACAGGTGAATCTGCAACTCTTCAAACTGCGGAGGCACCCTCCCCTGACCCTCCTTCAGACCCCTGCCAGTTCTTCTCAAAACAGCTTGTTTAGAAATTTGGGGGCTGGGAAGAAAAGACTGTGATTGAAGAGCTCCTCGAGGTGACTTAGACTTTGCTCCTTGCCTATACATGGAGCAGAGCGTGCTCTGTGGGACCGCGCAGCCCCTCTTCACCCCGGGGTTCTCGGCTGCCATTCCCTGAACATGAGCTCAGTGCCAGGCAGCAAGTGGAGTGATCCTCCTGCACGTGCTCTCGTAATCTTCACAATCATCCCAGACGGAGGAGGGGATTTTGTGAGCCCATTTGACAGGAAAGAAAGTCAAGGCTGAGAGAGCCGATGGCCATGCTTACCCAAAGCCAGACGGGTTGATATGATGTTGATCTGGGCTTCCCAGCCAGGTGGTCTAACTCCAGGGCCAGAATTCTCAGCCATTCATAATGTGAGGGTGCTTGGGGATGAGCCCCCAGCTGGGCACACTTCAACTGTGGTTACTGTCATTTTTGTCAGTGGTGACTGGGCCCCTGTGATGGCACACTCCAGTCAGCTGGCCTTTGTACAGTTTTGTCTACCCTACTCCCCACCCCCACGAAGAGCCACCAGGGAACCCCTTAGTCCTGGAGAAGGCATTGACTACTCTACCAGGGGTTCCTGAAGCCCCTTGGTCCCCTTTGTCAGGCCTGCTGGGCACAACTCGAGCCTGGGGTCACTGCGCGCTCCCTAGCTTCTCCCCGAGTCCTGCTGCAGGAAGAAGCCCCGACCCCGCACAGGTCAGGATTCCGTGGGCAAAAACAACCCCAGTAACCTTGGTCTGAATAGCCGGGCTTGTCCCGCACCATGGGGGTCTCAGTGGGCCTGGGATCCTCCTGCATCTTCTTGGAGGCCCCGGTCCCACTGGGCCCGGCACAAAGGGCAGCTCTGGGTACCTACAGGCCAGGCCCCGACTGGCGCAGAGAGTGCAGCGGCTCTCATATTGCGAGGTGACGCGACTCCCTCCCGCAGGCCCCAGGAAGCTCCTGGAGGCGCGCAGGTGCCGGCCAGGTGAGACTGGAGAAAGGCGCGCAGGGCGCAGCATAGCAGCCGCGTGGGCCGACCCAGGGCCGTAGTCCCCAAGGGCCCTTAGGGGACATTAGACGGCGAGCTCCCTCCCTTCCGAGCTCAGCCAGTTTGCCGGGTGGGGGAGGGTGGCACCTACCTCCCAAAAGCACCAGGACGCAAGCGTAGGGGAGCATGGCTGCGGGCATCCCGTCGGGGCTGGCAGGACCGCCCGCCGGGCGCTGCCACGGTGCGCAAGGGGAGGCGCGGGCGCAGGGCTCTCGGACGGCTGCGGGCGCCGGCGGCCAGGCTGGAGTCCTGCGAAGAAGTTGCGAGGGTCCTGCGCCCCCCTCGGCGCTCACACGCGCTCAGCCTTCCCGGCTGTTGATAGTTGTAAGCGGAGCTGCGCACTCATAGGTCCAACTTGCCAGAAGAGGTGGAGACAGCCCCCGGCGAGGCGCGCACACCCGCGCAGCGCGCACAGCCCCCTGGTGCAGCTCCTGCCATTCAGACCCCCAGCCCTCCCCCAGATGTCCGTCCCCTGGCCGTCGCCTTCCCCAAAGTCTTCGCAGTGGGCAAGGAGGCCTCCCCCAAGCTCTGGTCCCGGCCAAGGCAGAGCGATGCGCTCCTTGCGTCAAAGCGCACCCCTAGCCAGGCCGTTCCCTGGAAGGGCAAGCGGGGCGGGGAGTTCCTCTAAGCCCCGCCAGTCCTGGGACCCCTGAAGTTTCTATTCAGGTCTTCCAGCTACTCCTGGAAAAGTCGCGTCAACTTGGATCCCAGCAAACCCAGAAGCGCAGTGAAAGTGGCCAACCCGGTCGCCTAGAAGCCAGCCCCGGCCTCTGTCTGTAAATGAGGCCGTCACCCGCTCCCCACCACACCCAAACGCATCTAGGCAAAGTGTGGACCCGACCAGGCGGGTTTTCCTCCTTCTCGCAACTCCTCCTCCTGCCCCCCTCCCTCCCAAATCTCATCTGAGTGAGTCAGCTGAGGGTGGCAGCTCAGAAGCGAGGCAGCCGTGAGGCGGAGGACAGGCTGGGGGATCCCAAAGGGTGCGCTCCAGCCCCCAACCCAGGCACTGGGACTCTGGTGGCACCCTGGGTGGCAGGCAAGCCTTGAAATCAAGTGCACGAGCCTTGGAAAGGAGGACCGGGAGAGTTATGGCATTTATGAATGAAGAAGAGAAAGAGAATCACTCGGATGGGAAAAGTTAACTGGATTGTTCCCACCTGCATGGATCACCGGGTAACTGCAGTGGGACCGAGGGGGCGAGGCTGCGGGCTGGGGATGTGCGGGTTTCCTTGTGTTGCCACGAACCCAGAGAGGGAGAGGAAGAAGATGGAAAGAAAAAGGAAAAAGGGAAAGAAAGTAAGAGGGGAGAGAGGGGAAAACTGAGGATGAAGAGAGACAGAGAAGAGAGACCTGAGAGAGGGAGAGAAAGAAAGAGACAGAAAGAGAAATGAAAGTGAGGAAAGGGGAAACAGGCAGAGAAAGAGAGAGAAAGGGGAGGAAAGAGAAAGGGAAAAGAAAGGAGGGAGTGAAATCAACAGAAAAAAGAGAACCAGGAAGGAGGAGGGAGGGGGAGAGAGAAGAGAGAAGAGAGAGAAGAGAGAACAAGAGAGAAGAGAGAAGAAGAGAGAAGACAGAGATGCGGTCTCCCTGGGGAAAGGTTTGGAGAACTGGGCCAGGCCTGTTTCCCGGGACTCACGAGTGAGCAGTCCACCTGCCCCTCTGAAGCATTTTATAGACTCATTTGTCCCACTTTTGTGGGCTGATCATCCCACAGGGGAACAGGGGACACCACCTCACCTTTTGATTTCTTACCAGAAACTTGGGCGAGGCTTCCAGGAGCCACAAGAGCCCTTCAATCCACCCAGGGACCCCCGATGTGGGCCCACCAGCCATCCTTAGCTTTCCTCCTCTCCAGAGGCAACAGGGAATAGGAAAAAGTCCAGAGCAAGGCCACACCATGATCTTAACGCAAATGGAAATGTGAGGAAAACGATCAATTTGCTTCCTGAAAATGACATTTTTTTTTTCTGGTTTCTATGAGACTCGAGGTGGCCTTGCTGAAACTGAAATCGGTATGAGCTTTCCCTGGCAGACAATGGCCATTGTCACATATTAAATTCTCATGAAAGGGATAACTTTGTGGGCAAGAGGAGAGTTGTGCAGGGTGATTATTTATACTTGCATAATTGTGATTATTTGTGGCAATTATGGGTCTTTCAATGTACAAAATTTACAATTATGGGTAGTTTAAAAACTACATGCTAAGGCCGGGTGCCGTGGCACACACCTGTAATCCCAGCTCTTTGGGAGAGCCAGACGGGTGGGTCACCTGAGGTCAGGAGTTTAAGAGCAGCCTGGCCAACATGGTGAAACCCCGGCTCTACTAAAAATACAAAAATTAGCTGGGCGTGGTGGCGGGCGTCAGTAATCCTAGCTACTCCAGAGGCTGAGGCAGGAGAATCACTTGAACCTGGGAGGCGGAGGTTGCAGTGAGCTGAGATCATGCCATTGCACTCCAGCCTGTGTGACAAGAGTGAAACTCCATCTCAAAAAAAAAAAAAAAAAAGTTAAAACTACATGCTATTCTGGCCATAATCATTTGAGACTTCAGTCTCTGGGCTTTCCGGATGTGGGTATTTCAAAGTCCCAGGCGGCTGATGGGGGTTCACGCATTAGTGGCATTTTGTGGGGAGAATGGGTGTTACATTGATGTCCTACATAGGGTCATAATTCAGTATTTTCAGAACTTATTGTACTGCTGTTAGAGATACGAACTTTTCCACAAAGTATGATGCTTGTGTATTAATAGTTGTACTGGCTTATTTATAAATGAGAGGATTTGCTGATAATTATTGAGACTGTGGCATGGGCCAGGCACTAGTTAGGTTGAGTACTTTATATGCATGTACTTTATACCTGAACAAATTGACAAGAAGTGGGAATTACGGTCAGGCCATTTTACAAACTGGGGCAACTGAGTTCAGAGAGTTTGGGCCACTGTCCTGAGGCCAGGCAGCTGGAAGGTGGCAGAACTCCCGGATCCCTGCTTCCAACCACCGCGCTGTGTCTCCAGGACACGTCCTGTCTCACTGGGTTTTCTGCTCCTTTCCAAATCTGAGGACCCCAAAAGAAAAGGCCTGTTTTATAATAACGGCTTCTTTTCGAAGAGGTGTGTGAATAATGGGGGAAACACGACTCCAAAGTACTTTTTCTCTCCAGCCTGGGCAACATGGCAAAACACCATCTCTAGAAAAAATACAAAAATCCTCCAGGTGTAGTGGCACATGCCTGTGGTCCCGGCTACTCGGGAGGCTGACGTGGGAGGATCTCTTGAGCCTGGGTGGTCGAGGCTGCAGTGAGCTATGATTGTGCCACTGCACTCCAGCCTGGGTGACAGAGCAAGACCTTGTCTCAAAAAAAAAAAGTGCTTTTTCTACATCCTAGCTAAACCCCAGCTGTTGAGGCTGAGAGTTACAGGTGGGCCCTGCGCCTGCTGCATCCTCACCCTTGTGATGGGGCGACACTTGGGAGGGTGTGGGCAGCTGTAAAGGGCACTGGAGACTGACGGGTCCAGCGTTCCTCACTTTCCAGGTGAGGAAACAGAAGCGCAATGCAGGTGAGCTGACCCTGTTGAGATAACACAGATTTTACCCCACAAATAGAAAAAAGCAAAGAAAATGGACAAATAGTGTTTGAACAAGGCTGTCCTCAACTCACAAGCAGATCAAACAAGAGCAAAAGAAGGAACCGAAGCTAAAACTCATTTATTGTCTTCAAACATATATTTATTTTTAATCAAAAAAAGAAAAAAGTTATGTTATCCAGATCTTGCATTTTGCTCAGGGAAGGGTGATATACGCTTGGTTCCTGACCTCTTTCTTACCGAGTAATCGCTTGAGAGCTTTTGAAACGGCAGCAATCATAAGGCTGTTTTGGGGAGAAGCCTCAGCTCTGTGTTGGCCGTTAAGTCACGTCTGTGGGCATTATCGCATCTTGGCCTCCGTAGCTGGGCTTTCCTGGGCTGTTAACTGCAGGGGCCCTCGCTGGGTGGTCAGAGCTGCTGCGGGTGAGGTTTTGGGAGGATTCAGGGGGTCTTGCTGGGTGTGAGGGAAGCGGCCTTGAGTCAGATGTCTGTGAGTGGGACCCAGCCTTCTTGCTCCACGTTTATCTCCCACACCACCCCTTCCCCCAGAATCAAAGTCCAGGGGGAATCAGGAGGAAAGTATTGCAGAGCAGGGCCTCTTTTCCTTCCCCCTCC
This sequence comes from Homo sapiens, assembly GCF_000001405.40. Taxonomy (NCBI): domain Eukaryota; kingdom Metazoa; phylum Chordata; class Mammalia; order Primates; family Hominidae; genus Homo; species Homo sapiens. The sequence goes on from NC_000020.11 coordinate 58,518,766, forward strand.
CCTCCAAATGCCTACCTCTTCATCCTTGTCCCTGTTAAAAACACCATGGGATCATAAGATCACCCCACAAAATCTTGCTATAAAATGGTCTGTTTCCTCTGCTTGTTATCAGGGGTAACTGATCAAAGAAATGGTGCCCAGGCCTGGTTATCTAATAACCAAATAAACATCCAGGCAGCCTCCTGGGCCAAGAAGGGTAGGCAGGGGTAGCTCTGGATGAAGCAGGGGACAGGCCAGGGTGGGCTGGGCCCCTCTTGGTGACCATTTCTGCCTCCAGAGTGAGCATGCTGGCTCGGCCCAGAGTCGACCAGATCCTTATAACAACCTGCATGTTACAGATGAAGAAATTGAGGCAGAGAAAGCAAGTCTCTGTCCTTCAGAAATGCCTGGTGCACCCCTGAGCCTAGCACATGCCTTGTGCATAGTGGGGGCTCGCTGCACGTTTGCTGAGTGAATTAATGAGAGAGCAAATGAACTATCACAGAATGAGCACTGGGTTTATCAGAAGACCTGACTTCAAATCATAATGCTACCACTTAGCCACTCACCATGGCCGGTGCTAGGGGGAGGCGAACTTGTTCCCAGGGCTCACCATGTAATAGGCACTCACTCTTGGGTGGGCATAGGTGCAGATAGCCCCTCCAGGTGAATGCCTTCTCATAGTTTGAGCCCTGGGTGCCTCCCACTAGTCCCGGCCCTGCAATTCCCTTTGCATCTGTTTCTTCCTCTGTAAAATAGGATGAAGCTGTGCCACCCTGTAGGAATTAGAAGACCATGTCCAGGAATTGAGCACTGGGTGCAGGATCCAGTCTTCTGAGGCCCTGAAACCACATGGTGAGAAGTTGAAGGTCACACAGCTGGTATGCAATGGAGCCTGGATGGAAACCTGGTCCGGGCTGGAAAGACTGGCTCCTCAGCTTGAACCTAAAATACCTAGGTCTTGAATGGCATCTTGTTCACCTGCCTCTGGGAAGGCAGGTTGTGGAAATACCTTGGGCTGTCTGGGAACTCACCCTCCAGCCCTTAAACCTGTATAGGTATTCTTGCTCTATCTGGCTATTGTGTGTATGGTGGGGGCTGGGGGATGATGGCATTGGAGGGCTTATCCTAGCACCTGGCACATAAATGTTAAGTGAATATATTTTGAATGAATGTATGAATTCGGTAGATGAATGGATGAGTGGGTGGGTGAGTGGGTGGGTGGATAAATGGATGGGTTGGTGGGTAGGTGGATAGATGTGTGACTGGGTGAGTGGATGGGTGGATGGGCTAATGGGTGGATGGGTGGGTGGGTAGATGGATGGATGAATGGGTGAATAGATGGATAGGTGGATGGAGAGCAAGATGGATGGATGGATGGATGAATAGATGAATGGGTGGATGGGTGGGTAGGTGGGTGGATGAGTGGATGGGTGGTAAGTGGGTGAATGGGTTAATGGGTGGATGAGTGGGGGGATGGATGGATAGATGGATGAATGGGTGAATGGGTGGGTGGATGGATAGATGGATGGATGAGTGAGTGGGTGAATGGAAGGGTAGTGTATGGGTGGGTGGGTGGATGGGTGGGTGGGTGGATGACTAACACTCCAGTTGCCATAATTGTTGCTCTGGGGTGGTGCTCACACTGAATGGTTTGTTAATTTATTAGTAACAATTCATTAGTGTGTTAACTCAAGCGGTGGAGACACATCTTAATCCCTGCACTTAAGAGGTGCTTTCCCACAAAGGCGGGGCCTTGTGTTCTTCCTGTGAACAGCCATAGCACCAGCGTGAGAGGCAGGTGCTGTCGAGCGAAGAGCAAATGCCTGCTCTTATGTGGCCAGCCTTCTTTGCCTGGGAGGTTTGGGGATTTGTTTTTGTTAAATTTCTGGGTCCCCAGCCCAGCTCAAACCCCTCATTGATGCCTGAGCCACTCATAGCAGGCTATGGAATGGCAGCTGAGCAGCTGGGTCTGGCACCAATAGCTTCATCAACATGACACCCAGACATCCCTCTGGTCGTGGAGCTGACCGTTTGATGCTATATAGACCCACCAGGGCTTGCAGATGGTCTGTAGAAAGAATGGGCTGGCTTGGTTCATTTTACTTGGGAGGCAAGAAAATTCAGCCTGAGCAAGGGCTTCTGTTGATGCAGGATGGAGGAGAGGCTGCCCCGCTCATGGCAGAAGGAAGGCTTTGGGCGTCTAATGGGGCTCATGTCTTGGTGACGCCCTTCATGAGGTACATGACTTTGGGCCTTTGGGCACAGCCTTCTGAGCTTTGTGTTGCTCACCTGCAAAGGGAGAATCCTCAGGTTTTGGGGAGAATGCAATGAGATGACACAAGTAAAGCCCTCAGTGTGGGGCCTGGTGGGCTGTGGAGCCTGGTGGGCTGCAGGTCCTTGGTAAGAGGGCAGATGTCACCATTATTTCTGAGGGGACTGGGTAGGTTTGTGGATGAGTGGCTCACATCACCCAAGACCCCATGTTGGGCTCAGCACTGCAGGGTGTTGGAGCTGGGAGGCCTCTGCAGACCAGGTCCACTCATTTTCAAATGGCCTCTTGGGAGCCACCTAGAGAGGAGAGGACAGGGAAGGGAGGCAGAGAGGCCAGTCTCTGAGCCTCCTCCTCCCCCGTGTCATCTCAGGGTCACCATAGTGCGCTTCATGGGGTGGGAAGTGGTGGCCTCTAAGTGTCTATCAACTGTGAAGACTGCAAAGAGGGATCCATGGCTGTTGGAGCAATGAGATACGCGATGACGTAGACAGATCCGGAAAGCGCATCGTCTCCTGAGCAGAAGGGCACTCATGTAAGCCCAGACCACAAACCTGCACGCAAGTGTTGCATGCATTTAACTTGTGTGTGTCTAAGGCAATCCATCAGACATACTCCAGGGGATGTCTTTCAGGAGGAAGAAGGAAGGAAATGGGTGTGGAGATGGAAGAGGGGCAAAGGGAAAAATTTATACAATAAAATAAGACAGATGAGGGTCCCAACATAGACCAAGGTTGTTAGCATGCCATGGACTCAGTAATGTTACATGCAACTTTCTGTGTCTGCGGTCCGAAAAGTATGATAAGCAAAAGAGACTATAGAGAGACTGAGGCACAGCAAGGGGCAGGGGGATGGCCAAAATGGTGGTTGGGTGTCACCCAGACACTCAGGTCCCTCTGGCCGTGGCACTGACAGTCCGGAGTGATGTAGATCCACCAGGGCTTGCAGAAGAGCATGGTTCGGTGCCCATTCTCTGATGTCTGCTTGTGTGTGCAGAAGAGCTGCTTGGAGCAGGGTCTCACCTTTCCATACCCATCGGCTCCCCCCGCCGCCATCCACCAGCTGGGTCGCAAGAAAAGGCAAAAGCTATTGTGACAGCTTCCTTGTTTTGAGAGGCTTTTGTCGAAGGAGGGAAAAAGAAAAGTCAGGAAACATGTGTGGCTTCAAATTATGTCAGTTATAAAGTTTATTGTTAGCCCCCATTATAAAAATCAATATATGCTCCTCATATAGGATTTTAAAAGCACTAAGTTTATTATTTCTCTCTCATTGTAAAATTAACAGTGGTCCTAATATGCTATTTAGAAAATACAAAGTGGAAAGAAGAAAAATGAAAGTCACGCATCGTCCTTCAACCCGGGGACAACTCCTGCTAACACTCGGATGGATGAATTTCACATATACATATAAATATTCTCATCTACAGTCAAATTTAATAATGTGAATGCCTTAATAAACCACTAATTCTTCAATTTCATCTTTTGGGTTAATTTCCTAGTCTTTAAGGAACTGTTAGATGCAACGCTACGGGTAGTAGGGGAAGGACACGAAAAAAGAAATCTTATTTTTTGGCCAAAATATCCTGCATATTGGATTTGCCTTTGTTTTGTTTTGTTTTGCTTTGAGCCTTCTGCCTTGTTAGGCAGCTGTTTGTATACTTTCCTCTGCTTTGGATTTCAGTCTGGAAGCAGCACATTGATTTTAAACAGAAATACCTTAAAAGAGGTGGTGTTTGGGGGTTTACAATCCCCCCACCATCAGCTTGCAAGTGGTTCTGTTCCGGCTGGCACGTTACACCAGTAAGAGGCTTGGTGTATCACCCAGGGAGCAGGTTAGCTAAATTCAAGGTGAACAGACGGCATTCTCTGTTTCTCTTCTGGCTGTCTGCCTAGTTTGGGGTCTTGGGGAATTGGAGAAGCAAAATTTGGGGGCTGGGATCTTGGACAAGTGCTCACACCACAACCCAAGCCTAAGACCTTATTTTTCCCTTCCTTCCCTCTTCTTTTTTTTTCAGTTTACAATTAACACTCAGGGTTTAGTCTCCACCCCTCCCTCTTGAAATAGAATTTTTATCTCTTGATTCATGCTACAAGATAAAATCCATGTTTATCCAGTTTCATGAATAATTGATAAGCTCTTTCCAACTTGTCAGAAGCAACTTAGCCGTCTCGCCTTGCGGCCTGGAACCCCTGGCAATTTCCGGAGCACCGGCAAGAGACTTTTGCACAGTTTCTGCTTGGAGTCTACCGACTGTCTGTCTCAGAGGTGGGGGTTTATCTCTTGATCCTGATTCGTGAGTTACAGATTAGGCACTGAAGATTCCAGCACCGGGGATGCGTAGGGCCGGGGGAGGGAGGGAGGTGCACGTCAGAGTCCACTTAGATTTTCTGAACTCATGTCTGTGACAGGTGCAGACCTGGATTCCACTGGGAGCACCCCCACCCCCACCCCCCACCCAGGGCTAGCAGTTTCAGAGTTCACAGCATTAATTAACTCTAATCTGTTCCCTGATAGTTTAAAGCAGGCTCAACATGTGAAAGCATTTTCCTTCCTGCTTATTTAATGGACTTAATGAGATAACAATGAGAATCTGTGTTTAGGCTCTGTAGCGCATTTGGCTCTCCCGCCATGTTTGTATGATAAAAGGCAGTGGGCTGTTGTTTATGCGCTTAGCTGGGGTTTATTCTTTTTAAACAGGTCTGGACAGCTGCTTGTTACATTTGGCTCACGCTAGCTTAAAAAAGGAATTTATGGACCTTACTGCAGAACGTCCCAATTCTTCAGGCCAAGGTAAATGCAAGTTGGGGTGGTAGTGAAGTTGCAAACTGCCCCTAAGAAAAAAGGTTAACAAGATATTGTTCCTTCCACCCCCGGCCTCCCGTTGGTTCCCCCACCCCAAGAGCCTTCCCACCAGGCTTCAGGGTGACAAACGCTTGGATTTGATGGGGCTGAGACTTGCTTGTGCCTTTGTTGATGGCAGGGCACTTTTATTGAAACTTGTTGAAAGGAGCTAGCTTCGAAGGCTCCTCCAAGATTCTACACCACAGGGGGAAGCAGGACTTTGATTTAAGATACTCACATCTGTCAACCACAGGCATTCATTCAGTTTTCTCTTTCATTTGGGGAAGGAAGGGAGAAAATGAATCAGAGGCTGATTTTTTTTTTTCTGGCCTGTTTTCCCCAAGCTCCAGGAAATTAAGAAACATGCCATTAGTTTTAGCAAACAATTTGAACAAAGTAAAACCAGATCTCCCACCAAAGGCCGAGGACCATGAGGGGTCTGAGTGCCCCTGGCCCTGTTTGTGGACTCTGCGGGTCGTGGAGGAGCCATGAAGTGGGAAGAGAGCTTGGGTGATACAGGATGGTGTGCGTGACAGTCCTCCCTGTGTCTTCTTTGCTACCATATTTATCATAGCTTAGATGTGTGTGGCCTGGTGGCACCAAAGGTGAACAGAAAGCATTTTTGGGGCGCCATGGCCCAGACCTCAGCCTGAACGTTGTGGGAAGCCAGTGGGTGTCTGCATGTGTTGGCGAGAACCAGTGGGCATCTCCTTGGAAGCCAGTCCCCAAGGTGGCTCTAGATGGCTTACTCCTGCATCTTGCCAAATCCACAGGGTCCAGCTGTGTCTCCAGGGCTGCGTGGCTTATTGAAAAAGAGAGTGTATGGTGGATTTCAATATCTATATTCTACAAAAAATGTAAAAGGGGCAGGGGACGGGAACAAAGAAACCAGTGCTGGTGATCCTGCCCCCACAGTAAGGTCTGCTTTAGTGTGGACATGGGACAGGGGCCAGCCCCTGCTGCTCCCTGGGGGAACACAGGTCCGTGGGGGTGGCTCACCGTCATGTATGTGATTTTGATGTTTGTACATTTGTTGTACCACATGAACCAGTCTTGGACGGCTGTTCTGAGTAAATGGGATGATGTGGGTAAAGCCCCCAAGACCAGAGCCTGGCACAGGGCCGTGCTGGATAATGCTGACTCATGGTGATGAGGGGAAGGAGGAGGCAGGATGCCATGGGTGAGGAGTCCAGGCTCCAGTGCTGCTGAACCACCATCCACCAGTATGATCTCAGCAAGCCTCTCTCCACCTGGACCCAGATGATTCACCCGTTAAACATCCCAGGCACATTGAAGGGAGATGAACAGCGTCCAGCATGGTCCTCAGCTGTGAGAAGCCATACACTCGCCTTTTCCACCCTACAACTTTCCGTCATCTGGGGTGCAGGTTTCTTTCCTCTCTTTTTACTTATTACAAGGTAAAATACAGTCTTATTACAGAAAACTAGAAACCAGAAAAGCCCATCACACAGTCATTCATTCAACAAATGCGTATTGGGAAGGGTGGGGATGAGCCCCTGGTGGAAATGGGGTGAAGCTGTGGACTTTCTCTGGGTGCGATGAAGGCTGACGGAGGGCTTTGAGCATCCTCAAGATTCAGAAGTCTGTTCTCAGTCATCAGCAGCTGTACCAGGAGAGGAAGAACCTCTGAAGTGTTCTGGCTCCAAAAGCTAGTGAAAGTGCAGATTTCCTGAGAAGGAGTGAAGCTTAGGGCCCTGCCAGGCAGTGATGCTTTCTCAACTTTGGGGGCAGTAAAATGTACAGACTCTGGGGAAGGAGACCAGGAAGGAGGCTGCAAAGTGTGCATGCTCTGGGAAGGGGGCAGGGAAGGCTGGCAAAAAGCTGTTGGGGACCCAGCCAGGCTGCTTCCCTTGGAGGCCCAGCCTGAGATGTGTTTCCCACCATATATGGCAGAAATGATTTCAGGTGCTATGTAGATAAGCCACGAACTATCATTGAATCTTTTCTTGGTTGTATTGTGAAAGAAAAAGTCTCTGTTGGGTGCTGGTGTATCTTCGACACCACTTAACACTTGTCAAGCTCTCCTTTACTGAGGTAAAGCAGTCCTCAGGCTCAGAGCTTGTGACCAGGGAGCGGTATCTAGCCAAAATTTTATTTCAATGCTTTGTTTTCATTGTCTTTAAAACAAAAGATGGTTATCTTCCATTTGCCATGAAAGATACTGCTTCCCATTTCTGTTTTTTACTCATTTTTCATTAAGGTATAATTTGCATGCAGTAAAGTCTCGTCTTTTTAGTGTACAGTTCTGTGGAATTTCGATAAATGTATCCAGTGTGCAACCATCACATCAAGATATAGAAGGGTTCCTTCACCCCTAAATCCTTCCTTGGGGATGACAACCTCTCTTCACCCTCAGTCCTTTGCAACTAATAATCTGTTTTCTTTTCCTATAGTTTTGTCTTTTCTAGCATGTCCCATAAATGGAATCTTATAGCACGTAGCCTTTTGAGTCTTGCTTCTCTCACTTAGCAGAATGCATCTGATATCCATTCACATTGTGCCTGTATCAGTAGTTCATTCATTTTTAATAATGAGTGGTGTTCAGTTGTAGGCCTACACTATAATTTGTAGAGGGACATTAGGATTGTTTCCAGATTTGGCAGTTACAAATAAAGCCCCTATAAACATTCACGTACAAGTTTTTCATGAGCATGGGTTTTCATTTCTCTTGGGTAAGTACCGATAAGTAGGATTGCTATGTTGTCTAATACATGCATGTTTAACTTTGTAAGAAATGGCCAAGCTGTTTTTCAGAGTGGCTATACTATTTTGCATTCCTACCAGCAATGTACGAGAGTTCCAGTTGCTCCATATCCTCATCAGCACTTGATGTTGTCAGATTTTTTTTTTTGTTTTTGTTAGTCTAATGGGTATGTACTAGTATCTCACTGTGGTTTTAGTTTGTATTTTCCTGATGACTAATGATGTTTAACACCTTTTTATGGGCTTATTTAAAATCACTATATTTTCTTTGGTGAAGATTTCAAACCTTTTGCCCATTTTAAAATTCGAATTGTTTGTGTTTTATTATTGAACTTATTGAGTATTTACATATTCTGGATACAAGTTCTTTTCTAGATATGTTATTAGCAAATTATTCTGCTAGCTTTCTTATTAATTTTCTTAATGATGTCTCTTGGAGATTGTATTAATTAGTCTGTTCTCATGCTGCTAATAAAGACATACCTGAGACTGAGTAATTTATAAAGGAAAGAGGTTTAATTGACTCACAGTTCAGCAAGGCTGGGGGAGCCTCAGGAAATGTACAATCATGGAGGAAGGGGAAGCAAATATGTCTTTCTTCACATGGCAGCAGGAAGGAGAAATGCCAAGCAAAAGGGGGAAAAGCCCCTTATAAAACCATCAGATCTCGTGAGAACTCACTCACTATCACAAGAGCAGCAGCATGGAGGTAACTGCCCCCATGATTCAATTACCTCCCACCAGATCCCTCCCATGACATGTGGAGATTTTGGGAACTACAATTCAAGATGAGAGCTGGGTGGGAACACAGCCAAACCATATCAGAGATCATAGGTTGTTAATTTTGATCAAGTATAATTTATCAATTTTTTCTTTTGTGGATTATATTTTTGGGGCCATATCTGAGAAATATTTACTTAATCTAGGGTCACAAAGATTATCTTCTATGTTTTCTCCTGAAGGTTTTATAGTTTAAAGTTTTACATTGAAGTCTATTATCTATTTTGAGTGAATATTTTGATATAGTGTGATATATGAATGGAGGTTCATTTTAAAAATAAATATCCAATTATTCCAACCCCATTGGTTGAGAAGACTACTTTTTCTCTACTTAATTGCCTTTGCAACTGTGTCCTAAATCAACTGACCCACTCTGTATAGGCCTATATCTGGACTTTATAGTCTATTGCGTTGGTCTATATGTCTGCCCTTTCTCTAATTCCACATTCTCTTGAATATCTTACCTTTGTACTAAATCAGGTAGGGTGACTTTATTTAAAATATATTCTTCTGGCCAGCTGTGGTGGGTCACATCTGTAATCCCAGCACTCTGGGAGGCCAAGGTGGGAGAATTGGTTGAGGCCAGGACTTCACAAACAGCCTGGGCATCATAGGGAGACCCCCATCTCTACAAAAAATAATTTTTAAAAAATTAACTGAGCGTGGTGACACAGGCCTGTAGTCCCACCTACTTAAAGGGCTGAGGTGGGAGGATTGTTTGAGCCAGGAGTTCGGGGCTGCAGTGAGCTATGATTGTGCTACTGGATTCCAGCCTGGGCAACAGAGCAAGACCTTGTCTCCAAAAAATATTTTATATACATACATACATATATATATATATATATATATATATATATATACATACATATATATATATATACATATATATACATATATGTGTATATATATATCTGTATATATATATAACTGTATATATATAACTGTATATATATATATAGTTCTATTCTAACTTTATTCTTCTTTTTCAAGATCACTTTTGTTATTTTTTCTTTATCTTTTCATAAAAATTTTAGAATCTGCTTGTTGATTTCTACAAAAAACTCTGCATTATTTTTAAGTCTTGCTTTGCTGCCCAGGCTGGAGTGCAGTGGCATGATCATGGCTTACAGCAGCTTTGACCTCCTGGGCTCAAGGGATCCTGCTGCCTCAGCCTCCCAAAGTGCTGGGGTTACATATGTGAGCCACCACATCCAGCCTCCCATGGGTTTTGATTAGAATTATGCTGACTGTGTAAATCAGTTTGGAAGAATTGACATCTTCACAATATTGTCTTTGTCAACATGGCATGTCTTTCCATTTATTTAGGTCTTTGATTTCCTTTATCATTGTCTTTTTGGTTTTCAGCATATAGAGCTTGCATGTCTCTTATAAGATCCATACCTAAGTATTTTATAGGTTTCGGTGCTATTGTAAGTGGTATCTTAAAAAATTTCAATTTTCATTGCCAAGTATACAGAAATACAATTAATTTTTGAATATGGATCTTATTAACGTGACCTGGCCGAACTCACTTTTTAGTTTTAGTAGCTTTTTAATAGACTGTTTGAAATTTATATGTAGATTATCATGTCATCTAGCAATAGAGTTTGAATAATTTCTATTGACCTATCCTCAGGTTAGTTGATTCTTTTCTTACCTGTGTTGAGTTTACTAATGAGTCTATCAAAATTATTCTTTATCTGTGTGAGTGTTGTTTTTACTTCCAGCATTTCCAATTGATTTTTTTCTTATAGTTTCACTCCTCTGCTGAAATTATGCATGTGATAATTCATGATGTTCTCATTTCCAGTAGAGTCTGTAACATATTATTCATAGTTATTTTAAATTTCTATCCATTGTGTTTCTACCTTTCCAATGTGGATGTCTTTTTTTCCCTTGCCTTATTGTACTGATACAGTATTAGACAGGAGGAATGAGAGCTGGTATCATCCCTTGTTCTCAATCTTAGGGGAAAAGCATTGTCTTTCACTGTTATGTATGACATTAGAGTTGTAAGTTTTCTTGTAATGTCCTTTATCAGGTTGAGATTGTTCCCCTCTAGTCTTTGTTTCCTGAGAGTTTTTTTAATCATGAATATGTGTTTATAAAATGCTTTTTCTGTATCTCTTCTGATGATTATTTGATTTTTATTCTTCAGTTTGATGATATTACATTGAATATTGATATTACAGTGAGTTACATTGATTGAGTTTTTTGAATGTCAGACTATCCTTGCATTCCTTAAATAAACCCCAGTTGGCTGTAGTGTACTATCCTTTTTATATATGTTTTTTTTTTGCTTGCATTTTGTTAAGGATATTATTTATATTCATGAGGATTATTGGTCTGTAGTTTTCTTTTATTATAATGTATTTGTCTGGTTTAGATATCAGGGTTATACTGATCCCATAAAATGAGTTGGAACACGCACCCTCCTTTTTTTGTATACTGGGAGAAATTGTGTAAAATTGGTATTATTTCTTTCTTAAATATTCAGTAGAAATAACCAGTGGAGCCATTTGGGCCTGGAGTTTTTTTTTTTTTTTTTCTTCCTTCTTCTTCCTTCCTTCCTTCCTTTTTTTTCACAAGTGCTGACTGCTAGTGAGAGATTTCTTTTTAGAAAGTTTTGGCCAGGTGGCTCACACCTGTAATTCCAGCACTTTGGGAGACCGAGGTGGGTGGATCACCTGAGGACAGGAGTTCGAGACCAGCCTGGTCAACATGGTGAAACCCCATCTCTACTAAAAATACAAAAATTAGCTGGGCGTGGTGGCAGGCGACTGTAATTCCAGCTACTCGGGAGGCTGAGGCAGGAGAATTGCTTGAACCCGGGAGGTTGCAGTGAACTGAGATCATGCCATTGCACTACAGCCTGGGTCACAGAATGAGACTCCATCTCAAAAAAAAAAAGTTTTAATTATGCATTTAAATTTCCTTAATAGATATAGGATTATCTATTCTTTGTAAGGTGATTTTCAATGTTCAATCTTCCATTCCTGATATTGATCATTTGTGTTGTCCTTTTCCACTGGTCAGTCTTGACAGAGGTTTATCTGTTTTATTATTTTTTTTCAAAGCAGCAGCTATGGGCTTCATTATTTTCTTTTCTCAATTTCATTAATGTCTACTCTTATCTTCATTATTTCCTTTCTTTTGTTTATGATTGTTTCATCTTCACTAATGGCTTATTATTATTTATGTCTCTTTAAAAATTTTTAGTTGTTGACCCAAGTTTTATAACATGAATCTTTAATTAAAAATTCTAACCTCAAATAATATGATACTACTTTATATCTAGTCTAAGAAACTTACAAAATATGCTAATTATTCTTTTCTCCAACACTTTTGTGTCATTGGTGTCATATATTAATATTTTATTTTTATGTATGCTATGAGTACACAACAGCTTGTTACTACTTTTGTTTTTGCTACTACTTTTTTGAAAGTCAGTTATCTTTTAGATTAGGAATTGACAAATTTTTTCTGTAAAGGGTCAAATAGTAAATGTTTTAGGTCTTGTAGGCCACAAATTCTGGACCCGTCATAGTGTAAAAGCAGCCATAGACAATACATACATAAACTTGTGTGGCTTTGGTCCAGTAAAAACCTTTATTTACAAAAACAGGCGGTGGGCTAGATTTGGCCCACAGGCTGGGATACATTTTGGGTTGATAGTTTTTGTTGTTGTTGTTTTAGCACTTGTATTGTCTTGTGGCTTGCCTGACATCTCAGGGGAAGTCTGATGTAATTCTTATCTTTGTTCCTCTGCATGTATTATTTTTCTCTGTCTACCTTTATGATTTTCTCTTTATCTTTAGTGTTCAGCAGTTTGAATAAGCTATTTCTAGGTGTTTGTTTTTGTTTAATTTATCCTGGTTGGTGTACTCTCAACTTTTTGGATCTGTGGTTTTGTGTCTGTCATTAGTTTTGAAAAATGCTTTTTGTATAATTTCAACTATTTTAATGTATTAATGTACATCTTTTGTATTTTAATGTATTAATATTGGTTTCATGGCCCATAAAATGGTTTGCTTTGGTTAATGTTTCTTGTGTACTTGGGTGGAGTGTTCTATAAATGTCAATTAGATAATTATTTCTTCAAATATTTTTTTCTGCCTCATTCTGTCTTCTCATTCTGTAATTCCAGTTACTGTTCTGCTAGACCATTTGTTATTGTCTCACAATTCTTGGATACTCTGCTTATTTTTAAAGCTCCTTTTCCTCTTTGAGCTTGAATAATTTCTAGTGACCTATCTTAAGTTAGTTGATTCTTTTCTTACCTGTGTTAAATTTACTGATGAGTCTGTCAAAATCATTATCTTTATGAGCATGATTTTTATTTCAAGAATTTCCATTTGATTTTTTTCTTATCATTTTACTCCTCTGCTGAACTTACCCATTTGATAATTCATGGTGTTCTCATTTCCACTACAGTCTATAACATTTTATTCAGTTATTTAAAATTCCTATCTAATAATTCCATCATCTGTATCATAGCTGTGTCTAATTCTGTTGATTCTTTTGTCTCTTGACAGTGTGGTTTTTTTTCCCCTCACTTCTTTGAATGCCTCACATTTTTTTATTGAAAGCCAGACATCTTATGTAGGACAATAGATACTGAGGTTTTGACATCTGGGAATGGAGCATGTCTTTATTTCTGCTAGGACTTCAGTATGGGCAGTTGAGTTGGTCTATTTAGGAATTCAGATGTGTTAGATTTCATTGTTGGCTATAGTTGCTCCCAGTGTGCTGCCAGCTTCAAAGTCCTTTTATGTTAGTTTGAGTTTAAGTTGGGCGCTGGTTTGCCAGAGGATTTTTTTCAACCTCTGCTCCACCCTCAGCTTTTAGTCTTCCTTTGTGCTTTGCCACAGATTGAGTCTCTCTCCTGTCTCTTGTCCCTCTCCCGGGAAGAGACCACTGTTACCTGCTACTCTATATCTGTTTGCCTGGTAGTAGGGGTTGGGGAATATTCTCTGTTGTGCTTATTTTGTCTCAGTCTTAGCCAGGCACTTCATGGTTCTGTTTAGCTCCCAGCTATTGGTCTGGGCTTAGGATGCATTCCTGCCCGCCCTACTATACACCAGGAATAGTGTGAGGGTGGTTTGCTGCTGTTGTAGTTTCCTTCAGTCAGTTTCAATAATTTTCATTAGTGCCCTCATGGCAGTAGGTTTCATTGCCCTTCCCCTAGACATTTTAGGGAGATCCAGGTGAGGATCTGTGCTTTTTCTGCAGTGGTTTCTGTCCTCCTTCCCCAGTCCTATGCTGCAAGGGATGCTTTCTCAGTATTCTCATCTTGCCCTTTCCTATCTTTTTTGTGGGCACTCAGTTCAGCTATGGAAACAAGCCTGCATATAGAGTGAATTCATCTTATGTCTGTGGCTCTCAGAAGTGCCATATAGTCTCAGCAGCCCACGCTCAGCCTTTAGCAATTTGTTAAATATTCTAGCTATTTTTTTTCCTGCCAGCATCTGATGGCACCTACTCCAGGTAAGCAAGTATTCCAGGACTGGAATACTCTCCTTAGAGGTACCTATCTTTCCTTACATTTCAGGTTAGCTGGTTGCCTTGTAACTCAGATCTCTGCTGGATTAAAGAAAAGTTGCAAATTTTCAAATTATCTGGCTTGGTTTTCTATTGGAGTAGGAGGGTCTTTCCAGCATTCTACATCTGAAGCAGTTCAACTTCTTTTAAAAATAAACTTTCTCCACTAAAAATAATGTGTCCTTTAATATATTAATGATATGAAGCAAAGCAAATACTATGAAGCAAGGTTAATCGTACAAAGCACCTACAACAGGGCTTTGGAGTCAGCATTCTGTCTCATATTTTCTGTGTGACTTTGGAGAAGGTATGGACCTTGAGCATCAGTTTCTGTTTCCTTGTCTGTACAATGGAGATTGAATATTATCCAAAGAATTAAAAGAGCTAGTATATAAAAAGTGCTTGGCTGATGTTAAGTGCTCCACTAAATTGATAAAATTAACAAATGTTATTACTTTACATGGATTTAAAGACCATCTCTGCAGTGTGGAAGACAGTCCCAGATGCAGTTGGGAAATGAGGTGATTCTTCTCTGTGTGATTCCCAAATCTCCTGGACTCTGGCTGGCATAAGTGTGTGTGTGTGTGTTTATGAGAATGTTCACTCGTAGAATTCTCTAAAGTAGCTTCTGCCACTACTACCACCATTCAAAGCATACTCTAAGGCAAAAGAAGGAAATATTTAAAGAGTGTGAGAGACAGTGAAAATATCCAGCCCAAGACCAGGCATGGAGAAAGCCCCCAGGAAACATCAGCAAAGTGAGGAGGGAATGTACAGATGGGAGAAGTATGTATGGCTTGGAATAGACGCCCCCCCAGCTTAGTCCCTGCATGTGAACCAATGGCTGTGTGTCTGGGTGACCTTGGGCTGGACCCTTGACACCCCTGAGCCTCAATTTCTCATTAGCAAGATGGCAGAAATCTCTGCTGCCCTCCCTCACCTCCTATGATTGTTGTGAAGCCGAAACAAGACCATGTCTGTGACCATTTGGAAACTCTACAAACATATCAGGCATTAGTGTTAAAAATGATCACTCAAACCCATTCTGAAAGGTTGAAGGATATGTGAAAAGTGGACCTTGAGGCCTTCTCAATTATGGCTTCAGAAATAGTTAAGGTAAAGTCAGGCGGCAAGTGATCAATGCCTCTCGATGTTTCTTTCCCAAGGAGGCACTCAGATTTTTGCAGCTGCCTGACATGTTTCTTAACAACTTACCTCCAACTGGAGAAACATCAGTAGTTGTCGAGGCCACAGTTTGTCTGGCTGATTTATACAAATCGGTGAAACAATATCTCCAGCCTATTCTTTGATCTTGGTTTGAAGCAAGTCAACTTAAACACTCATGGGAGCTGGAAGGAGATCCTTCATACAAATGTGCCCACAAATCTTTCTTGGATGCTCAGGGTGAGGCCTCTGCTAGTTGCTTCAAAGGCCTCATCCATCATGACAGGGGGAATAAAAACTCAAGTTATGCTTTATTAACCTTATTGATTGCCATCCTTGACCCAACTCAACCCATATCCAACTGTGGCAGGAATTTCTAACTCAACTTTTGCTGTAGTAGAACTGCACTTCCTCCACCACAATCCTCTCTGCACCCTCCCTCCCTGGCCCTGGCACCTCTCTTTAATCAAGAAGGGCAGCAGGGAAGGAAGATCTCACTGCTGGAGACCAAGTGCTGTGGGTCATTAAGGGGGCCAGTTCTGGAGCTTGAATGCCTGGGTTTGAATCCAAGCTCTGGCATATACTGACCTTGGGCGAGTTCTAGAAATCTGCCCCTGCCTCAGAGTCTCCATTTATAAATTTATATGGTTCATTGGTAGGGGTTATACCAGATAAACAGAATCAGGAATTTAAATATGTATATTTTAAGGAATTGGCTGTGGGACTGTGGAGTCCGGCCTAGTAAGGCTGAAATCTGCAGGGCAGGCTGACAGACTAGAGGCCTGCAGGCAGGAGCTGATGCTGTGGACTAGACCGGGGGCAAAATTTTATTTTCCTCAGTGAACCTCAGTTTTGCTATTGAGGTCTTTCTACTGATTGGATGAGATCCCCAGATTATTAAGGACAATCCTTACTTAAAGTCCCCGACTGCAGACATTAACCCATGATAACTATAATACCGTCACAGCAGCACCTGCATTAGTGCTTTGTGGAATAACTAGGTGCTAGAGCCTAGCCAAGTTGACACATTAAACTGACCAGCACAGATGGTGTAGAAGTGATGTGAAGAGTATGAGGTACTACATGTAATGTTTGCAGGCTGGGACCCAGAACACAGTGTGGACTCAATAAATATGAGCTGTTCTTATTGCTGCGAGGATGCAGAGAGGAGACTCACAAATGGCCCCGTGTATAGTAAGTGCTCGGTAAACATTAGCGATTATTATGTCTTCAAAATTTCACTCAATATGCATCATTAATGTCAGGGCTGTGATGGTGGTGGGGGCACTGACTGGGGCCTATGGTAGCAAGTCATCTCATGCACACTCACACACACACTCTGTCTCACACACACTTGCATACTCACACCCGTACGCATACACACGCTCATACAATCATACACACACACACACATGGTTGATGACAAGTGGTGACTTCACAGGGTGAGGACTTATGAAGGATCTAGAGTCTGAGGGCTTGGGGAGTGGAGGTTTGCAGGATGAGCGAGTTTCCTGGGGAAGGGGTGGTGGCTGGAGGGGCGGGGCTGTGGAAGCCCACCGCAGCTAGGACAGGCGCAAGCGTCGGCCCCCGGGCAGGGTCCTAGTGTGGTGGGGTGGGTCCCAGCCAAACCCTGCATATCAGGTCCTGACTATGGATACTTGATTGCTTTGATTTGATTTGATTTATTTTATTTTTTTGAGATGGAGTCTCACTCTGTCACCCAGGCTGGAGTACGATGGCATGATCTCGGCTCACTGCAACCTCCGCCTCCCGGGTTCAAGCGATTCTCCTGCCTCAGCCTCCTGGAATTGCAGGCACCCACCACCATGCCTGGCTAATTTTTGTATTTTTAGTAGAGATGGGGTTTCACCATGTTGGCCAGGCTGGTCTCGAACTCCTGACTTCAGGTGATCTGCCCTCCTCGACCTTCCAAAGTGCTGGGATTACAGGTATAAGCCACCATGCCTGGCCCTGCTTTGATTTTATATTGGCATTTTTTTTCTCTTTTCGTCTGAAAATAATTTAAAAAATTGCTTATTGGCCATATCCATCTATCAATCTATTTAAAAAATAACATACCAACATTATTGCTAACAATATGATTATTCCTAAAAACAGCTCCAGATTTCTTTGCGGTTCTTGTCTCACTAGGGGTGTGCATCCCTATCTGTGTATTTTAAAATCATCTGAAATGATTCTTCTCTGATTGGGGAAACCAGGAGGTGGCTAATCTTTACTTAAAGGCCAGATCACCTAGGTAAAAAATGAGATATCCTCTTGAAAGCAACAAGGACAAAGTTGTTCAGCATGCGTAAACCTGAGTGTCATGATTGGTTTGTCTGGTCTGGTCAGGATACACATGCACTCCGCATCCCCCTTGCCATCTCAGGTCCAGGCCAACATTGTCTCTCACCTGACAACTGTCACAGCTTCCAAAATGGTCTCCCTGCTCCCACTCTACCCTGTCCTCATCCTTTTGTACTTGGCAGCCAGAGTGATTTCTTTTCCAAATTGAACTGTAATATCACACTGAAAAGGGGTTCAAAGAATTGTCACAAAGTCACGGACAGAATGGGAGGCCATTACCTAAGTGAAATGAGTCAGAAGCAGAAAGTCAAGTCACTGCATGTTCTCACCTATAAGTGGGGGCTAAACAGTGGGTACACATGGGCATACAGAGGAGGGTAATAGACACTATAGACTCCAGCAGGTGGGAGGGTGGGTGTATTAGTCTGTTCTCACTCTGCTAATAAAGAAGTACCAGAGACTGAGTAATTTATAAAGAAAAAGAGGCTTAATGGGCTTACAGTTCCACATGGCTGGAGAGGCCTCACAATCATGGCAGAAGGCAAAGGAGGAGCAAAGGGAGGTCTTACATGGCAGCAGGCAAGAGGGCATGTGCAGGGGAACTGCCCTTTATAGAGCCTTCAGATTGAGTGAGACTTATTCACTGTCACAAGAAGGGGAAAAATCCACCACCATGATTCAATCACCTCCCACCGGGTTCCTCCCATGACACATGCGGATTATGTGGGCTACAATTCAAGATGAGATTTGGGTGGGGACACAGCCAAACCATATCAGTGGGAGAGGGTTGAGTGTTGACAAGTTACCTGTGGGGTACAAAGTGCACTCTTCGGATGATTTGGGTACACTGAAAGCCCAGACTTCACTGCCATGCAGTATATGGAGGTAATGACTGCAGTTGTATCCCCTAAAGCTATAACAATTTTTAAAATAAAATGGTCATATAGCACACTTCTATGGAACCTCAACCCAGATCAAGAAGTTGCTTCCTTGTCCCATCTCAGAAACTGTGTCCCCCTCACCCCCAGCAAGAGAACCACTGTTTTGACATCTCACATTATTATTTCATTTTACCTGCATTTGAATTGTCTTTCAATGGAGTAACTCAGATTATATTCTGTTGCGTCTTGCTCCTTTTGCATAACTTTTTAAAGTGAGACACAACCATGTAGTTGTGTGTGGGTATAGCTCTGTTGTTATTTTTGTTGTACAATATTCTATTTATGAATATGCTATAATTTATTTATCTATTTTGCTGTTGATGGATATTTGAGTTGTTTCCTTTTTGGGGGCTACTACAAACAGCACATGTATGAACATTCCTGTCCACGTATACACCGCTGTTGGACAGAAGCAGATTTTCTGTGTTATGGAGTATACATAGGTTCAGTTTCTATAGATACCACCAGTTTTCCAAAGCAGTGGTCCTAGTCCACATTCCCAGCTGCAGTGTATGAGAATTCTAGCTGTTCTATACCCTTGGATTATGTGCCATTGTCTGGGGGTCTTCTGTTTGTTTTATTTTTGTTTCTTTAGTTTTTCCATTCTCTGAGTGTGTAGAGTATTTTACTGTGCTTTTAATTTGCATTTATCTGATGGCTAATTAGGTTGAGCCTCTTTTCATGTGCTTATTGATTATTTGGACATCTTTTTATGAAGTGTGCCTGTTCAAGTCTTTTGCCCATTTTTATATAGGTGTGTTTGTATTCTCTCTGGACTTGTAATACCTTACAGGTCTGGATATGACTCCTCTGTCATTTGTATGTGATTTAGTTATGAAAGAGAATCTGTTCAGGAATCTGATCTTGTCACTCTCCTGGCATCCCCGTCTTCATAGGTCAGCATCTTTGAGAGGTTCTGGTACTCAGGCCTTTGAGTTCTCTGGCCTGTCTTTGGGCCACCCCATTCTGTGGCTTCTCCTTCAGCTATACTAGAGCCTCTAGAGTGTCCTTCTCCTTGTCCTGGAATCTGACACAGGGCAGTGTGACTCAGAGCTAAGGGCACAGACTCTGGAGCCACACTGCCCGGTCTCACCGCTCAAGTGTCGAATGGTGCTGACAATAATAATAATCCCCCCTCAAGAGTTGTGAGGAGTTAATGTGAAGTCCTTAGAAGAGTGCTGAGCACATGGCAAGGCGGGGTGAGCGTGAATATTTTTTTATCATCGTTTATGTTCACTGAGGTTCTGCTTTTGGAAATGTCCTTTCCTTTCATCACCTATGATTCTAATCACCCTTGGCTAATTCCTACCTACCCTCTAAGTCTCAGCTCCAAAATCATGTCTTCAGGGAAGCCCTCTGTATCAGTCAGCACAAGCTTAGTTGACTTGCAGTAATGAACAACCTCAAACTTGCAGTGGCTTTAAACCATCAGAACATATTTTCTGCCACATGTTCCCTGTTGGGTGGCTAGGGGATCTGCCACCATGATACTTTTGAATCTTTGCTCCAGAACCTTGTCCATGGACCAGCCACTACCTGGACTGTCAATAGGCAGTGGTAGAGGGAAAAAAGGCTCTGGTAGGTTTCACACAGGGGATTAAGGCTCACCAGGAATGACTCTTATGTGTCTCCCACTCTCGCCAGAACTAGTCACAGGCCACATTGACCACAGGGGCCAGGAAGTTCAGTCGCATCTTGTACTCAGAAGGAGAGAGAACTGAGATATTTGGAGGGTTGCACCAATGACTAATGACAATTTGCCTGAACCCCAAACTGAGTTAGGCCATGCTATTGTGTGCTTTGTCTATTTCACCTTTCTAACACACACCATTGTGCAGTCATGTGTTTGTGTGACTATTTGATTATCGTCTATGTCTCCCACCAGGCTGAATTTCACAAGGGCAGGGCCCTATTGGAACTGTTGACTGCTCTATCCCTGTTTCTGTCACTTGCCCCTTGCAGACATTTGAGAAGTTTGGTGTCTATAGCAGTCAATCATTGGAAAATAGATGCTGGTCTCTTTATCCTGCCATCTCTAGATACCTTTTCTTCTTTTAATTATTCACCGCAGAAATTTATATACCCATCTCCCAGCTTCCACAGTTATCAACATGCCAATCTTGTTTCATCAAATTCCCATATTTCATTGCAGAAATTTTTGAGTCTATAAAAAATAGAATCATATAGTAAACTCTCATGTAACCATCTCCCAGCTTAAACCGTTATCAACATGCCAATCTTGTTTCACTGAATTCCCATATTCTCTCCCCACCTCTATTTTAAAGTGAACACATCCTATCATTTCATTCACAAGTCATTCACTACAATGTAATACCATTACTGTGCCTCAAAAATGGACAGTCATTTTAAAATATCATATAATACCCAGTCAATGTTGCAATTCCATTGATGGCCTCATAAATGCTTTGTTTAAATTAAGATCCAAAGAAGATCCACACATTGCATTTGGTTGATTTGGTTTTGGAAATCTTTAGTGAATCTCCATTCCCTTTTTTATTTTCTTATTTTTCTATTGGAAACCATATCACCCATCCTGTAGCCTTTGCCATAATCTTGATTTTGCTGATGGGATGGTGTCTTCTGATATGTTCCTCTGTCCCCTGTGTGTCCTGCAAACCTGTAGCTAGCTCTCAGTAAGATCTAGAAGTTTGATGATGTTCATATTTGACTTTTTTGGCAAGAATTCATCAGAGTTGTCATTGTATACTTGTACTGCCTCATTCCACGTGATGTCTGTTTGTCTGTTAAGCTTCCTCAGAGGTTTTGGGGTTTGCCAGCCTGATCCACCATGGTACCCACCTTCATCCACGGTACCCACCCCCATCCCCCAATTCCCAGTGATCCCACTCCTGTTTACTTTGTTCCACTTTCTTACAAGAAAAATCACATCCTAAAATGTTCCCTCCTTGCACGGAAAACCCATCCAGACGAGGCTCAAGTCATAAAAGAGCATGAGACATGGATCTCCATTTGTTATGAAGTTAGTGGGCATCAGCTTTATCAACAGCCCCCATCTTTAATCAAGAAGAAATTACCCACTGGTGGGACATTATGGTTTTCTTTTACAACTAGCTCGTTTTTTAAAAAATTAATTTCAGTTCAATTTTTTTTTTAATTTTACATTTCGGGATCCATGTGCAGGATGTGCAGGTTTGTTACATGGGTAAACGTGTGCCATGGTGGTTTGCTGCCCCCATCAGCCCATCACCTAGGTATTAAACCCCACATGCATTAGCTATTTATCATGATGCTTTCCCCCACTATCCCCCTACACAGGCCCCAGTGTGTGTTGTTCCCCTCCCTGTGTCCATGTGTTCTCATTGTTCAGCTCCCACTTACAAGTGAGAACATCCGGCATTTGGTTTTCTGTTCCTGTGTTCGTTTGCTGAGGTTAATGGCTCAGTTCAACTTTTAAGCAAGGAAAGAGAAGGATAATTGTGCAGCGTTTCCTGAAAAGTTATGAAAGAAAGCAAAGGGTCATTTTTCAGAACTCCTCTCCCACCATTAAGAATCATCCATCGTGGCTCTTCCTTGCATCTTGCAGCCGAGCTGTAAGCCCTGGAATTGGCTGATGGGGCTTTGCTTCCAGAGATGTTTCTCAGATCCTCCTATTTACAAGGAGGGTGTTTGGAACTAGAAAAAAGCTGGAGGTTCGCATCAGGGGAAATTCTCAGTGCAGCTCACACACTCTCATGCCTGCTGGGAATCCGGGCCCTCCCCACTCCCACCTTCTCCTCTGCAGCCCTCTCCTCTCTTCTCCATCCTTATTTCCATTCGAATCAGTGGTTATGGGGTGCTGTCAGGCCTGAGCACCGATGAAGGGATTTTTCAAGCTGTAATTTGTCATGTGGATGAAGGTTTGATCCCTTGTTTGGTGCCCGCAACATTGGGGTCCTAATTTCCACTCCAGGGCCAGTTCTCTGTGGAGCAGGGCAAAGCTTGCCTAACCTTTCTATGTTAGTTTCATCTCCTGGAAAATAGAGTTAATATCTACCCTGCTCCTAGGAACACGGGAATTAGTTATTGTTTTTTCAGAGTGCTAATCTCATACCTTTGCCAACACAAGGCAATTCCACCAACAGCCCCCAAATTATATCTGATCACACAGTGGCTGAATGTGTTGATCATCACTACTTCCATTGTGAAACTCCAAACGAATATTTTTAAGGTTGCCACTTTATTCATAAATCCAAGAAGTTATCACAGCCACTGCAGTGAGTGAGGTTCAGAGCTGAGGGCCACTTGGAAAAAATCACCACCCACTCCAGCCCCGGCCTCCATCCAAGGCTAGGCAGGCTATCACGAAGCAAACGAGAAGGTCACGACAGGCTGCAGCTTCGTCCCTTTCCATTTCGGGCTATGATTAATCTTTTCTGATGTTCTTTTATTTGAAAAAATAATCTAAACTGGCCCCAGACAGAACCAACTCTCCTTAAAAGGGAAATCTACATGAAAGGACGGAATGTTGCTCACAGAGAGAAAAGACAGGGAACCCATCGCTGGAGGTTTGAGGCTCCTGAGGAGAGCACTAAGGTGCCTCGTCTTTAACTTATGGGCATAACGGGAGAGCTCTTTCTTCTTGAAGTTGGTGATTCACAACCTCATTTGAGGTCTGATTCCATCAAAAATACATCCAGCTCCAAGGGCTGCCAAAAAAAAGGAGGTTTTCTCTAACCCAAGAGACCCCACACAGTTTCTCCTCCAGCCTGGAGACCTGGGTGTACTGTCAGGGCCCCCACCTTCAGTTCTCCTGCCCTCCTGAGTTGTAAGCAGTCCCCAGGAAAGACTCTTCAAGAGGCAGGCCGCTTGGGTCTGGATGGTTCTCTAAGTCAGAGTTTCTCAACTGATGTGCGACTGACATTTGGGGCTGAGTCACTGGGGTGGTGGGGACAGATCTTTGGGGCTGAGTCACTGGGGTGGTGGGGACAGATCTTTGGGGCTGAGTCACTGGGGTGGTGGGGACGGATCTTTGGGGCTGAGTCACTGGGGTGGTGGGGACGGATCTTTGGGGCTGAGTCACTGGGGTGGTGGGGACGGATCTTTGGGGCTGAGTCACTGGGGTGGTGGGGACGGATCTTTGGGGCTGAGTCACTGGGGTGGTGGGGACGGATCTTTGGGGCTGAGTCACTGGGGTGGTGGGGACTGACCTGTGTATCACGGGAGGTTTAGTAGCCTTCCTGCTCCCACCCACTGGATTCTGTGAGCAGCCCCTTCTCCCATTGCAACAACCAAAAATGTCTTCAGACATTGCCAAATGCTTCTGGGTGAGAGGGCGCAAAATCACCCTGGTGGCAATTCATGGAGCTGTTGGTCCCACAGCCCTTTCCAGGGTGCCTTCATGTCCACAGGGAACCTTCAAAGTGCCAGGGTCTTTGGCTGAGTGGGTGAGACCTTGGGAAGGCAGAGCATGGAGCTGTCCTGACACGGGAGCATTTTTTTCCCTTGTGCACACATCCGCCTGGCAACCGTGCTACGAGTCACTGTGGCCTGCCTCCCAGGTGCCCCTTTGAATTGTGCCCACAAACCAGGTGGTTAATCAGCTCTCCAGCGCTGCTTGGAAGCGTCCCTGCCTAAGCGAGCATGTAATTACCAGCTCGCACCCTCAGCCGTGGACACGCAGGAGAGCAGCGGCAGAAACGGGTGGCTCATTGCAGGAGGGGGAGCGGGGGACTCTGGCCTTTGAAGCGTGACATGAATGCCAAAGATGATGGTGTCCGTCCCCTTTGGAGACTGGACATGTTTTGCTGGCCTTTACTGGAACACAGCCACCGGATCCCTGCAGATGGCTAGGGCTTCCTGAGCTACCTGTTTGAGGGAGCGGGCCCCCAGCCCCGGGGGGCACCTGAAGAGCGGCCTAAGCCTGCACACACCTTGGCCTCTTGTTAGGTCCAGGGGGGTGTTTTATTTGGCAGCCTTGTTCCCCATCGTATCAAACGAATTAAAATACGCCCACACTAACTATAGTTTGTTTGCAGTAAAAATATTTGAAAGGAGTTTAATGATTTTGCTTCTTAAATTATCTAGCAGCAGGTAATTCATCAAAGTTGCAATTACCTGTGATTTGCCCCACAACCAATAGGCATCCTTAGGCATTCTTGCAATGGTTTTCTCAAACGTAATGCAGTTTTTATGACGACGACATCATCAATACAGCACCCAGCAAGCAGTGAGGAGGCTGCACTGCTATAGTTGGCAGGCGTTTAATGAAGCATTTATTAATTTTGATTTTGTGGCTTTCTTGTTGAATTTTGGAGCCCATAATTTTCTTCCACATTGCACACACTTGCGTGGACCCCAGAAAGGTTCATGCCTAAGGCTCTTGGGGGTTTGTGGGTGGGTGGGGGTGCTCTTTTTTCTTGGCAGTATGCTGAAGGTGAGAAGATTCCAGAGGTAGCTGAACAGTTGCTTTGCTGGGGAGGGTTTGCTTAGCTGCTGGAGTCACTCCCAGTTTCCTCTTTCTTGGTTTTTGTGGTGGTAAAAATTAAGTCCAAGCATCTGGAGAGCCACATGTGTGATTTGCAAACATCAAACACAGCATTCATTCCTTATTTCTTGATTAATTTATTGGCTGTCGGCTTTCTGATCAGTCTACCAGCTGGGCATTTTACTTTTCTCTTACTGCGAACGAGGCGTAATTGCTGGGACGCAAACCGGTCGGAAAAACAATGAGAAATTAGGCATAATTGGGCGGCATTTCCTGACGAACTATAATGCCAAGCTCAACATGGGAGCCAGTGTTTTATTTTCTTTTTTACAAAAAGGGACTTCACAGTTATTCCTAGCGCGTGAGTTTTCCTCCCCACTGCTTTCCAATGCCTGGGACTGAGCGGAGGGGGTGATTTCCTTCTTCCCAATCAGAGGTAGCGAATCTCTCAGAGCTTATGGTAATATTTAAAGACATAAAAAGGACAGGACAATTAGAAATGTGCACAGGTAGCTTTAGGGCTGACGTTATTGATGCCTTTGTGATCAATAGCACTATTTTTATTTGGATTGCTAGCCATAGGAAGCTACGGCCACAAAATTTAGAGAGCCCTGCAGAGGGCCTGTAAAACCCTGTTGTAACTCTCATGTCAGGCCGGGAATAACGGCTGATTTAAAGGCTTTGGCTGGTGCAGTGAGGCGGGGTTTCCATCAGTGTATGCCCAGGAGAGGGGATTACATCTGCCTGGCGTCCAGACCCCAGGTGGAGTGAAGCCGTTTATAACACAATTTGGCTGCAGTTGAATTTTAATCTTGGGATCCACCGATTGCTTTAAGGGCGAGCTCGAGAAGCCGCCATTTGTTTTTGATAGCTTTACCCAGAGACTAAAGAAATCCCTCCCCCCACAGTTGTTCTGTTAGGGGTTGTGTCTGTGGAAGGGAATTGAAAGAGAAGATTTGGTAAATAGGAGCCATGGACTGTCGTGCTTTCTGGATGAACTGTGTGGACACTGGCTTTCTGATAATCATCGTAGCTAATATTCACTGGGTGCTAATGAGACGTGAGGATGCTGCTAAGCACATTTCACATCATGTTTATCTTCTTAATTGTTTATTTTATTTTATTATTTTTTTTGAGACAGACTCTCACTCTGTTGCCCAGGCTGGAGTGCGGTGGTGCAATCACCACTCACTGCAGCCTCTGCCTTTGAAAGGGCTCAAGCAATCTTCCCACCTCAGCCTCCCGGGTAGCTGGGACCACAGGCACATGCCACCACGCCTGGCTAAATTCTTTTGTATTTTTTGTAGTTTTGTAGAGATGTGGTCTCCCCATGTTGCCCAGGCTGGTCTTGAACTCCTAGGCTCAAGCAAGCCACCCACCTTGGCCTTCCAAAGTGCTGGGATTATAGGCCTGAGCTACCATGCCCAGCCACATCATGTTTATTTAAAAACAAACAAACAAACAAAAACAAAACCCAACTCACAACAACCTGTGAGAGACTATCTCAGGCCCATCTTCTGGACCCGCACTGGCCAATATGGTCACCATTCGTTACTGCGTTTGAAATGTGGCCAGTCCATACAGAGACAAGTTGTAAATGTCAAACATTCACCAGATTTCAGACTTGAGGTGAAAAAAAAAAGTGTTAAGTACTCAATAACTTTTATATTGATTACATGCTGGGATTTGGGTGATATAAAATGTATAACGAAAATTGTATTCTTTTGATTGTGTACCCATTTGTTTTTACTTTTTGAAAATGTGGCTAGGAAATAAAAAATTATGGATGTGATTCACATCATACTTCTAAGGCACTGATCTTAGAAGAAGAAAAGACACACAGACCTGTAATCCCAGCACTCTGGGAGGCCAAAGTGGGCGGATCACCTGAGGTCAGGAGTTTGAGACCAGCCTGGACAACATGATGAAACCCCATCTCTACTAAAAAGGCAAAAATTAGCGGGCGTGGTGGCATGCTACTTAGGAGGCTGAGTCAGGAGAATTGCTTGAACCTGGGAGGCGGAGGTTGCAGTGAGCCAAGATCACGTCACTGCACTCCAGCGTGGGTGACAGAGTGAGACTCAGTTAAAAAAAAAAAAAAAGAAAGAAAGAAAGAAAGAAAAAGAGGCCCAGAGACTAAAGGATCATGCCCAAGGCCGCCCAGCATGCAAGTGTCCGGGCCTTTTAGATGCTAACAACATGACCCCAGAATGGGCACTTGTGCATGAGTCAGTTTCTCAGTCAGCTTTTTGTCGTCAGCCCCACATCCTGCAGACCTTGGCTGAATTTGTAGCCCCTCCGGTCTCAGTTTTCCCAGCTCGGTCATCAGAGGCTGGAGTTGAATGATCTTTGTGGCTTTTTTGCGGACAATGGCGTTCTCAATTTTGTACTCTTTGGCACAGAGTGGTGTAATGTGGAGAGGGGAGCATCAGTCTCTCTCTTAATGCTTATTTAATTATATTTAATTAGGAATCTCGTTGCAATTGGTCTCCTGGGGCCATCTGCTGTGGAGATTTTTGAAGAATCCAAATTTTATTTCTTGCCATCGATCCATGTGGTTAATGGGCCTGAGGAGGAATGATGTCATCTGTCCTTCTAACTTAGCACAAGAGGCAGGAGGAGAAATTGAGCAAAATCAGGCTGAGCGCCCGAGAAGGCCACCCTTTGGAGAGCCAGGGCGGGCCTGGCTCATTCCTTCAGGTTCTCAACTGTAGTGCCCACGGTGTGCCCCAGCTTGCTCTGCCCTGTGCCAGGATTTTGGGGACAGCTGGGTTCTGGCATCATCTGTGCCCTTGTTAACATGGTACCCTAAAATTGATGCTTGCCCTGATGGTAAAATGGTGGTCTGCATGTGATCGGCACCAATCTGTGACGTCCAGGGTTCTTGAGTCAGCCACGTATTCCCTGGGTTGCCTTCAAGATGACCTGAGTGGACTCACTGCCTATTCTTTTCCCTCTAGGTGGAATAGGATTCTTACAGGAGTAGGGTGATAAGAGAAGGGGGCTCTCCTTCATTGCTGCCATCGGGCTCCTTGGTGGAAAACTGGGGCAGGATTCAAAGCAAGGCTGACATGACCTGTACTTCCCCAGAAAGGAGCCGCTGGAGGCCTGGCTAGGGCCAGCTCTCCAGCCCCGGCAGCTGCCCCCCACCCACCCCCACCGGGCATTTAATCAGTGTAACTGATTAGTTGAAACACACCACAGGCTGGGAGCCTGCGACCCTGGCTGACGTCCGGGGCTGTTGTTTATGGCTGGGTGATTTGAGGCAAGCCTCCCGACCCCGCTGAGCCTCGGATCCCTCAGTTACAAAATGAGACTTATCATATCTGCCCCCCTCCCTCCCCAAGTTGTTGAGAGGCTCCAACAATGTAGAGAGGCTGATATGAAATGTGGGTAAACAGGAGAGTGGTATTTAAATGTACGCTCTTACCATAATTGCCTTGTATTGTGTGTGTATCTTATCTCCCCAATTAGATGCGAGATCCTTGGTGACAGCCACCATGTCTCCCCCCTTTTGATATTCCCCACGCAGCCGGGATGATGCTGAACATATGGCTGCTGCTCAATAAATATGTTCTGAATTGTACTGAATTTCATTTTGGTTCCAAATCACCCTAAAAACTTGATCAGGTGCAGCCCAAAGGAGCAGGCTGGATGACGGAGGCTCCCCAGCCTGGCTCTGTGGCCGTTATGGGAAAATATCTGTGGAATGAATGAATAGATGAATGAATGAATGAATGCCTCGTGGTGTTTGCTTTACTCTTCCTGCTCCCAGCTTTGACACTGGCTGTGAAATCTGCCTCCTGTGCTCAAAATGACTTCTCCCTCTCCTCCTTCGGGATACGCTTTCTGCATCCTGCCTCGCTGTAGCTCAGATTTCTATTAAGTAGTCAAACATAATATAAAATTGCCAACAAAAAGATCATTCCTGGATTAATCTCCCCCTTTACATAGGGAAAGACATAAAAGAGAGCATAAGATAAGAAAAGGAAATGAAATTAATCTTATACTTTCTATGGCTGCCTGTTAATTTCAAGCTTTCCTGCATCCAGGTGCCTGTGTTCCTGCTCGGTTTCTGGATTGCTTGGTACTTAAATGAAACATCTTATTAATCATTTCCCGGGAATGCTGTGCAGGCAAAAGGAAAACAAAGGCATTCAGGAGCCACAGTAAGTTTATTTTTATAGTAATGCATACCTTATCATCAAGCATGGCCAAGACATCAAAATGCTAAGCCACATTTGTATACGATCTCACACTGCTATTGATAAATCACGTTAACAGTAAGCTGCTGGATCAATTCTGCCCTGACACCAACCTCTCCACGAAATAGAGATTCGAGAATAAATGTGAAGGTAACCAGGGAATAAAACTGTTTGAGAAGTTTCACAAAAGAAGCTGAACTCTGCTAATCAGAAAGTAGATCCATCTTTAATTCCGAAATGACCGCACAGCAATTCAGCAGTCCAGAGGACAGGCAGAGTTTCTCAGCCCCGGGGTGGAATGGATGGCTTCCTATCTCTGTCCTGCCAAGGCTGCGTTCTCACATCTTCCAAAATGTCCATTAACCCCAGCTGGCCCCTCACCCCACCAAGATGATGTAAATATAATGATTAACCAATCCACACTAGCATTAAGATTTCTTGAAACTCCTCTTCACTGAAAAATGCATTAGCTCCTGGCAGTACTGTCCAGAAATTAATTCACAGACAACCGAGCATCATTACCCATGGTCTGCCCTGGCTAACTGCTCTCTCTGTTAGTGAATTTGGGAATGGAAATGAGCTATTTCCATCCACTTTATCATCCAGAGACCTTAGTACATAGTGTATCTCTGGTAAGTGCTGTTATTGTAACCTGTTTCTAGAATTGCTATTACCAGTAATTCTGCAGAAACAGGGTCCCACCCAAAGCCATCAGCACAGTGCCTTTAAATCTGAAAATCAGCCTTTAATCTCTACTTTGATGTTGTTGGCAGAGGTGAGAGTTTTATTTCAGCCCAATTGCTGTGTCTTTTAATTTTTTTAAGTAGTGAGCTATCATCCCTCCAACCCCCTCCCCCAAACACTGAAGTCCAGAGGCCACTTTCTGGGAGAAGGTTGTTGTAAGTGGCCCAGGTGCTGGGGCTGGTCTGGTAGGAAGGGGTGTAGAGAACCGTAAGGGCTCCCTACAGGAAAACATCAGGACTAGCACAAGCCACCCTTACAAAACACAGAGTGAGCAATGGAATTGGCATATGGCAATGAGGCCTGCAGGGAGAGCTCCCTTGACCTTCTGCATATGGAGTTTAGGGTCCCCTCTGGAAGGATCCCTGTGCCGGGATGCTGCCCTCCCTAGTACTTCCTCCTCGTTCCCTTACACGTGAAGCTCCTGCCTAGCTCTTCCCTCGTGGCCCACACTACCTGGCTGAGCATCCCCTCCCATCATTTGCAGATCACAGTGGCCCCCTGGTCTCTAACTCCAGGTTTCACATCTGAGCTCCAGTTCCACCCCCAGACTTCTTGTCGCTTGCTTCTCCTGCCATGCATCCATCCCCTCACTTGTCCCCATGGACAACTCTTCTCTATGGTGTAAGCCTTTGCTCTTCTGCAGGGGCCTCTCCTTCCTTCCCCCCTTCCCTTCCTCTGGACCTGCTCAATGTACATTCTGGCTATACATATATTTGGTCTCGGGATTCGGTTTCTGTCTGATTCTTTGAGTAGCTGCCGGGGCTCCCGGGGCATGGTCTGGATCCTGCTCATTTGAATTTCCCCTTTCCCTGCAGGGTTTGTTGCACAGTAGGTCTCTACAAATATTTATTAAATGAGTGTGCCTGTATTCAAACCCAGGAGATGGGGGAGAAAGATCAGAGGGAAGATTTGATAAACAGAAGGCTTCCAAGAAATAGCTTCCAACTCCAATCAGTTCTTTTTCATTTTATTATGATAAGAACACTCAACATGAGATCTACCCTCTTAACGAATTTTAAAGTGAATTGCAAATTATCCAACCAACTGATGACTGAAAAACGAAGTGCTGAAAAGACACTCAATAAACATAGGCCACCTTGGAAATGTATTAATAATCATTATCGTCACCATGTGGCGGCTGTGGATTGAGCGTCTGTTCTGTGCCAAACACTGTGCTGAGTGCTCTGTGCCTGTTCCCTTGTTCACCCCTGCCCCAATCCTCTGAAACAGGCCTGCTCTCACCCTTAGTGGAGATGAAGCCATGGAGGCTCTGAAAGCCACACCCGCCATCACCCAGCCAGGGGCCGCCTGAGCCCAGCAAGAGTCCACCCTGGGGGATGCTGAGTCCCTGCCTCTCACCACCATGCATGTTGTCTCTGGGCTTCTAAAAAGGCTGAATGATACAAAGGTCTTGGGGAGGACCCATTATGAAAAGGGCATGTTCTTTGTTTTGGCCCCAGTACACAGCACCATCCGCCCATCATTGTCTTCCATTCAATCTCCAGCATGATCAGTAATATTTGTTAGCGGGAGAGGGGCTGGTGTGTGGGCTGCAGCCAGGCGGCAATGAAGCAGAAGCTTTACTTCTAAGAGAAGCTAATGGGCCCGGTTTAGGGGGGCACAAGCCCCTGACCTTGGTTGGATAAGCCTCTAGCACTAATCAACATTACCGGAGAAGTCTGTATGCGCTAACAAAGCATAAATATTTGGTCTCTATTGAAGGTCTCCAGGGCCATGGCACACAGCCGCCTTAAACATGCGTGGTCTACTTGCTTGTTAGGAAAGAGAAAACACACAGAAAAACAGCCCTTTGAATCCATTCTTCCCCATAGAAACAGAAACGATGTCCTGATCATTATGTCTAAAAAAGCAGTAGATACGAAAATTGGATTTGGTTGGAGCTGGATTTTAGCTGCAAATGGGTGGTTTTTAATAAAGTGCCTCATAGCAACCGATCTGTGAAAAGCTGCTACTTAAAAGCAAGTTCATATGATCTCAGAAAATGGCTCATCAGACAGGGCAGTCTCTAACTGTTTATTTATAGTCGTCTGCGCCAGATCAGATAAGCTGGTGCTCACAGAGTTGGGCGAGGGGGGGGGAGCTTCTAGAATGTACCATCCATTGGAAACTCACAGCCTCGGACTGTGGATGTGATCAGAAAACGGATCACTGACTCACACTTTTGGAAACAGGGCCCGGTGGGGTGAGAGCTATGGGGAGGTAGGCTGTGTTCTCGGGATAGAGGTTCTCCAAGTGCTCAGACCTGAGAGTTGTTTGTGAAGTCTGGGGGCTGAAGAAATAGGACTGGAGCTGGAGGACAGGCACCGGGGGCATGAATGAGGATAGGCGGATTGGGGCTGAGTCCTGCCTATGAGACGTTTTGCCTGTTTGAACTTGAGCGAATGCCCTTCCTTTTCTTTTTTCTCTATTTATTTATTTATTTATTTATTTATTTATTTGTTTGTTTGTTTGTTTGTTTGAGGCAGAGTCTCACTCTGTCGCCCAGGCTGAAGTGCAGTGGCTCGATCTCAGCTCACTGCAACCTCTGCCTCCTCGATTCAAGTGATTCTCCTGCCTCAGCCTCCTGGGTAGCTGGGATTATAGGCACACACCACCACGCCCAGCTAATTTTTATATTTTTAGTAGAGATGGGTTTTACCATATTGGCCAGGCTGGTCTCAAACTCCTGACCTCAGCTGATCTGCCCACCTCAGCCTCCCAGAGTGCTGGGATTACAGGTGTGAGCCACTGCGCCCGGCCTATCTTTCTTTTTAAAAAGACTTTATTGAGATACAATCCACGTTCCACACAATGCAACTATTTGAAGTGTAGAACTCAACACTTCTTAGTGTATTCCCAGAGTTGTGTAACTGTCACCACTGTCCATTTTGGAACATTTTCATCACCTCAAAAAAGAAACCCCATACCCTTCAGCAATCATCCCCTATCCCCCCATTCCCTCTAGCCCTGAGCAGTCTCTGTCTGCTTTGTCTCTACAGATTTGCCTGTTCTGGACATTTCCTTTGAATGGACTCATAGGGGATGTAGTGCTTTGCGTCCGGCTTTTCTCACTTAGCGCCGTGTTTTCAAGGTCCTTCTGCGCTGTGGCCTGCGTCAGGGTTCCATTCCCTTTCAGGGCAGGCCCTTTCTGGTCTTCAGATTCCTCATTGGTCACATGGGGTGAACGCTGCCACGGGCTCCCTGCTGATAACCTTCCACTGGAGGGGAATCCAACTCAAGTGTTAGTGAGGGGCTGAGCTGTGGAAATTCCCCCCCAAGGGCAACTACATCTTTAGCTCTTTATCCCTCCCTCACCCCCTTAAAATGATGGTAATAGTTGAATGCTACTGTATTTCATCCATCAGAATAGAATAGCTTTCTCTCTTCCCCCACTGGGACTCCTGTTTTGTCCCATGCAAAGCTTGGATGTGCATTTGTTTTGATAATAGCAACAAGATTCCCTCGGATTTTTTGAGCTTTCAGAGGGGCCAGGCTCTATGTTTGGGCCTTACATACAACAGCTCATATGGACCCTGTGAGGTAGAGAGTCATGGCCCTGACTGAGCAGATGAGGAAACTGAGGCTCAGAGAGGGTCAATGAAGTATCTCATATTCTCCACAGAAGGCTCAGTTCTTCTGTAAATGCCTCTGGGGTTCAAGAAACGCAGTGTTCCTGGACTTGAATTTTCCAATACAAGTCTCTGGAGTAGGTCTAAGTGGCCCTGGAGAAGCTGTGAAACCGGTCTCCAAGCACAGCACCCTGATACCTGGACACCTACGCCCCCAGGAGTACAGAGACCTTAACAGACAAGGCCAATGAGACAGTGTGACAATGGGGGTTGCAGAGGAGCTTGGCTGGCCCTGAGCAGGTGCCCAGGAGAGGGGGCCTGGCAGAGGTTCCCCCAGAGGTAACGCCTGAGTGGTGTCTTACAGCACAAAGCAAAGTCACCCTGGGGGTGGAGGAGGCCCTCTGTACATCGTTTGATTAACGGTACTTAGAGGAGGTAGGTACAAAATGCTGCGGGAGTGCGGGGGCAGGGGTGATTAATCCTCCTATAATCTGTTTGCCACAGTTTTGCTGTTGCAGGAGGTTTTGCTGGAGAGATCGATTGGGTCTTAACAGAGTGGTGAAATGGTGCAGGGACTCTGTTGCTAACTCCAGCAGAGCCTCACCCAGAGGGAGGCTCAACCCTCACAGCCATGTGGCTTCGGGGATTTCAAACCGGTGCTTCTCTTGGTGGACTGGTGAAATTTTCCCACAGAACCCATTTGTTTGATGCAGGGAGTGGAAAGGATCAGAGGAGATGGGAAGAGAACAGGAAGAAAGGGAGAGATAGCAGGAATAACTAGCCTCTTATTTGATTCATTATTAAAGAGGTGAAGGTGCCCCTTCTTCCTTACTTCCACACTCAGAGTTTCTCTCAACCCCCATCACAATCCTGTGAGGCAGATTCATGTCCCTCATTTTACTGGTAAAAAATTCAGGGGCCCAAGAAGTGGACTGGCTTGCCTAGAGTTGGGCAGGGAATCAGTGCCAAATTCAGGTCTCAACCCCAAAACTCCAAATGCTGTGCATGGCCAGAGGGGAGTAGGAGCTGGTGGTGCCCATGATGTTCCAGGAACCCCTAAGATGTGGCCTGATACAGGGGTTGTACAGATGATCTTGCCACATTGCTGGGCTGGAGGACAATTTGGGCTATACACATTGAGCTGTGGAAGCCCAGAGAAGGATGCCAGAATCTGCTGGGGCAGTCAGGGAAGGCTTCTTGGAAAGGGGATATTGAGGCTGGGTTTTGGTGGATGTGTAGGAGTCCTTGAGTTCACTAAGGGTGGAAGCTCATTCTGGGAATGGAAGCAGTATGTGCAAAGGCTCAGAGTTGGGATTGGGGGCCTTGTATCTAGAGAACAATCTGACTTGCAGAGTGGCTGATGGTAGGATGTGGGGCTAGTTCGGAAAGCAGAGGCAGCCGGAAGAAGCATCATGGTTCACAGCTCCTCCACCACCCCTGTCTGTCAGGCACTCACAAGGTAGACTTTTCCTGGGGCAGGATTTTACTGGAAGTTAGGGAACTGTTCATTGCTTTAGGGTGTTTGGAAGCTAACAATGGATTCTCCAAGGAGTGAGAGCAAAGCCACAAGCAGAAAAGGATTATGCTGTTGAAATTGTGTAACTGCCTCCCTCTGTTATTTTCTAATTAAGGAAGGGGTGAGGGGAGCCCCAAGGCTTTGAAGCAGCAAGAGAGAATTCTGAAATGTCTCCAGCCGGCCCCACGAGAGGGTCTGATTACAGAGCAGGCTTCTCCAAGTGTGACGTCACCCACTGGGCAGTGGGGATCGGTCACAGGAGTGGGATGAGGCTTCAGCGTCTAAACCATAGAACTAAAATACCTGCAACCACAGGCCCTGAGGCCACAACCCAGCGTGGCCCTTCTCTTCCTAGGGTAATGCAGTGGGCTCTGGACAGTGTCACTGGAAGCCCGTGCTGCGTGCTGGGGCATTTCAGAGGGAAGCCCCGAGTGTGGCATTCTGCTCTAGCTGTTCATCTTGGCTCTTGCAAGAGGCATTTTCTTTCTCAGGAGAGAAGCAAGATTCTTTCTGGAATAAATGTTCAGATCTACCAGCTCCACAGCTGGTCAGAAGGAGGGAAAGAAGAAAGATAGGTTATCACTCCAAAGACTTCCTCCAGCCTCATGAATGACCTGGATGGTACTATGGGCTGGTAGATTTCTGAGAGGTGATGGTGGCACCACTTAAAACATATAGCCCTGCGATTATGCCTGAAAATGCCACTCTTTGGGAGTCACTAGTTCAGCGAATCTTTACTAAGCATGCACCATGTGCCTGGCACTGTGTCAGGGACCGGTGAGGATGGTGAACCCTGCCTGTCCGCTGTGACTGTGTAGTCTGCAAGGAGAAAGCAATAGACAGATATAACAACTCCAGATTGGAATCCACTCCATGAGAGAAAGAGGGAAGCAGACAAGGGTGGTGAGAGGTACTGTGCTTTGGAGGGCAGCTGAGCTGACTCCACAGGAGGCCCAGAGGCTGCCCTGCAAGTGTGGGGAAGGCGTGCTAGACAGAAAGGGTGGCATGTGCTGAGGCCTCTGGGGCATTCCAGAAGTCAGCAGAAGGTTCCTGCATCAGGAGGGATGGAAGCAGGGGAAACATTCTGAAGGGGAGGCAGAAAGAGCTGGGAGGCCAGCTTCACTTTTTCACCAGGAATGGTCCCCAACAGGATCCACAGTGTAGACCTTGCCCCAAGAGGGTCTATATAGCCCACCTCTCCCCCTTCATGGGGAGTAGGGAAGGGGCCAACAGGTAGACTTCTCCTTCCATTTCTAAGTCTTTGCATCTTAAAATTTTGTATTCTGTAGTCATTGAAGAGGTTGGAGAATCTTTAGTTTGAAATGTAAGATGATTTCTTCAGGAAAAATGATCAGATTCCTCCTGACCTCTTGTTCCAAGGAGAATAGGTAGTATTTTATCATTGCGGCATTGTGTCATAGCTACAGCTAACACCATCTGAATGCTTGCCAATGTAACAAAGGGAAAATAAAGTGGGATGACTCAGTCTTGGGTCGTGAAAGCTCAGGAAAGTGAGACAACCACCTCCCACTGCCAGCCTTGGTACAGGGAAGGAGGAAGATGGGCAGAAGCCAGTGCCTTCCTCTTGCCCAGCCCTGATCTCCACTTAGCAGACATCCAGCTGCCCAGCCTGGGGTCTTCACCATCTCATTCACCTGTTTGGAATATTAACCAGTTTAAAAGAGCTTGGATGAGGGATGCTCTGTGATGAGCTCATTATGAAGACAAGAAGCCAACATTGAACAAAATACCTTGAGCCAAACACATTCCCTCTTTGAAGGAATTCTCAGGGCTAGCATGCTAATGAGCATTATGACCAGCCCATAAGGAGGCTAAAGTATGTAGCCTTTCTCAAATGTACTTAAGGATGAGTGCTTATTTTAAGGTACATCTTATAGGCAGGGGATTTTGTGGAAATCGGTTTGGGATACAATGCTTTAACCTGATTCAATTACCCTTTTACCTTTGTTGTCATCAAGAACAGCTTTAAAAATGGCAGTGAGCAACCATCCATTCATCCAGTCAACTACGTATCCAACCACTTATTCAAACAATCATCTGTTTATTCATTCAGTCTGCCATCCATCCATCCATCCATCCATCCATCCATCCATCCATCCATCCATACACCTATCATCTGTACATATAAGCAGGCAGCCATCCAGGCTTTCCGTACCCTGTACACAATACTAGGACTTTGGCAGACCCAAGACTAGATGTTTTCAGGGAGCTTCTAGTCTAATATAAGACTACCTCCCATACACAACCAGACTTCTGGGTGAAAAGTGATTTTTGTCTTTGAGAAAATGAAATTCTAGAAGCTAAGAAACGGGGAAAGCTCCTCTCCTTTGGGGAGTCCTTGAGGGCATTTTTCCCAGGAAAAGGGATTTGGACATAAAACTGTGGAAGCTGGAGACCAGGGATCCCAGCAGGGGACCAGTGAGAGCAGAGGGCCAGAGGTTCGACAAGGGCATGCTGGGGGAGCCATCCTGCCCCACTTCTTTGTCTCTGCTTGGCTGAGTAGAGACTACAGTACCAATAAAAGGCTGCTGTTCAGCTGCCACATTACTGGCAAGAACATCTCTAACGAGGCTTAATTCTTCCATCGGCATGAGTTTCCTTAGGTGCTGGCTTCAGAAACATTTAGTTTATTTAGAATCAGAGGCTGAAATGTGTTTGTCTTCACAGTGCCCACAGATGAGGCCCTGAGAACCTGTCTTTGGCTGCACTGGGGCTGGAAAGAAACCACTGTCCAGTATTAAGCACCATTCACCTGGGGGCCCCAGATGCTGACTTCCCAGAATATTCTACCACAGGGCAACAGAGTTGGCAAGATCTCTATACATAACCAGAAAGAGATGAGATCCTTGGGGCTCTGCAGAGAAACCACCCGTTTGCCTAATAGGGCCATGTGCTCAACACTCAACATGGCTGTGGGCTATGTAGGGAGACCCAGGTCCTGAGCTTGGGGTATAGGGGCTGGCCCACCTGCCGGGCACCCTGACCCCTGGAGGTTACATCCTAATGGGGGAAGATAGGCAGTAAGCGCCAAAGAAGTAAATAAGATAACGACACACTGTGCTAAGTACTTGGGGGCGATAGGCTGATGTGCTGGAAGACAGTTTTAGACAGGGTGGTCAGGACAGGCTTCCTAAGGATGTGACATTTGAACTCAGATGAATGACAAGAAGGAGCCAGGCGAAGTAAGAGCTAGGGAGGGAAAGCTGGTGCCAAGACCCCGAGGTTAACAGGAGGCGACAGATTTTGAGAGACAGAAAGGCCAGTGCAGATAGAGGCTGTTGAGCAAGATGGGGAGTGGTAAGGAAAGTCACTGGTAAGGTGGGCAGGGGTCCAACCACTGGGGCCTGTGGCCACAGGAAGGAGTTTCAGTTTTATTTTAAGTGCAGTGAAAAGCAAGGGGAAGGTCTAGACCTTCCCCTTGAGAGATTTTGTGTTTGAGGTGAGAGATTTTGTGTTTCATTTTGAAATCCTTGCTCCGGCTGCTGAGTGGAGGGAGGGTGTTGGGGTGAGCGTAGAAGCTAGGAGAACGGTGAGGGGCTGGCACAGTCATGGAGGGACCAGATCAGGGGTGGAGCAGCCAGGAGCTGGAGGGAAGAGGAGGGTTGGGGATCTGGTGTGGAGGTGGAGCCGGCAGGACCTACTGCTGGATTGAATGTGGCTGTGGGAGAAAGAGGAGAAAGAAGGACCGCTCTAAACGGGGCTTGAGTAGCTGGGAGATGTGGCTCTACTCCTGGGCTGCAGGAAGGTGGGGGAGAAACAGGTTTGGGGACAGGGAAAGCCAAAGAGTTCTGTTGCGGCCATGTTGTGTGAAAGATGCATCTTAGCTATCATGGAGGCAGCTGCATGTATGTCTGGACTTGGTGGGGGAAATCCGAAGCAGGGGAGAATGGAGACCAGGGCAAAGAGAAGCAGAAGCAGAGTCAAGTGATAGCAGGACAGAGGGGAGGGTGCACAGCTCTGTGTGAACTCCCGGATCCAACCATGCCTGAAGCTTGACCCACCTTGGACTCCAGTTATGTGAGCCAACCAGCCCCCACATCCTTTGTTTTATCTGAGTCCGTTTGAGTCGTGCTTCTGTCATCTGCAGTGGAAAGAGTCTTGGCTCAACACAGGAGGCATTTTCAGTATTTCAGGCGGATATAAATGCCTTTCCTTTGCCTTGGGCTGGAATTGCATCACCCCAGGGTGGCAAGACAAGAGGTGGTAGCCAGCTGTAGAAAGAGTGGACCTTTGCCATTGGGCAGACTCAGGAGCTGGTCCTGGCTTTGCCTCTGGCTGCCCGTGTGACCTTGGCGAAGGAGAACTGCTTCTCTGTCCCTCCATGTCCTGGCACGGAGGGGTTGTGGGAGGACAGCATGAAGGGTGCGGGGGCAGCGGCTGGTGCGTGGCAGGTGCTTAATAAGTATCAGCTTTTGGCCTCTCTCCCCCCTACACTGATTAAAAGCTCAGGTTGGCAGTTATTTATGTCTTTGATTAATTAAACAATTGGAAAACAAATTATTACTTAACAAAGGCAGTTTGGGCAACACAATCTTTGAAAACATGAGGGCTGGCGGGGAAAAGAACAAAAGTGGCACTCAGCAGTGAGGATGGAAACTGCCAGAGTAGAAAATCTTCAAGGTCCTTCTCATCTGGAAAATTCACCTTTTCTGGATGTGCAGAATATGGCTCCTTACAGATAAATGTTGACTTACGGTTTGAGTGGCTCATCACAGGTCACAGCGCCTTCAAATGGCAGCCAGGTCAGCACTCTGGTGTCACCTACATGGACTTTATCCAAGGCAAGAGGTGGAGAGGGAGAAACTGGACCTGAGTCACAGCCATGTGGCCGGCCGCTGCCGTCATTCAGGTGAAATCCACCTCTGTCGCTGTTCTCCACGGCCCCTCAACCCCCATGGCCAGCCCTCCCTAGTGGCTGAATTAAGCATCAACCACTGGGCAGTAAAGCTCATAGACCCGTGGAAGTGCCCTTGGCTCAATGAGGGTGGGGAGAGGAGGAGAGGGGGTGGGGGTGACCCTTGTGCTTGAGTTTCAAAACTGCCCAAGTTTTTCACCTCATTAAGTTATCATTTGCTTTGAGGAAAAGTTCCCTGGAGTCCAGGGGTTGTGTGATGAAGTCCCCTCCCTCCACCCCGTAACTTCCTGGCCATCTGTGTGGCTCACAACCCTGAGGCTTCCAACGAAGAGCAGTTCAGCCACCCCTCAAGTCTGCTTCACAGCTGGCATCACTTGAGCGCATCGCCTCATTTTTTTGAAGGGATCACAGTAGTCTATGGCTTTTTCACCTCCAAACCTGCCCTCACTGGGTGCAGGAGAAATTCTGATTTGCCAGGAACCTGTCCAGTCATCTGGAACCTTCGCCAGGGCTGGGAAGGTCAACTCCTGCCACAGGTCATATTGATTTTATTGGATGGCTTTTTCCAAAGCAGTGGAACAGCAGCAGGGCACGGCAGGCAGGGAGGGTTTCCAGTTCTGCGTGTGGGCACACGGCCCACGCTGCCTTAAACGGCTCTCCTGCTCCTCGCTGGTACAGGGAGAGGGTATGGGGCTGGCCCACCTACAATCCCCTCCTAGATCAGGCCTTTGCTTGCATTATCAGAGCGGGACTGTCAACCTGGTTTCCTTAAATTGCTGTGTGAACTCAGTCCATGTGTCGCCACAAAGCAAGACACCCCATCCGCCCCACGGAATATATGAAGCGTCTGTGCAGTGACTGCTGTCGACTGCTTCCTGGGAGCTGGCAAGGAAGCCCCTGCTAGCCCCTGATAGGGAAGAGACAGCCCTGGAGGCCAGAGCAGATGTGCCTTGGGAAGAGTCAAAAGGGAAGAGGGAGGGGTGGGCTGGGTTGAACGCCTGCTGGACCTGGGCTGTATACTTTACCATCTTCCAAGGGAGGCATGATCCCATTGTACAGAGTAAGGCCCTGAGGCCAGGAAGGGCAAGGTGACCTGAGAGCTGGCACCAGAAGCCAGGCCTGGCTCCAGAGTCCTTGCCTGTAACAGAGAGAATGGATGTTCTCTCACTTTGGTACACATCAAAATCAGAGTGCTTGTCAAAATGCTGTTTCCCAGGCCCCGACACCAGCTCCTGGGGGTCAGACTTCTCTGGATAGCCAAGTCACAGATGTGTACTGTGTACTGGCAGGGGCCAAATGAGGACCCATGGCTACACTGCTGACTGAAGGTCTTCTCCAGTGATGGGCAAATGACTCCGGACCCATGAACACCAGGGGAGTGATCCAGGGGGAGAGAAGATGTCTCGGGCTCTCTGGTTGCAAATTCTAACCCCCATCATTTGTCTGACCCTTTCTCAATCCAAATGGTTTTGGAAATGCCAGCACACACTCTACTTCCTCGGAGGCACATCTGTGTTTCGTGGTGCAGCAAGGACAGCCTGGGTGCAGGCACAGAGGTCTGCAGTCACATGGGAGTTTGGAGGCTGCAAGTTGCTTGATGCTGGTGGATGATCAAGTATGAGACGTGTTGTGGAGGGGTAGATAAGACAGATCATGAAGGTCAAATATTGTATCTGTCCCCTCTGCCTTTTTTGTTCCCCGGAGTGGTGACAGGAAGTCTCATAAGGTTTTTAACTGGGGGATGAAATGGCCAGTCCTAGGTGTTTGAAGGCTCACCCTGGCTGCAGTACAGAAAGACAAAGCTGGGCCAGGGCCACGATCAATTAGGAGACTTGTGTGGTCCAAGCAAAAGATACAGAGGCATTTGAGTTCAGATTAACCAGAATGAGGAGTCCTTATAGATCAATGAGAGCATTCACTAGAGAAACCAGAAGAGCCATACCTTAGCAGTGGGCCTAAATTATTCCTACAGTAAGTGCTACATTAGACCCACCCTAATCAAGATTATAAACAAGTCTCCAAAGAGTCAAACTGAACCACAAGTTTGATTTGTCTGAAAAAGTTTTTGCCCCCCAAAGTCTTTATTTTATAATTATCTGCCTACCAAAGCAAAGCCCAACACTTTGGAAGGAAGACAACAAAATTTTAGACACTCAACATTGAAGTGTCTAAATGTTCTTAGAGCGGAAAGAAAATGATGCCAGATAGAAATTTAGATCTACAAAAGAAATGAAAGAATAACAATAACAAATATGCATGTAAATATGCTATTTTTAAATTTTAAATTAATTTAAAATAGATCTGGCCATTTAAAACAGAAACAATAGCAATGTGTAGTGGGATGTGTAATGTAATTATCATAATGTTCAGCATCCAAACAAAAATTACTCAATATGTTAAGTTGAACAATGTGAGACAATCAGTCAAGAGAAACAGTCTCAGAAATGACAAGGATGATAGAATTAGCAAACAAGGACATTAA
Source organism: Homo sapiens (assembly GCF_000001405.40). Classification (NCBI taxonomy): domain Eukaryota; kingdom Metazoa; phylum Chordata; class Mammalia; order Primates; family Hominidae; genus Homo; species Homo sapiens. The sequence continues at coordinate 58,561,152 of NC_000020.11, forward strand.
AACAACTATTAAATGCGTATTCAATTATTCTTAAAACATGAACATAGTGAAGAGAGGAATTTAGGAGATAAAAAGCACCAAATGGAATTTCTAGAGATGAAAACTACAATATCAGAAATGAAAAATATAATGGGATTAACAGCAGATTTGGAAATAGGGTGAAATGAGAAGTGAATGTTAAGACATAGCAATAGAAATGATCCAAAATGAAACAGAAAAAACAAGACAAAAAAAATGAATAGACTTTCAGTGACCTGTGGGACAGTATCAAGCATGTGTAGTTTGAGTCTCAAGGTGAGAAGTAGGGGGAGAGGGCAGGAAAAGAAATGAGAAGAAATAATGATTGAATATTTTCCAAATTTGTTGAATGCTATAAATCCTAAGATCCAAGAGCCTCAACTAGCCACAAACAAGATTCACACACACACACCACGCCGCACAGCAACATATATCATATTTGAATTACTGAAAACCAGTGATGAAGAGAAAAATTTTTATATAGCCAGAGGGAAAATGTAAGCCAGGAGACAGTGGAATGACATTGTCAAAGTTCTGAAAGAAAAAAACTTGTCAACCTAGAATTCTATACCTGTCAAAGATATTTTTCAGGTGAGAGCCAAATAATGACTTTTTGACAAGAAAAAAAAAAAGGTGATAGAATCCATCAGAAGAAACCTGGCACCACAAGAAACATTAAAGGAAGTTCTTAGAGCAGAAAGAAAATGATGCCAGATAGAAATTTAGATCTACAAAAGAAAGGAAAGAATAACAAATAAGTACGTAAATATGCCTTTTCATTTTTAAATTAATTTAAAACAGATTTGGCTGTTTAAAACATAAACAATAGCAATGTGTAGTGGGATGTATAATAAGTGAAAGGTATGACCACAGAGGAAGGAAGAATGAGAGGGCAAAATGGAAATCTATTATTTCCTACATTGTATGAAAGTGGCATAATATTATTTGAAGGAAGACTATGTAATTAAAAATGCAATTTTGTAAAAGTAAAATTAAACAAGAGGTCTAATTTATGAGTTGACAGTGGAAATGAAATGGAGTCATTAAAATGCTTTATACCATTAGCAAGAGGGTAGCTATAAATCCAACCATATCAGTAACATTAAATACAAATACTCAGAACACTCCAATTATAAAAGACAGACATGATCAAATTGGATATAAAAACAAGACCCAACTATATGCTATCTTCAAGAAACCCACAGTAACTATGAAGATATAAATTCAATGATGGAAGAAGATATACTATGCAAACACTAATCAAAAGTAGGCCCAGAGTGGCTGTATTAATCAAGGAGGATTAAAAACAAGAAATATTATCAGAGTTAAAAAGAGAAATTCTATAATGATGAAGGGGTCAATTCACAAGGAGACATAACATTCCTAAATGTATGCATATAAATAACAGAGATTCAAAATACTTGAAACAAAAACAACTGAACTGGAAGGAGAAATAGACAAATCTAACAATACAGTTGGAAATTTCAACATCCCTGGATTGATAAATGTAGAAAGAAAATCAGTAAAGATGTAAAAGACCTGATCAATGTTATCAACCAACTTGGTTTAAGGAACATTTTAAGTGTCATTCCACCCAACAGCAGCAGAACACACTTCCTTTTAGAGCATATGTGGACTAGTCACCAAGATAGATCATAGCTTAAAAATGGAAACAAAAACCCTGACATTATCAAGTGCTGTGAGTACGCAGAGCCACTGGACCTCACCTACATTGTGGATGGGAAGGCTGAATGATGCAGCCACTTTGGGAAGTAGTTTGGTACTTTTTTTTTTTCTTTTTGCAGCCATGACCTCCGGGGCTCATGGAATCCTTCCTCCTCAGCCCCCCAAGTACCTGAGACTACAGGCGTGCACCACTGCACCTGGCTAATTGTGTGTGTGTGTGTGTGTGTGTGTATTTTTTGTAGAGACAGGGTTTTGCCATGTTGCCCAGGCTGGTCCTGAACTCCTGGCCTCAAGCAATTCTCCTGCCTTGGCCTCCCAAAGTGCTGGGATTACAGGTATGAGCCATTATGCCTGGCCTGGCAGTTTCTTATAAAGTTAAATATACATCTACCATAACACCTAGCATCCCACTTCTATGTACTTACCCAAAGGAAATGAAAACATATGTGCACAAAAACATATATGTGGATGTTTACAGTGGCTTTATTTATAATCGCAAAAAACTGGAAACAACCCAAATATCCATCAGCTGATGGATGGGTAAAGAAACCGTGCCACAGCCATATGATGGAATTCCTACTGGAACTACTCAATGTTAGAGAGGAATGAAGGGCTGATACCCACAACTCAGATGAATATGAAAGGTATTATGATGAATGAATGAAGCTGGGCTTATAAGGCTACAAAATGTATGACTCCATTTACATGATATTTACATTCCAGAAAAGGTAAACACATAGGAGGTGGAGAAAGGGGACTGATTAAAAAGGGGCATGAAGGAACTTTTTGGAAAAAAAAAAAAAGGACTGCTGACATGGTTAAGAAAACCAAAAGACAAGACACAGAGTGGGGGAACATATTTGAATGCACATATCTGTAAAGGACTTTTGTATCTAATATATAAATAACTTTTACTATTCAATAATAAAAAGACAAATAACCCATATTTAAAATGGGCAAAGGATTTGAAAAGACATTCTACCAAAAAAGACATATGGATAGCTAATTAGTTATAAACGATTCATGTAAAGTTGTTCAGCATCGTTAATCATCAGGGAAATGAATATTAAAAGCACAATGAGATACCACTATGCTTGCCAGAATGGCTAAAATTAAAAAGATAGACAACACTAAGTGTTGACGAGGATGTGGAAGGACTGGAATTTTCTTTTCTTTTCTTTTCTTTTTTTTTTTTTTTTTTTTTTTTTGAGACAGAGTCTTGCTTTGTTGCCCAGGCTGGAGTGCAGTGGTGTGATCTTAGCTCACTGCAACCTTTGCCTCCTGAGTTCAAGTGATTCTCCCACCTCAGCCTCCCGAATAGCTGGGATTACAGGCATGCACCACCACACCCAGCTAATTTTTGTATTTTTAGTGGAGATAGGGTTTCACCATGTTGGCCAGGCTGGTCTCGAACTCCTGACCTCCTGACCTCCTGACCTCAGGTGATCCACCCGCCTCGGCCTCCCAAAGTGCTAGGTTTACAGGCGTTATCCTAGCCAAGGGCTGGAATTTTCCTACATTGCTGGTTGGAAAAGAAGTCAGCAGTTTCTTAACAAGCTAAATATATTCTTGTCATTTGACTCAGCATCCTGCGTGGTGTATGCGCCACTATGGAAGGCAGTTAGAGAACTGCTGGTCATAAACTCCATTGTACTTGTGGGTCTGCTGTGGCCACACTGGTCCCTTCAGGGTCTATGGCTGTGTTGGTCTTTCATGGTCTCGGGTTGCTATGTCTTTTTATGTGCTTGTGTCCAGTTTAGACAGTTTTTCTAGCTTGTCTGACAGCAGGCTGTCAGAATAATTTTTTGTCAATGTTTCTATCTGCAGCTGCTGCCTTTCTTTTTCTTTTTCTTTGAGACGGAGTCTCCCTCTGTTACCCAGGCTGAAGTGTAGTGTCGTGATCTCGGCTCACTGCAACCTCTGCCTCCCCGATTCAAGTGATTCTCGTGCCTCAGCCTCCCGAATAGCTGGGATTACAGGCACACGCCACCATGCCTGGCTAATTTTTGTCTTTTTGTGGAGATGGGGTTTCGCCATGTTGGCCAGGCTTGTCTTGAACTCCTGACCTCAGGTGATCCACCCGCCTCAGCTTCCCAAAGTGCTGGGATTACAGGCGTGAGCCACTGCACCGGCTGTAGCTGCCTTTATTTATTTATTTATTTATTTATTTATTTATTTATTTATTTATTTATTGAGATGGAGTCTCGCTCTGTCTCCCAGGCTGGAGTGCAGTGGCTCAGTCTCGGCTCACTGCAAGCTCCGCCTCCCGGGTTCACGCCATTCTCCTGCCTCAGCCTCCCAAGTAACTGGAACTACAGGCACCCGCCACCACGCCCAGCTAATTTTTTGTATTTTTAGTAGAGACGGGGTTTCACCGTGTTAGCCAGGATGGTCTCGATTTCCTGAACTCGTGATCCGCCCGCCTCGGCCTCCCAAAGTTCTGGGATTACAGGCGTGAGCCACCGCACCCGGCCTGTAGCTGCCTTTCTTTAAAGGTGACTTTGATCTGCTGTGCTTTCATCCCAGCAAGGACACTGACTGTCATTCTTACTGTTGTCTTACCTTCATTTCTTTATGCCTTTTGCCAGCATTACCTCATTTTGTCTGCTGGGGAGGGACTGTCACTCTCATTTACCACTGTTCGTCAGCTCTGGCACAGCGCTGGGATTCAAGTAGGTTTGACTCCAGTGTGTTCTTTGATCACGGAGCTGACAGTATGAAGGGAATTCAGAAGTTGACGCCATGTTGCCCACAGACAGACACGAACAGAGGGAGGGTGGGGGAGAGAGCTGCGGGGGCAGGTAGGCTTCCCAGAGGAGGTGGAACAAGATCCCAACCTGGAGGTTCTGGCCAGTAGAGAAAAGCCACAAGCCCAGTGAGAAGTGCTCAAGGGGACCAGCCCAGTGGTGACCTGGGGGACAAGGGGAGAGCGCTAGCTGGAAGATGAATGTGGTGCTAGGTTATGCAGGGCCTTGAATGCCAGGGCAAGCATTGGGTTTGATCATGTGAGTGGGCACTGGAAGGCACCATGCCCAGGTGCCCTGGCTAGGGAACTCATGCCAGTGATCTTGGGACGCAAGCAGCTCATGCAATGAAGGCTGTGCCGACTAGTGGCCATTCGCCGTGAGGTCTCAGCTACCTTCCTTTGCAGGAGGGGCAGGGTAGGGCTCCAAGCTCAGGCAGTGGACAAAGGATGGACTTTCCAGCTTTCCTGGTGCTGTCCAGGGGTGTTCTGCCTTTCCCAGGCGATAAGGGGTCCTCTGAAGCCCCGTGCTCTTTTCTGCCTCTCTGCTTACCTTTGAGGGGTCTCAGCCTTCCTCACTGGGATTAAGTGGCCACAGTTAGTATTAAGTTTAGACAGGTGACCCAAACTATGGGCAGATGTGCCTCACTGTCTCCCAGGTGCACCCCCTTCGTGGTGAGTTGGCGAGGCAATGTGAAATCACACACACCCAGTGAATCTTCGTCCCATGGCTGCAGCGGGAAGGCATAAAGCAGTGGCAGAACCCACGTATGCCTGAGCACATCATTGTCATCCATCCCTGGAGACGTCCTCCTTGTCCACTGCCTTTCCCTCCCGAGCAGGACCGGCTACAGAACTTGCAGGGCTTAGAGAAAAATAAAAATGCAAGGTTGCTCCCTCAAAAAATATTAAACCAAGTGTGGGCCCCTGCTCAGCATGGGGCCCTGTGTGGCTGCATAGCCACGTGCCCATGAAGCTGCCCCTGTTCCTGTACCTGGCCTCATTCCATCCTGCAGGGGAGGCTGGATGGACCTCAGAGGGTACTGCCTCTAATTGTGGGGCCTCCATCTGCCTGTGGCTATTTGCGTTCTGGCAGCACTGAGCCCCCATGCACCTGGGCATGGGGCCTTTTAGCGCCTGGCTCATTTGGTCAAACCTGGCTGGGTCCTGGCTCGCCTTGCTGTTGACGGGTGAGGATGTGTATTCTCCATTCTCTGCCAATTTCTCTTCCTATTCGTCTATTCCTCACCCCCGAATTTACAGTCTTAACACATTGTCTTTCCTCTAACTATGCCCTCCTCCAAAACAATAGATTTCGTCCAGATCAATACCAGCCCATGCCTCTGTTGAGCCTGTCAGTGGGTTTCAGGGCATCCTTTCATATCCCTAAGAGCTGATCAACATTTCTTCTTCAATGCGGAGCTCAACCTCTGGGCTGGTCGTGGCTGTGCGACTTCTCAGGAGGCCAGGCAATTAGCTAAGACACTGTTTCTTCTACGGCTTTGATGGCATCCACTTCCTTCCTGCCCCTCCAGGAGACTCCGTCTCCACCTCTCAGCCTGGGGACACCACGGGCCCTATGAACAGAGGCCCAGCCATCACCCAGAGAAGTGTGAGCCAACTGTATTTCCTCAGTGGCTCATTCATTCATTTGCTTCCTCTCATTGTCTCCAGTGTTGTGGGCTGGCCAGAGCACAGGTGCTGGGGTGCAGGGATGAAAGGCAGGAGAGGGTGGGGAAAGAAGCCTCAGAAGCCCCACACCCTCCAGTTCAAATCCCAGCTCTGCCATTTACTAGATTTGTAACTTTGGGCACGTTTCTGAGCTTCTCCTGTCCTCGGTTTCCCAGCACCTGCCTCACGGGTTGTGGTGGGAATGAAGGGGACAGGGAAGAGGGGCAGCTGCCCTCGAAGGGCTCGGTGCCTGTGACCTGTCGTGGTCCGTCATGACTCACAGCCCCAGCCTAGACTTGAGCCTTAGGGCCGTCAGGAAGGCGAATGTCGGGTAGGGCAGTGGGTGGCATCCATGGCGGGGAAGGCCGGGAGCCTGGATACTGGGAGACATCGTTCCTTGCTCTGCACTGTTCCCCTTGGACAGGGGCCTCCTTCCTCTCAGCCTCCAGGCTCGGACTCACCTGTGCCTCCTGCCCCCTGTAGCCACCCTGCGGCTCCCAGAGATCTCCCCCACCCCTCTCTAAAGAAGGGCCTCTTCTTACATGCCCTTCAGGTCCCCTGCACCTTTCTGCGCTGGCCCATACATTTACATTGAAAATATCTATGTGATTATTTGGTGAATGTCCTCCCTCACATCACTGGAAGCCCCATGAGGACAGGGACTATGTGTGCACCATCGTATCCTGGGTGTTCAGCATGAGGCCAGGTATCAAGGCCAGGCTTGAGAAATCTTTTTTGCATAAATAAATGAGTTTCTGGCTGAGAGAAACAGGGAGAGAGAGAGAGACAGAGACAGACAAAAACAGAGAACTCCAAGGGGGCCTCATGCCTGGGGTATAGACATAGGGGAGTTGGCAGTGGGTCCAGATGTCTGGGGCCAAGAACCATCTGGCCCTGTGCCCATGGATAAGGATTCGGGTCTTTCTCCCGAGGGTCCTGGGATGCCTCTGAAGGGCATCTCGGGGCCGTGGGCCTGCATCCGATTTGCATTTTAGGAAGATCAACCGGCAGCTGTATGGAGAGTGGATTTATAGCCTGGCTTCTTTGTTCAAATCCCCAGAGTCATTTTCTTCTTTTTTATAGGATTCTGCTTGTTAGGGACAGAGCCAGGAGCTGATTATTTCTTCCTAACTCACTTTGTGACCTTGGGCGAGTCCCACCGCTCAGCAGAAAGCAGGCGCCGGCCCCTGGCTGTTCCTCCCAGCTGCACAGCTGTGGTCTCCCAAGATACCCGTTCCTCCCCCAGAGAGCCCTCACCTGCCACCCTCCTGGCCACCGGCCATGGATGGGGGTCATCTCTGCACCGAGCTTGCCGCACTTGTGGGGTCTCCCTGCTGGTGCTGCTGCAGGAGGGGGTCGAGCTGGGGGTGTGCGGACACCTCCCTTTGCCAATGACTCCCACACAGTTGATGAGAAATCCATTGGGTCCTGCCTCGTTTTGTTCCCCGGGACTGCAGCTGTTGCTCCTTACTTAACTCCAGCATTCCCTCCTCATGCAGTCCCACCCTCTCCCACTCTACCCTCCTTGTGGGGGCTGAGACAGGATGGTGGCTGTCCAGAGCCACAGCCAGCCTGCCTCCTCCACACATGGGCGCCCACCCACCCCTCCGCACACCGGGGCCGTCGGGGGGCCCGCTTGGTGATGTTTTAAGTGAGGCCGACAGAAAAACCCCACTCCACTTTCCAGCACTGCCAAAAACAGCTCTCCCGCTAGATTTATAAAGTTTGCCTAACTTTCCTTCTGCCACCCAGGAGAGGCCTTCCGTGCATTTGAAGAAAACACCTCCCCCAACCTTTTTTTTTTTTCTCTGAAAAACAGATGAAGGTTTTGGCTAGAAATCCAGAGGTCTGGGGGGCAGGCGTGTAAATTCAATGGCGGTTTATTGCCCTAAGGAAAACATACCTGGGTTATGAAGTATTCCCCCTTGAAATCTCACTTGACATTCTGTAAAGAAAGAGGAACGTTTTTAAGAAGTTGTTGGAGCCACCTAATACCTTCCCTACAAAGCAGAGCCTTTTTGAAAGATTAATATCGAGCTGCAGACAGTCAGTCACCATAATTGTACCGATCCCGGCGTGTTCCTCTGCCCATGCCGTCGGGGTGCTGGGAGCCGCAGGAGAGCTCCATCCGGAGTGCCCGGGAGTTGGGGCCTCCAGCTTAGTTCCATGAAAGGCTGCCAGCCCCGGCCCTGGGTACCCAGTCCCAGACCCAGACCCACATAGGCCAGCACATTTCTGCTGATGATCTTTCTTAACTCTTTTTCCTAAGCCAAGGAAGGGGCAACGCTGCGTTTGGGGTTTGTAGGCATTTATTAATGGAATTAAGGACGATTTGCAAGAACCCTCTACTGCTCACACCACTTCCCTCGTGTCATTGCGTAAGAGGCTTTTCCTGGGCAGCTCTACCTACCTGGTTGTGTCCCTTTAACTGGAGAAAAAGGGAAGTTTGGGGGGGTTGGGGGCCCTCTGACTCGGAACAAAGTCTTCCTGCAGATGCTCCCTGTAGTGCCGTGGGCTGGTTAACGTGAAGTGTGTGCACGTGGGTCCTGGCCAGCACAGTGTGGGTGAAACTCCCTCCCTCCTCCAAGGTCATGTAGTCGCCTCGCAGATGTGGCTGGTATGGCAGTGGGTTTCAAGGCTGCCAAAGCTTAGAAGTGTCACCTCGGACAACCCCTGCGGGTGCCTCGTAACCGGAAGAATGGGGCAAGGTCGAGTTGCCATTTGGCTCCCTTTACCTTTTTGTCCGCGTGGTGGTCATGCTAAACAGGCCCTGAACTCCCACTTGGGCACCCCTGGGACCTCAGCTTGCAGATCAGGGGCTGGCTATGGAGAAATGTGAGGTCCCCCCTCCCCTCATCTATGGGAGAAAAACAAAGGCCTAAGCGAAATGACTTTTTTTGAAAGCATCATTCCATACAGCATTAATTTTTTAGGATTTCTTCTGGGAGGGGAGATCAGATCAGAACCACAAATGATATGAAAACATCAATGTCTTCATCTGGAGAGGAGCGGGTGGTGCAAAGGTCCGACCACCACGAGGTCAATCCTCTCCCGCCCAGCGTGGGCTCACCGACCTGCCATGGGGTGGATGTTGATTAACTTCATCCAGGGTTTCCCCTTGGTGTCTGAGGGCAATTTCTGACCCGGATAAAGCTGGCTTTCACCACGTGACCTTTACAGAAAGGCAGTACTGTGTCCCCTCTGGGGTCCCCGAAATAATAAATCACCAGAGGCCCAGTGAGAGATGAGGCCATGCGAGGAGGCAGACAAAGGACAGAAACGGACAATAAATCTCACTTCTAGGGAGCAGTCATTTCTTTTTTCTTTGCAGTAATTTTTGTGAAATGTAATTGTGATCCAATAATACAAATACCAACATCTGGAATTCTGCAAGCGATATCTCTGCCTGTTCTGTTTGGAAATGGAGTACTTGGCAGGCATACTTTCTTTCCCATTCATGGACAGGGAGCAAAGCGTTCAGGGGAGGGCCAGAGGGGAGAGAGCACTGCCGTCTGCTGATCGTGGATGGAACCCTCATTTGAGAAGCTCCAAAGGTAGGGGTCATCAGTCAGACCCCAGCCCCCCTCCCCCACCCCCCACCAGCCACTGACAGTCCCAGGAGCCAGGCATTTACAACCCAAGCCCACAGAGATGTGGAAAGAACTCTCAGAACCAACGTGGTTTGAAAAGCACCAAGAAAGAAGGGAGACTTGGTCGAATAGCCGCACTTATCCTTTGCATTTCTGTCCTGGGCTAAAAATATGAATTCTAGATCATGAGATTGAAGATTTTTTCTTTTTTTTCTTCTCAAATTAAGGTCCAGGGGGAAGGAAGCTCAGCTCACCTATAGGCTGAAATGGTTGGGGTGTGCCCTGTCTCTGCGACTCTTACCGCCCTCCTTGGAAATTCTTTTTTCTGTGGGTTTGGGGGCTTTAGTACCTTTAAACTTTCTAAACCTTTCTCAGGCCATCAGAGGAAAAAAATGCATTTCCCTACCCCAAATCCAAGCTCTGAAGAATCCACAGTTTGTCCATTTTCCTCATTCGATGAACAAAGAAACATTAAACTCAAAAAGACAAAAGCGGAATGTCTACAAAATACCTCAGAACAGTCTTCTTAATTTTAGGGGAAACGACTGGGTCATTTTCTTCCAGTGCTGTCAGAAAGCAAAGATCCTCTCCTGGGAGAAAGACTGCTTCAAAGTCCTCCAAGATGTGAGGAGTCCCTGTGGTTATTAATTTTTAACTTTTGGTAGTTTTTATTACCCAAGCTTGTACATACCTCAAAGGCTCTAAGACAAGAAAGACGGCTCAAAAGAGTTTTGCTACCACTTAAAAAAACAAAAAGAAACCCTACAGTTTTAGGATTCATGGCTGGGCCTCTGCTGTCATGCACCCAGAGTCTGGAGTGAAGAGAAGTACCAGGTGTCCTAAGAATGCTACAGCGGCTGCCTTCAAACCAAAGACCTGCACAGTTTTAATGACCAGATGTTTATCTAGCCAGAATTCATTTTGATGTGTGCTTTACAAGCCACTGGTCAAGAAAGAAAAGTAGTTTAAGCCCAAAAACAATCACTAAGGTCAGAAATCCAACAGTTTGTAAATCTGTAGAATTTTATGCCTTGGGGATAACAAATCTTTATTTTTCTTTAGATAATGTAAGTTGGACAGAAGTCATAAAGAGGGAAGTCACAAAAACTGTTTGGACTATGCCCCCGCAACGCAGAAAATCACAGTCGCCCATAGACCATAAGGAGGAATGCCGATGTTAGGGTCTCGCAAACCAAGGTAGCAGGGCCAGTACTGCTCGACTGGGTCAAACATTTTGTTCTTACTGACTTCCTAACCTTTTCCCACTTGACATCTTTATTGAGCACTCGTGAGGAGGCCCCAGCTGCCTCGGCTCCGAGCACATTCATCTCTGGGCGCTTGCATTTTTGCAGGGGCAGTTACATTTTCCGTTTTCTAGCCAGGAATGGAATGTTGATACTGTGTGATTATTTTATTTATTTTATACGTTTTCCTTGGAATGTCTACGTGTGGCCGCTGCCCTGGCTTGGTGGCCTCTTGATTTACGGTAGTTATAAACATTCCAAAGTAGACATGTCAGTTAAATGATACCATAACATTATACAGTTACAATTCTGTTCTAAATGTGCCCAGAGTTCCAAAAAATCCGTTTTCAGCTCCCCTCCTCCACCCCATTCCTTCCTGCTACCTACGCATGATGGCATTGGAAGCCACTAGCTCAATGGAAAGAAGACAGAAGACCTAAGGTTTACTCGTAGCCTCACCACCCCCTAGCCCCGCCTTCTGGAAAAAACATTTTTTTTTTTTTTTTTTTTTTTTAGATGGAGTCTAGCTCTGTCACTCAGGCTGGAGTGTGGTGGCACAATCTTGGCTCACTGCAACCTCCACCTCCTGGGTTCAAGTGATTCTCCTGTCTCAGCCTCTTGAGTAGCTGGGATTACAGGCACCCACCACCACAGCTGGCTAATTTTTGCATTTTTAGTAGAGACGGGGTTTCACCATGTTGGCCAGGCTGGTCTTGAACTCCTGATCTCAGGCGATCCACTTGCCTTGGCCTCCCAAAGTGCTGGAATTTAGAGGCGTGAGCCACCATGCCCAGCCGGAAAAAACATTTCTAAGAAGCAAGTTGGCATCCAGAAGTAACATGCCCCTTTAGAGAACACATTTGAACTTTCTTCCTACTGAAAATCACGTTTATTCACATCATGCATGTATTCCCAGGAGAAAGTGGTTCTAAGATGGTGGCCACTGAGTAATTCTGGGAGGTGACCTGTCTCTCAATCCCCTGGCCTGCTGCCTTTACCGCCCACCAACAAAGAAAGAGTGGTTTGTGCTTCCTAAAAGATGCTGAGAGAGGGAAGGAAGAAAATATCTCCACGGACATAGCAATTTGGAGAGCTTAACATTCAACCAGAAAACCCACTTCAGCATCCTCCCCAGGAGAACTGTCAGGGAGGAATTCGCTACATGCCTTCTCACAGAAAACACTGGGACATGGGCTGCTTTCACTGCCCAATTCTAACCCTTGGACGTGTACAAACCCGACAACTGATATCTGAAGCAAAATGTACACCTAAAGAATTTTTATTCTCTGTGCTAGAGCAGGGGTTGGCCTGGGCTTGTTTTTGTAAATAAAGTTTTATTGGAATGCAGCCACGCTCATTTGTGGATGTCTTGCTTATGGCTGCTTCTGTGGGACAAGGGCAGGGTTTGATAGTTACCACGGAGACCCAACGGCCTACAAAGCCAAAAATGTTTACTGTTTGGTCTTTCGCAGGAAAAGTGTACTGGCTCCTGTCCTGGATCAACTCAGAAAATGAAACACATCGGATTCTGTCCAGGCCGGGCACAGCAACCTGGCCCATCCATGTGGAGCCTGCAGTGACCACTTCCGCTGTCTGCACAAAACTGGAGGGAGGCTGGGGGTGCTCCAAGTATAAGTTTCCTCATCAGCAAACCGGAAAGAGAAAGACCGACCTGGAGGCTGGTTATGGGGATAAAATAAATATGTCCTTATATATGTGTATAAAGCCCCAGCACAAACAGCAGTCGCCGCATGGGTCAGGGAGGCACTGCTTGGAGCCTTATGTGACCGTGTTCTCACATTATCTTCCAACTGGTTTGGGAGACAGGTACTGCTATGATCTCTGTATTACACAGAAGCAAACTGAAGCTCAGAGTGGCCGCTCACTTCACTCCGAACAGAAGGTGCTTGAGCTCTGTGCTGATAGATGGAATCCCAGATTTTCCATTTAACTTTTGATGTTGTGTCGTGGGAGTGGTGTTCCACCTTTGGAGGGTTTTAAGGACTCTTTATTAACCAGCAAGGGTTCTTGTGCCTTTAAGGAGGAGTGATTGAGAGGCACCTGCAAGGCCGGTGGAGGCTGCTCTGGAGGCCTGCCTCTTCCAGCCCACAGGCCCTGCTTCCTGGAACTGGTGTGGGTCACTCATTCCAGTTCGCCTCTGAAACTATTTTCATGACAGTAAGCTGCTACCTCAAGAAACAGCAACAGTAGGGATTTTGCCTGTCAGGTAAGGTGCTTGGGGAGTGAAGGCTGTGGTCAGGATCCAAGCAGGAAGCCTGAGTTCATGTCTATTCTTCACCGAGCATGGCCAAGTCCATTTGAGTCCATCTCCAGAAGACATGTCAAAATCACCCACTTATCTCCATCTTCAACTCCTCCCAGGTCACCACCTTATCTTCCTTAGATGACTGCACTAGCTTCCTGACTGGTTTCCCTAAAACCCATTCATTTATCTATCCCTTCTACCATTTCTCCCACCAAACATCCATCTCACCACCCACCATCCTGCCACTTATCTTTCCCTCCCTCCCTCATTCCCTTCCTCCATCTATCTCTCCATCCATCCATCCATCCATCCATCCATCCATCCATCCACCCACTAATATGTATTTAGTGGTTACAATGTCCCAAGCACTGTATGGGTCCCAGTGTAGGTGGAAAAGGAAACAGATTTCCTGACCTCAAACAAAACAATAAATTTCAAAGTAAGAAGCCCCACGAGGGAGGAAGTGTAGGCTGTCTTGAAAGAGGATGATATCAGGAGACATATATGGAGAGGGCTTGGAGGAGGTGATGCGCCTCACCAGGAGGTGATATACTGATAGAGGGACTATATAATTTATTGATCAAACGGGGCCATTTTGGGGAGTGAGAGGAGGAGCTATTAAACATTTTTTCAGGGCACCAGGTGCATGTCAGGACTGGCCAGGTAAACTGAGCTGCATGGCTACCTCCTACAAGCCAAGGTTCACAGCATGAGCTGAGAAAGGGGCAAGGAGGAGAGAAATGCCCCTTCCTTTCCTTGGGGAGAGCCTGCAAACCTACATTTAAAAGAACTAGGAGAAGGCTGGGTCCGGTGGCTCACGCCTGTAATCCCAGCTCTTTGGGAGGCTGAGGTGGGTGGATCATGAGGTCAGGAGTTCAAGACCAGCCTGGCCAATATGGTGAAATCCCATCTCTACTAAAAAATACAAAAATTAGCTGGAGGTGGTGGCGTGCGCCTATAGTCCCAGCTACTCAGGAGGCTGGGGCAGGAGAATCGCTGGAACTAGGGAGGCAGAGGTTGCAGGGAGCCGAGATCATGCCACTGCACTCCAGCCTGGGTGACAGAGTGAGACTCCATCTCAAAAAAAAAAAAAAAAAAAGGGGGCTAGGAGAGAAAGTAAAGAGGAAAAAGAAAGAGCTGTGGAGTGCTGGGGCAAGAGTGAGTTTTGGGGATGGAGGTTAAGCAAATAAGAGTCTCAGGGAAATGCGGGATGGCAGAGTTGGGGGAGAGGAGAAAATAGGGTATAAGAAATGTTTTTCTGTGTTGTGAATTGGGCTCCCTTCGATGCTGCTTTTACTGTTGTCTATCAAAAGATGCAAGTGAAAGAGTGGCATTCCCTTTGCTTTCTCTAAGGCGTGTTTGCTGTTTGGGATGTGCATCTTGGACTAAGTCTCCTTCTGGAGCTTGGAACACCAGGTTCTGCCGTCACAACCTTTATCATGCACAGGTCGCCCTGGCATGGACAGGACCTTAGCTTTATTGTCCGTGCTCCCTCGCTCAACTGAGAGCTTTCTGAGGGCAGGGCCTCTGTCTGCTTGTCTCTAGTCCCAGCACCTAGCACAGGCTAGCATTTAGTATGTGCTCAATAGTGTGCAGTGTAGGGACGAGTGCACGGGCTCCAGCGTGGTTAATGTCCTTCACAAGGCGCCTTGGAGGAGCCGTCCCCAAGCTCATGCTTCATTTCACATCCTGCTCCTGCAGAAATGGAGCAGCTGCTCCGCTTGGGTTATTTAGTGTCGGAATTTCATCTCCCCCCATGCCAGGCTGCCCTCGTCTCTACCTCCATCAACTCCCCAAGGCCATCCAAGGAGCCTCATGGAAGCAGATATCTGCAGATGGCTTGTGTGACCCATGGATGGGTATTGAGCTTCACGCCTCACCGCCTTACAGTCTGGCCTCTTCGTCAGCATCAGTGGGACAGGCAGGGTCTCTAAGAAGAGCTCCAAGCTCCCAGAGGCCCTGCCAGGCAGTTCTGGGCTGGTTCCCTCAGGGGTCAAGGGAATCATGGCCAGCGTGGGTCACAGTTGCGGGCTGGGGAGTCTCAACCACTACTCTTCCTCCGGCTAGCTCTGTAATTCGGAGTGAGCCGTGTGGACTCCAGCCTCAGTCCTTCTGTAAAATGGAGACAACTCAGCACCGAACCCTATGCAATAGGCACTGGACACGCCGAGGTTTATCACCACCATGACTTGGTTAAAGGCTGCTCGGCCTCTGGGAGGACACAGCACTGGCTGGGGAACAAGGCTCTGCGGACACCTGACACCCAGGGGGCTGCAGGGGAAGGGGGGTGCTCTTTTATCTATTTCTGTCCTCAAAGGTGTAGGAAATTGTTCATCCAGGCCAGGTGGCCGGGCCTCACTGCCTCTGTGATAGCTCAGCTTGTTAGCTAGCAAAGGCCGCACAAGGCAGGCCACGATGTTGACTGCACCTGCCACGGGCTTTCTGTGACTGTGCTGAAACACTAATGCCAGCTGTAATTCCCTCCTGGAGACCTGGTAATGAGGGCTGGCACCATGTCCCCGACATGATTGAAAACGGGCTTTGTTTATGCACTCTCAGAGCAGATGAGACGTGCATTTAAAGTGGTCCAGCGAATTTGGGGAAAGGAAGGATGCAATTTCTTGGATGGGAGACATTTCTAAGGACCCCGCCCTGAGTCTGATGAGGTGGTGGGGGGATTGTTGGTGAGGGCTCAGGTTTATAGGTGACTAGCTTCTTGATTGAGGACACAGTCTTAGGAGAAACCCAGACAGCACGGTTGCAGCAGTCCATCCCTTCATTCCGCCCCATGTGGGCACTGCCCACATGCCCAACTTTATGTGTACCCCATCCCAGGCTGGTGGGCTGGGATCAGAGGCCAGGGAGGAGTGGTGTTGTTTGAGGAGATTTGATTAAAGGTGTGCAGATGTGGGCAGGGCTTAGAAAAAGCAATGAAGGGTTGGTGCAGTCCAGGAGGACTGATCACGGGGGGAGCAGTTCCCACTCCAGGGACATAAGGCAGGGGTGGAGCCATGGCCAGAGCCCTGGGAGGGTGGCTCCATGGCAGGAGCGCTTGGAGGGGCTGCGGCCTTTAGCAAAGCAACCCGGAGCCAGTGCCACCCGGCCAGAAGACAGCCAGGAAAGTAAATCCCCCCAGGTCTCCCGCAGGTGCCTCTTCTGGCCAGAAGGCACAGGGACCTGCTAATGGTCCGTACGGAGTGGCCTCCTGGGGCCCAGAGAAAGTAGAGAAGTGTGGACGTGGATGTGAGTAGCCATGGGTCGTACCCAGCACAGGTCAGCTCCCGTGGAGTTTCCAGCATCTGGTGTAGGGGCTGCAAACTCAGGGACCTAAAGGGGCCAGGCAAGTAGTTAATATAAATGAGGGGCGCCAGACAGGTGTGTGAGATAAGGGAAGGGTGGGGAGTGTGGCAAACTAGATTGCTCATGCCAGGAGAGAAAGAGGCCCAGAATGGACAGATCCTCCCATTTTTTAGGCAAAAGCTGGAAATTGGGGGTTTTTCTGAGCTCTCTCCTGATTTTAAATTTTAGCAGTAAAGTCAAACTTCTGAAATGAAAACAATTTGCAAGCAAGACAAATGAAATTTGTCTGTGCGGGGGACATCACTCTTGGGCTGGTTTGGCGCCTCCGGTCAGTAGGAGCGATACGACAAACGAGTGTAAGGGACCGAGCTGGACTCGCTCTCCAGGGCTCGGAGGCGGGGGGTGGTAGACAAGGGCACCGCCGGGGTTGCCGGCTGAGCTAAACCTGCCACTTGTGCCCAGCACCCTTCCGAGTGTTTTCACGCCCTCGTCTGTTGTCTTCAATCCCACCCCATCCTGCCTCCCCCATGCTCTATCACTGCACTCCGTCTGTTCTTCAGAGCATTTACCCAAATGTATGATTGTGCATTTCTTTACTCATTTATTTGCTCTTTTTCCCTTCCCGAAGACGAGGCATATGTCTGTTTCCTCCCTTGTTCCCAGAGCCAGGCAAATACAAAATGACAGATAGCTGTTTGTGCAGTAACTGCTGCTGAGCCCCCTCAGGAGGGAGGCATTGTTATTCTTATTCCTAGTAGGAGTAGAAGCCGTCATCGTTGTAGTCATCACCCGTGTCTTATAATTGAGGAGACGGAAGCACAGAGTGGATAAGGGACTTAGTTCAGATTGCACAGCCAGGAAGCACTGGAATGGGGATTGAAACCCAGGACTGGCAGGTTCTCAAGACCCCTACCCTCAGCTCAAACACTGGCTCCTCCCTAGGAATCCCTCAATTTGAGTGTAGACCTCACCTTTTCCAAGAAGCCCTCCCTGACTTACCTGTCAGCTGGGTCAGTGGCCGCCTCTGGGATCCTCTAAACAGGATCTACCTCTCCATATTTCACTTTCCTGCTTCCCTGTCTTGAGCTCTGGGTTGTCAAGTTCACCTTGTAAGCAGACAGGTGGTTTTGTTCATGCTTTCTCTCCCCACCCCTTACAGCCCAGTGCCTGGCCTGCATTAATAATAATAACAACAACAATAATAATAGAAGAGACAGCTGTCATGCTGAGTGCTTCCCACGTGCCGGGCGCCATACTCAGTGCTTCCTGTCTATGCTTTTATTTCCTCTTCTCCACAACCCCATTTACAGATTCGGAGCCTGGGACTCAGACAGTAGCTTGCCAGAGGATACGTAGCTGGTGGGAGGTGGAAGTAGGATTGAAATCCAGCCCTGCCTGTGCCTGAAGCCACCGTACTGGTTGTAACCACCACCCTGACAGATCCCACTGCAGGGACTTAACCATCAGGTGATATCAGGGACCAGGGTGTCAGTACTCCTGGCTTTGCGGCCGTGCTATCTCTGCTGGAACCCTTAACCCCGCTGCTGCCATGCAGTCAGCCAGAGACTGTCCATAAACCAATGGGCATGGTTGCGTTTCAATAAAACTTTATTTATAAACACAGGTGATAGGTAGAATTTGGGCTACGGACCTCAGTTTATGACTTTGGCGTATGCCATGGATGTCAATGTTACAAGACGTCCTGGTTTCAGACACGTGATGTAAAAAAAACTGTGCATCTTAGAATCTAGGAGAAGTGATATTTGTTGAGTGAATGAATGAATGCGTGAATGACTGAGTCAGGTGTGTGCCCCTGAGTGTTTGGCAGGGAAGATGGGCACCTGGCAGTGAGTACCATGAATGTTGCATGAATGTCCTCCGAGTGGCCCTTACTCTCACCCTGGGGACACCACTGTCCCACAGCACATAAGTGGAAACTGAGGCCCCAACAAATCAAGAGTTTGTCTCTGGCCAACTGGCAACAGCAATTCGGTGAGGTGCCAGCTTGCTTAGCAGGGCTTAAGAAGCAGGTGGGCACCATTCCTCGTCGGCTGAGGAAGCCAGCCCTCAAAGTCATAGTGCATAAAGAATAACTTTTCACTTTAATTCCATCCAGATTAATTCAGCGAGAGTTTATTGAACACCTTTCATCATGGCTGGATGGGTGAGTGGTGCCCATAAAACAGGGCTCCTGCCCTCAGGGAGCTTAAGCACATCTAATCTTATAAACCACCCAGATCTAAAACCAGCGTGAGAATTCAGAGGCGCCAAGCCCCCTGCCCGTCCCCATGGAGCCTTCTGAGGGCTGCAACGTGGATATTTTCCAGGCAGGAATTAATCACGGCTTCGTTGGCGCTCCAAGCCAGACCCTACATAATACCTTCTATAAAGAGCCTTATTACACCGGAAGGTTGTATATTATATTCTTCACTGCACACCAGCTACGTGCGTAGGCTGCTCCCTATGTCCCTGGGCCAATAAATTAGATTTAGATTACAAGGGGAGGAAAGGCGGCCCCGCGCGTGAATACCTAACAGTCACTGTGGACCGAGATGTCTTGATTTAGATGGCTAAATGGCCCAGTGAAGGGGCCAAGAGGTCGCAGGTTGACACATAAAAAGCTCACAGCCTCCACAAGCCAACCATCACCTTGAGCAAACAGGCCCGCCAGCGGGGGCCGGGACTGCAGGCTAATTGGCAGCTTGGATCCAACGTCACGCTTATTTCCCGAACGCAACTCACTTCCAGCTCCAGGTTATTGATCCCTGTTGAGGAGGGTGGTCTGGCTTTGATGCAGAGGCCCCTCGTCTGGCTCCAGAGTTTTCCAACTTGGGGCATTAATGTTTTTCAAGTGCCTCTCTGGAACCAGAGGCTAGGAAAGCCAATGTGAAGCGGAGGCAACCCCAGGGCCCTGGTGGGGTGTGTGGAGAACCGTGGCTGTGAATGGGCAGGTAGACCGTCTTGCTAGAAGCAGAGAGGGAGGAGCCTCCTGTGGCAGCAGGAGGGGACACAGTTGCTGGGAGGCTGGTGGTGGGGCTCCCCAAACTTGCCTGGGGGAGGAACCCCTAAGCTGGAGCTTCTGATTCTTCGGGCACCCACTCGAATGCTTCTCTGGGATACCTCTGTGGACCCACAACTGCTGGGCTGCAGTAACTACACGTTTCAAGTTTTCCTGGATTTTGTTACACTGCTCCATGACGGCTGGTGGGACGTGTGACCCCAGAAAGAAGCAGTGAGATGTCTTTCCCACTCTTCTTTGTCCACACCAGGTATTATCGACATTGACAGCTCCTTGCCAATCTCATGGGTGCAGAGTGCCACTGCCTTGTCATTTTAATGTGTTTTTTGTTTTGTTTTTGAGATGGAGTCTCACTCTGTCACCCAGGCTGGAGTGCAGTGGTGCCATCTCGGCCCACTGCAACCTCCACCTCCCAGATTCAAGCAATCCTCCTGCCTCGGCCTCCCAAGTAGCTGCGATTATAGGCTCCCACCACCAGACCCGGCTAATTTTTGTATTTTTAGTAGAGATGGGGTTTCACCATGTTGGCCAGGATGGTCTTGAATTCCTGACCTCAGGTGATCCGCCCGCCTTGGCCTGCCACAGTGCTGGGATTACAGGCGTGAGCCACCATGCCTGGCCTTAATTGGATCTCATACATTTAAAGGAGTAGGAATTAGTCAGGTAAGAAGGAAGAAAAGCGTCTTCCAGAAAGAGGCAACTATGGGAGTAAAGAGACAGGAGGAATAGCAAAGTGCTCAGTATTGCTCAAGGGGCTCGCTGTGGAGAGGTTGGAGAGGTGGGGTGCTCAGGCATCACCTTGCAAGTCAGAAACAGGCCAGTCCGTGTGATTGTTCAGCTTCCCAGGTGTGCCCTGACACCCATGTGCAGAAGAGATGATTATGGGACATTTCAGAGATGAAGGCTCATGGGAGAGATGGGGTGGGACAAGAGAGCAAGGTGCTGGCTGGGGAGCCAGCATCAAATCTTAGCCCTGCTGCTTGCTCAGCGATGTGGCCTTGGCTGCCTTCACCTCCCCAATCCTCAAGCTCCTCCCCTGTCAACCGAGGACAAGAAGAACTCTTACTCTTAGGCTTGTGATGAGAACCATATGAGACGATGTGTGGCACGTGCTTAGCACCAGGCAGGGTATGGTGCATGAGCTGAATTGTCATGTGTCACATCATTTCCATGGGGCTCAGTTTAGAAAGAAGGAAGGCCAAAGTGGTGCTGATGAATTGGGAGAAAGTGGAAGAGTCAGGTTCAGGGGGCCTCTTGAGGTGAAAAAGCATGTTTCCTGGAAGCAAAGGAAGAAGGAGGCTACGGAGAGAGAGAAGGAGAGAGAGAGAGAGAGAGAGAGACAAGACAGAGAGAGAGGGGGGATTTGGAGGCTGCAAGATGAAGCAATTCAGGATCCAATGAGTAGCAAAGGGAGTGAGGGGATGAGAAGTGGAGGAACAGGGAAAGGAGGGTCATTGGGCAAAAGGCCAAAGAGCCGGGAGGCCTGGGGTTGGGGGACAGATAGGTGGCCCATTGGGACGTTTAGCTGAAACCAAGTTGATGGTAGAATATGGGATGGAGAGGTCTCAAAGCGGTGGAAATGGAAGGTGTAGGTTAGCCAGGTTGCTTTTGTTTGCAAAGAAATGGAACCCAACTCAAGTAGGTGTATGCTAGGAAGAGGGACACTATTGGCTCCTTAACCAGAAAAGACCAGGAATGATGGTTTCAGGAATGGTTGAATCCAGGCGCTCAAGTGATGTCATCAGGACTTGCCTCCCTTTGCCTTCTCTCTGTTCTGCTTTCTTCTATGTTAGCCTCATTCTCAGGCAGTCTCTCCCCAGGTGGTGGAAATATGGCTGGAAGCAGCTCGTTGCCTACGTTCCTCAGGTCAGCAAGCCCCTGGGCAGAGATCACTTTGTTAAAAGTTTCCGTGGAAGTCCTGGGGTTGAATTTGATTGGACTGTCTTGGGTCATATGCCCATTCCCAGAGCTGGGTGTCAGGGAGTGTGATCTGATATGGTTTGGCTGTGTCCCCACCCAAATCTCATCTTGAATTGTAGTTCCCATAATTCCTACATGTTGGAGGAGGGACCCAGTAGGAGATATTTGAATCATGGGGGCAGTTTCCCCCATACTGTTCTTGTAGTAGTGAATAAGCCTCACAAGATGTGATGGTTTGATAAGGGGTTTCCCCTTTCACTTGGCTCTCATTCTCTCTTGCCTGCCACCATGTAAGATGTGTCTTTCACCTTCCACCATGATTGTGAGGCCTCCCCAGCCACATGGAACTGAGTCCATTAAACCTCTTTTTCTTTATCAATTACCCAGTCTCAAGTATGTCTTTATCAGCAGCATGAAAATGAACTAATAAAGATCCAAAGTGTGTGTGCTGTGAACAGGTGAGAATGGTAAAATTGGGTTGCTTTTCAGAAGAAGGGGGACTGGGTGCTGGGCAGTATCCCCTTTAAGGACTGACCCAGGATCTGGAAGATGATACCAACAATGAGGAGGAAAGGCTGGGGCCAGCAGGGCCGGGGGGTGGCGTCCATTTGCTGGAAATGACCAAGGGGCAGTGTAGAAATGTTTGGGAAGGGGCAGTCAGCCAACCGCAGAGCCAGACGCCCTGTACCTCTCCCCGCAGCCAGCGAGGCTGCCTGCTTGTCACTGTGAAAGTGTGTTGAGTTTCTGCGAGTCACCCAGGCAGAGTTACGTGGCCCATTGTGATGATTTCCCTTTTTGCCTCAGCTGCCAGGACGCAGGGAGCCAAACTATCATATCTAATCTGTTACCGTTTCCCTAAGCCCGGGGATTTGGGAGCTTTTCTCCCCCTCCTTCTGTGTGGTGTTCTTGATTTTTCTCTTTCTATTTAACAGCCTTTCCAGTTTATGTGTCGTTTATCGTAAACCACCTCAAATCCTTTTTTGAAGCAGGCAGGGTATAAATTATAAATAGATTTAATTTTAAAAATTCAATAGGGCAGTTTCTCTGTAGGGCTCCCAGCAATCGCTTCTGCTGACATTTCCCTCGTTACCCCAGGGGAGCAGGAGCAGGGCGGTGGGAGCAGCTGGGAAGGGGCTTAACCCTTGGAGTGCTGTGTCTGGGGGCTTGGCCCCATGTGCTGGGACCAGGAGCCCAGCACAGGTGGACGACCACGCAGCCCTCAGAGGGGTCGAGCTGCTGAAGAAAGTGGGGTGATGTCCCCCACCTTCCTGGGAATTCATTCCTTCCCACGGTTGCCCCATGTCATGGTTCAACATGTGCCCACTTGAGCCGGCCTTTCCTTGTCCTTCTCTTTTGCAAACCATGCAGGCCTCACACCTCCACAGTGCCACAGATGCAGTCCACACGCCAGGTCATAAAACCCTGCAGAAATGATGCCAGAGTTGTGGCCCGGTGCATCGGCGAGCTCTGGGGGGCTGCTCACCTTTCACAGGTCCCCAGAGATGTATAAAATAGCTCACTCTTAGTCACTGAGCTATGAATGTAGGCCTTGCACTTGCCAGCTCAGAGTCTCAAAGTGTGGCAGTGGTGGAGGCACCTGTGTGGAGGAGCCATGGCTGGGCCATCCTGGTGCCAGGCAGTGTAAGCAGGTTAGGGTGCAGGTGCCGAGGGAAGTCTGCCCTGCTGGCAATGCAGTAGGCTGCCCTGGGCTGTGTGACCTCAGGCAAGATACCCAACCTCTCTGAACTTCAGCTTCCTCATCTCTACAGTGGGTGTACAGTAACACCTACTTAAGAGGGTTGTTGATTATTTGAGTTATTAAAGCGTAGCGAAAATGCTCAGAATCGTACCTGGCATATTGTAAGAACTTCATCTTTGCTATGGTTCTGTACTTTTGGGGAACACACACACATACACACACCAATATAAATCATTTTGACAATTTCAACTCCTTATCCCTGGCTCACCCAAGAAGCTCACATCATTCAATGGAGGCAAGGTCACAGGAGGTATGATCCATCCGCCCATCTGTCCTTCCTCCCTTCTCCCTCCCTCCCTTCCTTCCTCCCTTCCTTCCCTCCTCCCTTCTATCCTCTCTCCTCCTCTCTCCCTTCTTCCTTCCCTCCCTTCCTCCCTCCCTCCTGTCCCTCCTCCCTTCCTTCCCTCCTCCTTTCTTCCCTCCTCCTTTCTTCCCTCTCTCCTCCCTCCCTCCCTCCCTTCTTTCTTCCTTCCTTCCTTCCTTCCTTCCTCCCTCCCTTCTTTCCTTCCTTCCTTCCTTCCGAGTGTTTGTTGAGCACTTACTTTGTTCTTGGTATCAAGGGATACAGTCGTGAGCAAAGACAGATGTGGTCCCTGCTCTCTTGGAGGCCACATTCCAGGCTTTGTTTAAGTAAACAAATGAACAAAAAGAATGTCAGAAAATGAAAGTGTTAAGAAGAAAATAAATGAGCTTGAGAGGCTAGGTTGTGAGGGGGTGGGAGTGCTGGTTGAGAAGGCCACCCCAGGCGGGGATGTTGGAGCCCAAATGACAAGAAGGAGTTAGCCAGGGAAGCTGAGACACAGCCTTCCAGGTAGAGGAGTGGCCAGTGCCAAGGCCCTGAGGCAGGAATGAGTTCGGTGGTTTCAAGGAACAGAATGGATGCTGGAGTGAGCTGACCCAGGGGTAGAGAAGACGGTGGAGAGGTGGGAAATGCAGGCAGGGGCCAAATCCTGTGGAATCCAGGGAGCCTGGTGAGGAGTTTGGACTTTATTTTAAGTCATTAGAGCAGAGAAGACTCCAGGGCTTTCTCTCTAGCAACAACCCTGCCACTCACTAAGGCTCCCAAGCTGGTTGACCAGAAGGATGGACTCAAGGAGGGTAGCCCTGGGAGGGCCACAAGGGTCAGAAGCCCTTGGTGGCCTCACCTCTGTGACCTCTCAACTGATTTGGGTTGTGCAGGGGCTGTCAGGGCTGAGCCTCCCCAAGCACTCAGTTGTCCGGTGCTGCGGCCGCTGGGCTCTGTCCACAGCTTGAATGAATGGCTGGTGGATCTAGTGACGTCATTTGTTTATGCTCCATCTGTACAGAAAGTTTGTACTTCATTAAATTTATGTATGCCTTAGATTTTCCAATGGGAGAAGAGTTCTTCTTTTCCCACCTGCCCCAAGCCAGCTATAGAACTCTGCAGCTTCAAGAAATGGTGAATTGATTCATTTGCTTCTAAGAGATTGTTTTGCTTCTCCTCTGCGGGGGAGTCAGGCCTGGAGGACACAAGAAGGAAGGAAGAGGTCATCATTTCTGCCTGTAAGGCACTCGCAGTGGAGCAGATAATATTAGCATAAACCGAAAAGTTAAAAATAAAGGAGAGCAGATTGTGTCGTCCACAAAAATCTGCGTGCCTGTACTGTGGAATATTCCTTCCAGAAGTGGTTGATAGAGGCTGAACAGAAGAGGGCTTGTGGCCAGATGAGCTGGATTAATCAAAGTTTGAAAGCTGCCTGTCCTGCAGGACTTGTCAGAGCTTTGACACTGCCCATGCTCCACTCATGTCTCAAGTCCCTTTAGCACTTCCATGTCTGTTCCCGGGAGCTTTCACTCCCAGGCTCCAGCACCTGGGTCTCTTTGCTAAAGGCTGCTCTCATGCTTCCAGAATTGATTTCGTCTGCCAACATGATGAGCAGGAAGTGTCTGGAAATTCACATCCCCTGCCTTGGGGCAGCTTTAACCAATTAACTAGGGAATGTGGGTGTGAGGGTATAAATACCTCAGCTCCCTTGCCCTGATGGGACTGTTTCCAGAGTCTGCCACAGTGGTGGGCCAATGCTACCCTCCATGGAACTTGGTTTGTTACAGCCTTCTTGCTCATCCCCCTTCCTCTCCCAGGCCCATTTCCCACTCCCCTTCTGGTCCCTTCCATAAGGGCTGCCTCCCAAAGCGCTCTCCCACCATTCTCATCTCAGGGCTTGCTTCTGGGGACTCAATTATAGACAGTGATGCCTCAGGCCAAGTATTAAATGCAGCTTTAAGCAAAGTTAGACAGCTGGCTATGCTGCAGGACTTGTCAGAGCATTGATTCTACGTATGCATGGTGGTGCTCCAAGAGGAGGTAGTAGGAGGCGGCATGGTGTGCATAGTTATCTGCCCAGAGACAGCAGTCACCCTGGAGCACCTCCAGGGAGGATCACCCCCCACATCCACACATAGAGCGTACTTCGGATACTGTGCTGCATGGTGGGCTGTGGGCTGGAACTCTGGGAAAAGCCTCTATGGCCAAGGTCACAGAGAGTAAATAGAAAGTTGGCATTTGGAATTCAGATGTGGGTCTTTGGACTCCAAAGCCCACACCATCAACAACCCCACCTCCCCGGGTCTGGAGTCTGCAGCAGACACCTCCGTGGCTCCCAATGTGCCCATCACAGCCATTCTTGGGACACTGCACCTATCAGTTCACTTGTAAGCCACCAGCCTGGGAGGCATCTGGGTCTCCAGTCTTTCCATGCCCAGACCCTAGGCCAGTAGGTGCTTGCTGAGTGAGGTTGGAAGGTTTGAGGGACCAAGTACTGCCCCTGGGCTGGGCTCTGGCCGTGCCCCAGTCCACCTCTCCCCTCGGGCTGTAGGCATGGAGAAGGACCTCTTGCTGAAGCCCTCCTGCTCCTCACCCCATCCTGGACCTCCCTGGGCAGCTACTCTGAGTGTGTGTGGTGGGATGGTAGGGGGAACGGAGGATCTGGGACAAGCATCATTTCACTCCCAGTTACATTGTATTATCCAAATTATCCGTGGTCATTGACAACAACATTGAAGGTACAGATCACAAATCAAAATCACCCGAACTCCTTGCACAGCAGCCATGCTCACGTTCTTGGCTTTTGCTACACAAATGGGCACAACATTCCAGCCCCCATTCGCTGAGGGCTGTGGCTGTGTCTCCACCACAGCCCTGAAAGAGGGATTCGGGCACCAGGAAGAGCTAAGCACTCACCCAGCTCACAAAGTTGGGGGCCAGGTTGGAAACCAGACAGTCTCACTCCGGAGGTCGACTCCCCCTGCCCAGCTTGTCCCCATGTTTATTTCAGAAAGTCTTAAACATATGTAAAAGGAGATGGAGTCGTCCGACGAGGCTCCCTGCACCAGCACCCATCTGTGACAGCCATCCATGCCTGCCATGCCGGGGTCTTCTCAGCCCACATGGTCAGGAGCCCATCCCAGACCTCACAGCATTTCTCTAGAAAATAGTTCAGTCAGTGTCTCTCAGAACGTGCACTCTGAAGACTCTGCTATCCTGGCCCAGATAAATAAAATCTCTCTAGAAAATCTCTCTACGAGAATGTAAGCTCCATGAGAGCTGTATCCTCGAGACATAGGACAGGACAGTGCCTGGTGCAGAGGAGAGGCACAATAAATATTTTCTGAATTTCCATCTATCTATCTATCACCTATCCATCATCTATTATCTATCATCTATCAATCATCTATCTCCTATCTACCATCTCTCTATCATTTCTCTATCTACCATCTATCTCCTATCTACCATCTATCTTTCTATCTTTCTATCGTCTATCAGTCATTTATTATCTATCATTTATCTATCAATCATCTATCATCTATCTACTCTGTCTACCATCTATCATTGACCTATCTACCATCTATCTATCATCTATCAATCATCTATTATCTATCATTTATATATCAATCCTCTATCTGTTATCTATGTACTATCTACCCTTTATCTACCTATCATTTATCTATCTACCTACCATCTACCTACTGTCATCCATCTGTCACCTATCTTTCTATCTCTCTATCATATGTCAATAATCTATTATCCAGGCCAGGCGCAGTGGCTCATGCCTGTAATCCCAGCACTTTGGGAGGCCGAGGCAGGCAGATCACTTGAGGCCAGGAGCTCAAGACCAGCCTGGGCAACATGGTGAAACTCCATCTCTACTAAAAATACAAAAATTAGCCAGGCGTGGTGGCACATGCCTGTAATCCCAGCTACTCAGGAGGCTGAGGCAGAAGAATCACTTGAACCCGGGAGGTGGAGCTTGCAGTGAGCCGAGATCGTACCACTGCACTCCAGCCTAAGCGACAGAGTGAGACTCCATCTCAAAAAAATAAATAAATAAAATAAATAAATAATAATCTATTATCTATCTTTTCCTATCATTTATCTGTCAATTATCTATCTTCTATACGCTATCTATTTTGTATGAAAATGAGATTCTTCTAAACCTACTGTTTCATGACTTTCTGCTTTCCCCTGACAATTTATTATAATCACTGTTCCTTCTCAATAAATATGAGCCTCCTATGCCACCGTTTTAACTGCCTGCACAGTATTACATTGTGTGAATGTATTCTCATTTGTTTGACCTATTTTCCTTGGGACGTTTAAGTTGTTTCCAATTTTTCATTATTGTAAACAATGCCGCAGTGAATATCCCTGTTTATGGGCCCTTGGGAATGTCCACAATGATTTCTTTAGAACCAATTCTTGGAAGCAGAAGGGCTGGGTCAAAGATTATGTGTCTTTAAAAGATGTATTTCATATTTTAAAAAACATTTTTGATGGATCTTCACGCTGAGTGGTAACTTTCTTCAAAAAACAGTGACCCCCATTGGATTGTTTTTACCTTGAATCCCGTTTGAGAAATAGATGCAGAAACAGAAGCTGTGGCAGAGGCGGGTGGCGAGGGTCCTGTTAGCTGATGGCTTTGCCCTGGCAGCACAGACTGGGCGGGAGCACCCTCAGCAGCGATGTCCAGCCTTGTGATGGGCACCCCTGTGATTGTTGTCTAGTGCTCACATCGCAACCCCACTCAGCTCCCTCTTGCCGCCTGGAGGGCCATCACCCACCTTTTACTTTGAACTTTTTGGAGTCTCTGTGTTGCCAAACAGCCCCTCTGTTCTGGGTCTCCTGACTTGTGTGGTCCCTGGACTGGGGCAGGACCCAAGTCTTTCCTCTCTGGGTCAGCTGTGGGCCATATACCAAGTGGTATAATAAGACCAGGAGCTTCTGGAATTGGGCAACCTGGCATGGAGTCTCAACATTACCATGTACTAGCTGTGATGCCTCAGGCAAATTACTTAACCTCTCTGAACTTCAGGGCACAATTCCCATATGCCCTAGGACTACTGGTAGGGTAGGGGAATGAGGTCCAAGGCACTCCAGAGGCCCTTGCTGCATGGCAGAACATCTGTGGAGCTAACTGTAGGGCTCAGCTCTGAGCGCTTTGTCTACATGTGCTCATCCTGAGGCCAAGGGAAAGCATTTGGGGCTCTGGGGACTGGCGTCAAATCGCCCTCCCTGCCCAGAGCTGTAAACTGTGGAGCTGGGGATCCTGTCCTCCTGGTTTGTACCATAGCCCCAGTGCCTAGCAGATGCTGAATACAGAGCCAGTGTGCAAAAAGTGTCTATGGGACGAGTGAATAGATGAAAAACTGCCCAAAGCCCTGGGGACAAACCCTTCAATCTGACGGTATCTCCCTGGAGAGACACGTGAGGCCTGGCTTTGTCTCACAGTAACACTGGAAGAGAAATACAGCAAGAAGGGTCCAAGCCTGGTGGAAAAAAGGGTGATTTCTTTTTTACAAAAAGATGCCAGTTGAGACTATTGGGACAAGAGAGAGAAAGAGAGAGAGAGAGAGAGAGAGAGAGAGAGAGAGAGAGAGAGAGAGAAGAGGAATGAGAGAGCAGGTTTCTGGGCAGCCAGAGAATCAACACAGCCTGCAAGAGAGAATCTGTTCCTCCTGGGTTGCTAGGCAAAGGGCT
Organism: Homo sapiens; assembly: GCF_000001405.40. Classification (NCBI taxonomy): domain Eukaryota; kingdom Metazoa; phylum Chordata; class Mammalia; order Primates; family Hominidae; genus Homo; species Homo sapiens. The sequence goes on from NC_000020.11 coordinate 58,590,363, forward strand.
ATGGACAGAATCGATTGGTCTTTGGGAGCCGGCAGTGTTTATGCAGCTCGAGGCTGGAGAGGGGCAGAAATGGCCCGCAGAGGTGCCCGAGGCGTCCATGGGATGTCTTCGTGGAGGTGGAAAGAAAAGAGAGCTGGGCAGAAATCCTGGCTCTCAGCGTGGGCCATGGGGCAAGGCACATCCCTTGCCAGTGCCTCCGTGTGCTCAGTTGCTGTGGTTACTGTTATTGGAAGGAACACATCTTCATCTGTAAAATGGGGCAGCGACCCCGGTGCCCAACGCAGGGTGCTCACAGCACCTGACATCTTGATGCTGAGAGCTTAGTAGGCACTTTGCGGGTTTTAATTATTGCACTCCCTTCCCCCATTCCCTCCAAAAGTTATTGACTACTGTGCAAACCCAGACCCTGGCTTTCCATAGTAGCTTTCACTAACTATGTGTGGAATGAATGAGTGAATGAATATATGAATGAATGAGTTGTACCCGTGCCAGGCAGCTGCTGGTCACCGCGTTAAGCTGGAGCATTAAACATGCATTAAAACCAAAGGCTTGGAACTCAAAGCAACTTGCACTCAAATCCCAGGTGGGTCACTTCACTGCTGTGTCTCTTCACCCCTGATACCCTCGTGTGGGAAAAGGGGAAGACACTGCCACCCCTCCCAGGCTGGGCCGAGAACTGAGATGTTTTGTAAAGTGCTTAGCCAAGTGCCCAGCACAGGGCAAATTATCAAAGGCTCAAAAACGACCATCAGCTGTGCTGTGGCTGTTGTCATTATGGGCTAAGAAGGGGCTTTGGTGGTGGTTCAGGAAATGAAGAAAGGGCTGGGCTTCTCCGGCTGTGCTATCATAGCCAGCATTCACACTTCGTGCTCATCAAGGGGCCTTTCTTCCACACCTCTGCGTGTCTGTGGTTGTGGAACTCCAGCAGCCCTCTGAAGTGGGGGGCTGCAGGGAGTACACCCATTTTACAGACGAGGACAGAGAGGCTTGCAAGGGAAGTGCTGTGCTCCAGCCTGCAATAATCACTTAGCATAGAACAACTTGTTCATTCACCCGACTTGAATTGTGCTTCTACCATGCCCTGGGCTTGCATCATTCCATCCTCCCAACAGCCACTCGAGGTAGGTGCTATTATGAGCCTCATTTGTACATGAGAAACTGAGACCAAGGCCAGCACAACCAGGTGGCCTGATTCAGTGCTTCATGGCCAGGAGGGGCTCTCCATGTACTGTGCGGGGCTGGAGAGCAAGGTGCAACTTCCTCTCTCACTTTCCAAGGCACCCCACTGTCAGCCTGCAGCCCTCCAGACCCCCAGACCCTGCTAGTGTCCACAGGAGTCAGACAGAGATGCCAGACAGGCCCAGAGGCCTGAAGTGGAGACTCTAGTTGGCTGGGTAATGGAACCCCAGTGATGTCCACAGGTAACATCTGGAGCCTGTGAATGTGTCATCTTACAGGGCAAAAGAGGCTCTCAGATGTCATCTGAATGTTGAGACAGGGATCATTTGGATGATCTGGTGGGCTCAATGCCATGACAATGTGAGGGAGGCAGGAGGTCGGAATCAGAAAAGTAGATTCTGTCAGGGTTGACACTGCCGACTCTGAAGGTGGAGGAAGGGGCCAGCAGCTGAGGAATGCAGGGACCTCTGGAAGCTGGGAACGGCAAGGAGATGGATTCTCCCCTAGAGCGTCCCCAAGGAAAGTGGCCTTGTGGACATCTTAGTTCACGATTTCTGACTTCCGGAACTGTCAGAAAAGGAATTTGTACTGCTGTAGCCCATTGAGTTTGTGGAAATTTGTTACATCAGCAAGAGGAAACGAATACAAACTCCATTTGCAAAACTAATACTATGCTGTGACACCACAGGGCACGTTTTCCACTATGCTTTCAGGGCTGCTGGAGGAGCAGTAGGCGTGAGGATACAAACTGCGGCTACCTGGGCTGAGCTGGCATCTCTGGGGCCATGGTGGAGCCACCGTCCTGATTCGAGCCCTGTCTGCTGGTTTCATGGCACCAGCCAGCAGCTAACAGCAGCAGAAACTGCCCGCAGCACCACCTTCCACCCTGTGCACTTCCAGAGTGACAAAGGCATGGCGGCTATGTGAAAAAGGAGGCAGAGAAACCAGTGAAGAGCAAGGGTCTTGCCTAGAGCTGCTCAAAGCTTCCCTTTGAAGAGCCAGGAGGACAAACGGGGCTGCTGGCTGGATGGCACTCATTAGCAGTCAGTGTGCTGAGAGGGGTGGACCGTGATGAAATGAGTGGGCCCCGGGGTGAGATGAGGGAAGATGGCACATCAGGAGATGAGCCCCTGTCCCTGCAGTCTTCTCTGTCCCCCTCACTGTACCTGCTTTTCCACCTTTGCATCCACCACAGCATTTAGCTTGCCCACTGCAAACGTCATTCTTTCTTGGGCATGTCATTGATTTTCTAGTGGGATTGGTGGTGCTTCAAACCAATTGTCTCTTTGCCCCCTGGTTAAGCAGACAGAGGACAGGCTTGGGAGCCAGGGGGACCCGCATTGTAGTCTCAGCTCTGTCTTCTAGTTTTGTGGCTTGGAGCAAGCCTCTCAGCCTCACTCTGGCAGCCGTGAGCCCTCCTTGAGGGTTACTGGGGGAGATTCGGTCTCCCGGGTCATCTGGATGCAAGCGAGGCCATGTTTACCATGGTGTCCCCAGCACCTGGCTCGTGGGAAGCACCTTCTAGATGTTTGCTGAATGAAGGAGGCACAGGGGTAGGTGCAGGTCTTAGTACAGTGCCAGGCACAAACCCAACTCCGGACCACAGTGTGGGAATGAAGAGACAGCTAAGGTCCCACCCCCTCCACCCTTCCAGCCTTCTTCCTCCTTCCAGCCTTCTTCTTCACACTGGAGAAGCTTGTTCTTGACTGCCTACATGTTGACACTTTTTAGTAGTCTTTCAAAATTGTCATCTCCGTAATAATTTTCGAAAAACATCTTTGGAAGTTGGGCCTTTGACATCCAGGAATGCCATGTAGGCGCCTTTTATATTCTGTAACCCGGGGGCATTTCTTATCTTCCCTGCCACCTGGGAAGCTTGGCAAAAACAGAGGCACTCAAGTTTGCCTCTGTTCCTGTGCGGTGCTTGGCTTTGAGAACCTGTGTTGATGCATGAATGATGGATGGATGAAGAAGGGATGGATGGATGGATGGATGGAGTCAAGATGTGTGTGATAAATGAATGAATGAATGGATAGGAGATGAAGAGTGAGCTCTGGTCTTTTCTGTAGCTCAAATGGTCTTGGAGAGGTTATGTTCCATGGCTGGCATTTTCTAAAGCATATTCCGTGGATTAGCAGTTCTGCCAGACATTCACAGGTGTTATCTGAGAAATGTTAAAAAGGGACTGGGAGCGGGGGGCGGTGCTTCCTGTGGAATAATTTGGGAAATGATGGTGTTCAACAAAGTTAAACAGGTTTCCCTCTGACAGGACTTCTCAGAGCCTTTACTATGCCAACATGCTTTGCAAATTCCCCAAAGGAGTGTAGATTCGGTCGTTTTCTCCAGTATATAAACTATGGGGTTCATATTTCGAGGATGGGTTCGGCAGATCAGGCTGGTGGGAAAACTCTTCCTGGGGGAGGTTGTTGTGAGGAGGAAGGAAACTTCTCCTGGCAGTGGGGTGCCCGATGGGAACAGTGCAAAGGGCTGTGCTGCCCATGCCCAGGCTGCTGGCTCAGCCCCAGGCTGGTCGGCAGCAGGTTCTGGGAAGGACAGCCTTGACTTTGTCCTGAAGCAGGCAATCTGCTTGTCAGACACACTCGGTGTCTTGCAGGAGCGAGGAGTGGTGGTGTTATTGTTGTTGTCAGTCAGCAATTCTCTGCTTTTATTCAGGGAGAACAAAACGACACCGCCGGCTTTTATTTTTTCAGCTTTCGCACCCACTGGATCCATGCCACAGGCCATCGTTCTTCCCCAGAAAGTGCTTGTCGAGGGTTAATCCATAAGGTCACTTGAAAACGAAGCCATTATTCCCTTCTTAAAGGTTAATGTGTTTTTTCCGGGAGTGTGTGAGTGGAAATTTCAAGTATTCCACATTCTTCATTTAGCTGGGTAAAGTCCTGAGCTCTTCTGGAAAAATGAGCCCATGGAAAGCAAGACTGGGAGCCTCCAGCAGGAGAAAGCAGGGCAGTGGGGGTGGCTGTGCCCCCCTGCCTCCCAGCCAGGTATGTCACGGCCTGCAGAACGGGAATCCCAGGGGGTCTCCGGGAGTTTGCCAGCCACGCTGGTCCTCTTTGCAACCTCCTCTACCTCCCCACTCCCATGTCTGTGCCCTTAGTTCGAAATGGATCAGAAGGCTGTGTCTCAGGCCAGACACGGTGGCTCACACCTGTAATCCCAGCACTTGGGGAGGCCGAGGTGGGTGGATCACTTTAGGCCAGGAGTTCGAGACCAGCCTGGACAACATGGCAAAACTCCGTCTCTACTAAAACTATAGAAGAAAATTAGCCAGGCATGGTGGGCGCGCCTGCAATCCCAGCTGCTCGGGAGCCTTAGGAAGGAGAATCGCTTGAACCTGGGAGGCGGAGGTTGCAGGGAGCCTAGATGATACCATTGCACTCCAGCCCGGGCAACAGAGCAAGACTCTGTCTTAAAAAAAAAAAAAAAAAAGAAAGAAAAAGAAAAAAAAGGAAGGGCTGTGTACCAACTCCACATGCCACCTCGGGTTGGGCATCTGCCCCTGGTGCAAACTACCTTGGTCAGAGGGCAGCATTTTATGTACCACCGCTCTTCCATAGAGGAAAGAGGAAATGGCCCTCAGAGATAGGGGGACTGAGTCAGGCCAGGACCCCCCAAACCCCCAAAGTGAGTCTCCCAGTGCCCTACCCAATCTGCCAGGTATGCACATCTTAGCTGGAGCTACCTCTAGATTTTCTTCACCTTCAATTTGGGACATTCTTTTCTGTTTCAGATAAGAGGTTAGCAAACTATGGCCCACTGGCCAAATCTGGCCTGCACCTACTTTAGTAAATAAAGTTTTATTGGCACCCAGCCATGCCCGTTCATTTACACATTGCCTATGTCGGCTTTTATGTTACACTGACAGACAGTTGCAACAGAGAACTTCTGGCCCACAAAACCAGAAATATTTACTATTTGGCCTTTGAAGAACAAGTTTGCCAATTCCCACTTTAGATGACTATTGTATAATGCTTACTTAGCTCACGGAACTCCTTAGTAAACATCAGGTGTAATGATGATTATTATTACTATCATTATCCAAGATGGTCTTTGTTCATTTAGCAAATACTTACTAAGTGACTGTGCCTGCCAGGCCTGTGCTGAGCTCTGGGAATAAAACGGTAAATAAGATGAGGTCCCTGCCCTCGCAGAGCTCTGAACACTGAGATGGTAGGGTATGCTTTCTCCTACAGATGATCAGAGCACTCAGTCCCAGGTGTTTAGCGCTTGGGGATGTAGGTATGGGGCTGGCAGTGTGGATTTGGTACACACTAAAGAGTCAATGGGATCTCTGGCTCAGGAAACAGAGAGTCTGCTGCGGATGCTGGTACGGACTCGACAGAAATGCCTGGGCTCCAAAATAGCCAAGCACCTGGTAGAGAGAGGGTTGTGGAGGGAGGGGGTCTGGGGGGGTGGTTACAGGGAGAGATGAGGTTGACCAGTTGGCCAATGACCTGAGTCATTCATCCCAGAAGTCTGCCTGGACAAGGAGGATTTTGCATACTACCTTGAATGCCAACAGAAAGGAAGGGTGTCACCCCTACAGCCCAAGGACATACCCAAGAGAGACTCAAGCTGGAGGCTGTTGTTTTCACCCTGCTTCCATCAAATTTGTCTGTGGAATCGACTGCTCTTTTTCCCTTCTTCTAATTTTATAGAATGTATCTGGACACATGATCACCAGAAATAAAGAGCACACTTCCCAACCAGCCTTGCAGCTAGACGTGCTCACATGTAGATCTGGGCCAATGTGATATGAATGGAAGTGGTCTGAGCCATTTCCAAATCATGCTGTTGAAAGGGAAGAGGCAAGCCCATTCCTTGCCCCTTTATTCTTTCCCACTTGCTGGAATGCAGATGTAATGGTCGGAACTGGAGCAGCCATTTTGTATCTTGAATTGGAAGCCGTGTGCATGAGAAATGGAGAAATGAGGTAGAAGGGACCCGGGTCTCTGATGACGGTAGAGCTGCCCCACCGGCTCTGGACTGTGAACTTGGACCTTTATGGGAGAGAGAGAAATGGATTTCTGTGCTGTTTCAGCCATAATTTTTTTAGGACTCTCTGTTGTAGCAGCCAAACCTATAAAATGAGACACCCCCAAGGCACTCCACATAAACATACAACCGAAATGAAAACAGTAGGGTTGCTATGCAAGTAACGCTCCATAGCCTCTTCCTCTGGGAAGTTCCGGGGCTCCATTGCTAGTCTCTGTTTTCTCAGCCTGGTATGCAGACAGCTTTCTCTGACGAGGAGCCCTTCTCCATCTCGCCAGCTGCTGGCTTCCTCACCGCCTCTGAGTCTTCAATATACATTTCTGGATGGAGGAAGAATTGGAGGGAAGCGGGGGGGTGTGTGGCCAGCAAGGCCGATGGAGACTCCCGGTCCTCAGCAGCCCCCTGACCTTTGTCTTGGCCTCCCCCGACTGGTGGATGGGGGCAGCCTGCGAAGAGCCCAGGGTCAGCTGTGCCGAGGGCCGCTGGGAACAAAAGACTGTAAGGGATTGCAGATGGGCCTGCCACGATGTCAGAATAATAATTCATGTCCCCAGTTCATCTGGCCTCTGCCGGGCGGGGCTGCATTTCTCAGTGATCTCAGCCTTCCCCATCCCAGCCCGGTTCCCATAAGAATCACAGGAGTGCTGCCAATTAGAGGCCTGCCATCCGAGGCCCCTCTGAATGTAATCAGCCATAATAACTTAATAGCCTTAAGTTTGGGAGGCTTCTTTTGAAGCTCAGCGTCTTCACCCCCGGTAGCCCAACTAATCTGGAAAAGCGTCTGTCTTGCCCTTCCCACACCAATTATCTTGTCGGTCCTGCTCTCCAGCACTCGGGAACCCGTCTCAGAGGGGCTGCCTCACTGTTTAACTGACAGGCACGGGGCATACTTCAGGCTCCCCAGCTCTCATTCCAGCCAGCATCCCAGCACAGATTCCTGAGAGAAAACGAAGTGCAAAATGCAAAAGGCTTGGCTTGAGCCACGTACAATCACACACGCCAAGAGCAATCAGAGAAAGTACCCACTGGGTGCCAAGGATCGTTTGAAAAGGAGAAGATCCATAGTCAGGGAGAGCATTTAATATGCAATACTTCATGTTGGATTAAGTGTACCACGCAGCTGAAAAAGGAGGCTATAGCTACAAAACAAATGTTCAGATGTCTTCATGGGTGACCTCCAAGTTTCCACCGGCTCCTAATCCCTCTGTCATAATTCAAGCTCGTTGGCCTGGAGTTGACGACTTGGCGGGTGGAATTCCAGGATCTATCAGCGGCTCTCTAAGGCTGCCAGTGCTTCCCTCTGTGGAGCCCAGCACACTGATATGTTTCTTTCGCAGGATGGAAGCCCATGTTTCCATTTGTCCAGGCAGAAAACCACCTCTGAGCTCATCTTCCCAAGAGCTCAATCCATGCAGGAAGGGGATCGGGGAGGGAAGCAGGAGGGTCTGTCACAGGGCAAATGCTATGAACGCCTCTACTTCGGAAAGAACGTATCCTTGGGGAACCCAGGGCAGGGATCTTTTGAGTGATTTTGTCAGAACCAGCCTTTAGCAGTGGACTATCCATCCATCGATCTATCAGCCCACCTACTCATCTCTCCATTCTTTCCTTCATTCATTCATTCATTCAACATTCAACAACCTATCTACCCTCACCCATGCTGCAATCTTAATAGATTATTCAGAGGCATCGAAAACTTATCATATCCTAAATAAAACTTTTGGTTTTCTCCCAGCATGGTAGGCAGCCTCTAAACTGGCTCCCAGCCATGCTGGTAAGTCACGTCCTTGTGCAGTCTCCGCCCCTCCAGTGTGGGCTGGGCCTATTGACTTCCACCCACCCCAGTAGGAGATGGCGAAAATGATGGGAGGCCAGTCCTGAGATTAGGTTGCAGCAAACTCTGACTTCTATTTTGCTCCTTCTCTGGCCCTTCTCATGTACTCACTCTGATGAAGCCAGAGAGGCCCATGTGGCAAGAAGCTGCTGTCTCTGGCCACCAGCCAGCGAGGCCCTGAGGCCTTCAGTCCAACAGCTCCTGAGAGGCGATCCATCTCTCTATTCATCTCTCTCTTTCTTTCTCTCTCTCTTCCTTTTTTCCCCATCTCTCCATCTCTTTATGTATCTCTATATCTATCTATCTGCCTATCTTCTATCAACCTATCATCTATCTGCCTGCCTGTCTGCCTGCTTATCTATCATCTATCTGTCTATCTCTATCTGTCATCTGTCTGCCTATCTATCTGCCTATCTATCTATATGCCTGCCTATCTATTAATATCTATCTATTCCTCTATCTATATATCATCTATCTGTCTGCCTATCTGCCTGTGTATCTATATGCCTGCCTATCTATTTATCTATTAACATCTATCTATCTATCTGCCTTTCTATCTGCCTGCCTATCTATTTGCCTGTCCATCTATCTATCTATCTTCTATCTGCCTGCTTCTCTATCATTCTATCTATCTATCTATCTGCCTATCTAGCTGCCTGTCCATCTATCTGCCTGCCTATTTATCTATTAATATCTATCTGCCTGCCTATTTATCTATTAATATCTATCTATCTACCTGCCTATCTAGCTGCCTGTCCATCTATCTGCCTGCCTATTTATCTATTAATATCTATCTATCTGCCTGCCTATTTATCTATTAATGTCTATCTATCTATCTATCTATCTATCTACCTGCCTATCTAGCTGCCTGTCCGTCTATCTGCCTGCCTATTTATCTATTAATATCTATCTATCTGTCTATCTGATCTATCTAGCTATTATCTATCTGCCTGCCTATCTGCCTGCTTATCTATCTACCTATCTATCTGTCTGTCTGTCCGTCCGTCTGTCTATCTATCTACCTACCTATCTGCCTATCTATCTGGCCTTCTGTGTGTCTCAGCTTATGGCTGCAATGCTCCAATCCCTGTCTTCATCTTCACGTGGCCTTCTGTGTGTCTTCCCCTTTTCTGACTCTTTCAAGGACACTTGTCAGTGGGTAATCCAGGATGATCTCATCTCAGTCTCCTTAAACAAGTCTCAAAAACCCTTTTTCCAAGTAAGGTCCTATTCACCAGTTTCTGAGACATGTCTTTTGGGGGCCACCGTTCAATCCATTGTACTTCCTCTCCACTGTATTTAACCCTTGGGCCTCCCACAATTCAAGCTACACCTGGGAGTACCCAGTAAGCATTTGTTGAATGAACCCGTCCATTAGTTCAGTGGTTCTCAGCTTGCATCAGAATATCCTGGAGCGCTTCTAAAAACACAGATTAGGGCCGGGCATGATGGCTCATACCTCCAACCCCAGCACTTTGGAAGGCCGAGGCAGGAGGATCACTTGAACCTAGGAGTTTGAGGTCAGCCTGGGCAACATAGTGAGACCCCATCTTTAAAAAAATAATAATAATAAATTAAAAATAAAAATAAGAACACATACTGCCGTGTGGATCTCCACACTGAGATTCTGACCCAGCAGGTCTGGAGTGACGCCCGAGAACATGTGTTGCTAAAGGGTTTCCAGGAGGAGCTGCTACTGCTGCTAGGGGACCACCTTTTGAGCGCCCCTGCTTTAGGTCACCTGGTTTTCCAGTCAACCATCAGAGGACCCGAGTCGTGATCAGACTTAACTTCCCCCGCAAAGAGCGGGTAGGCCCCATGCATCTCCAGGTGTCCCTGGTTCTTCTTTGCCAAGGAGACAAAACAATCGGATGACCTAATTCTTCACCCAAAGCCTTGGTATCTCACCCCCTCCCTGGGGGTCACAGCAGCTAACACAGCTGTCTGGCAGAACCGCAGGGTGAAGTCACAGCCAGCACCTGGTGGACAGCCCACTGCTGTGCGTGGAGGCGGAGTCTTCCTGGATTCTCTCAGGTTGTACCTTGGAGGCCACACTTGAGGTGTGTTACAGAGACCAAGGGCTGGTCCAAGTCCACCCCCCAAAATAAAATTTCTGGTTTTGGGGGCACATGTTCCACAGAGGAGAAAAATACAGGAAGAGAATACCTTGAAAATAACACCATTAAGACAGATTTTTAGCCAGGAAGATACGTGGCCCATTAGGGACGTCTCTCAGTGCAGCAGACTTGCCTGGGCCTTTACTTAGTGATTCAATCTTCAGCCCAACAGGGCCTGGGTGTCTTTTTTTTATTCTTTCTTTTTTAAAAAAAATAGCTTCACCGAGTTATAATTCATAAATTATACATTTTACCCATTTAAGCATACGATTCAATGGTTTTTAATATATTTACAGATCCATGCACCTGTCATCACAGTCAATTTTAATAGACTTTCACTTCAAAAGGAAACCGTGTAACATTTAACTATCACAGCTCTATCCTCATGCCCCACACCCAGCCCTAAACAGCCACTAAGCTACCTTTTGCCTCTAAAGATTTCTGTGTTCTGGACTTTGATATACATGGAATCATGCAATATTTGCCTTTTGTGACTGGCTTCTTTTATTTAGCAGAGTATTTTTGAAGTTCATGTTGTAGCAGGTATCAGTACATTATTCTTTTTTATGGCTGAATAATTAATATTCCATTGTCTGCTATACTACGTTTTGTTTATCCATCCATCCGTTGATGGAAATTTGGGTTGTTTTCAGCTATGATAAGTAATGATGCTATAAATGCTCATGTACAAGCTTCTGCTTGAACGTATGTTTTCATTTCTCTTGGGTATATACCTAAGATTGGAATTGCTAGGTCATGTGGTAGCTCTATGTTTAATCATTTGAGAAACTGCTAGACTGTTTTCCAAAGCAGCTGCACCATTTTCAATTCCTACCAGCAGCGCAGGAGGGCTCTAATTTATCCGTATCCTCTGAGAGCCGATGCTTGTTGCCATTGGACTAGATTCTAGCCGTGCTAGTGGGTGTGACATGGTGTCTCATTGTAGTTTTGATTTGCAGTTCCCTAAACAATGGTGAGCATCTTTTCCTATGCTTATTGGCCATTTATAGATCTTCTTTAGAGATATGTCTATTCAGATCCTCTGCTCCTTTTAAAATTGGATTGCCTTTTTTATTATTGGGTTGTACGAGTTATTTATATGTTCTGGATACAAGTCTTTTATCAGACATATCATTTGCAAACAGTTCCTCCCATTTACTGTGTCATCTTTTCAATTTCTTAATAGGGTCCTTTGAAGCACAAAAACTTTTAGTTTTGAAGAAGTCCAGTTTATCTATTTTTTATTTTATTGCTCATGCTTTTGATGTAGTATCTAAGAATCCTTTGCCAAACCCAGGTTATGAAGAATTCCTCCTATGTTTTCCCCTAAGAGTTTTATAGTCGTAGCTCCTACATTTAGCTCTTTGATCTATTTTGAATCAACTTCCTGTACGGCATGAGGTAGGAGGTTCTACTTCATTCTTCTGCATGTGGATGTCCAGTTGTTCCATTACCATTTGCTGAAGAGACTATTCTTTTCCCCCATTGAATGGTTTTGACACTCTTGTCAAATGGCAGATTTTTTAAAGGTCAAGTTTACGGAGGTATAATTTATCTAGATTAAAGTTCACCCTTTTTAGGTGCATAGTTCCAGGAATTGTGATAAACACATGCAATCTTGTGACCACTGCCACAGTCAAGATATAGAACAGTGGCATCACTCCGGAAAGCGTCCTCTGCCTCTTTGGAGTCAAGCTGCCCCTAAAATCCCTCAGTCCTTGGCCCCCAGAAACCACTGGTCTGTTTTCTGTCCTCCTATTTTTGCCTTTTCCAGCCTGGCATGTGGTGGATCATATGGAGCTGGAATCACACAGTACTTAGCCTTTTGAGTCTGGCTTCTCTCACTCAGCAGAATGCACCCGATATCCATCTGCATGGTGCCTGTATCCGTAATTTTAATAATGAGCGGTGTTCATTGCAAGGATATATCACAATTTGTTGAGGGACATTTTGTTGTTTCCAGACTGGACAACTACAAATAAGGCCATTACAAACATTCACATGCAAGTTTTTGTAAACGCGAATTTTCATTTTTCTTGCGTGAGTACCTGTAAGTGGGATGGCCAGGTCATAAAATCAATATATGGTTAACTTTATAGGAAGCTGCCAAACTGCTTTCCAAAGCAGCTGCACCATTTTACATTTGTACCGGTAATAAATGGGAGGCCTGGTTGTTCTATATCCTCATCAGCACTAGCTATTGTCAGATTTAAATTATTTTTTCTATTCTAATAAGTGTGTAGATGTATCTCTGTATGGTTTTAATTTAAGTTTCTCAAATGAGTAATGATGTTTAGCATGTGTTTATTGTCGATTCATATATCTTTTGTGAAATGCTGGTTCCAATCTTTTGCCCATTTTCTTCAGTTGTTTTTCTGATTCCTGTGCTGAGAGAGCTCCTCCTATATTCTGAATATATGTGTTGTTAGGTATGTGTCTGGCAATCATTTTTTTCCAATTGTGCATTGTTTATTAAGTATCTGCTACTGCATAACAAATTGCTCCCAAACTTAGGTAATTAAAATGATATACATTTATTATCTCACACAGTTTCTGTGGACCAAGAGTTCAGAAGCAGCTCAGCTAGGTGGTCCCGGCTTGGGGTCTCTCATGAGTTTGCAGTTAAGGTACCAGCCAGGGCTGCAGTCATCTGAGAGCTTGACTAAGTTCAGAGGATCTGCCTTCAAAGTGGCTCATTCATGTGGTGCTGGTCACTGGCAGGAGGCTTCTGCTCCTTTCCACACGGGCCTCTCCAGAGCACTGCTTGAGCACCCTTACGACATGGCTGCTGGCTTCCCCCTGAGTGAGCACCTAAGGCCTCTCCAGAGCACTGCTTGAGCGTCCTTACGACATGGCTGCTGGCTTCCCCCTGAGTGAGCACCTAAGAGAAAGCCAGGCCTAGCCATGACCTAGCCTCAGAAGTCACACATGGTCATTTCTACAAAAACCTGTTTAGGTTAACACAGGTCAGCCCTATTCAATCTAGGAGGACATTGTACAAGGGCATGAATGAACAATAATATGTGAGACTATTTGAAGACTGTCTTGGTAACTGGAAACCGTGTTTGTATTTTCATTTTTTCAACAGTGTTTTTCGAAGAGCATCCTGAGTGAATTTGATTCTCCCTTCTCAGCCTCAGTTTCTTTACCTTGAAATGGGGCTGATGATCCCATCTTCAGGCAGGAATATTTTTCAAAGCACTTTGTGGACCACACAGTCCCTCATCTCCCTTCTCCTTCCAGGCTGTCATCAGCTCCTTGAAACTATACTCTAGCTTCTCCCAGACTCTAAGACATCCATTTTCTCATGAATTCATTTGCTGAAAACATTCCTGGAGCCTGAGCTGTTCCAGATGCTAAATGCTGGTGATTCCACAGCAGACAAAAGAAAATTCCTGCTTTCATGGGGCTTCTTGTGAGGACAATGACACTGGGCCAACACAAAAATGAAAGTTGATCAGAGCAGCACCATAGCTCGGATGGCATCCATGGAGCACTGGGCGCTGGGTTTCATGTAATCCTGTGACAATCCTACAGTGAAGCAATGATCAGCTCCTTTTTATGGATTTTATAAATGTCCAGAAAGATGAAGTGATGTGCCAGGGTCATAGAATTAGTCCAGGGACTGGGACTCTGCACTGTCCGCCTCTAGAACCTGGGGGAAGAGAGTCAACTCCTAAAATTCCTCAGCACCAATGAGGGGGCTTTGGATGAGGTGGGGTGGCTACTGGATTGAAGAGGAGAGGGGACCAACTCATGAGCTCTGGCATTGCTCCCAAAAAGCCCCTCGGGACCCCCATGGCCTCCTCCACCCACACGCACACAAATCCCGGCAGAGCTGCTGACCCCTTGGCTCCTGGTCGGGGATGAGCCAAGTTTCACAAGCAATTATATTTCATGCAAGATAAAACTGCAGAGGAGACGCTTAATTAGATTCTTTCCGAACCTTAGGTTTCTTTGAAATGAAACAGCCCCAGGGCTGTGAGAGTTATGTGTATGTATGTATTCCCCTGCCCAGAAAGGGCTGCTCTCCAAGGCTGGAACGAAAACAGAGCTGACTGCTGCTCCATTCCCTGCAAAGGTATCTGGACTGGCTCCGGTGCAGCCCCTAGCCCCCCTGCTCCCCAGCTCTGCCCATCCATCTGGCCAACGCGGGCGGGAAGCGGTCCCAGTGGGGCAGGGTGAGCCGCTTCTCGCTCGGTTGATGCCAGGTGTTGGAGTCTGAGCCCAGATGGCCCTGGTCTACCGGGAAGGCCTGCCTGGGGCAGGGGCTCCCCCCGGGGGTCCAACCAGCCTGTGGGCCTCCTCCACCAGCCTGCCCTGTCTGGGCCTCAGTCTTCCCACCTGTGAAAGCCGGCAGGGACCCTGGGAGGTGCAGCTGGAATGTGAGTTTCCTGAGGGGAGGGACCTCACCTGTGTTTCTAATGTGGGAGCCATGAACTTGAAATAGGGTCAGCGTGCAGTGGACTCACAAGGACCTGCTCAATTTGGGCTCCTAAAGGGTATGAGTCCATAGGAGAGCTCTTGTTCTTCAGGCATCTGTGCTACCTGGAAAAAGAGTTGCCAGGATAAATGCAGGACACCCAGTTAAATTCTAATTGCAGGTAAATAATGAGTAATCCCTTAATGTAAGTATATCCCAGGAAATATTTGGAACATACTTATGCTAAAAAGTTATTCATTGTTCACTCGGAATTCAAATTTAACTGGGTATCCTGTGTTTTCATTTGCTAACTCCCTACCTGGGGAAGTTATCAGCTACCCAGAGATTCAGGGTCAGTGGAGGCGAGGTGAGGCCCGGGCATGTGCATTTTTGTCTCGTTTCCTGGACATCCTGATGCTCAGGGTCCTTCATCCACACTTGGAGACACATGCAGTGTCTCCTTGGGGCCAAGCTCAGGAGTTGAGGATGAATGGAGGAGCAGGTCTTCCCTTCGCCTCCCCAGTTAACACAACACGTTCCCTGCCTTCCCTGTCAGGGCCGGGGTGGGTAGCATGGTGGGGCCGCTCAGAAACATGGTTTAAAGCCCTGGGGTGCAGAGTCAGGCGGTCCTGGGTTCACATCCCATCTTCTCTACTCAGATCTGAGCAAGTTCTTGAGCCTCTCTGGCCTTCAGTTTCTTATAGAGAGATGGAAACAGGAGCACTTCCCAGGCTGCCACAAGGCTGGATGGAGGCCACAGCTGGGGACTGCTGAGCACAGTGCTTCTGTGAATCATGATGTCACGGAAAGACAGTGACAACAGCAGCCCTTGCTGCGGCACATGGAGCATCCCTGTGTCTGGCGCTGTCGCAAACACTGCATTTGCTAAGTGAGCTCTCTGCTTGCCTATGCTTGGAGTCCTCATCCTGACCGGGCTCACTCTGGCTTCCCTCGGCCCCTAGCACAGGGTCCTCAGGCTACACGGCAATTACAGCACTCCTGCCGACAAAAGCTGCCTGCTTACCAGGATGGGCTGAGCACGTGGGCCAGACCCAAGGCACCCTGCAGACCTGGGACGAAACCTGGTCAGTGGCAGGGAAGAGAGGGGGTTCCCTATCCCGCCACCCACCTCCCTGCCACATCCTGCTTCCAGGCTCATATCCCAGGCCCAGAGGACACAAGGATGTCACCGGGTGGCAGAACAAAGGCCAAAGGGAAAACGCAATCCCAAGCCTGCAGCGGGCACCCACACTCTCCACCCTTCACCTCCCACATCTCCCCATCCGCACCCCACATTTGAGCCAAACAAGGGCTTCCAAGGATGTTAAAGGACAACCCTCAACTAGCTGGCAGCAGGTTTGGCGTGCTCATGTCACGTGCAAGTAAATGCGTCTAAGCGGGGACATAAGCCACAGTGGAAGGAGCAGAAGACGGAGCATGGTGAGCACCACATGCGAATTCCAAGCCCTCAGTTCTGTCCTGCCTCCCTTCACTCTGGCCTGGTCTACGATTACCCCTCCTGCCACAGGCTGTGGGAGCTCCCGTGCAAATGGGAGAGGGTCCTTACCAGGAGGATAAGGGAAGGGTTCATGAAGACCCCAGAAGAGGAGGAGGGGGTCAGGGGACAAGGATTTATGGGCATTTAGCCAACACCATCTGAAAGAGAGGTGCTAAGTCTCAGGCCATGATTTCTGGTGGGTTCTGTTGTGAATCAGTTATTTGGTCAGACTCCTTTAGGGCCTGGTAGATTGTCACTTAATGTTTCCATCTCCTGGGTGGTAGTTCTCCGACTTCCGCTCTCATTCCGCTCTCATTTCAGCCTTTTGAAGGCCCGTTGACACCCCAGAGTCCTTCACAACTACAAGTACAACCCTGGTGTCCTTCACAGCTACAAGTACAAGTCATGGGGAGCAGAACCAAGGATTCCAATCTGATGGAGAGTCACATTTACCCTTTCAAACAGATAAGCAGGCATAGAGTGTATTATACATCAGTTTCTTGTGACTTTGGTTGATGTGAGTCCATCCCCCCAAAAAAGACCAATAAATTCTGGAGCACCTGTAAGACCTTATTTTTTGCACCTGAAAAGATGTGGTCCTCCTTTGAGGGCTTTCTTTGGGTGGCCAAACTCTCACCCCTCTTGACTTTAGGCACCAAGCTTTGGGCTTTATTTCAAAGAGAATTCTGCATGTATCTTTGTAAATAACATTTGCATCATGCTAAGAGTTTGCTAATGACTTTCATACATGATTCTGCATGTCCTTCTGTGTACCCTGTTGACATTTTTGTATTGAAGTCTACCTTGCTTGCAACTATAGCAAATGTCTTGAACAGTTAATACTATTAGGTTGAGCCCTAGGAAATTGTCACTACTGGACTTGTTTGATCTACATAAAACAGCAGTTTCCTATGGTTCAGCCAATAACAACTACCATTTCCAGGGCTCTGATCACACAGGCAGGCCCCTAGTAGTATCATTGGCATTATTGTTGTCATCGTCCCTGTGAGTTTCAGAGAGGTTGAACATCTCACTCAAGGTCACACGGCAACAAATACAGGAATCATCACTTGCACCTGGAGGGCTCCAGGGAGGCCCTGGGTCCCGCTGGACCACATCTTTCCACGTCGCACTGTGGCCCTGCTGTTTCCCCGGCCAGGTCACCTTTGTCTCTTGCCTGTTGTATCTCAACAGCTTCCTGGCTGGTCTTGGTTCCTCTGGTTATTCTCCACTCTGCAGCGAAGACACCCACTGCTTAAAAGTCTCCTGAGGGCCTCCGAGGGCCTGAGGGAAAAGCGCGGCTCAGACCCTGGCTCACAGGGTCCCCCCTTCTTGCCCGATGCGTGCTACACTCAGGCCATGCTGGATTTCTTTTGAGTTTCTCTGCAAGGGCACGGACTGGCTCACCATTCAAGTGGAATGATGGGGACAGCCATGCAAACTGCACCAGTAGCCTAAGCCATTGGCTCAGAAAATGCCAGCTGAGCACCTCCTATGTGCAGGCACCTGGGTAGACAAGGAGAAAATCAGCAAAGCCCGGTCCTTCCCAAACTCTGTGCGAGCACGGGAGGTGATCACCCGGTAAACAAACCCCATCGTGTCACGTCCACACAGGTGCCACGCCAGGAAAGTAGAGCGAAGGCAGAGAGGGAAGAGCTGGCCAGGGAAGCCTCTCTGGGGAGGTGACATTGGAACAGAGCAGAAACATATCCAGAAGACGATCATTTCAGGGGATGGGAGCGGTGAGTGCCGAGGTCCTAGGGCATGAACTTGCACCCTGAGCTGGGGGAACTGCAAAGGTCCACAGGCCCCAAAGCAGGGGCTTGAGAGGATGGGAGTGAGGACCGAGAGGTGGCTGAGCTCCATTACAAACCACCCATGGGAGATGTGGCCCTTGGCACAGCAGCAGCACCTGGAGACACCGAGGCAGCACCTGGAGGCTTTAGGACACAGCGCTGTCCCCATCATCATAGGGAAGCTTCCTGGGGGATGTCCCAGCCAGGGTCCATTAAGGGTCTGGCCTCATTCGCTGTCTGTCTGTCTGTTCATTCTTCACTCCCTCCTAGCTTCTGCCCCAGGCCCTGCCTCGTGGGCTGAGACTGCTGCCTGGCACTTCCTGCCCCAGCTGAAGGAAACCAGGCAGCCCACACCTGCCATTCGGGTCGCATGTGTGGGCCTGGGGCCCGGGGTCACTGTCGGGATGGGCTCAGCAGGTCCTAGCTTGCTGTGTGGAAGGCCTGGGGCCGCAGAATGCCCCATTGTTCATCAGGACGTGGAGGCCCAGGCCAGAGATGCCAGCTATTTTGGGTGCTGGGCGAAGGCCTGGATTTACTTGCCACAAGCGTTTTTCTCAGAAGGAAGGTCAGTGGGCCCAGCCTGGGAAGTCAACCAGTCCCACCTGGCTCCGATTCTCCCCCGTGCTCTCAACGTCCTCTCTGCAAAAGACAGGGGCCAGGGTGTCTGTGCAGTGCCAGTCGGGAGGTCTGGGTGTGTGGTGGGGGGCAGTGACTGTGTTTTCCAACTGCAGAGGCCACAGTGGGCCTCCCAGAAGCACCTACCACCTCCAATGAGCCCCTTCCATTTCAGGGAGCCCACCTGTAGACCCCCGATGCTTGAAAAACCCTGATTAGGAACTCCTGGGCTGGTGCAGCACCTGGCACATGGAGCCAGGTAATAGAGCACATACATACATCCTATGTTCAGTCCGCAGCCGGGATCAAGCTGTCTTTCCGAAGCCCGCACGAGTGTCACAGCCGTTCCAGACCGCTCTTTGGGTCAGGGGCTCCCGAAATCACCTGCTTCTAGGAGCACGCACACACATGGGCATGGAGGCATTTGGTTTCAGAAAGGTCAGAGGCCCCAGATCAGATGATTCTGGTGTAGGTTTGTGGCCTGCCTAGGCTGGAGGACTGACTTCAGCATTACCACCAGGACAGGTGGACTTGGGTGGGGCCGCTTCACCACTGCCGAGCCATGCAACCTGGGACAAGCCCTGGACCTCTCTGAACCTCAGGCTCATCACAAAACAGGAATCATCATCCTCCTCACCTATGGAGTTGTTGAGGAATGAATGAGTTCATCTGGGCAGAGCATGCAGTCCCAACAGGACGGAATTTGCTTCCCAAGGGGGAAAAACATATTTTACTCTTTACATTTAAAGCATGGATACCTGAACAGTACCTAAACAGACACCCAGTATACCTGTGGCGTTAAAGTGTCATCGGAGAGAGCTATTAGGAAAAAATGCCTTAAAAGCCTCCTTGCAGGGGTGAAGAATGGCAAAAGCTTACAAAGATGGTTCCTGGAACACAGCAGGTGCTCAGCAAACTTCAGCTGCTTTGCTGTTATTACTACTCACAGCAGGTGTCACAGAGGAAGGACTGGTTGCAAGCTTGGGTTTAGGAGCCATACTGTTGGAGGTCCCTTCCTGGCTCTGCCACTTGCCAGCTGTGTGACATTGGGCAAGTTGCTTGACTTTTCTGTGCCTCAGTTTCTCTCATCTGGAAGCAGAGCTAATTAGAGCACCTGTCTCGTGCAGTTTTGTGTAGATTAGATGGGTTGATTTGTGTGGTATGTGTAGTTCAGTGCCTGGCACACAGTAAACACTCAGTAAATGCAAGCTATGATTATTATTGATTAAGATTGTTAATTATGACATGCAAGGAACTTGGGGGTCAATGGTGCTCATTGAGGGGAAACTGTAAGGAAGGGTGAGGTTCAAGGTTGGCCCCTAACTGCTTCTCCTGGGCATCTGGTCTGGCTCTAGCCTCAACCACTAAGGGCTGTCCTGGGCTCCAGAGGAGGGGCCGGGTGCCAGCCTAGGGCAGGAGCACCAACCGAGCACGTGAAGCACTTTGCACAGTGGCAGGGTGCTCAGGACTCTATGGAACACCCCTATCTGAGCACTGACTTCAGAGCAACGTGTCCTCCATGCATAACCCAGCTCCACATGCAGGGAGCCTGGGCCACTGCGGCCAGCTGCCCCCTTACCCTCTCCATGCCTGACCTGGCTGAGGTGGGGAGGGAGGAGTCTATCCCCTTCACACGACTTCCCAGACGGTGAGCCCCTCGCTTTCCTGGTCCGGACCCACAGTGAAGACTCGCTCTCCTGGGATCCCACGGAGACCTTACGAGGCCCCACGTGGTCCAGCCTGCCCGCCCATCCCTGCTCATCAGCCCACTGGCCACCCACTGCTCCAGAACACAGCAAGCCTGTCCCGCCTCAGGACCTTAGCACAGGCCATTCCACTGCCTGGAACTCTCTCCCCGTGGCTGGGGCCTTCTCAGCCTCCAAGTCCCCCAGTCAACCGTCCCCTCCCCTGACAGGCCTTCCCAGACCATCCAGGGTGAAGTGGACGTCACACGCCCTCCCCTCCCCTCCCCAGGTCTTCTCGTCATCATATCCCTGTTTCATTTTTGTGTTGCTCTAATCACGAACAACCATTCTCTGTGTGCGTGTTTCCTGTCCTTCTCCCCGTGAAAGATGACAAGCTCCATGGGCTGGGGGCTTTGTCTTGCCTGCTTCCTGCCCGCCACTTCCCAGTCCAGGGCCCCGCCAGCCCTCAGTACCTGCTTGTTGTGGGGATGAAGCCCACCGAGACCTTGGCTGCGCTCGTCATTTGCTGCGGTTGCCATCCCATTTTACAGCTGTAGACACTGACAGCAGAGATTCCTTTTGTGTCAATATCTCAGGGAAGTTTCTGGAACCCCTACCCAGGACCCAGGGAAAGGACTCTGCCTGGGAGGTTTCAGAGGGCACAGGAATGCAACACTGCTCAGGCCCTGGCACTTACATTTCTCTGCAAGGAGCATTTTCCTAAAATTTGTCTGTTGCCTCTGGACGCGTAAGCAAGGTGACTAAGGGACTCAGGATTTGATTAGGCAGCAAATCCGGATAAACAGGACAGGTGGCACTAATCAGAGCTGACGACTAGACAAGGCCTGGGAGGCCCTCAGGCTCTGTGAGCTCAGAGCACCTCTGTGGAAACTTCCTTCTGCCCGGTCCCCAGAGAGGATGGCCACAGCAGCACCCTGCCTGGCTGGGACGTGGCTGGATGGGGCACAGGCCTGGAGACCATGTGGCATGCACCCTGCCACTGAGCCCCCAGGTGGAGGTGCCAGGGGAGGGAGGTGGGGCTGCACAGGGTTTCTTGGCTGTCTCCAGCCAGTGGGGGACACTGAGCTTGAACTGGGCAGGTGACGACTTCTCTGGGCCTCAGTTTCCCCCTCTCTAGAGGTGATGAGTACAGGCCTGGGCTCCTGGCCCTGAGGTCCTAGGAAATGCTCTGTGCTGCAGACAGTCCATGAGGCCAGGACTGGCTCTGGCCCAGCCTGGTGTCTCCCAGGGCATGGAGGGAACACACATTCACTTCCAGAGAGCTGGAGCCTGGGGCAGGACTCTTGCCAACAGCCCCCGGCCAGAACCTGCAGGCCTCCCTCAGGTCCCACCTGGAGCCACCTGCCTGCCATGCCTTCCTGGCCTCGTTCCCCCATGGTAAAACAGTCACTGTGCCAGCCTTGGGCCAGGCTCTGACCTAAGTGTGTGTTTGTAAAGCAGTAGCTTCCTTTTTGCCTTCCAACAACCCGCAAGCCAGGAACTGTCACTGGCTCTCGTGTCACAAACGTGGTTTGAGGAACGCCTGCAAGGTCTCATGGTTAGAAAGGGCAGAGCTGGATTTCGGACCCATGCTGGCTTGAGAGGAAGACTCCCTCCCTCCCTCCCTCCCTCCTTCCCCCCTTTTCCTCCCTCCCTCCCTCTTCCTCCCTCTCTCTTTTCTAGTGACCAGAGCTTTCACTGATCAGCTAACAGTATTTGGCTAGCTCCCCAGGATCTGCTCCTCAATCCTAAATGGGACAGAAGTCTTGGCCACCAAGCGTGCCTGTGTCCCCCGCCAGGTTGAGGGGCAGAGGGTGCCACTGTGGCCCCCCGTGCCTGGCGGAAAGCACACCCCGGCTGGGTTCTTAAATCCGTAAGGTCACAATCAACAAGTGAAGGCACCCTGAGGACCCAAGGGCAGAGAGTTCCAGGAGGCGGCTGCGGGAGGGGCTGTCTGGGGCCCCCTCAGGCCCGCAGGGGTCAGGGCCTGTTGACTCTGGCGTCCTGTGAATAGACTCTTGCAAAGCCGCCATGTTCTCTGCTTCCTTGGGGAGGCACCTTGTCTTCTTAAGTCATTCCGTTGTGTCGATAATGCCTATTCTTTCCACGGGGCCATCTGCCAAGGTCAATGTTTGTGTTGTTTTAAAAACTTACATTGTATCACTGTGGGAACTTGAGTGTACAGAAACCTTTTTTTTTTTTCCTTTTAAGGAGGGGGCTGGGTGGGAGGTGGAGGTAGAAAAGTTTTCTCACTTTTCCTCTATTGCTTTAACATAAGACACCATTTGGATGGCGTTGGCTTCCCGAAGCTCCAGATATTTGAAGCTGTATTCACCGCGTGTGGTGCTTGCTTCTCCCTCCCCACCCTCTGAGGACACAGCCACTGGCCATTCCCTAGTAAAAAAAGAAAAAGGAAGAGAGGGACAGAGGGAAGAAGAGGTGGGAGCTTCCTAGAGCACAGACCCTGATTAATGTTCCAGGGAGAAAGGTTAGAGATATGTACTCAGGAAAGAAAATGGGAAAAAGGCCAGGTGCAATGGCTCATGCCTGTAATCCCAGCACTTGGGGAGGCTGAGGCAGGAGGATCACTTGAGCCCAGGAGTTCGAGACCAGCCTGGGCAACATAGTGAGACCCTGTGTATACAAAAAATACAAAAATTCTCCAGCCGTGGTGGCATATGCCTGTGGTCCTAGCTGCTTGGGAGGCTAAGGCGAAAAGATTGCTTGAGCTCGGGAGGTTGAGGCTGCAGCTAGCTGAGATTGTGCCACTGCATTCCAGCCTGGGCAACAGATCAACATCCTGCCTCAAAAAAAAAAAAAAAAAGAAAAAAGAAAACAGAAAAGGAAAAGAAAAAGAAAAAAGGTGGTGGGGAACCATCTTGGAACGAAATTCACTCCATGTTTGTCTGAGCCTGTCTGTTTCTGCAGAAGGGAGAGAGGGGTGATTTTAATTGAAAAGGACAAAATTAAATAAGGCCCGGACTTCAGGTACTCAGGAGCCTCATGGACTTGTCCCCTGGCACAGTGGCTGCCGCTGCCACCTCATGCCAATTACGCGGCCGGCCAACACCATCAGGGTCCCCAGATTAGATGCCAGGCCCCTGGGCCTGCTTTAGTCTTGGGCAAACCAGGAAGCTGGCCGCCAGCAGCCCACAGCCCTGAGATGCCGGGAATTTGTTTCTCCAAAAATGCCCTGATGAGGCCGGTGAAAAGGAGGGAAAGGCCTGACACGGGCCCTGGTTCTCCCGGGACACAGTGGCCCAAGGCTGTGTCGGCCCCAGCCCCGGGAGAGGTCAATGGCAGGAGGGTTTGTGTGGGGATCAGACATGAAGCTGGGCAACAGCAGCAGACAATGGGTCCTGAGGCTGGGCCCAGACCTCTTAGGCCCCATCAGCCACCTCCTCCAGGGAGGACTCTTTGATTAACACTCACTGGGCCCTTCTGGCTTTGGCTGGTATGAGAGGAAACCTTCCTTCCCCACTGCCTCCTGTCCTTCCACAATTCTTCCTAGAGCACTGGATGCTGGGGGCCCAGAGACCCCAACACACAAGTCCCTCAGAGTTTGCAGTCTAGTGGGTAGAGAGACGACGAATCAGGCTCTCCCAGCAGCCCTGAGCTAGGGAAGAAAGGACAGAGTGTCTTGGGGGCAAAGAATGGGGCTAGGGGTCAACAGGGCCCTTCTGGGGCTGGAGGAAAGATAAGCGGGAGTGAGCTAGGCAAAAATAGGGGTGCGGTGCTTTAGCACACGCAAAGAACAGGGTGCCTGTCTCCTTAGGGGCATGAGAGGAGGGAGCTGCAGCCTCACGGTGGGGTGGGAGATGCTGCTGGCAGCAGAGAACAGGCTGCTTGGGAGCCGCCCTGACATGACAGGGGCCTCAGAGAGCCCTAACTTCAGCAGCCCAACCCTCACACATCTGCCTATACATCCGCACTGGAGCAGGCAGAGGCTTGGCCTGGGAGAGGGGCTCCGGCAGCAGCAGTAGCCCCGGCAGCCTGTGCACGGAGCCTCCCTGGGTCCCGGGGTCACTAGTGAGGCTGCTTTGCCCTTTCTTCACAGGGTGACCCACCTGACTGCTCAGGGCCGCACAAGGGCCTCCATGTGCTCCCGTCTCTAGCAGGTGAGGCTACACGGGCGGCTCACTGCCTCACCCATGCGTCCCTGGGTGCTCCAATGGCACCGAAGGCAGTAGGGATGCTCCGCCACTTTGGGGTATATGCAACGTGCAGCCCTGCAGCCCTTCATCCTCCTCCACCCTGGAGGCTCAGTCAGAAGTGGGCACATGCACCTCTGTCCCGAGGTGAGGAAGCTGAGGCACAGGAGTGCAAGGGGCACCCCAAAAGCCACCAAGCTCCTAAGCAGTACACCTCGGACCTGAGCCCATGTTGTTTGGGATTTCTGTTGGAGGACAACTTCCATGAGTCTCTGCCACTAGCTCACTCTGTGACTTGGGGCAGTGACTTCAGCTCTCTGAGCCTCACCATTCTTGTCTGTCAAATGAGGCTAATGGCTGTGCCTCCCCTGTAGAGTCACAGTGGGGAGTAGGGGGTGATTGGTATACGTAAGGCATTTGCAACTGTGCCTGGCGCAGGTGAGCCCCTACCTCGTCCTCGCGTCTCCCCTCTGGCCCCAGGATCCTCTTCACTGTGGGCCTAGATCCAAGTTGCCTGGCACCAGGTCCTTGCATGAGCTCATGTTTGTTTAGAAATGAGAGACACGGACCATGTGGTTGTGTGTGCCACCTCAGCAGTATATGTGTCAATCAACAATGTGCTGCCAATCACCGGAGTGTCCTCCGGGTGCAAGGCGAAGCCATTTTGCTTGCCTTTGTTCACTGTGACCTCACAACAGCCATCGTCATTTCACCAATGAAGAAACAGAGGTTTTAGTGGCCCAGCCATTCAGCCAGCGTCTCACGGCCGTTGGGCAGGGGACCCACAGTCAAGCTGATCCCAGAGTGTACCCCCCCTCCCCACTATCACCACCCACAGCCCCACAACGGACCATGGTGTGCTTTCCTGGTCATCATGGACACTATGTGTGTGTCCGCCGGGCCTGTGGACTCCGAGAATGCAGGCAGCACGAACCCACGCCTGGGATCCCCACTGTCTGCAGGGTGCAAACGGTTCCTCGGCCCAACAGGCCAGGGCTGGGCTGCTTTGAGGGAAGTACAGGAAAGAGTAGCCAGGACAGCTGTCCACACGCTCTTCCTCTCCTTAATGTGTTTCCTCTGACCAAGAGCAGCGAGGCAGGTGGGCAGGGAGAGCTCAGGTTGGTGCCTGGGCCCAACCGTGACGCTGTTTTTAGAGGAATGAGTGTGAAATGCTTTCCATGCAAAAGGGAGAGAGAAAGGGGGAAAGGACCAGGGGAGAGGCAGAAGCCACTGGCTGAGTATAGGACACCCCAGCTCGGAGCTGGAGGCAGCATGGCACCAGTATGGTTGGCACTTCTGGGGCCATGGAGGCAGGGCAGGGGCCCACGGAATGCTAGATCTTAGAGACCTGGCAAGGAAAGTGGGGTGGAGGCAGATCAAGGGGCTATGTTTGGGTTCAGGGGCCCTAACCCATCAAACGGTGCAGGTAACGGCTTCCTTGAAGAGGCTGGGTGAGCTGGGACCAGGAACATAGCTCAGGTGACCTTGTGGGGCTGAGGCTGGCACACAGCAGGGTCACCACAGCCATGGGCAAAAAAATGTGTGCACCTTGTGCTGGAATTCTCGCCATGCTCTGAGCTGGTATGCTGTCAGACGTGGGGGTCTGCTCCCCAAACCCTGCTCTGCTTCTCCTCTCCCGAGGTCATTTGGCCAACAGTGATGGAGCAACCCAGCATCTCTGATTGCTGGTGTTCTTTGGAAGGTTTGAGGAACTGAGAGGTGTGGGCCAGCCATGCAGATCAGTGTGAGAGGGAAGACCCTATCTTGTCCCTCTCCAGTCCCCGGGCATGTCAGGAAGCACTCCCTGAATAGGTGCTGTGTAAGTGGACCGAGGGTTCGCTCTCTGCCCAGCTGGGAGCCAAGTCCTCTCTGTGGAGTATCTCATTTCATCTCCCACAACCACCTCGAGACAGATCTCGTGGCTGTGCCATGAAGGACTCAGGGCTCAGAGAGGAGCATTGAGGTCACAAGACGAGGAAGTGGCTGAGTCCAGACCTGAACCCACCATTGTTTCTAACAGCTGCATTGAGATCTAATTCATAGGCCATGCAATTCACCCATTGCGATGGCTTTCAGTACATTTACAGAGCTGTGTAACCATAATCAGACTATATTTTAGAGCATTCACCCCCAAAAGAAAGCCCATTGCGTTAGCAGTCACCCCATTCTGCTTCTGCCCTCCCCTCCAGCTCAAAGCCAACACAAATCTATTTTCTGTCCCTATGGCCTTCCCTATTCTGGACATTTCATGTAAATGGATTTATACAATATGTGCTCCTTTGTGTCTGGCTTCTTTTACTTAGCATAACATTTCCGGGGTTCATCCATGCTGTGGCCTGGATCACCGCTTCCTTCCTTTTTGTGGCTGGATGATACCCTGTCATCTGGATGAACCATGTTTGTTGGTGCGATGCATCAGCTGATGCACACTTGGACTATTTCTACATTTTGGCTAGGACGAATATTGCTGCTATGAATACTTGTCTGCAAGTTTCTGTGTGAACCTATGTTTCCATTTCTCCTGGGAATGCACCTAGGAGTGGAGTGGAATAGTACGTCATGTGGTAGCTCTGTGTTTAACTTTTTGAGGAGCAGCCAGATCCTTTTCCAAAGCAGCTGCACCTTTTATGTTGCCATCAGCAGTGAATGAAGGTTCCAATTGCTCTGTCTCCTTGTCGACACTTGTTATTGTCTGTCTTTTTTATTTCAGCCATGGGCATCACATGGTCTCTTGTGGTTTTGATTTGTATTTATTTGTTATGTTTACAATATTGCTTTCCGTACATCAGCTGTGCTTCTCTCAAGGCGGCAAGAGTCCCCCACTGGGTGGGACTTTCAAGGTTTGGATTTGAAGTCTAAGTGTATCAGATCGTATCTCCTCTTTTCTTGTCAGCAGTCACTCAACACTTACACTCCTAAGCACCTATGGAGTATCTGCACCTTCCTCCTCGTGAGGTGAGGGTTGAAGGTGAGAGCCAGGAGAGGTCCTCACCCTCACAGAACACACAGAAGCCAACACTGACACAGGGCACATACTGGAAGAGGCGGAAACACACATGGAGTCAGTGTCCTTTTAGGAGGGCTCTGAAAGACAAAAAGAATTGCGTAGAAAGACAGGGAGGCATAAGAAGCTCAGCATGTTTTCCTTCCTTCACTTCGTAAGTGTGTATTGATCACTGATTGTATGCTAGGCATCATGTCCATCAGCGGGAGGCCCAGAGGTGGGATTGTGTGTACTCTCTGCCTTCCCTCTAGGTAGGTGGGACCTGGTGAAGGTAATCTTATTTTCGAGTTGGATAGGGTCCCTCCAGCTGTGCAAGCAGCCCCTAAATTGCAGGACAGCTTGTGTCTGTGACGATTCCATACAAACCACAGAGATGAGAACAGGTGATGTCTGCCACTGACAGGACTCTCAGAAGCAGTCAGCAGCACCTTTGTGGACCGTGCAGTGGGCTTCTAACTGCTCCTGCATCTCTTTTGTATGGAATTTCCCCTTTGGGGCTCAGTCAGTTCTGTCCAAACAGCACCAGGCTCTATCGTGTGTTAAGATCTTGGTATTTTCCATCTTGGTAATAGAAGCTTCTCCACTGTTGAGAGAACAGTTCCATGTAGATGACTGCTCACCTCCCTACCCCAACCCTCACGATTAGATTTTTGTTCAATGGGGCTTCTAGATTCCTTACAACAAACACTCTTGTATGTGGCAATTATTTTGTTCAAGGTCTTAAGCTCTCCTTTGGAGGACAATTCCTGCCCCTGAGAGACTCAGGGGTTTGGCCAAAGCATATGGTCTCATCCATGGTCACCATTTGGGTTTCTGCCAAGTGCCCAGCTTTACATAAAGTGTCACTGTAATAGCTGCACGAGTATCTCCCCTCCTCCCTTGCCCCCTACCCCGTCATCTGCTTTCTGTCTTTCAGGCTTCAGCTAATGGCAGATATGTTTTCTGGATACTTACATACTTGTTTCTGTTCGGACTCTTGAGAAAAAAAGTCAGTTTGTTGATTTTGTGTTGGGGATGTGAGGAGGTTTTTTTTTTTTTTTTTTTTCTTTCTTAATCTAGATGTCTTGAACAAGTCAGCAAAGAAAAACAGTTCCGCCTTTGGAATGTATGAAAATGAAGACCGTTGCAGGAGGTCTTGAGCCACAGAGCTGGCTCCAGAGGCATTGGGAGGAGAAACGCGGCAGGCCTGGCTCACTCATTATATTTCAAGATCTATCCCAGCTTGTCACAACATGGACTGTGTAACTGAGACGATTCGCGGTTGGTGTTC
The DNA here is from genome assembly GCF_000001405.40 of Homo sapiens. Lineage (NCBI taxonomy): Eukaryota > Metazoa > Chordata > Mammalia > Primates > Hominidae > Homo > Homo sapiens. The sequence goes on from NC_000020.11 coordinate 58,618,951, forward strand.
CCATGCTGAGGCATGTGCTGCCCCGGCCCTTGGTTGCTGCGCAATTTGCTCTCTATGGACTGTACCTGGGGTGCCTACCCTGGACTTCAGACAAGCTTCTTCAAGAGTAGCCCCTGCCAGAGCTGGAGCCAACAGCAAGAGCAGCCCAGGGCCACTCTGCCCAGGCTCAGAGGCATCACTGGGAAAGAGGCAGGGGCAGAAGGAACTGGGGCGGGAAGCCCTGAAGGGTGTCGAGTCCCAGGACAAGGGACTGGGGTGTGTCCCAGCAGACCCCCAGGGAAGCAGCAGCTTTGGACTCGCCTGACCCAACCCCTTGCTGCCAGACAGGCTTAAATTGCCCCAACTTTCCCCATGAAGCTCGGACAGGAGGACGGAGGAGCAACTGCCTTCTGGGGTCAGAGTCTGTCCCCGCTCCTGCAGGCCGGAAGCACGTGCGGTCAGCGGTGGGCCAGAGCCTCTCAGCCTCTCAGCAAGGGCCTTCCTGTAGCTCTCGGCTCCTCCAACAGCCCCATCCCTTAGCACAGGCGGGGCTGGCGGAGCACTGCAGGGGCCAGGTGCAGCCACCGTGCAGCAAGGCACAGCTGCCTGATCAAACCAGATCAAAAGCCATTCGATCATCCAAGGACTATTTTCATTCGATATTTATTGATTTCTACCACTCGCTGGGGCTGTACAGGGCCCTGAGCTTGCCGTGAGGAGCACATTTCAGCCCCCACCCCCTCGGGGCTCACAGTCTGGTAGAGGAAGCACATGAAATAAAAGAATTTGCACATGTAAATATCTCATTACAAATGCGCAAGAGCCATGAAGGAAAAAAAAAGAACACGATGGGAGGTAATCACAAAGTCCACTTATTTTAGACAAAGTGGTTGGCGACAGCCACATTTTTGCCAAGACCTAAAGGATGGGCAACAGTAAAAATAAAAATCATCATCATCGTAATAGTAATTTTTTGAGTGTTTCATTGATGGCGTGGTAAGCACTTAATATACATCGACTTTGTATGGACTGGCTTATGTAATGCTGAGGAGAACTGTATGAGTAAGTATTGTCATTATCTCCATTTTGCAGATGAGGAAATTGAGGCACAGAGAGGCTCAGGGACTTGCCCGAGGTCTCGAGGCTGGTTGGGAGAGCCGAGCTAGAGCTAGTGGTGAGAGTAGCGTTAAGCATTTTCGCAAGCAGGGGCCATGCCCTGCATGATGCTTTGCAGCTGGGGAAATGAAGGCACAGAAATGCCAAGCCTCCTCCTGGGACAGAAACCAACCCTCAGGGCCCCTCAAGCCCCAGCTGGTGGGACCCTGCAAAGGAGCCTTCTGCAGTCCTGTCTGTGCCCTCCACGCTGCCCAGGATGAGGCTGGGGTGGGAGAAGCCGAGCTTCCCAGGCAGGTCCCCAGTGAGGCCCCTGGACTCCTGCCTTGGGGACGGTGGCACAGAGCCTGGTCTAGCTGGCAGAGCTGGCCACCCCAACATCCTTCAGGCTCCATATTGAAGCCAAGACATTTACAGGGGCCACTGAGGACAACTGTGCTCCCAAACCATTGCTATGGAATGACACGGCCTCTGTGCACACGTTCCTTTGGTTGGGGACAATGAAATATGTCAGCAAGCAAATGGGAATGCCTAAATCCTGGAGTCGGGGCCAGAAGCCCTAGGAACCCCACCCCACACAGAAACCCTGCCCCTGAGCTAGAGCGTCGCGTACACACACACACACACATACACACATGCACACACATATGTACACATACACACGCACACATACATACACACGCACACACGTGCACACACATTCACATGCAGGTGTCCTTCGGTGGTGGGAAGGGATGGCCTTGCAGGTACCAGCGTGTGCTTTACAGCCGCAATCAGGTAAGAGCTGTGGGCCTTGGGGAGACGCACAGGCAGCTGCTGCTTGCGTCTGGTGGGCGCAGCCTGACTTTAACTCCTGGGCTTCCCCGAATGCTCTCCCCATCAGCCCTTCCCGTCTAGTCCCTCACCACATGGTCATGGTCCACATCTCCTCCTCCAGGAACTCTTCACTGGCCTCTGTACCAACCTCCCCCCTCATTGGAGGAGGCGCCATCTGTGCATGGCGTCCACTCAGCCATGTCATTGCCGGTTTCTGTGTCATTGGTGTCTTAGCTGGACAGTAAGCAGCGTGAGGGCAGGATGCTGTCACATCACTGAACATTTGGCACTTGACAGATGCTTAATAAACATTTAGAATCAATCAGTAAATAAGTGGGTGTGTTCATTTGTCCTCACCACAGAACTCTCATCTCTCGCTAACATAGCATTTTGTAGATGCCCCTCAAAAATCAAGCCCCCCTGAAGTGCACTGAATTGTTTCTCCCCAAAAGATAGGTCCACCTGGATTGTGACCTAATTTGGAATAAGGGTCGTTGCAGATGTCACTAAGGTAAGGATCTGGAGATGATATCATCCTACATTGGGGACGGCCCTAAATCCAATGGCAGGTGTCCTTTTGAGAAGCTAAAAAGGAGGAGACATGAGGAGAAGGCCGTGTGAAGACTGAGGCAGAGACTGGGGGTGATGTGTCTACGAGCCAAGGAATGCCAGGATCCCCGCAGCCAACAGACACTGGGAGAGAGCTGGGAGGGACAGGTCCTTCCACACCGCCTTCAGAGGGAGTACGGTCTGGACGGCATCTTCATTTTGGACTTCAGTAAATTTCTGTGGTTTGAAACTACGCAATTTGTAGCAATTTGGTGTGGTAATCCCAGAAAATTAACACACCCTCCTTATGGAGTCTAGTACCCCCACCCCAAGGAGCTCCATCCACCAACACAAACCTTAACGCTTCATACCCACATCTTGAAATCTGTCCAGATGAAATCTAGTCTCTAAATGGGGACGTAGCCTGTCCCCATCTCCCCATTGCTCTCCACTCACAAGTTCAGCCCATCTTCCCCCAGTCCACCAGTCACCATCTCTCTGTCTTTTAGAGAGCAGGCCTCCCAGGCCCTGCTACTAAAGAAGATGGACTCTGTTGTTCCAACAGCCCTGCATCCCCTTCTTCCGGTGGCAGTGCGCTGGTTTTTCTTTAGGGACCACCCTTCCCCAGCTTTCAACCCATGATGTCTGCGTGAAGCTCATGACCCAGAGCTGATTAGAGCATTCTATCCTCTGGCCACTAGGGCTGACTTAGAGATGGGCACATGAGCCGGTGAGTTAAGAAGATGCGATCATGGCTTTGGGAAGGACTGTAGGGAAACAAGCTTTTTCTGTGGGAAGGCCGACTGGGGTGGCTGCAAGTCGGGACCCATCATGATCCCCCATACAGGGGGAGCCTGCCTAGGAATGAAGCCAATGTGGAGGAAACCAGAGCTCAGAGTAGAGAAAGACCTAGATTCCTGGTGGCAGCTCTGATGTTCCTGGGTCTCGCCATGCCTGAAATCCACCCTATCACCACAGATATGCACTTTCATGAGCCAGTAAAGTCCCAGTTTTTCCTGGGGCCACACTGAAGTGGATTTCTGCTCTTGACAACCAAAAGAGCATTGTCAGTACAAGAAGACACCCTTCTCCTCCACCCGGAGGTTAACAAAAAACCTCTGAGTGGTTCTTCCTGCTCAGTGCTGGTCACCTCTGGCTGAAGGCCACTCCCCAGCTCTCAGATCCCTGCTGACCACCCTCCCTGAACTGTTGGCAGCAGTAACGAGAAAGCTGAACGGTTGTTTATCATTGTCAACCCTTCCTCCACATTACCCCTATGGTTTTCTTCCCCCAAACCCAAGCCTTCTGTGCCTCCCACGCCCACCCCACTTGGTGCCAGCTCGGTGGCTCACTTGTTGTCTGGAGTGTAACTCATCTGTGTACCTGTGGTCTCTACTCCCAGCCTCTGGGTCTACAAAGAGGAGGATTGTGCAGCTCAGACTGAGCAGCTCAGACTGTGCATCCAGCAGACGGTTGTCGGAAGCACAGCTCAGTGACTGATCCTGACCACAGGGGCCAGAGCCAACGCTGTGTGCTGTGGTGTGTCCAGCTGCGATCAGCACTTCACATGGAGGCTCATCCTAGGAAGGGGCATTCACAGTCTCCACGTCTCACAGATGAGGAGTCAAGGCAGACAGAGCTGCACAGCCGCACGTCCGTGGTCACATCGCTGGTTGGCAGGGCTGGGGTAGGATGACCTTGGTCCCAAAACCCATGTGCTTAACCAGGAAGGAAAGGAGGAAGGCATGGGGAGAGGGAGAGAAGAAAAGAAGGAAGGAAGGAATGATGATGGAAGGAAGGAAAGAGGGAGGGGGCTGTGTAGGCATATGAGAATGTGTGTATAGTAAGTGTGGATGTAGATGTGGGTGTGTATGCACATGTGTGTGAATGTGGATGTGAACATGAGTGTGTATGAGGGTGCATGGAGGTGGGTGTGAACCCTGTGCATATGAGTGTGTGCATTCAAGGGTGTGTTTGTGAATGTGGATGTGAATGTGTGTATGAGTGTGTGTGATGTGTGTATATGGGTGGGTGTAAGTGTGTGTGAACTGTGTGTAATGCGTGTGCATTGGAGGGGGTGTGTGCACATGTGTATGAGTGTGTGAGATAGTGTGTGATGTGTGTATACTGTGTGCACGTGTGTGTGTATTGGAGGGTGTGTGTGCATGTGTGTATGTACCAGTGCGTGGGATAGTGTGTGAAGTGTGTGTGAACTGTGTGCATGAGTGTGTGCATTGGAGGGTGTGTGTGTGCACCTGTGTACAAGTGAGTGTGATAGTGTGTGTGAAGTGTGTGTGAACCATGCGCATGAGTATGTACATTGGAGGGTGTGTGTGCACATGTGTGTACGAGTGTGTGTGATAGCGTGTGATGTGTGTGTATACTGTGTGCACATGCATGTGTGCACTGGAAAGTGTGTGTGTGCACCTGTGTACGAGTGTGTGTGATAGCGTGTGATTGTGTGAACTGTGTGCACACACGTGTGTGCATTTGGGGGGTGTGTGCCCTCCCGTGCCCTCTGCCTGAGCGCCCCATCCTCCATGTACTCTGTCCTGCTGGGGTCTCATTAGTGTGCGGAGGGCGTCAGAGCTGGCCAGAGCCGCAGAGCCGCTGACTCACGCAGTGTCTGGAGTGAGTCACTGGCTGAGCCGGAGGCTGCGGGGGCCGCACTCAGCCGGAATCCCTGCTGGCCTCCTGTTCTCATCCGCCCGCTCTGAGTCACCCACACCTATGCTTCGGGCCGTTGTGGAATTAAACTCTCCTCTCCTTGAGGACGATGGGAAAGGGATTGAAGAGCCAGTGGACGCTGTGCCCAGCTGGAACCCGGGGGTCCGAGGGCAGACAGATGTGCTCCCAGCACTGCTCTTCTCAGAAGCTCCGTGGGCTGTGGGCCAGGCTCGAACCATTTCCAGTCCATGTCTCTGGGGTGTCCCCCAGATGCGGGCAGTGGGGCCTCTCTGGCCTTGCTTGAGGCCTGAGACTCTGGGAGGCTCTTCATGGGAAAAGTTGCCCCCATCCCCACCAGGGGCAGCCACCCTCCACAATGGGTTGCTCTTCTGGGCATGGTCCAGAAGCTTCTAGAGAGAAAATGGCAGCACCAACCCCCGACCTCATGAAGCTGACGGTCCAGGGGGAGGGCAGACAGCAAACAGAAACAGACAAATAAGAAGAAGCAGAGCCGACATCAAGGGGCCGTGCTTCATGTGTTTTCAGAGCTACTAGGACTGCCTGGAATGACCATCCACGCTTATTTGTGTACTGAATCAAACCCCATATGGTCAGAGCCATGCTGATCTTGCTGCGTCTCTGTGTTGAGTACAGGGCTTGCATACAGTAAGCACTCAGCAGATGCATGCTGAGTGAAGGCTCGTGTGAACAGCAAGGCAGAAAAGTAGGTGCAATGGTGCAAGAAAGAGCAACTGGGAGAGCTGCTGAAAGAGGGCATCTGAGCAGAGGGAGCAGCCCGAGCCGAGGCCCTGGGGCAGGAACGTGCTTCCATATTCTAGGGAGGTCGGCAGGGCTGGAGAGCAGGGGGAGGCGGTGAGAGGTGCGCTTGCAGAGATGAACCTGTAGGCTGTGATCGGGAGGGTGGATCTTGATTCTCTCCTCCTGATGGGTTGTTCTTCTAGATGCGGCCCAGAAGCTTCTAGAGGAAGATGTCATGGAGCACCAGCCCCAGACTCTTGTCCATCCTCAGAAAGCAGGAAGGTGTGATTCCACGTGCATGCCTGTTATCTGTCAGCTGGTGTTAACGTGCCCACCAGCAGGATGGAGGCCGGCTCGGAAAAGAAGAGCAAGTTTGGAAACATCCTTGAGGGCCAGGGAGCTGGGAAGAGCATGGTAAACGTGAGTCCTCTGCTCTTGGCTGAGCCCAGACCAGACTTACATCTCCATCATTAGGGGCCTCCTTTGGAGACGAGAGAGCAGGCAGAAAGCCTGCCCTGTTGAAAATGGACCTATGTTTTCTAGAAGAAATAGTAGCAGCATAATGACTCTTTAGTGTAGGTAAAAATGTGTTGCCAACACTTAGCAAGAGACTAGGCACCCAGTGACACGGGAGAGGTAGGTTTGGATGAGACACAGCTCAGAATTGTCCAGATCACAGATTGTTTGGGAAGTGGCCTAGTGGCTGTGAGCCTTAAGGGTGACAGCGGAGAGGGCCCCTAAGTTGCACGTCTCAGTGTGACCCAAGGCAGGCCCACCTTCCTGGGTGGCGTGACCTGCCCTGCCCTCCCCCTCTGCAGCCCGGCCTCACTGGCTTCCCCTCAGCCGGTGTCCCTGCATTTTTCTATCACTGCTGGGACACGGTTTCCCCACCCTTCCCACATGCTTTACAGATGTTGGCACCAGCCTGTATCCCTGGCCACCTGGCAGTCATTGGACCTATTAAACTGGAGTTCACATGCAACACAGTGGTGCTTGGCTGGGGTCCCTCCCTCCCTCTGCCTGCTCCACCGGACTGTGAGCTCTGAGTGCAGATGTACTTCCTGTCTCTGGAAACCCAGCACCTGGAACAGTATCTGGTGCAATGTACGAGGTCAATAAATAGCTGCCAAGATGGGGATAGGTGATCCCATTTTATGGATGAGGAAAGTGAGGCCATGTGGGCAGAGCCCTGTGTTCCTTCTCTCCCACTCAAGTGAGATGCCCAGGGTACTAATTTAAGGGGGCGCTCACCTTCAGAGTCCAACCCTGTGCCAGCACCCCTTGTGAGTGAGTGCCACCTTAAATATGATACCTTGCTTGCCTCGCCCTTGTCCCACCCCAGAGAGGAAGGAAGTGAAGGGCAGAGGGACAGTGGCCAGGCAGCCGCTAGCCCAGGGGGCTCTCCACCCAACTCCGGAAGTACCCAGGCTGCCCTAAAAGTCCTGAGATGAGCTCACTCTGTTCATCACATCCAGATGCCACTGTGCAGGGAGCAATCAAGTCAGCCATTTCCCCCAATAAGCTTGACTTCAGGGGACTGGAGGAGCTATTTGTAGCACTTTTAAAACCTTTTATAGATCAGTGTGTTACCACTGATGACAGTGGAAGAAATGCTGCTATTAGAGGCAGGAGCTTTAAGAGGTTTGGGTATTGGCTATTTCTGATTGGGAATGCCATGCTGGGAATCAATGCTCCATGCGTCCTTGCAGTGCTGCGTGAGGAGGCCACACGTTGGCTTGAGCCTCCCTGCCATGCACGCTCCCCTTGGCTTGGTACCCCCCTTGACTGAGAACTTGGGGTGATTTTCTCCTCTGTAGCCAAGCCAGAGCCCCCCAGGCTCCCAGCTCAAGGCTGACCGAAGCTTGGTGTTAGGTCCGGGTTTCTTGGGGGTGCATGAGCTGCTGGCGCGTCCGCAGTCGGAGGCTGCTTTGTCTCTCTCGCTGTGTCTTTTCCTCTTGACTCTCTTGTTCTCACTCCCTCCTGCTGTGTCTTTGCCCTTGTGTCTGCTCTCCCTCATCTTCTTTCTCTTTCTTTTGTTCTTTCTTCTCCTCCTTGCCTCTCTTTTTCTTCCTTTCCTTCCTCTTCACAGAGTCCAAGAAATTCTAAGGAAATGAGAAGTGTGGGCTCATAGGTTTCTCACCTTGACCATCCTGGCTCATGCTGAGAACTGGGCTCCTTCAAAAGGCCTGTTGCATCTGTGGAAGTGGCTCTTCTGGAAGAGTCTGTGGCACCCATGGACAACAGCAGAGTGCGGCCCTCTGAGACCATGAGACTCATGTGATTCCTAATTCCACTAAACACTATGGGTTGGGTGCCAGCTACCTGCCAGGGGGTCCTTTTCTTGGAAGGAAGCCAGACACAGCTCCAGGAGACTGTAGTGCAAGATGGAGGAGGGCAAAGCCAGTGGAGGAGCTGAAGAATGACACCCAGTTCCAGTTGAGTGAACCAAGATGGCTCCAGGTGGGGTTGGCCTTGGAGTGGGCCAGGACAATTGAGTGGGGGAGGTGCTCATGGGTATGGCAGTGGTGACGGGGCAGAGAAAGTCATTTGAGGAGGAGGTGAAAAAGGGAAGTGGATAAGAAGATTTAGTCTTGGGTTCAGATCTTGGTTTCACAGCTTTCTGGCCATGTGGCCTTGCTCAAGCCGCTTCCACTTCTGGACCCTGTTTTCTGGCAAGTGAAAGGGGACCTACCTTGCAAAGGAATGGCATAAGATGACGTTTGTTGTGTGTTTGTCCCCTGCCTGGCGTATCCTCAGAATGTGGTTTGTGATATCTTTATGAACTTGCCAACAGAGGCAACCTGTGCATGCGACATCGCTGGGCGTGCAGAAAAGCCTAGAAAGCTAATCCTAGAAGCTTTTGCTAATGAGCACTTACTGTGTGCTAATGAGCACTTATATGACTTATATGTGCCAGGCAGCATTCTACAAGCCGTGGGTGTCCTGCCACTCAGTGCTCATGACAAGGACTCAATGGGAAGGATTCACCACCATGATGCCCACATGGCTGAAGAAGTGGATCCCCTGAAGGGAAAGCGGCCACCCAGCAGCCCCTGGAGCCGGCGTCCTACTGGGCATGTCAGCTCTGGAACCATGCTCCTCTCACTGTGGTTTTTGCTTCCCTATTGAAGGGCTTTGGGGGCCAGATGAGGGGTTTGGGCTCTATCCTGGCAGGAGGGGAGAAGGGGTGGGCAGCCTCTGAAAGTGTCTGTGGAGACCAGGTCCAGTCTCATTACTGGTGGCCAGTGGGGCAAAGGGCCTTGGGGGCTGTGGAGCAGCCACTATTGCTCCTGTTTCTAGGAACTTCTCTCTCTCTCCCCAACCTCATCACTGAGGAGCATCCTGTCTAGGGTTTCTGGAAGGCTCTCTTCTTACTTCCTTCCAGCCTCATGTCCTGATGGCGTTGTGTGCCAGGGGACTCACGGAATATTGTTTTCCTCTAACGACTCAGACAACTGATGAAATACTTGGTGCCTTGTTCTCCCTAAGACCTGTCCTCCCAAGGGCCTGCTTTCACATGGCTGCCAGGGCCTTCAATGCCGAGTCCGTGTTCCTCGGGGACCATCAACATGTGGAACTTATTTTTAATTTAAAAGAACAACAGACTCCCCAACCCCATTCCCCTCCCCCGCTTGCCTCCCACTGCTGCTCCTGGCTATGCGGTAAACACCAGGCTCTTGCTACCTCTCAGCTTTGCCATCGTGTCCAGCCTGGAAATTCTTGCTGGGCCATTTTCAGGGGCCAAGCCAAGGTCCTGGCCAGACCAAGGAAGCCCATAGGCACTTCAGCCTTCCCCATCTCTGCCCCCTGCATCCCTCTGACTTCTAGGCAAGCTGACCCATGCCACTCCCTTCTCTAGCAGCTGTCCTCTGCCTGTCCTTGGGAGGGCTGTGGGAAAGAACACCATGGCCCAAATCTTTAGATGGTTTGGACAAAAATTAGAGGGGATTCAGTCGAAGAGTACCTGCTGTCCCAGCAAGGCTGAAGCCTCCCAGAGTGTGAGGGTCTCATCCTGCAGACACCACCCCACTCATGGCTGCTCCTGTCCAGACCCTGGGATGCACTGTTTGACTTTGTCCTCATCTCAAGCCCACTTTACTTGTGGAGAAACTGAGACAAAGAGGCTGAGTAACTCGTCCGAAGTCCAGTGGTATAGGCCGGACTTGACCCGAATTCTGACCCCAAAGCCTGGCCCTTGACTGCCCCCTAGCACTGCACTGGCCAGGATTCCATGGTGGCCACTTTCTAATACTGCATCACAGCGCGGGGAGGGGCTCCAGGATCACTTACTTGCTCTTAACCCTGGCGACAAGGATGTGCTTTTGCAGATGTTGGTTTGTTCATGAGAAATTCGAGTCAGATTTGAGGGGGAAAGAGGAAAAGAGAGACACAGTGTGTGTAGAGCCATTATGTCTAATTCAGCCACCAACACACTTCTCTGTGGGCCTCTTCTGGCTCCAGAAGCCCCCTTCCCAGCTGTGATGTCACCAGCCAGCCTCTGCAGATGACAGCCCTGTGATTTATCATCAGCCACCTGCTTTCTCACTGCTGGGGACAGCCAGAGCCCAGAGCAGCCCCCACTGGGCTGGGCAGCAGCTGCCCCCTGCCCCATTGCCGCACTTCCAGGCCTATGAGCTTTTTGAGATTGTTTGCATTTTGGGAAATGCCAGTCATCTCTCCCAAATCTGCAGATAGCAGCATCTCACCATCCAGGGTTGGAGTTTCTAAACAGTCAGATAACCTTGCTCACAGAGAAACAGCCTGAACACCATTTACAGATAGCGACAGGATTTAATGAGATAAAGCCTTGGGCATCCATGAACCAATTTTTACGAGCCGTGATGAAATGGCTGTTTTCTTAATAGATACCCAAACAGAACACAATTCAGGGCTCTGAGAGCTTCAAAGGAACTTCTCAGCTCTAGCCTCTTGAAATTTCGGGCAAAATCCAAACACGTATCAGTCTTACCACCACCATGAAAATGATATGTTTTTGTAAAATTATGTGGGACCTATCTATCTGCCAAGGGAGAGATGGCCCAGATGCTTTTGGGACTCCAAGCCAGTGTCTTCAGCCTTTTCTCACATGATGTGAACACCAAATTCCAGTGCCACTTTCTAGAGGGGAGATTGCAGATGGAAGGCTTGTCCTGGAGAGGTTGAAACAGTGGGAAAGGAAATAAAGAGCATGCTCTCGCTCTTCCTCCAATTCCCTGAACTAGCTGGTTTCCTGAAGACTCCAGTGTGGGTAGACTGTGGCAAGTGGGTGACTGAATACTGACCTAGTCCTTAAAAAGAAAAAACGGTCAAAGGGCACCCTTCCAACCCCCACTGTGTGACAATGACCTCCTCAGAGAGCAGCCTTATGGGCCCCCTTTGAAAGGGCACAGTGACCCCCCTGGTGTCTGTCTGTTCTGCCCTGCTTGGAGAAACGGCTTCCTCCTCTGAGTTCCTAAAACATTTATCATCCCTATGATTTGCCAGGCAATTAGTCATGCCCTGCCTTGAGTATCTCTTCTATTGTTGTATCAAACGGCTGTTTAACCCTTATCAGCAGTGCAGTTTTCAATATCTTGTCTTTCTAACTCGATGTGAGCTTCCAGAGGGCTGTGCAAATGTCCACCCATGTCCGTCTCCTGTGCCCATGGTCCGTACACGTCTGGTCATCACCGTCAGAGGGTAGGACTGTGTCCTGCCTTTACAGGTAAAGTGTTTAGCATGCAAAATGCTTAGCACAGACACTGGCACCTCACAAGGGCCCAAGAAAGAGCCACTAGTGTTTACCTTGTTATTCATATTATTATCTGGTATACAAGAATAGCTAGTGAGCACCCTCCATGTGTGGGACACTGTGCCTGGTGCTGCTGAAGCCACTTGAAAATGGTACCTGTGAATTTCCCCAAAGCCATCTGGAATCAAGCTGGAAACTCTAGCTCTGTTTCCTACTGAAGGGAGACACGTATCCCCTCAGTGAGAAGTCTTTTCTTCAAAGGCCCTTGGTCGGTGTCAAGGATCCTTCGAGTCTAGGTGAAGTTGGTTGGTTTGGTCTCCAGAGCGGTGTGTGAATACAAATACAAATACCGTATTCACAGAATAGAGGATTTGTAGGTGGAGATCCTTGTCAACCTCTCCCCCAAAGTAGTCAGAGAAATGCCAGAAGAGAAGGAGCTCTCCAAAGGGGAGTGGGCTGGGCTGGGGGAGCTCAGAGCAAACCGTACCCATCATGGCTGGAACTCACTCGTGTCCCAGCTACTCCTCTCACTGGCTAAGGAATAAGGTGAGACAGTACAGAAGGTTGAGGTCGGAGAGCTGGGTGGATTTAGGGAGATACAGAGATGGAAACTTTGCTGTGGTCACGTCAAGTCAGACGATCTGATATAACTTCATCCACATCAGCCTCCACCTTCTTTATAAAAGCTCCCTCTGGTTCCTGTGTGGAGAATGTTTAGGGGTACAGGAGGGAACCCAGAAGTCCAGTGGGGGGCCTTCACAGTGGCCCAGATGACCTGGATTGGACCAGGGAGGTGGGGGTGGGCAGGGCAAAGGAGAGCAAGAAAAGCCAGGACCTTCTGAAGCCTTCCTCCTGGCCCCCTGGACCCCAGCTCAGGGTCTCTCCACTCCCTCCACTCCCCTTGTCCCCAGTCCTCCTCACCCTGTATCAGGGCTTCCTGTTAGCATGTTTTTGGCCTCATGGATGGGGGGCTCCATGAGGGCAGAGCCTTGGTTTACTTGTCCCTGCTCACTGACCCTAACAGGAAGAAAAGGAGGCCTGGTCTTGCGTACCCTCCAGGCTGAGCTCCTCACAGTCCCTGCATCTGAGGCCTGTGACAGTCAGGCCTGGAATGAGAGGAGAAGGCTGATCTCCCAGGCTGTCAATTGTTCCATTCTAACCCAAGCATTCTGACCCATGCTGCATTCCCGCCTGGGGTTTATGACTCTCTTTGAGTCCACTCTGCAGCCCACTTCCCAGCAAAGCCTGGTTTGAGGGCAGCTGAGACCAGCCCCAGGCCCCAGGAGAAAGGAGACCTACATCTCCCCAGAAGACCCCAGCCCCGTGGACAATGGATCCTCTGTCAGCCTGCAGCAAATGTTACAAGGCCCTAAAGACACTCTCTGGCCCTAGTGAGACTTTAAGAAACAAAACAAATTTTTAAAACACACATACACAGCAAAATACAAAGCGAAAATTGATGATGGTGATGGAGACGATAGAATCCAAGGTGACCTTATCTTCACCGGGCCCCAAAAGAAAAGAAATGCAATGTGTGGCCTCTCTAAAGCTATTCCGGAAAGTGAGGGGGCGCAAGTAGACCCCACTGAGAAGGAGCTCCATGCCAAGGAGGAGCAGGGCTGGAGGCGTGAGGACCACCAGGAGGACTTGAACAGCAGCAGTCTGGCTGCCCATGCTGGCCTCTCTTCTGGGGTCCTCTGGGCCTGCGGGAAGTCCTGGGTACCCAGGGACATCTGCCCATAGCCAGCCAACGCCCTGATGACCCTGGGAGTCCCTCCAAATTCCATGTCCACTGGAACCTCAGAGTGAGCTTATTTGGAAATAAGTTCTTTGCCGATGTCATTAGTAAAGGATCTTGAGGCGCAATCATCCTGGTTTTAGGGTAGGCCCTAAATGCAATGATGGTGTCCTTCTGAGAACAGAGGAGGACAGAAGACACATAGGGAAGAGGGCCATGTGAGGACAAAGCAGCGATGGGAGTGATGCGGCCAGAAGCCAGGGAATACCAGGAACCAGCACCATCCAGAAAAGGCCAGAAGGATCCTCACCTAGAGCTTTTGGAGGGAACGTGGTCACACCTTGATTTCAGACTTCTGGTTTCTAGAACTGGGCCTGGGCCAAGTGAATACATTGATGTGTATGTTTTTCCATGTCAAGGATACATGATTTGTGGATGATTTTCTAGCCACCAGCCAGTGGGTTGGCCACACCAGTCCTTGCCTCCCGTGCTTACCTAGGGAAAGCGGAGCCCCCACTGATTGGGGTCGGGGGAGATGCAGAAGTAACTTCGCAGAGGACCGATGAGCTCATGCCGGGGACACAAGTTGCTGTGCGGCTTTCCACAGGGGAAGAGTTATGGGCAACTTCAGAGCAGCAACCAGGATTCGGTAAAATACTTTTAACGCAAAGTACTGCTCTATAGTGACCTGAGAGCCCTGGCCTTGTGGCCGGTACTTCCCGTGGAGACCACTGCAGGTGCACTCATTCTTCATTCTTTGGACAAATATTTGTGGAGGACCTAAATACGCCTAACACTAGATATTAGGCCCACCATGGTGAGCAGGCCAGGCTGGCTCACATCCTAGTAGAAGAGACACATATGAAGGAAATGAACAAGGTACCAGGACAGAGACTTACAGGAGAGAGTGTGGCTGGAAGGCTTCTCTGAGGAAGGGACTTGGGGACTTGAAGGACAGGAAGGAGCCAGCCATCAAATGAGCTACGGTAAGACCATTCCTGGCCGAGGCAGCCAGAGAACAGAGTCCTTGAGGTGGGGAAGGGCTTGGCCAGTTCTAGGCATGCGCCCAAGGCCACTTTGGCTGGAAAACGGTAAGGTCTGGAAGGCTCCGGTAAGGAGTAGGAATTTGGCACTGTCTCACCTAGGAGAGGGGAAACTGCTAACGCAATGGCACATCACCACCTCCAGGAAGTCTTTCAGGGTTGCCTTTGTGGAGGTGAGCCGCCATACCACAGAAAGCCTGGGCCTACTGTCATGGTCTCAACTGGCCGTCATCATCTGTGACTTTGCCTCTTAAGATTCTTTGTATTATGAGGGGTGGGTGTCTTCCCAAAGGCCTCTAATTCTCTCACCGCCACTGCTGTAATGACCTCCTAAAGGTCTCTAATACTCAGAATAGCAGAATAGGGTGACATGTGGGTGATTGCTCTGTGATGTCTTTTACACCATTGATCACCAGGATCCCTGTGGCACATCTGGCTAGTCAAGTGGGTGGCCCCTTACCTCCCAGAGCCATATCACAGAAAGCCCTTCCCAAGGAGGAGCAGCCCAGAGCTCTCTGTCAACCAGCATTCTGAAGCGCCACATGTGGTGATGGTTTAGCAGTGTCTGCTAGGAGCATGGGAGGGGAGGGTGGGGTTAGGTGTGCCATGCATTTGCCCTCCTTCCTAAAAGAACCTCCTTCCCCTCCCCAAAGCCCCATATACTTTCTAGGTCTTAACCCAGTGGCATATACATGATAGATGTTCAAAACATGTGCTGTTTGATCGATAGTGTATTCAGCAGTCATTTCGCAGCCTAGTGACTGCGAGCTCGACTCAGAGAGGGAGTGACAGTGACGGGGCAGAAGCACGTGGCTGCCAGATGGGCGATGGGAAATGTTCCGCACACAGAAGTCAACCATCCTGCCAATTTGGGAACACGAAGTCACTCGTTCGATGCCTGTCAAGTCCCTATGCTGTGCCTGCCACGGCCCTTGCTGCTACGGTACCACGAGCGTCCCCAGGAAGACACCTTGCTTGTCTCTAATTCCATGAACTTTTTGCAAGAAAATCTTGCTTGCCTTCCCCAGGGGTCAGGTCTTCAGAGGGGAGACTCCTGCCCTGGTGTGCCCGGCTCCTGCCCATCCAGCAGAGCAGGAAAAGGTGACTCGGGTTCCATTTGACAAACGTCTCTTCTGAAAGCTGCCCTTAGCAGGCAGGAGAAAAGCCCCCATTTACTGGGGCCTTGTCAGAGTTTCTAGAGCTTAAATTCTCTTCTTCAGAAAGGAAAAATATCTGCGGCCCCACATCCGCAGATGCATAAACGTGGGCGTGATTTATGAGTGCACGTGGTATCCAGCGCTTTCCCCCAGCTACTGTGAAATCGTTCCTCTTCTCTGACTGAGACGTCAACAGTATGGTCACTGTATATGTTTTCCCACTTTTTCCAGAGCCAAGAACCAGGAAAAAAAAATGAAAAATGAAAGTGTACAGGAAGTCAAGGTCAGGCCATACCCACCACAGTTCGGGCAGCCATAGAGGAGAGCTTTCTTAACGGTCCGCTGGGACCCAAGTGGGCCTCCCCTGGGACTGCGTGCTCCCCTACAGAACCTGATGGCTGGAAACACTCACACTACTGCCTGTCCCGGCATCTCTCCCTCCGCCGCAGGGGCTGATGCTGCCACAGGACACAGAGCAGCAGGCCCCAGAGGCTTCTCTGCACCTCTGCTGCCTTTCTGAGTAATCAGAGGAGGCCACACCCACTCCAGGACACCCACACGGGCCTTCTGGGCGATGACGCTCCTGGCCCAGGAGTGGGGGGCTGCCTCACACCTGCTGCTGTGGGGCAGAGTCTCTCCTGGGTCGGGGCCTCGCTGGCGGATCTGCTCCATGTCGTGTGATGTGCTGCAGCCCCGCGTCACCGAGAGCCTCTTATGGGCCACCAAGTCCACACAGCCACTGGCCATGGGGCACCCTGCAGGGCCTCTGGACACGGAGACCTGTGGTTCTCAGCCAGTGGTGATTTTGTGTCCAGGGAACACCTGGCCAAGTCTGGGTTCAATTTTGTTTGTCACAGTTTAAGGTTGGGGTGTCACTAGACATCCTACAGTGCACAGGACGGCCCCACAGCAGACCAGCCCGACTGTCAGCAGCACCGAGCCGGGAAAGCCTGGTCTGGAGCCGTTTCTCTCTAGGGTCCCTGCTAGGGAAC
This sequence comes from Homo sapiens, assembly GCF_000001405.40. Classification (NCBI taxonomy): domain Eukaryota; kingdom Metazoa; phylum Chordata; class Mammalia; order Primates; family Hominidae; genus Homo; species Homo sapiens. The sequence goes on from NC_000020.11 coordinate 58,635,495, forward strand.
CCCTCACTGCCATGGAGAACCCCTCTCCTCCTGTCTCTCAGGACTCTCCGAGGGTCAAGGATGGATGCCTCCCCATCGAGGGCCAAACAAACTGACAAATCGAGTGGGCAAACGGCTTACTCAAAGGCCAGGAGCAGCTACCCGATGACTGCTCCCTCGACCTCTCTCTTCTCACTTTCTTCCCTATTCCATCCTTTGATGGGTGGCCTGTTACACGTTTGGAAATAAAAACAAGTGGGAAAGAGTGCCATAAACATTCCTGGGAAAAAAGCAGGGCCGACTGGAGGTCCATTGTTGCTGAGAGACAAAAAAGATCAAAGGGGAAGAAAGAAAGGATGGAGGGAGGGGAAGAAGAGAGGGAGAAAAGGAAGGAAAGAAGGAGGAAAAGGAAGAAGTAAAGGAGGCAGGAAGGGAAAGAAGGAAGGAAGAGAGAGAGAGAGGGAGGGAGGGAGGGGGGAAGGAAGGAAGGGAAGGAAGGAAAGGAGGGAGGGAAGGAAGGGAAGCAGAGAGGGAGGGGAGGGAGGAAGGAAGGAGGGAGGGAGGGAAAAAGAAATGAAGGAAGGAAGGAGGGAGGGAGAGAGGGAGCACAGAGAGAGGGAGGGAAGAAGGAAGGAAGGAAGAAAAAGAGAGAGAGAAAGGGAGGGAGGGGGAAGGGAGGGAGGAGGAGAGGGAGGGAGGGAGGAAGGAAGGGAGGGAGGGAGGGAGCACAGAGAGAGGGAGGGAAGAAGGAAGGAAGGAAGGAAGGGGGGGAGGAAGGAAGGAAGGGAGGGAGGGAAGGAAGCAGGGTTCTCACTGGTAAATCTCCCTGGCTGCCCTCTGTGCGTGTGTTACAGAGAGATGTTCTGTAGAAATTTCAGGAGAAGGGCTTTGGAATCCTTTCATCGCAAGTGGTATCAAGCACAGGTGACCATCAGGATGTACGGATGAGACGGCCCAGTTGGTGGGAGCTCACCAGACTGACATTAAAAGGAAAGGCCACCCCAAACCTCCATAGCAGTAGCTGGGAAGGCCTGAATGGCTGTGTCTGGCCTGGAGGAACTGCTCCCTTCAGGAACCGTAGCCCTTCAGGGGCCTGAAGCATTTCAGAGACGAAGAGGGAGCCCCTGAGACGCCCACATGTAGACACTCCAGGAAACAGCAGTACCTGACTACACTCAACAAACCCGAAGTCCTCACGGCCTGGCAGGCTCTTCACCTCTGGCGCCTGCCACACTCCAGCCTCACGGCTTTCCCTCCCCTCCCTGCTCTTCCCACTCCCTGTGACACTCTTCCCTGCGACAGCTTCATGGCTTACTACTGGTCTCTGCATCAATGTCACCTCCTCCTGAAAGCCTTCCCTGATCACCCTTGGTGTGTGTCTCCTGTCTGTCACAGGGCAGGGAACTTGTGTCTGGCTGCCAGTGGCATCCCCAGCAGCCAGATCCCTGCCTGGCAATAGTAGCTGCTCTGTCAATATCTGTCCATGGTTGAGTCCAGCTCCTATTCCTCGCAGCTCTGTGAGGTCCCCAAGGACTTGGTTACAAGGTGCTCTCAGCTGAGTGGCCTTAACTAAGATTATCATGGGTGATGCTGGTAGGTTTCCCCCAAATCGACATGACTGAGTGGCCAGGAGGTGGGCACTGAGCCAGATTGACCTGAGTTCCATCTTGGCTCTGCCTCTCCATGACCTCAGGTCACCCGAGCTCTCTGAAACGGCTTCTTTGTCTGTAAAAGAGAGAGCTGAGTGAGACAGACCATTTTCGGTGTTGAGCACAGAAGAAACTGCGGCATCCTGCCTCCCCACTAGGGGAAGCCCAGTTAGGCCGGTTCTTGAAAAACTGGATGCTTCGTCAGCCTGAGCCAAGAGCCTGGGAATGCTTCTTTCCTCGTAGGTCATTGGGGACCACCAAATTCTTCCACCCTCCATGTGCCTCTCATTTTAAAAGACCCAAAAGCTGTGAAAAAGCGGCTCCCTGCGTATGGGAAACGCATCCCAAAGCAGCCTTGTTTCGCCTTCGGACATGGGTGGCCCCTTCTGCCCACCCCTTCCCAAGGCTGAAGATTGCCTGTTGGAGCTTCCTGCGTTGAAAACAAAAATCTTCAGTTCCATTGCCATTGCCATTGGCCCAGCCCTGCTGGTTGGGACCTGGAGGGCTGGACTAAGGAAAGCAAGGGGACACCAGCCAGGCTGAGGCCCGCCTCCAGGGTACATAGAGATGCTGCCCCATCCTCACTCCCGGATGTTCTACGGGCCTTCTGCAACCACCCCTATCCCGGCAGAAATGCCTATCGGTTCTCCATTCTGATCTGCGCCAGCTCAGCCTCCGCAGAGTGAGGGAAATTAGCATGGCCAGGGGCTCTCTCCTGTCACTCCAGATCCATCTGTTGCCTCCAAAGTTTCCCTAGGACGAGGGCCGCTGGCCAAGGCTGACAGGTCTGAGAAGAGCAGCCCTCATTTCACACTGAGCTGCACCCTGAGCCTCAGCCCTGCCACCAGCACGCCAGCCTCCCTGCTCTAACTTCAAGCCCAAGTGCCCTTGGCAGGGGTGCCATCCTGCCTGCTGTGGGCCTGCGTGCTGTCCAAACAGCCTGGGCACCCGAGATTGTCTCGCCGGCCAATCACAGCAAGTGTGGAGCCCGCGGCCGTTCCCTGCGCACAGTAGTCCCTGCCTCGTGCCCACCGTAAAGACTGCCTTTATCACTCGGGAGGTTCATTCATTCATTTACTATTCATTTATTCTTTCATTCACTCAGCAAATATTTACAAAGCCCTCACTCCGCGTGAGGACAGTACAGACATGAATTAAGTACACATGGTTCCACGGTTCTTAGTGGTTCCGACCAGGAGATAAGGAAATCCTTGTTTGCCGTCTGTAGGGCTCGCTGCTCTTTCTTGCTTGCCAGGGTGTTCTGGTAACAGCACCCTGATTTTCCTCAGAACAGCACCTTGCTGCTTCAGTCTACAAATCTGGAGGGCCTGGTCCAGCTCTAGCTCTGTCGTGAGCAGGTGACCAGGCTAGACCAGATGAGCCTCACACCCCTGGTGATAGCCACTAAGTAGTCACAGGTGTGGGCACATGACTCTCTTCAGGCCATTGAGGCTCAGTCCTGGGACCCTTACTAGAAGGACTCATGAGTCCAGAAACAGTGGAAGTTGCCTAGGCAACCGGTTCAGGCCAAAGATTGATCTTCCACTAGTCCAGGAAGTCTTCCTGGAGGTGAAACTTCAGGTCTTTAAATTATGGGAGAGAAGAGAGTGAAGCCAGCACTCACGTGTGACCACCATCCACCTACTGACCCATTCATCCAATGCAGTGAGGGCACATGGCACGGCATGCCGGGTGGGCTGTGTTTTTACTCTGTCATATGCTTCCTGCGTTGGTTCCCTCCAGCCTGTGCACCCCACCCTGCTCCACCCCTGCTTGTGAACTAAATGAAGATCTAAGTGATCACATCTCCACAGTGAGAAAAGACACCAATTGTCCCAGAGAACCAAATGCAGGAGGTGCTGGTCTTTATAGGGGACCTGGGGAAGACACTAACTCTTCTCTAAGGGGTGCTCCAGGCTGCTCTGGCAGTCGAAAGAGCTAGCTGCAAGGCCAAACTATGCTACTGAGCTGCTGTGTGACCTTGGGCAAACAGCTTCCCTTCTCTGGGCTACATGATCTCTAGGCATCTGTCCAATAAATACACTATTTCTAAATCAATTAGACAGAAATGCTGAGGCTTGGAACAGGAGCCAGAGAACGTGAGGCTGACCAGTGACCCCTTAGGAAGGTGGCTGCCATCTGTCCTGTTTCGGAAGCCTCTCCCTCTGCTGGACTCCAAAAGCCCTGCCTTGAAACAGCTGCCCTACCACTCCCAATGCAACTTCCCAATACCATTTCTCTCTTTTCATTTTTCTTCTGTTCCAAGGCAGAACAGGGTAGGAAATCGTGTCAAATAAAGACAGAAGTGCTTGATGTTCCTAATGGCATCCCAAGGAAATGAAGTGTAAAATCACACGAGTTATTTAGCTTCACATACTGCTTTTATCAGAGTCCTGGACAGAACTCCTTAGCAGGAGAAAGCCTGATTTCCTTGGAAAGATGGAATTCTGGTGACAGCAGCAGGGAGCTGGGCTCTCCCGGCACCGATGCAGGATGGAAAGGTCTGTAAGTCACGCCGAGGCAAAAACCAAGACACAAATCGCCCCCCACCCCAACGCACACACACACACACAGAGCAAGACCACATTTTATCCCCACTTTTCAAAGGCAAAGTTGTGTGTGGGCTTTCACTCAGCCAGCTTTGAAAGATCCCTTAACTCCAGGATGCTCTTAGAGTAAAATCCGAACTCCCTGCTTTGTCTTCCAAGCCCAACAAAGTTGGAGCCAGCCTTGGGTTCCAGCTTACCCTGCGCACTCTCCCTCCTCAAGGCCCTCCGGTCCGCCTGGCTCCTTTCTGTTCCTCGAAGACTCCAGGCTCATGCCACCTAGGAGCATCGCCCTGAAGTGCGTCTTGTCCAGAGTGCTCCTGCATAGCTGTCCCCTCCTTCCCTTCAGGGCTCAGCTCAAATGCCATTTGTTCTGAGAAGCATCCCTGGACTACCCCTGGTCCGAGCAGGCCACTCTTTTTGGTTTTCTCCTGGCATTTATCACTCTCTGGGATTGCATTGTTTATTCGTTGTTTATTTTCTGATTCCTCCTCCTAGAAAGTGAATGGTGGGGTGGGGGAGAGGAAGACAGGAATTACACTGGTTTTGTTCATCATTGTATCCTCAGAGTCCTCAACAGTGCCTAGCACAGGATGGGTAAATCTGCCGGAGTTCAACTGGAAAAGTGGAAATAGGAGTTATATACATGTAAATTATTTTATGGGATTTGTTATGGAGAATTGGCTTATGCATTTGTGGGAACCGGGTAAGCAGTCTTTGTCAGGCTGCGTGTCAAGTCTGATGCTGGTGTCAGGTCCACAGGATAGGCAGTCGAGAGGAAAGGCAGATGTCAAGTAGGGAGAGCAAGAACCCACGAGCACAAGCTAGAGCCCCAGGATGGCAGCCTGAAGCCCGTGGCTATTCTTGTTGCCTCTGACCACAGTGGTGAGGCTGTCCTGCAGAAGCCTAGCCCTTCATCACAGAGCTGAACACATACACGCGGCTGGGAGTCGAAAAGTAGCAAGAAGTTGCCGGGGAAGGTTGCGGGTGTTGTGGCAGGCTGCTTCACTCCAGTGAGGTGAGTCAGCAGATCAGCAGCAACGTGTGTCAACTGCAAAACACGGCTGCAGCCTCTCTTGCCTTCTGAATCTTGCAAGAACCTTCCAAGAATCTTCCCTGTGGTCCATCTGAACTGCAAACATGCAGGAAAGATAATTCCAGGAAATGCAGTTGAGCCTGGCCAAGTTAATAGTCTCTGAAGCCATCATAGGTCCACATCAACGCTGATGGATGAAGAGAGGGAGTGGTTTTAGACTAAAGTGTGAACTCCTTATCTGGCACACCAATCTCAGGGTCCAGCCTCTGCCTGCTATCAGCCACCTATCCAAAGTCTATCTGCTCTCCAGCCCCCATCAGGGTCTCTAAACCCTTGGGCTCATTTGGACTGTCCCCTCTGTCCAGAACCCTCTTCCTTGCCCATCTGCCTGGGTAACCCTCAGCACCTTCTAAGACTCAAGCTTTAAGCAAGACCTCCTTTTGGAGTCATTTCACATCAAGATTGAGTCACAGCCTCAGCTGTACTCCCCTCTTCATTCTCCTACCTGGAAACAACTATTATCCACATGTCTCATGTCTCTTTCCGGAGATGGCCTAGTCATTTACCAACAAAATGTATATTTCTTTTTTTCTCACATGTAAGATAGCATACAATACATTTTTTCTGGATCTTGTGATTTTTTTCTCTTAACACTATATTCTGAAGATCTTTCCAAATCAAAATATACAGAAATTCTTTATTCTTTTTAAAGGTTGCCTGAAGTTTCATGTGGGTGGACCAAATTTGTTTAACTTGTTGCTTTTGCTGGATGTTTAAATTGTTTCTCATTCTTCACTGGGATAAACAACACTGCAGTGAACATCCTTACACGTGCCTAGATCATGCTCCTGCCCCTTCTACACCTGGCCGACTTCCAGTGCTCTATAGGATTAACATAAATATCACCTCCTCCATGAAGCCCACCTAAATCTTTCCTAAATTGGGTTGGCTGGTTGCCCCACTTTGCCTCCTAGGCAGCTACTTGCACTGCAACACTTACCATGAGCTATTGATGTGTCCAACTTGCCCTGTGACTTGTTCATCTGTGAATGTCCTGCACAATTTCACAGTACCTGACACACAGTAGATACTCAATAAATGTTTGTGAATTCAATACACATCAAATTTAAACCCCTAACTCTTGGGGCCTCCAAATCTTGCTTCATTCTATTTTTTTTTTTTTTTTTTTTTTTGAGACAGAGTCTTGTTCTGTGCTCCAGGCTGGAGTGCAGTGGCACCATCTCAGCTCACCGCAAACTCTGCCTCCTGGGTTCAAGCCATTCTCCTGCCTCAGCCTCCTGAGTAGCTGGGATAACAGGCACCCAGCACCACGCCAAGCTAAATTTTGTATTTTTAGTAGAGACGGAGTTTCACCATGTTGGCCAGGCTGGTCTCAAACTTCTGACCTGAGGTGATCCGCCTGCCTCGGCCTCCCAAAGTGCTAGGATTACAGGCGTGAGCCACCATGCCTGGTTGCTCCATTATAATTTATGTGTCCACACCTTGCCCAGGCTCGTACAGATCAGTCAGGCTCTCTCGCCTGCCTTATTCTTAGCCCTGCTTCTTCAGCTTTGCTCCTACTGTTTGCTCTCGTCTGCAACACCCTTCCCTCTCTGAAGCCCTTTTCCATCCTTCAAGGCACAGGTCTTCCCCTACCTCCTCCATGAAGATGCTTTCATTGAAATATCATCTCTCCCCTTTCTGAACTGCTGCTGCCTTTATAGTCACTTTGGCATATTTTTTCAAGCTCCGTTGCTCACTAATTGTTTCCCGTCTGTTGGTTTTGTGTCCCCAGCTAGACTGTGAGTTCTTTGAGAGCAGAACTTCTTTATAAACTCTTGCATCTCCCACAAGGCTGGGCTCATGGTAGCTACTCCATACTTCTGTGTTGGTCAGTCAACTGGTTCTTTCATGGATTGAGTCAGATCCCGGTACCGACTGTTAACAACCTTGTCCTTGGGGCACTACGGAGGTGCCGGAAATCATCGTGCTGGTAACTGTCACAGTAGGAGGCACCCTTAGATGGGGGAGTCCACTGGAGTGCAGCTCCTCTTATCCTCCTACTGCACCCTACCTAGATTGGAGCTTCTGCAAGAATGAACCTCTCAGTTACACCACGTTTTATCACTCTAACGTCTTTATGGACCCCAAAAACATCTATCCTATGGAAGTCTCTCCTTTGGAAGACACAGATAACATGTGTCTTGGGTCCCCAGATTCTGGAATAGCTAGCTCCTCAGGAGAAACGGAGCACCCAGAGAGAATCAAATGAGACTCACCCAGACCCCCTGTCCAGTCATATTTCCAGAGATAATGTGACACAGTCTGACTGAATCAGCCTTGATTTCCATCAAGAAGACATGAAGTCCGGGCGCGGTGGCTCACGCCTGTCATCCCAGCACTTTGGGAGGCCGAGGTGAGTGGATCACTTGAGATCAGGAGTTTGAGACCAGCCTGGCCAACATGGTGAAACCTCATTAGCTGGATGTGGTGGCACATGCCTGTAATCTCAGCTACTGGGGAGGCTGAGGCAGGAGAATCACTTGAACCCAGGAGGCGGAGGTTGCAGTGAGCCGAGATCGCACCATTGCACTCCAGCCTGGGCAACAGAGCGAGACCCTGTCTTGGAAAAAAAAAAAAAAAAGGTCGAAGCACGGAGTATGCAGAGAATGTTCTGCAGGGCACAGGATTCAAGGCAGGGGTGGCTGGAAAGACCCTGGACACATCCAGCTTTGAGAGCAAAGTTAAAGAGTTATTTTTTTCTAATAGGCAGTAGGAAGACAAAGCAGTTATCTAATCAGGAAAGGAACATGAACAGATTGATATTTTTACAAAGGTGATGGTTTGGAAAGCATTCCACACCAGGGACCAGCACTGGAGGTGTGACGACCAGCTAGACAGTCTGTTGTGATTTTCCAGGCAAAAGAGGTGATAAGAGCAGTGAAGATGGAGAGGAGAGCAGACTGTTGATATTTAGGATGCAGAATCTGTCACGATGTGGTCCTGAGTGGTACATTGGCAGGTGGTGGGGGCAAATGGGAGCAAGGATGGTAAATGATACCAAAGGCTCTATTTAGGGGTGCCAATGAAAGATAAGGAATAGAGGAGAAGGAAGAGCATGCTTGGATGGGCAGCCAGTGGTTCACTGTTGAGCATGTAAGACACCTAGGCAGCTCCGTGCAGTGGAAAATCCACACGGATGCTCTGAATGAGAGGCAGAGTGTGTGCAGGAGGCCCATGGGTAGAGTGTGCGCAGGAGGCCCATGGGTAGAGTGTGCGCAGGAGGCCCATGGGTAGAGTGTGCGCAGGAGGCCCATGGGTAGAGTGTGCGCAGGAGGCCCATGGGTAGAGTGTGCGCAGGAGGCCCATGGGTAGAGTGTGCGCAGGAGGCCCATGGGTAGAGTGTGCGCAGGAGGCCCATGGGTAGAGTGTGCGCAGGAGGCCCATGGGTAGAGTGTGTGCAGGAGGCCCATGGGTAGGCGGGACCTGCCACTGTGGTTAGGTGAAAGGTAACAGAAAAGCAAGGACTTAACACTGGGGAAAATCAAAATTTGGGGGCTGGGCCTCAGAGGGATGATGAAGGAGGAGAAGCAGGCATGACCAAAGTTCCAGAAGCCAGAGGAGTGGGTTTGAAGGAGAGGCATATAGCAGTGTGCAAAGGGCACACAGTGGGTTGAAAACAGACCCAAGGTAGAAATCTGTTGCATGCGAGCACCCAACATCACTTTTCTTGGTTCTAACACGCTGATTTCAGAAGAGGCGAGTTTATAATCCATTGTGTTTGGATGGATCAGACCCTGGCACCCTCCCTGAGTTCAGAAGTGGTCACGTGATCCTGGTCTGACCCATCTGATGATCACTACTTTCTGGCTAAGTTTAGAATTTCAGGATACTAGCTCACATCTGCAATTCCAGCCTTTGGAAGGCCCAAGGCAGGTGGATAGTTTGAGCCCAGGAGTTCGAGACCAGCCTGGGCAACATGGTGAAACCCCATCTCTACAAAAAGTATAAAAAATTATGGCTGAGTGTGGTAGCTTATGCCTGTAATCCCAGCACTTTGGGAGGCCAAGGTGGGTTGATTCTTTAAGCCCAGGAATTCGAGACCAGCCTGGACCCCATCTCTACTAAAAATATAAAACTTAGCAGGGTACAGTGGCACATGTCCATGGTCTCAGCTACTTGGGAGGCTGAAGTGGGAGAATCATTTGAGGTTGCAGTGAGCTATGATAGCGCCACTGTACTCTAGCCAGGGTGACAGAGTGAGACCCTGTCTCAAAAAAAAAAAAAAAAGTATAAAAATTAGCCAGGCATGGTGGTACCTGCCTGTAGTCCCAACTACTTGGGAGGCTAAGGTGGGAGAATCACCTGAGTCTGGGAGGTTGAGGCTTCAGCGAGCTGTGATTGTGTCGCCACATTCTAGCTTGGGAGACAGAGTAAGACCCTGGCTCAAAAAAAAAAAAAAAAAAATGAATTCAGGGATAAGGCTATAACTCATGACAGGCCAATGAGAGTCCATTCTAGGACTTTTGAAACCACTGGAAAAGAGAAATTTCAATCTATTGGGGTTGCTGTCCTGTGAGATAACAGGGCAGAGCTTCCAGAGAGCAATCTGCCACCTCCTGGGGTTCACTGGCTTGAGAATGAAACCAGCACAGGGGAAGAAAGAGCTGAGAGATAGAAACTCCTTGTTGATATGTTTCCTCCTCTGGATCCAGCTACGCATAGATGTTTGGGCCAACACATTTGCTTTGAAGCTTAAGTCCATTTGATTTGGGTTCTGTCCCTTGTGACCAAAGGAGTCTTGAGCCATGCATGGCCACATAGCTAATAAGGGGCTGCTGGTTGCACAGGCAGCATCTGGAGAAGGCTGGAGTCCAGCCCTGCACTTGCACATCACACAAATTACCACGAGCAGGTCAGTGGTCATGGCCATGGGAAAAAAAACTAGAAACGAGTGAGTTGGCTATGTTTCAATACCTGCTAGCGGAAAAACACAATGATTTCCTTTATGTTTTTCAGGGTTTGAGTCATCCAGGTCAGTCCTGGCTTGGCACATTAACTTATTGTTCCTGCCAAGGGAGATGGTTAAGATGGGAGGGTTGATTTATTTGAGTACACATGTGTCCACATCATCCTGGAAAAAAAGTAAAATGCAGATATGCTTTGCTGGCATGTGTTGTGACCCAAGAGGCCTCTTCTTGGCCTCAAAGACCAAAAGCCACGATGTTAGACATTGTTTCAGTCTTGAACTTGACCAAGCATGGGCAGGCACCTGGTATGATGGTGACATAAGGGCCCTGGGAGAGGAGAGTCCTCTCCCCACACGGTGGACAGGGTAGGAGGATTACTTTCTATTGAATAGTCTGAGACAAGAGTGGTGAGAAGGAGCCAGTTATTTGAAGAACCTAGGAAGGAGAGCAAAGCAGGTGCTAAGGAGGTGTGAGGAATGGTGGGAAGGCTAGTGTGGCTGAAAAGGGGTGAGCGAGGGGGACAGAGAACTGCCCTAATCTCTCCACCCATTTTGAGTCTTGACTGTCTGGTATTCTCTAGCACTTAATATAGTTAATCTCACCTTTTGTGCATTAATCCATCCAGTCATCCATTCCGCAAACATTTATCACACCTGACAGTGTAGGGGGTGCTGTCTTCAATGAAGGGTTCACCAAGCAGAAGGGGCAAGACACATCCCCCGCCACTACCCCCACCAGGCAGAGAAAGGCCTGTGAGCCAAGTCCTGGAAAGAAAAAAGCTCACCATTTAGGTGGGGCCTGTTGGGCAGGGCTTTGAATGCCCAGGGGGCACTCCGCCATGTGGAAAGTGTAGAAAACCTAAATGCAGAACTCCAGGAAATACTGATCTATGGGAAAAAAATTGTACTGAAATCCATGATTCTGGAATAAATCAGATCTAGTCTTATACTATATTCTAATACAGCCAAGTGGTGGCAGGGACTGAAGGTTTAAGAGAAAGCGAGAAGAGAAACACTTAAGATGGAGACTACTCCATTAATTAGCTTCATTTTTTTTTTTCTGACAACCAAGAAAAGTCCATCATTAGTTAATATTAGTGATGCCCAGCTTGGTTCAACTTAGAGCACCTGTTTTCTGCTGAGCGTCATTTGAGATCGGCTGGCATGGGCCAGAGGGAGCTGTTTCAGGGCCTCAATCAGGCAGTGACATGATCAGATTTATGCTTTGGAAAGGTCACTGTGGCTGCAGGATGAGGAGGGAAGAGACGGGTGGTTGTTAGCAGGCTGCTGGGAAAATGTACACGATGAGAACCAGAATTTGGGTAGAGACAGTGGAGATGCAAATTCCCTGAAGGCAAGAGTTTTGCTGTTTCATTCTTTCAGCAGTGCCTGGCAAGAGATAGGCACAGCCACTGGTAGATTTTTAGAAATGCCTACTGTATTGAATTGTCTGGTATTAAAAGCTACGGGACTCCAGACAAAACAAAAGTGTTGCCTCTCTCCAGAGTCTCCCTTCTTGGGAGAGGCATCATAGCTGAAGACAGACCCAGATAGGGAGTTTTCTGTTGTTGGAAATACTCAAGGTTTTGAGGAACTATTTGGGGACACAGAACACACAACTCCTGTTACCCGAACCTGGCCCGAATCTGTCTGTCAGATCTGTGCAGACGAGACATATGTTAGGCCTGGGGGCTTTTGCTGCTTGATAAGCAAACAACCATCTGTCTTTCTATAGGTGGGAGAAAGACCAATGTTAAAAGGTGTCTTTGAGATGGTTTAGCCCCCTCTTCCACATGAGTGTGCACTGCAGACACATCTGGATTCCCAAGGTCCAGAACAAGAAGCTCGGAAACGTGCTTAGATTTCCAAGTGTTCAGTTCTCAATACCATGCCATTCTCTTTGGAGTTTATGATGCCTTCCAGGGAGAGCAGAGCCCACGTGAGCTTTCCAACAGTAAGACTACTGCTGTAATAAATCATATTGCCCATTTGTGGCGCACTTACTCTATGCTGAGGTTGTATAAGGGCTTACATGAGCCCTATCTCATTTAAATTGTTTTCACCAAAGGGTGTGTGTCCCACTGCTGACCTGTTGAGCTAACCATCCCCTCTCAGTACTTGAAAACCTGCACCTGCCCAAGCCATGGCCTGGCTTCAATGGGGCTTCCTCCTGCACTGAATGAGATGACAAGAAAACAATGAAACACTTGTCCCCAAAAGTGACTTATTGGATTCGTTGGCAGAATGTTAGAAAGTGGGTATGAAGCCCAAGAAACAGGACACGGAGCCTCACCAAGCCCGAGGAGTATTACCGAATCCTAGCCCAGGCCAAGAATGAGTCACAATGAAAGCTTTTAAAATGTAAAACCATCAACCTAGATTTCAATTCCAAGGAAACACATACTTGGCCATGGGGGAATGCTTTAAAAAAAAAAAAAAATCAAGCTTAAGTCACTTGACAGGAAAATAAAACAGCCAAGGAACATTCAAATATAATGATTTACATCCTTCCCCAACTCCCTTCCAGTGTGGGTCAGGGCGAACATGGACCATGGACGTGACTGGAGCCAGGGGTGCATGCCCTCTCTGGGCTCCCTCTTGGTTAACACTATTTCAGGCACACAATCCCATACCTAAACACAGCCTGCTTAGAGCTGCACCGTGCTGCCTTTGGGGCCTGGTCAGAGCTGCACGGTGCTGCCTTTGGGGCCTGGTCAGAGCTGCACGGTGCTGCCTTTGGGGCCTGGTCAGAGCTGCACGGTGCTGCCTTTGGGGCCTGGTCAGAGCTGCACGGTGCTGCCTTTGGGGCCTGGTCAGAGCTGCACGGTGCTGCCTTTGGGGCCTGGTCAGAGCTGCACGGTGCTGCCTTTGGGGCCTGGTCAGAGCTGCACCGTGCTGCCTTTGGGGCCTGGTCAGAGCTGCACGGTGCTGCCTTTGGGGCCTGGTCAGAGCTGCACGGTGCTGCCTTTGGGCTGCTATGCCAACTTCTTGGATTTTCCTGACCTCCCCGCTGTTAGGCTCTTGGGTTGCTTGGGGTGGCTGTTTTGGGAATACCAGGATTTTTCTTCCATTATTTGTGTGCAAGCAGTGTTCATTTCGCTCAAAGAAATGGAAGCTTGATTGATCTCCTAAATGTAAGAATGAGATTGTCCTGTAATAAATATTTAAGACTGACCAGGAAAGGCGACCACCATCTGCTGAAACACAAGACCAGGAATTACTTTGCTAAGCTTCCTGAACGGAGGGAATGAATGAATAACCATCCTATATAATATTTGCTCAGCACCTGGTAGTTTACAAAGAGTTTTCACTTACCTTATTTGATCTTCACAATAACCCCAGAGAAGTAGACAGGGCGCGGATTACGAGGATTACGAAAAACCCACATTTTTTTCTTTTTTTCTTAACAGATAAGGGCTCTAAAGGCTTAAAGTCACTCGAGGGAGGTCAGAGAGTTTGGGGACTAAATCTCGAGTCTCTCATTAATTCATGCACATATTTAAAAAATATTTATCCGGAGCCTGTTCCAAGCCAGATGAGATGGCAGTGGGTACAAAGATGAATAAAACACTGTCCCTGCGTAGGAAGAAGATCACGTTCTAGCCTGGGGGAGAGCGCCAGGAAAAGTAAACAGGTCCCCCCCTGCTTTGTGAGGTGATGAGTGCTGGGGAGATAGGAAGAGAGTGGGGACCATGTTTCTAATCTGATTCTCCTACCGACGACCAGCTCAGTTGTTATTTACAAATACCTGTCCCCTAAAGGGGGGAGCGGGGTTGGGGGGGCTTGGCCGTGCTGCTGGGGTCAGAGCTCGCAGGGGGGTTCTGCCGCAGTGTGGGGACAAACTCTCCCTTATTGGGCAAATATTTCCCGGGGCGCTACGCTAAGCACACGGGCTCCCCGAATTTCCCTCCCCAGGGCCTCTCTGTCTTTGGATGGCCTGTCAGCAAGTCCCTGCAGCCTCCAGCCCGGCCCGCGCGGCGACCCAGTCCCCTGTCGCCCGAATCTTCCACCGCTGCGAAGCGTCCCCGGGCGAGCGCCCTGCTCTCCGCGCTGCGCGGAAGCCAGAGCCGGTCCTCACAGTGAACTCGCCCAGCCCTGCTCGCGGCTCTCTCGATTTTATGTGGGTTTCGTTGGATGCATTTTGTTATTTGCCTCAATGGATGTTTCACATTAATTTTTAGTTGCACAACGAACGCGCGGGAACATTCTCCGTGAGAGAAAAAGCACGGGTGGGGGGCGGTTACCGGTGCTTCCCCCGGTCGCCTGGGGGTCCCGCACGCGCCCCGCGGGTGCCGCTGTCTGGCTGGGGTCCCTGGGTGAGCCGCGGGCACCGGCTTCGCGTCTCCCCGGGCGCGACTCCGCTTTGCAAGCGCTCAGCACACGGGAAACCCTCGGAAAACACACACGTGTGTAAAGTTTGTTCCACGCAGAAACAAAGGACGCGTGGGGGCCGCTTCTGGGGCCTCGGTCCTTTGTTGGAACCCCGCACCGCAGCCCGGCCCGCAGCCTCGCCCCGCAAGGGGAAGCCGGCCCTGCACAGGCCCGGGGCCCGGAAGGCGCCGCCGCACAGCTCTGCGCCCCCGACCCGCTCCGGCCGCGCGCTGGGCCAGGCCCTTGGCCTCAAGCCTCCCGGGCGGCTCCGGGCCGGACCCGGGTCTCCGTCGCGGGACGCCAGCCTGTTTGTGGGTGCCGTGCTCGGGCCCGGGCGGCCCCTGCCCGACGCGGCCCCACGGAGCCCCTGCACGAACCCCGCCGACCTGGCCCGGGGCGGCAAGTCGAGGTGCTTAGGGCGCCCTGGGCCCGGCCAACCGTGGAAAACCCGGCCCGGGGCACGGGGGGGCGCGGGGGTCGCAGGGCCAGGGCCCAGGCAGGGAACAGAGATTTTTTTCGCGGGGAGGGGGGTGGGAGGTGTCAAAGTTTTCGGGGAACTTTTCCACTTGAGATTCCACGACCCTGCAGTGCCCCCTACAGAAAGCGGCAGCTGGGGAGGGCGGGCGCCCCCGACGACCCCCGACTGCCAGCGGCGGCGCGGCCAGGCTGCCTGGAGTTCTTGTTCCTTTTTTTTTTTTTTTTTTCCTTTTATTTCCTCGTGGTTGTTTGTCGGATACATCTTTTTCCAGAGTGGGAAAAAAAAAAAAAAAAGCGAGCGCCGCCGCCTGCAGTAGAGCGTGCTCGGCCTGCAGAGGCAGTCGTCTCCAACTTTTCCTCTCCCGCTCCAACTCCCCGCGCCCAAAACTTCAGTTCTTGGGGAGCCCAAATTTGCCTGCCGCGCAACTTCCACTCTAATTCAGCGACCAAGGGCCCTGGCAGCGGTTTGCAGCCTGGGGGCCACGCTCCCCAGGCTCAGGCCTGCTCGTTGGCCTGCTCCTAGTGCCTGGACCCAGTTGGGGGAGGCGAAACAGGGCGCCCGAGGAGCACCCCGGGAGAGGGCGGAGCACTCCCGTGCCCCGGGGCAGGAGTGCAGGGAGCTCCCGCGCCCGGAACGTTGCGAGCAAGGCTTGCGAGCGTCGCAGGGGGGCACTCGCGAGGGACGGACAGGAAGAGGGCCAGGGGGGAACGCCAGAACCCGGGACCACAGCACGGAAACGGTCCGGGGCTGAGCTGCAGTCAGATCCGGGGATGGAGGGAGCCGGAGAAGAGGAGTGAGAAGGCCGGGGAGGCAGGCCCTGCTGTCTTCCTGCAGGCCGGCAGCCTGCTGGCAGTGGAGGACCAGGCCGTCCAGGAAAGGAAGGGGTCAGGAGGTCGGGCAGGGCCTCAGCAGGTTCAGACAAGTCCCCAGAAGGGAGCTGCAGGCGCCCTCGAGTCCAGGCCCCAAGCCTGGCTCCGGTTGTCCAAAGAGGGCCTAGGCCAGGCCTCTGGTGCGGAAACTGAGTCACAGCCAGACCTCAGGGCACGGCCTAGACGCTTACGAGCCAAAGTTAGGGGTAGAGAGCAGAGACCTCCGGGGGGTCTCAGGGAGTAGGGGGCTTCAGGGCCTCCCAGTCTAGAGCCGGATTGGCGAGTTAGACGCTTGTAGATCCAAGGTTGGATTGGGGTGGGGTCTCTGGGACGTTGGATCGCTACGCAAGGATTGGGGGGATTCAAGTGCTTAGAGATCGAAGTCTGCCCTGGGTAGGGGGAGTCAGACAATTGGAAAGCCTAGGTAGTTATTTGGGGAGGGGTCTCTACGCCTTGGCGAAGCGCACAGCTGCATCTTTTTGGCTTGAGGCCTGAGGCCTTGTCGAGAAGCTTCCGTGAAAGGGTGGGCCAGCCGGGCCACGAGAAAGAAAGTGAATAAATCAGGAATATAAGTGGGCGGGGGGCCCCTGAGAGGGGGGTCGCAAAGGGTGAGACATGGCCACCAGGCGTTTAACCGACGCTTTCTTGTTGTTGCGGAATAATTCCATCCAAAACCGGCAGCTGTTAGCCGAGCAAGTGAGTAGTCACATCACCTCCAGCCCTCTGCATTCACGTAGCATTGCTGCGGTGAGTCTCCTGGCGGCCTCTCCGACACACGGACCGTGTGCACTGCGGCTCTGCCTGTTTGTCTGTCTCTGTCTGTCTCTCTGTTTAAAAAGAGAAGATAAGAATAATAAGACTAAGAATAATAAGATCTCTTGGCTAGAGTCAGGGGGCATCTGTAGCCCTGGATGAGGAAGAAGCGGTGCTGTGAGGCCGCAGCTCCACCTCTGCCCGGTCTTCTCCTCACTTCCGCAGCACCCCCCCCCCCGCACCCCCCGCCTTGGCGTCACTGCGCTACAGGCCGCCTGTAATTTACATATGTTTTAACGCTAACATTGGGAAGCATTGGGCCTTTCTGAAGCCTTTTTGTTTCGTTTTGTTTGAAGCTCCCCTCCCCCCAGTAATGAGCCTCAGTTTGGTCCTAAGGGCTGGGTCGCCGGATCGTAGACCCAAATCCTTGCAAAATGAACGACTCCCTCCCCTCAAAGAGGAGGGAGTTGTGTTGTTGTTTTGTTTTGTTTTGTTTTTCCGCCCGTTTTCTTTTAACGGCCCCGCAGCCCTCTGTGTGGCCTTGTTCCCTGTGAATAATTGCCTCACTGTTCTTCCTGGGGGCTTGCGTTTGTGAGACTCAAGGTGCTAGCCTCTTCACTTTCCATTTCCCAGACAGGAAATTAAGCTTTCCTCTCCATTCGAACTTTTTAAAAAAAGCCTGAGGAGGTATATGTGAAAATTAACCCCGTAAAATAGCACTTTTTTTTTTTAATTAACCACAACCTTTAGTTAGCCTAGCAGTAGCGTTTTTTAAGGGTGGTCCTGGAAAAATTACTGTTTGGGGTTTGTTTTTAATGGGGGCTACTTTTCCCTTTCTGAGCCTCAGTTTACTGCTCTGTTAAATAAGGGGCGAGTCTGGATGATCTATACCAGACAGTGATCGTTAGCTCTGTAATGTCTTCAATTGAAAAGTGAAGTTATGAAACTGGCTGTAGTTCAGGCTACCTGCTGTAGGCAGACTAGGTTGGAATAGAAGCAGCGTTGGAACAGGCGGGAAATAGCCATCCCAGGACCACATTCTTGGGGGTTATACTTGATATTAGGCAATTTTGGAACATTCATTTCACCTCTTAGGGACTGTATTGCCAGTTTATTTTTTTCTTTATGGCTTTATCTAAATGCTTCAGGAAAATTTTGCCATATGTCATGATTATCATGTCTACAAAGACAGTTTCTCCTTTTTGTAAGTCACAGGTGGAGAATGTCTTTGGCCATATAACTGATAGAAAAGTCATTTTAAGCCGTGTGAGCGGTTTCAGGAATAAAAGCATGTAAACTCAGGTCAAACAGCCTAGAACTAGGGACAGAGTGTGTGTGAGATTTCAGTTAATTAAGAAGTTGAAGGGTTTTTTTTACATTTATAAACGGAAAGGAATTACATTATATTGAAATAAATGTAAAGATGTCTGGTAGCATAGAAACAGGCTAATTCTAGCGCTAATTTTGAAGAAGAAATAATCCAAGAAATCGAGTAGAAATTGGATGAATTCAATTCCTTAATGGAACTTCAGTAATGTTAAATAAGAACTGCATGTTCCTTAAATGACTTGATTTTGTGCTGCCTCAAAAACTACTGAAACTCATATTAAGATTTCTAAGGTATCAGTTTTAATTGAAAAACATATTGTTTATTTTTCAATTTTTAATCATTAAGGTTCAAAATACCCTGAACCTTTGGGTAACATGAGGGTTTTTTTTTTTTTCCCGATTAAGTCAGACAGTTTAAAAACCTAGTATCTGAGACGGGAAGCTTTTTAAAAGTGCATCTCTGAATCAGACCACTTTAGAAAATTATTTTCTAAGTTAGGCAATTTTAAAAAATATTTAAGCTAAGCAGAATAATTAAAAATGGATAGTTAACGTATACAGTTTGGAAAAATAGATATGTCAGGGTATATACAGATACATTTAGCTAACTCACAGTTTTTTGAAAATAGATTTCTAAACCCAACTAAAAATACATTTCTAAGAACGTTAAAAAATGTTTTCTAAATGTCATACCATTGAAAATGTTAATATTTATATTAGTCTGACCATTTAAAATCTTTCTCAGATCATTGAAAGCAGTCATATCATTTAAAATATCCTTATAGTCAATCCATACTATCTCAAAAATAGGTTTTGCAGTCTAACAAACATAGTTTGCCTGAATTCAAATTTAAAAATAAAACACAGATTTATATATTTTAATTGTGTTAAAAAATGGCATGTCATAAATTTCTGAAGTATTTAGGGTTGAAGTGTTACATCTTCACTTTGCTTACAGGTGATTCGTAACAAAATCTATTCTGCACACAGTACGGCGAAATGCTAACAAGACTAAATAGAGGTTATGATTTTTTCAACTTTTCTGGAAGTTGGAAAAGCTTTATAAACATTTTGAAGCAAAAGCCATGTTTAACACAATTTGTAAAATCTATTGAGTAACTCTTAGCAATGCTTTTCACTGCATATCTAGCTCACAAAAAATTTAAAGCCTTGTTTCTGACTTGTAAATTTCAAAGCCATGTAGCAAACCAAACAAAATCGTATCTGTCAAATTTTGAATATGGACTAGGTATTAGGTGACATTAAGGAATTAATTATAATACATTACATTTGCTAATTTTATTAGAGATGCCTACTGAAATGTTTAGTGGTGAAATGTCAAGGCATCTTACCTAAGTCCTTAAACCCCTCCAAAAATAGAGGAAGCAAATAAGGCAAATTGTTACTCATTGTTAAGTCTAGTGATGAGTATGTGTGCGACATTTTACCATTTTGTAGGCTTTTCTGCATGTTTGAAAATTTTTAAATAGAAACTTAAAGTAAGTATATTTGTTATAGTAAAGTAAAACAGTTAAAAAGAGGCAATTTGTAAATACATGTCTAACACTCAGGCAATTTGAAAGGAAGAAATTAAACCTAAGTTTAACTTAATTTAAAAAATAATAACCTGGAATTTTAAGTTTCCAATTAGAAGAAAAAGCTGTAGACTTTGATCTTGATGCATTTGATACCAACTAAAAATACACCTAAAATAACAGACTTTTTAAAAAAAAAATTGTAATCCTGAATTTTGACATCTTATTTCAGGAAAAAGCTGCAGAAATTAATTGCAGAGTAGTGTGTATCATACACCTCAAAGCAAAGCACACCTAAAGCCATGCCATTCAAAAAATTTAAACATGCATTTTTTGCATCCTAGTTTGAGGGAAAAAACTAGAATTTGGTTGTTGTAGTGGGGTTATTGTGTGTCCCTGTGCGTGCATACAGGGTTTTGCAGCATTCAGGCAAATATGTCAAATAAACAGGAATTTAAGGAGGATACGCAGTGACCAGATAAACACAAAGCCTCAAGGGCCAGAAGGAACCTAAAGGTCATTTGGCCTAATGTCCCCATTTGTGATAACCCCTCATGCCTATCTTATTTGGCCATGGTGTATGACAATGATGGAAAATGCCAGCAGCTCCATGATTTTTACCACTAAAAAGTCTTTGCCTGTTAATCCCAACTATTTGTGTCCTGGGGTCCTGCTTTTAGTTCTGTTCCTTCGGGTCTTCCTTCTGTCTGGTAACCCTGCAGCCTTGTTACCCAGAATTCTTTCCAGGCCTAGCATTCCCGGCTCAGAGTGGTTATGCTTTTTTCCTATAAATGATGTTTAGTTTTTCTGTATCCTTTTTAGATTTCAGCATCCAGAACTGAGCAAAATTCTACTTTTTTGTGTTCTTAGTTGTATTAAAGTTAGTAAAACTAATTGTAAAAAAACAGACAGGTTTGACTTTATGCACTCCTAACAAAATACAGTCGTATTTCCCATGCATTTTACTTTGGCCTCAGTTTTGAGTGCCCCATCACGTTCATGCCTCAGGGCAGCATGAAATAAAGGAAAGAGCACTGAGAATTGAATCTGAGAATTGAGGCCTAAGTCCTGTTCTGCTGCAGGCTCAGAGTGTGTCCTTAGGCAAGCCTTTAATCTTTTCGGACATTTTTTGCCTCATTTGTAAACTGAGGGGTTTGGGTTAGGTGATTTCCAGCAGCCCTATCGATTCAACAGTATTTTCTCAAGTTCTGTTTTAATACATTGTTTCTCCTGACTTTAGCTTTAATTTGAAAAGGAGAAATTCATAGTCAACAGTGTTGTAGCTGTCAGTCCAAGGTTACTGACAGAAATCCTTAGAAGTAGCCCCAGTACTGTGCAAAAGTAACTTTCACATTATTATGCCAGCCAAGTGCAGGTTTTAAGGTAGCAACTCATTCAAGCAGCTTGGCTTTAGGAAACTGAAATGGATTTATGAAGCTAAACAATTATTCAAAACAAATTGTAAAGTCATAAAGAAATGAATGAAAGGTAGATATTGAGATGCTCTTCTGATCTGATGAAATTCTGTATGGATTTGTGTGGTTTCCTTCGATCTCCGGGAATGGATCTAATATAGGGGTTGGAGCTACTTTGTTAGTGTTTACTGCCTAATCTATACTCTGCTTTAAAATAATGCATAATCTATAATTGGAAGCTAGCGTTAATTGGTCTTAGATTAGTTTGAAACATAAGCACATTATTTTTAATAAAATGTGTGCTTTAGGAAAAAGGAAATTAAGGATTAACTATGGTTATAAGAAACCTGAGGTCCTTATTCAGGCTTGACTACAATATTAGCTAAGATTTATGGAGAGTTTACTTTGTGCCTGGCTCTGGGCTAAGCCCTTTCCGTGTGTAAGCTCAGCTCATCTTCACAGTGCTCTATCAAATAAGTACTATTGTTTTTCTCAGATACAGATAAGGAAACAGATTTTAGAGGAGGTAGGAAACTGGCCCAGTGTCACCCACCTGATGGCTGGGGGCTGTGATTGGAACTCTGGCAAATCTGGCTTCAGAGCCCCGTGCTCACCTCCTGGGCCACTCTGGTGTTGGCTGCATTTTCAGAACTTGTGCTGCAGATCCTGGAAAATGGAAGGACCTATTGTTTTAAAACAATTTTTTTTCTTGCAATAGGCTAGCATCTTTCTTTATCTCACTTTATGAACCTTACATAGTCAATTTTAACTTGCAGATTGAAGATTCTAAGTTTTAGTACAAGCTGAGTCTGTTGGAAAATTAGTTCTCTGTCTTTAGAATCCAAGTATGAAATCATTATATATTTCTCTTTAGATCTACTTGCTTTTCTGCTTTTAAAGATTCCATGGGAGCAGTGAGGCTTACTTTGAGAATAAGGGTACTTTGTTGGATAAAAGTGAAGCAAACTTTTATTTTGGCAGTAACGGAAATAAAGTAAATATCACTATAGCATAGACCTGTGTTTCCAACTCATTTTGCTCAACTTTTCCAGACTTCCTGAGTAAACACAGATGGGTTTCCACTTATTTTTCAGTTTTATGTAGAAAGTTCTTTAGACTATAAATTCCACATGCTACTTGGAGTTTTCAGTGTTTGCTTGATTGCATGCCATTGGAAGGTCAAAAACCTAGATTTAGACATTATAAAGATTTAGAAGGTGATGATGTGTAGTAACGTGTTTTCATTTGGCTTTATTTTGGTCTTTCTTGATGGTAATTCTAAATGTTTTAATTCAGGTCTTGACTAAATTTCCTGGTAATTTGGTGGCAGACAGAATTTTGAAAGCCTTCTATTTTTAAATAGCAGAATGGTGGGGAGGGTCTTTGAAAAGGTGACCTTAATTTAATATTCCTGATGTGGTGGTAGCTGCCTATCACAAGTAATTCCCTGAATTGTTAATAAAATTAGAGAGGCTGGAGGGTGGGGTGGAAAGAGACCTGAACACCTGGGTCTGTCCCCAGTCTGACCATTAACAAGCTCTGTGGCTTCAAGCAATGCATTTATACATTTTGAAGCTTAGTTTTCTTATTTGTAAGAAAAGACTTATTTCTAGCCCTAGAATCCCATGATTCTGATTTCACCTCTTATCAACTAATAATTGTAGAAATCAGAAGATCAGGGTGTGTGTGCTCGGTTAATAATCCAAGAGCATAGGCACATGTGCAGCAGAGATTTTAACCGAGGTTTGCAATAGTACATCGTTCAAAGATTAAATGCCAGGGAGCCGCTGCAGAATAGGAAGAAGACTGAGATACTCAAGTTAGGGATTTTGTCTTGCATCATGTTTTATTAATAAAAGATTTTAATGTTCTCTTAATGTTAAGCTTTTAAAAAATAAAAACATTTTTTCTTTGTAAAGTAAAAGGTAATTAAATCAGCTTTCCATTTGATTTATTAATATCGTCTAGTACTACTATTATGGCAGGGTGTGTATAGAGTTCTTTTTTGCTCTCATAGAAAATTGTGGAAGGAATGAAGAGGATTTGCAGCTTTTCATAATGTCATCTAATTGAATTTTTACGTGGAGTAAAGTTTGATTACATTTTTATTGCTATCATTGTTTAATAATATTTTGACCCTGATAGAGCAGCTTCATTTGCACTATTTTTAAATAAGAAAGTTATGTTTTATTTTCTAAATTTACTGCTAAACATAAAAAAACACAATTGATTATTGAATTTCACCACTAATTATTTCAGTGATCAATACTGTACAAAAAAAAGACCTAGTTGTTTAGATTATCTGTCATTAGTAAATGTCTGTCCAGAAGATAGAGTTCCATGTTGATCTAAAAAAGAACCTTTACTTTTCAATTGAAACTTAACCCTCTGGTGTCATGCTTCTCCCTTCCCCCTCCCCTTAAAAGAAAAAAATTATTCTTACCTTTTGTTTTGTCTCGTTTGCTTGCTTTTATAAGAGCCTTATGAATAACTGTATGCTTTCTAGCTAATAATAATACATACCAAGAGATGGTAAGAGTTTTTCTTTTATTTTGCCACCTGTGTCTCTCTCCGGGAAAGAGTGGTTTCTCAGCTCTCTTACTACCAGGGATGAAGCCGTGTCTGCGGGATGTAATTTGCAGAGACCTTACATATGTGGTCACTCACATGTTATCTGAATACAGCTACAGACAATTTTTGTGGGTCATTTATTTTTTAATTTTGTTGCATTTGCAGGTCTGATTTACATGTTAAAATATACATTTATTTAACATGATAAAATTACATTTTAGCTCTGCTCTCTTATTTTATTTTCCTGAGGGAAAATAGAATGTGGTATTGTATGTGATATTTGGTGTTTATGAAACAGATTAACAGCATATTTTAGTGAAACCAAAGCAAGTGTGTTTTATCTGTTTCCAGTGTATTTTAATATTTACAGTCATTTTTTGCTTGTTTCCTAGCTCATTTTCAAAACAACCACAGTAAATAAAAATTAAAGCATATATTGATGTAGCTTAATTTAAAAAAAAAAAAGGAGATTTTAAAATGCCTTGCTTAGTGGATCTTTATATTTAGTCAGCTTAAAATCTCAGTGTTTTCTCAACTGACCATGCCTTGTCTGTCTGTCTGTCCCATGCTGCTTTCTTTGTGCTTTCCCCAACTGGATGGGACTGATGGGGACAACATGTCTCTTCAGGAGCTGGACGAGGTATTGTGTTTTGAATATTTTTATATGTTGGGTAATTTGAGTTTATAAAATACCTACTTTTCCTGAAGTCTTTGCTCATATATAAAATGCTAACAGCTTATACATATTTAGCATTTGTTTTGATTACTTTATAATTTTTTTAACAGTTTAATATGTAGAATTTAATCTATTTTCACACCATGTGAACTGATGATTTAAAAAAGGCTTTGGGAAGATCGTTTACTAGTCTTGGGAAAGTGTCTTAACTTTGGAAGCAGTAAAGGTTGAACACTTTCTTCAAGGAAGCCAGAATGTTTTGAGAATTAATGTCTGTAGCTTCCTGATTTCTGAGAAGTGAGTCGTGCACTTCCTCAGGTAGACAGTATAGAAGGCCAGCATGTCTGTGAAGGCCCTAAATGAGAAGGACTGTAGCCACGGCAACTGTGGGAGGGTCTTCCTTGTCACTCCTGTCTGGAATGAGATGACACCCAGTGGATGCACCTGGAGCTATTGTCACCTGGGCCCAGTTCTGCATCTCCTAGCTGGGGGTGCCTTTGGCCTTTTTATTAGCTACTAGCATCTTGCCCAGAAGGTGGAGAGAATATATATTCAAAGCACTTTATTTTAGTAGCCGGAGTAAAAGGGTTGAGAAAAAATGAGATTAAAACTGTTGTTAATGTTTGTGTCTATTGTCTGTTTCAGCATTGAAGGGGTAAGAATATTTTTCCTGAGTATAGACCTTTTAAGTAGAGTGATGGAGAGGTGAGGGTTGTTCTTGTTTGTTTTCATTTAGAAGTATGAATAGTAAAGTAGGATTAGGAGGATCACTGTCCTTAAAACCAGTGGGGTCCTAACTAGTAGATTCAGATCTACCTATATATTCTAAAAACCTTAACTAGTTGATAATGACAACAGACTGAGCACAGCCTAAATAGCCTTCATTGGGAACTGGTTAAATATATTGTGTAGCATCTCTGACCCTCTGTAACAGGTAAATAGTGAGGCCCATCCATGAGAGCTGCAGTGGAATAAGCCCCAGACACATGGCGGAGTGGAAAGACCCAGATGCAGAGCAGCATGGATAATATGATTCCTGCTCCTTTTTTTTTTTTTTTTTTTTTTTTTTCAGGAAAAATAACTCATATTTATGCTTGTGTGTGCTTAAAAAATTCCTGAAAAGATACACAAGAAACTGTTAACAGTGGATACACCCCAAGAAACATCTGGGATAGAAAACTTCCTTTCTATTGCAAACCCTTTTCTTAGGGTGGATATATATTTTTAAACCATGTGCATGTATACTTTGCCACTAAAAACAATTAGTTAAAAAAAAAAAACACCACTCAACGGGTAGCTGACTGAGCCAGGTGTCATGGTCATGCCTGTGTGGGGGTTTCCTTTCCCATTCAGGAACCTCACTGCCAGCTCCCCGCCTGGGCACGGGGCCCTGGAGAGGGCTTGGGGGCTTGGAGAGCAGGCGTTCTGAGTTAAAATAGATGTTGCTACTGGCTGAACAGTTTGAAGATATGGAGCTTATGACCTCAAAAGGAAGTGTATAGGATGCGAGGGAGGGTAACAAATTATGGAACCACTTAGGTTGAAGAACCATTTGAATAATGTTCCAAGGAGGGGCACATAAGTGGTCATAATTACTTCGGGGTCTGCTGTCTGAACCGATTTCCAGTCTTTCCTACTTCCTTTTTCAGGCAGCAAGTTCCAGAAACTGGCTACTCACTGCATGAACTTGGCAGGCCCTTTTGCTTTTCTTATGTTTCACCTCTAAGGGCTTAAAAGGGAGTCTTCACGCTCTGTGATCAGAGGCCCTGCGTAGAGAGCACTATCTCCTCCACGCTCACCCCAGTGCTATTAGAAATGCAGGTTGCTGCCTCATCGTGGGTGCCCACGGCCACCTCATTTCCTTGTGCGTTTCACTTGCCTCTTTTGCTCTTTTGTGCAGTGCCGTTATCTTTTTCATGAAGTGTGGCTTCCACAATTGTCTGTGACGTACATTTTATTTACCTCGTGCATTCATTCCACTCGTTTCTTGTCGGATCACTCAGCTGGTTGTGATTGTGCGTTCAGGACTCTGAAGTGCCAGGTACTGGCCTAGGAGCAGGGGGTGTGGTTGGGGACAGTGTCCAGAGGCTTCTTTGAAGCTGACGCAGGGCCTCACATTGGCATCTCTGGAAATAGTGAACACCCAGCTCCAGAGTGGATTAGATGTTAGCCACCCCTTTATAGGGGAGGCCTGAGCAAATGTCCCTGAGTGAATATCACTTGCATCTCCCAGAGTAAAGGCATCTGACGGCCTCACTTCAGAGGCTTCCTGCAGTCTGTCCATGTTTGATTGTCATTCTCCTCCTCTAGCCTGAGTACCCTGGAGATGTCACTTTTCCTTCTCAGAAAACACTAAGTAAGGTGTTCCCTGAGGAGGACCCGAGCCCACCATTGGTTCTCTTACCCAGGGAAGTGTCTGGCCCTCTCCTTTGTTCTCTGTCTTTAATCTACTTCCTGTCTTATGACAAAGAAATCTCTGGGAGTTTTTAAACTCAAGAATTATTTTAAAAGTCACAAGATAACAAATGTCAAGCCCCCAAACCACACTGCCTGGAGGACTGCACATCTGGGAGTGCCTGGGCCGGGCCCCAGTGTCCATGTTGGTGAAATAGGGAGCGGCGCTCCTCTGAAGGATTGTTCTTGGGACTGGCATGGGCCAGGTCAGTAGCAGTGC
This sequence comes from Homo sapiens, assembly GCF_000001405.40. Lineage (NCBI taxonomy): Eukaryota > Metazoa > Chordata > Mammalia > Primates > Hominidae > Homo > Homo sapiens. Next base: position 58,662,345 of record NC_000020.11, read on the forward strand.
TCAGTACAGTGCTCACAGAAGGCAGGGAGGGACGGATTGCTCCCCTCCTTTTTCTTCCCCTCAGAGTATGTATGTTAGTTGAGAAAAAAGGAAAATCAGTGAAACTTAACAACAGTATCAGGGTGATGTGATTCTCAAGTGTTTTTATCTCTATATTTTTTGTATCATTTATTTTTATTTTTTTGAGACAGAGTCTCACTCTGTTGCCCAGGCTAGAGTGCAGTGGCGCGATCTCGGCTCACTGCAACCTCTGCCTCCCCAGTTCAAGCGATTCTCCTGCCTCAGCCTCCTGAGTAGCTGGGACTACAGGTGCGTGCCACCATGCGTGGCTATTTTATTTATTTATTTATTTTTGTATTTTTTAGTAGAGACGGAGTTTTGACATGTTGCTCAGGCTGGTCTCGAACTCCTGAGCTCAAGTGATCCGCCTGCCTTGGCCTCCCAAGTGCTAGGATTACAGGCGTGAGCCACTGCGTCATCCTATGCCATTTTAAAAGTATTTATTTTGACCATTTACTAATTTCATAATTAGAAAAGGTAAGCATTATTTTAAAATTATTACGGGTTTAGAAAAATGTAGTGCTGACATCACTTTTTTCTTTTATCCACATGCTTATTCACTTCTCCAACAACTCGGATTTCTTAAGCCTAATTGTCTATTAGCGAAGTAGTCTGACTTCATCATACAGGCTCCCAGAGTTTCACGTGGAAGTGTGAGTTGCCAGTCTGTTGATTTTCAGTGTCCCTTCTGGGCTTTCCAAGTGTTCATTGCCATAGACAGTCCAGAATTATCGGTATTGTTCTCATTACCAATGCGTTACGGCTAAACTTAGTTGATTTTTTTAGATGGGGAGGAGGTGTAGCTGACTTTTCCAATCTCCACAGAGGCTTTGCTATTTCTGTAATCTTAGTCTACACTAAATCAGCCTTCAGGGAAAGGCAGGGTTTTTAAGAGTAGGAGGGCCATAGATTTGGAACAGCAAGATTTATAAGAGAGAATGTGTATGTTCTTTCCATAGATGGAGAACTTGTCCATACTGGCTGGTACTCTTTAAATGGACAAATGTCAACATTTGAAGTGGATCAAAGGCAAAAGATACCTTTAGTGAGACTGGCAGGAAAGCCATTGGGTGTGCTGTTTTGAACATCTGTTGGATTTTTTCTGCATTTCTCTCAGGAAGGATGGCTCTAGGTTAGGGTAGCGGACCCCAGTAGTTCTTGGAGAGAGGAACTACATATCAAAGAGGCAAGAATTCTTAATTCTCTTAAGTACAATTTTTATTTAAAAAATATGGATTTTTTTTTTTTTACTTCAGAAGCACAAATTTATTTATTTATTTATGTATTGAGATGGAGTCTCGCTCTGTCTTAATAAAAGGCTGGAGCACATTGGCACGATCTTGGCTCACTGCAACTTCTGCCTTCCGGGTTCAAGTGATTCTCCTGCCTCAGCTTCCCGAGTAGCTGGGATTACAGGTGCATGCCACCATGCCCGGCTAATTTTTGTATTTTCAGTAGAGACGGGGTTTCACCGTGCTGGCTAGGCTGGTCTTGAACTCCCGACCTCAGGCAATCCGCCTGCCTCAGCCTCCCAAAGTGCTGGGATTACCGGCGTGAGCCACCATGGCCAGCTGCACAAACCAACATCATATATTTGGAGGGGGCACCATGTTGAAATTCAGTAAGGGTAAGGAGAGAGAATTAGAAACCTGGCCATTTTTTAAGATCTGTATGAAATAGGATGGCAGCTTGAAAATTGATACATATGCTGGATCTTCAACAATAAGAAGACATGTTTTTAAATGGAAAGTGAGGTTTCTGAAATTAAAAGGGTGCTTATGTTGCACATAAAATTTGTTTATGTCCATATTTGTTCCCATTTCAAATAGTTGACGCTTATCTTCAACAATTGTTTTCCCTTCCCAAAACATACTGTCTTGTTTTTTAATAGTACATACTGTGATACACATTACAAATCCATACTGCTAAAAGAAATGACACATTTCTTCTCAATAGGGTGGTGTTTCTTTATTATAATGAACTATAGCTATAGACTGTATCATAAAAGAGACAAATTATTCGCTATTTAAAGTTTTCATTCCCAAAGAATCAGCTGTTCTATCTTACTGGCAAAACTCTGATACAATGTGTGGGAAAGCTAGTACCAGCTGAGCAGGCTGGCATCCATGCTGTTCATGTAGGAATCTCTAATTAGCAAGCTTCCTTAGGACCCTTAACAAAGAGTGTGTTCTCCCCACTTTTGATTTACATCTAATTTGAGGGGAACACATGCATAAAATCAAGTACTGCTTCAAAGAGTTGTATTCACTTCAACCGACTTTTCATATGTGGTTTATAATTTGTTGTTTTGGATAAAATGATACTAATCCCAATGCAGGTAAATTTAGATAGATACCATCTCTCTGTCTTCTTTAGTTTAATGTGTATTTGTAAACAGTAAAAACAGTACAAAATAAGATCATGAGCTTAAAAACTCTAAAATCACTATAAATAATTACTGATTGAAATGTGTAATAATAAAATATAGTGGATTCGATAATAAACTGGTGTAGTGGAAATTCTAGGACCCATGAAGAGGTCCTTTAGCAATTTTAGATTTTACTTTGTATAAACAGCTGGAGTTCAAGTTCTGTTCCAGTCCAGCAATACTGTAGACAGCACCTGATGTATGGCTGGCAGGTGCTGCGAGCTGGGCCTGTGGTTTGTCCCCCTGCTTTTTAGTCAGTGTGTCCTCCACAGAGTTGTGTACCTCTTGGTGACTTTGGAGCAGGAGTGTTGAGGAATAAACAAGTCTGCCTCTGAGTGCTTGGCACAGGCCCTCTCTGTGCCTGCTCTGTAGAGGGTGAGGTCTGCGCCTCTCTGTCCACGGATGGTCAGTAAGAGAGGATGATCTTTACTGACACTAACGTCACTCACTGGCGGCCTGTCCTATAGTGCCTGGTGTAGTTGGTGGGAAATGAATCAAACTACTGTGTTTTGTTGTTTTAATCTGATGGCTTGTCTTGATTCATTTTCTTAGCAAATTGCAGTTATAGTTTATGGGCCTGTGGAGTGATTGGCACCTTTGAGGGTGGAAGGGGTTTCTGGAGTCAGCCGACCCAGGTTTCAGTCTGTCACATAATGGCTCTGTGACCTTGGGCAAGCGACTTAACTTTTCTGAGTTTCAATTTCCATATTTATAGGTTAGAATAATAGTTTCTAACTCACCTAGTTTTTATGAGGATTAAAATAATGTCAAGAATGTAAAATTCCTATTGATGAACTCTTGAAACCAAACAGAAGGTAGTGGTGGTGGAGAATTACCACTTCACGGCCCGGGAGCCCCAGACAGTGCGGGTTTGGATGACACACCATTTGTTTAAGAAATGACACTGGCCCTGCAGCATCCGTGCCACGCTTGAGCACCGTTGGGCTTAATCACGGCTCCTGGACGTGCTGGGATTAGTGAATGGGGCCTAGTCCTTCCAGCGTGGTCATTGCCTAAGATGCGTTCCCTGAGTGGACACGTGCCCCAGAGCACACAGAAAGCCTGAAGCAGATGGTGGCAGAACCACTCCAGGGCATGCAGGGAGGTTGATGGTGAAGATACCAATTTGCTTTTAAGAATTTTACTGTGAACTCTTTAGGATTTAGGGCCTATTACTTGAAGTGGTCTTTTATTCTAAGTTTTTCTTTATATGATATTTTTCCCCCTTCATCTGTGGATTTTAAAATTTTGTCTTGTTCCTTTATTATTAGAAAAGCAAATAAGTATTTAATGAATGAAAAAATAAATTTAGTTAAATGCAAGGAAGAGGGAAGAAAAGCAATATGAATTTTTCACCCAACTCTACAGTGTGATTTAGAAAATTTCCAAAGTATTATCTATAAAGGGCTTTTATAGATTATTTTCCATTATATTTTGATCATCATTTGGATCTTTTGAAACTGGCATTTAAAAATTCTGAGCTCTGGAGGGCACCTCAAAATCTTTTCAACCCATTCACTGCCTGCAGGCAAGAAAACAGCTTAACCGTGCCAAACCCATGATTTCCCTCTGTTTTTTGTGTGTGTGTGTGTTTTTTTTTTTTTTTTTTTTTTGAGACAGAGTTTCGCTCTTGTTGCCCTGGCTGGAGTGCAATGGTACGATCATGGCTCACTGCGACCTTCGCCTCTTGGGTTCAAGGGATTCTCCTGCCTCAGCCTCCCGAGTAGCTGGGATTACAGGCATAAGCCACCATGCCCAGTTAATTTTTGTATTTTTAGTAGAGAACGGTTTTCACCATTTTGGCCAGGCTACTCTCGAACTCCTGACCTCAGATGATCTGCCCGCCTTGGCCTCCCAAAGTTCTGGGATTACAGGCGTGAGCCACCGCGCCCAGCCGATTTCCCTCCCATTCTTAAAAGCTTTCTACCGCAGTGTGTTATATAGTTAAAATAAACAGGAACCATCGATACCATTTCAAAATAAGGGGAAATGTTCCCTGTGGACATTTAACTGAAGAAAAGAAATGACAGTGTAAGATTGCATTGAGATCTTAAGGATTGCTTTTGCCAAATGGTAGATAATTTGCTAGCGGTTTTAGGCAGTTGTTTCACACATCTTAACACATGGTTAATGATTGTGTGACTGAGATAACTGGATCAGCCCTATTTCCAAAATAAGCTAAGTGTATTTAAGTAAACCTTGCTACTATTGAGCATTTTGTAGTTGTTTCATTTACTGCCTAGTTTTTTTTTTCACTTGCAACTGATCACAAGAATCATTGAGGTTCATGCCGTTCTATCACAGTACTAGTAGTAAGAGGTCTTTATTTTAAGGATCTTTTGTTGACTTTTTCATTACATTTCTATAGCCAGATCAAGTCAAATTTACGTTCTGAAGTATGTCCAAGGAAATTAAGAGCTGGTGCATGAAAAGATAGGAAAACAATCCAAATCCTAGCAGTTATCAAAAGCAAGTTTATAATACAGGCAAGTGCATTCACTCCTTTCTATATATTTTCAGGGAGCAACATTTAAGAGAGAGTAAACATTCACTCCTTTCTGTATCTTTTCAGGGAGTAACATTTAAGAGAGAGTAAGAGTATTTGTATCTAAATTGGATTAGAATAATTTTTTTCATGTCCCTTTACTTTCCTGTAGCTTGCTGATGACCGTATGGCACTGGTGTCAGGCATCAGCTTAGATCCAGAAGCAGCGATTGGTGTGACAAAACGGCCACCTCCTAAGTGGGTGGATGGAGTGGATGAAGTAAGTTCCATGTTAGTTTCATAGCATCTTGTTTTTTTAAGTAATTATGACAATGTATTTTAAGATATCTGTCATATAAACGAATTTGGCTACACTTGAATGTATATTTCTAGAAATACTTTAGCTTTAGGTTAAGTTGTCTATGTGTGTGTTAATGATTTTAGCTGTAGTTTTAACATTGGTAGTAACTACCTGAATTATAGGAAGAAATTGAAACCCCATGCAACAAGGAAGAATGTGATTTTCTGGTAATTTGAATTAAAAGCTGCTCACACATCAGCAAGCCAACAAGTTTGCTGAAGACCGAATTCTGTATGCTGAGTGTAGCTGATGGAGGCAGACCATAGCCTGCCTGGCATCAGTGGAGTTCTGTGACTTCATTTGCTTAGATTCAGTATGATGTTGGCCGGATTAAGCAGAAGATGAAAGAATTGGCCAGCCTTCATGACAAGCATTTAAACAGACCCACCCTGGATGACAGCAGCGAAGAGGAACATGCCATTGAGATAACTACCCAAGAGATCACTCAGGTGAGGAGTGCAAGTGAGTCCTGGGGAAACCAGCGAGCCTTCTCATGGCAATCTCAGAAACTAGAGTGTTACTCAGAATCAGTCTCCTGGAGTCATTTCCCAACCTGAAGTTCTCAGAGGGACCTCAAGAGGCCCTGAAGTCCTCCAGCTGTCAGCGTAGGTACCTGTGAGGCCTTGGAGGTATGGGGACTGTTTTTCAATTGTTGGCAGATAACTGCTGTGGACGGATTAAGTAAATATGAAATTTCAAACATTATCGAGTTCAATCATTTGATTTTAAAATGTATAACTAATATCGTATACTAGTGTTAAGAAATTTCAATGCTAAATTATAGTCCTCATAATTGAAAAAACAACTTAGTATCCTAGAAAAAATTTTTTATAAATATTAAATTTGATTAATTTTAAAATAATAGGACTAGTGTTGAAACCTCAGTGTTTACATTTTTTACTGAAGTCTCCTGGGTGCTAATTATCAGAGGAGTGTGGTGCTTTGAGAAAAGCCCTGGGGGGTTGGAATGTTGGAACCCTGGCTCTTAGCAGTTTAACAGTTACACGATTCTCATTTAATCCCTCTGACTCTAGTGTTCTCATCTGTAAAATGGGACTAATAATCATAGTACCATCCTCATAGGATGCTTGTTAGGGATTAAATGAGAGGAATGCAATAATAATATGATATATGATAATACAGGTTGAACATTCCTAATCTGAAATCCAAAATGCTCCAAAATTTGAAACTTTCTTTTGAGTGCCAATATGACACTCAAAGGAATGCTCATTGGAGCATTTTGGATTTCGAATTTTCAGATTGGGGTACTCAACTAGTAGGTATTCTGCAAATATTCCAAAATCTCCCGAAATTTGAAATCCTAAACATTGCCAATCCCAAGCATTTCGGATGAGGGATACTCAGCCTGTCTAACGTGATGATATGTGAGCAGCTGGGCACACAGCAGGCCCTACATAGCAGGAGCTGAAATCTAGTGAAATCTTTCTGTGTATATAAATGAAGCCACAGATTCCTTTTATCTGTTCACCTTTCTCTAAACCAGACTGAGTGAACAGAGCCTCTCACTTCTCACTCTGGCTTGTGATGTGGCAGTGTTAGCAGAGGGGCTTCTCTCCCAGGCTTGCCCTGAGCCTCGGGCTTGTTCTCTTAGCTCTTCCACAGGTGCCAGCGTGCCGTGCAGGCCCTGCCGAGCCGGGCCCGGGCCTGCTCCGAGCAGGAGGGGCGGCTGCTTGGGAACGTGGTGGCCTCGCTGGCGCAGGCCCTGCAGGAACTCTCCACCAGCTTCCGGCACGCACAGTCAGGCTACCTCAAACGTGAGTGCTGCCCGGGCCTAGTGAAGGGATTTTGAGTAAGAAAAGCACTTTATGTTTTCTTTTTTGCCACTATTTTTTCATTTAGTCCAGTACCTTTCATTGTTAGCTTTTGAACATGCTCATACCTTGTACAGTAAAGGGAAGCCTCCTCCCCATGTGAAACCCTGGCTTGGAATGAAGGCACAGCGTGGGGTACCGACCAAGGCTGGGGGAGGGCACCAAGATAGTTCAGCATCTCAGCAAACAAAATTTGTTTTGTGTCAAGCTGCAAGAATTTGAAAATCAACCAAGCACATTTTAAAAACCTGTTGTTTTCTGGATGTTGGGGTTTGGGAGAGCTGCTCTTCAATAGGTAAAAAGCAGTTGTTATTACTGAAAGCCACATATTTGCATAACAACCAAAGTGTTTGAGAGCACCTGAGAAAACCTCCCCAGGGTCCTTGAAACACTTCCTCTGCTGGCACCACAGGTTTCACCCAGCAGACCTTTTCTTCCCAAATAGTGCAAAGCCAGATTTCAGCTCTCTTCTCATTCTAATCACCCTGTAAACTGGGTTTTTTAAAATTGCCCTTGCAATCAATAAAGTCCCCACATACTCCAAAAAACCTAGTTCTCCCTCCCTCTGACAACTGGCATATTTGTATTTTAATTTTATTATTTCCAAAATTTGATTAGGGCCATATGGAATTCATACTAGAGATGCTTCTAGAGAGAAATACTGATTTTTTAAAATGTTTTGTAACAGCAGTTAGATTAAATATTTCTGCTTCACTTAGAGATTCTCAGATGGTTGTGTCATTTTTATCTTGGCATCAAGTGAATTGTGCACATTTACACTGTGACTTTTGTCTTGAGTAATCCCAAATGCCTGCATATTGTTGTATGTTTGTAATCCTTTACTCTCCCTCCACCCCCATTGGAGATAGGCTTCTTTAAAGCGGCTAAGAATATCTCAATTTTGACTGTTGGAGTTTACTCTAGAATTCCCCCTTTTAATGGTAGAACAATACTCAGGATGGTTTACATATTCAAGTAAAATGAATTCCTATCTGTGATAGGCATGAAGAATCGAGAGGAAAGATCCCAGCATTTTTTCGACACATCAGTACCACTAATGGATGATGGAGACGATAACACTCTTTACCATCGGGTACGTGAACGGGCTGCAAAGCTGATTGCTGTGTCTGTGCACCCCATTCTGCATCTTTCACCTCCTAGACCTCGATCTTCTGTGCAGTGTCAGTGGATTGATACAGTTGACTTGTATATTCATCAGGTTGTTTTGCAGCAGGTGGAAGAACAGCCGTACTGTTTCTTCCTTTCCAAAGGCCACAGGGAGACCTTGTAATCTGCTTTCCAGAGCCTTTGGGAAAGTGGTCAACACCCTGCCTTCTTAGGAAGAGCCCAGAGAAACAGAGGGCTATCCCGGGGGTTTTGTTTATCTGCCCTTGTGGAGTTGGCAGACGTGGGCTTCTGTCTTCCCTGCTATGGCCTCAGAGCTTTAGATCCTGCTGGTTTAGGGAATTTGAATCTTTCCTGTTAGGGAAAAATGAGTGCTTACTGTGCTTTGTAGAAATATTTTCAGAATTCATTTTCTTTAAATTATTTTCATTGTCTTTAAATTATATCTAAACAAGTATACCATAGCTTTCCTGAGAGGGAAAACAATCTATCCAACACATTGTGCACTGTCTTGCTAGGGTTTTACAGAGGACCAGTTAGTTCTGGTGGAGCAGAACACACTGATGGTGGAAGAGCGGGAACGAGAGATTCGCCAGATTGTACAGTCCATTTCTGACCTGAATGAAATATTCAGGGACTTAGGGGCGATGATTGTAGAACAGGTACGTGAGCTGGCCTTCCTCGTGAATAGGTTTTCCTGCCATACTATCTGTACCTTCTTTTTCCTGTACTCCTTTCAGGGAAAAAAATTGGAGCCAATTTTCCCAACATGTGTGTGCACCTGTCCTTTATGTGTGTGTGGGTGTGTGTGTGTGTGTGTGTGTGTGTGTGTGTGTGTATATTAATATTAATCAAATATTAAATTTGATTAATTTTAAAATAATAGGACTAGTGTTGAAACCTCAGTGTTTACATTTTTTACTGAAGTCTCCTGGGTGCTAATTATCAGAGGAGTGTGGTGCTTTGAGAAAAGCCCTGGGGGGTTGGAATGTTGGAACCCTGGCTCTTAGCAGTTTAACAGTTACATGATTCTCATTTAATCCCTCTGACTCTAGTGTTCTCATCTGTAAAATGGGACTAATAATCATAGTACCATCCTCATAGGATGCTTGTTAGGGATTAAATGAGAGGAATGCAATAATAATATGATATATGATAATACAGGTTGAACATTCCTAATCTGAAATCCAAAATGCTCCAAAATTTGAAACTTTTTTTTGAGTGCCAATATGACACTCAAAGGATATATATACATAGCAATCCTAATCAGAAAATATGAAGTTCAAAATGCTCCAGAATTCAAAACTTTTTGAGTGTTAACATGATGCCACAGGTGGAAAATCCCTACACAAGACCTCATGTGACAGGTTGCAGTCAAAACTTTGTTTTATGCACAAAACTAGTAAAAATATTGTGGCCGGGCACGGTGGCTCACATCTGTAATCCCAGCACTTTGGGGGGCTGAGGCACATGGATCACCTGAGGTCAGCAGTTCGAGACCAGCGCGGTCAACATGGTGAAACCCCGTCTCTGCTAAAAATACAAAAAAATTAGCTGGGCATGGTGGCAGGTGCCTGTAACAGCTACTCGGGAGGTTGAGGCAGGAGGATCGCTTGAACCTGGGAGGTAGAGGTTGCAGTGAGCCGAGATTGCACCATTGCACTCCAGCCTGGGCAACAAGAGTGAAACTCTGTCTCAAAAAATATATATATATATATTGTATAAAATTACTTTCAAGCTATGTATATGAAACATTAATGGTATATGAAACATAAAGGTATAAGAAACATTAATGAATTTTGTGTTTAGACTTGGGTCCCATCCAGAATATCTCATTATGTGTATGCAAATATTCCAAAATCTAAAAAAAAAATCCCAAATCCAAAACACTTCTAGTCTCAAGCTTTTCAGATAAGGGATACTCAGCCTGTATATGTGTGTATTTACAAATTATATACATAGGCTACTGTCATTCCCTATAAGAATATTAATAAATCTTTTTTTGATAAATGAAGTTCTAATATTCTCTTCCCATGCCTCGAGGGTACTCATGTGAGCACCCTACTCTAGAGACCTAGTTGACTCTGACCGAGCTCAGCAATGATTCTGACGCTATAGAAGATTTCCCTTCTAATTTTGGCAGGTTATTGTGTAATGGCAATTGGAACCACTAGCGTTCAAGTAGAATTAAATTGTTGTTCACCGTTAAAATCTGATTAGGGCATTTTATTATCTTGCCAGCAGGGATTTGGGTCCTGATCCCCCTGAAACCAACTGCAGAATGGAGTGTTCAGGCTCTGGAAGATCCAGTTACATTAATTACTCCAGTGGTTCCCAGTGAACTGCTATCTCTTCTAATCCAGCATGTTTCCAATAAAAGCTCTGTTCTTCCTCATAGCCCAGTGTCCCCGTCTTCCAATTTAATTGTTTAAGAGATTAAACAATTAAACATCTTCCCCTTGAGTCCAAATTTTTAATTTTAGGTGGTAGACTGGAGTTTACCATTTCCTGCTCTGACCCATAGAGATGTGGATCCACGTTTATAGACGTGATAGTCAATTTGCAGGTCTACTTATGACAGGGGCGAGCTTACCTGGTGTTCTCTGCTTACTTGAATCCAAGTACGTAGGCAGCAAATGGGCGCAGAGCTTCTGTGCTGCTCAGAGCCTCTGTCCACTGGACCATAGATTTCTTAGGGCCCCAGGAAGTCCGAATATGGCATTTCTATGGCAGCTGAAACCAATAAGGAAACCTCAGTCTGTCAGTACTTCTTTCTCGTGAGCTAGATGTGATGGCACTAACCAGCATTCTGCCATCGAGCTCCTGACACTGCTTGAGGGTGAACTCCAGAGCCCTCCGTGTGTACCTGCAGCACACAGGGAAGGAAAACATCATCTTATGGATGATGATGTCTGTAATTTGCATATCTCATTTTTGACGTTCAGTTTTCCCAGTTGCTATTGTTGATTGTCTGTAACTGTCATTTATTACCTAGGGTACAGTCCTTGACAGAATTGACTATAACGTTGAACAGTCCTGTATCAAAACTGAAGATGGTTTGAAACAGCTTCACAAGGTAATATGTCTTTCAAGACTTGGGAATCTTAGGAACTATTTTCAAATAATCAAGAATTGGTAAGAGGGTTCTTTTCCACCATAACGATCTTCAGCATTCTTGTGTTGTCCACTCTCAATACAGTAGTGTAAAAAGGGATTCATCATTTCATTTAAAGCCAATTGTGGGGGCTGTTGCCGTTTTATTGCAGTTAATGATTCCAGGTGTATCTCACACTTAAATCCAAAATTGCTAAGAACTCCTTTTTGTGACAGTAAATTCTAAAGAGATTGGAGTTCTTTCTTTTAGAAAATATTTCATTCTTTTCTAATGCTTCTTGTTTTAGGAAATCAATTGGGCATTTGCTAAAATATGTGTTGAAAATCTGTCTGCTTGTTGCCGTTGACTTGGGCCTCTCTTGTGATACATTCCTGATGAATTGCTGATGGAGAATCATTCTGCAGAAGATAAAAATCTAATCTTCTCTTTAATTACCACAGCATATCTGTATTACCTTGAGAAAAGAGAAGTTTGTTGAAGTGAGAGTAGTAATTCTTTTATTCTGTGCTAATAAGGTAGCTGTTTCAGGGATGTTTTTATGATATTCTCTTTTAAAAAAATAGATGGAAAGCATCTTAGGAATCTTATCGGTTATAAGAAACATGCATAAACGGCTGAGACTCTCATATATAATTGGTTACGTATTTTCTTTAAAAGGAATATAACAATACTTCACAAATTAAATAATATCCATTTCCTTGTATCTTTGAGACCCAGTGGAGTTTCTAGCCATATAATGAGTGTTTTGCCAATTCACTGTTGGACTACTCTACCATTTTTCTGAAATCAGTCGCTTCCTATACCAGAGATCGCCCCATTTAATAGCAGTATTGGGTTTACAAAAAGTCAGCCCTTGCACTAGTCTAACCAGAAGCCCTGAGCTGTCTTTTCAGGGGGCTTGTTGCCATGTGTAGGTGGATATGAGACTCCAGCCTGTGGTGGGAAGAGAAGTCTGACCTTGTCTATGCAGGGTTTTTTTAAGCATTTAGATTAATTTGGTTGCCAAGCCCTGTCTATTAAAAGTGAAAACTAACTTAAGTTTCTCACTCTGTAATACCCAGGTTTTGATGTGCTGCTGAATTATGCATTGGTTTTGAAGTTTCTTAAATAAAAACTAGTGAAATATGTTTTGTAATATAACACAGATAAAAGGAAAAGCTTTCTCTGCGGGAGTGAGCAAATCTAGTGGGAACTAAAAATTTTGTTTTAGGTTCTACTTTATAAATCATTTTGAGAGGTTTTACAGTATATTATTTAGTATTGGCTTCCCTGGTGTTCTGGGTTACTTATTAGAAAAGTCAGCGTGCTCCATCTTCCCTCCAGCCACAAGGCTGTAGGCAGCACGCGCGTGCTCGGCAGTCGGCTAGTCTAAGGGTGATTGAGCGTCGGGAGCTGCTCCCCATGACCGGACTCTCGGTGCTGTCCCCGTGCCTGATGTTTCCTCCTGGTGGATGAGGGGCTCCTCCAGGTGGGCGGGCAGGCTCACTTAGGAAACAAGCCCACCGCGGGGGATGGAGCAGGAGAGATTGCCATTCTCGCCAGGGCTGCCTTCCCGCTGTCTCCTCCTCCCTCCTGTGCCATAGCAAGGTCTGGAAGAGGCAGCGCATGCTCTCCCTGGACGTGCCTCCCGGCGCCCTCTGAACTCTGCTGTCCTCTGGCTCTCCTTTCTCAGTGCTCTGCGTCTTTCGCCAGCCAGGTGGGGCCCTTTGGCATTTCTCTAGCAGGCATGATGGAGTTCCCGCTCCTGCCGAGCTTCCAGGATGCGGTGTTAAGGTGAAGAGATGTGCAGGGTGCAGCCTCGTCCCCAGATTGAGCTTGGAGGGCTCCTTTGCTGTATCGTTAGCGGCACTGGGAGGACGCGCCTCAGAGGGATCTTTCTGCATATGACATCCATGGGGCACACGTGTCTGTTTTTATTTCAAAGGATGAGTTTTTGTTTCCAAATTTAGGGGAGGTCGAAATGGGGCCTCTTCCGGGTGTCTGTTGCCTACCTGCCAGGTACGGTCCTCCAGCCCGTTGTTTCCTTCCGCGGTGAAGGAACTGTGCATTCGCTCCAGGAACACGGACCGGGAACAGGCGACCCGTGCTGCAGGGGCACTTGCCACGGCCTGCAGGAGGAAAAGCCGGGAGAAGCAGGCCCAGCTGCACCCGGAAGCATGAGCTTTCACTTCCCTGTCAGGCTTTGTCTTAGTAGTAGGTTTCCAACAAATCCATTTCCACGTCCAGGGTAAATAAGCAGCACCAGGATCATGGGGCTCTTCCACTCCTGGTGATTGAATTCCGTGGGATTGATTGGAGGGATTACAATCATGTAGCCTGTAGCAGAGACCTCAGTCACTGTGCAGAGAGATCTGGAAGCCTCATTCTGGAAACGAGTGGGACTTGATTTGGGATTTTGGGGAAAATGACGGCCTTTTTTCCCTCCTCTTTTTGTAGGCAGAACAGTATCAAAAGAAGAATCGGAAGATGCTTGTGATTTTAATATTATTTGTCATCATCATTGTGCTCATTGTTGTCCTCGTTGGCGTGAAGTCTCGATAAGTGGCATTGGGTTTTCGTGTGTGCCGCGCGTGTGGATCTCCCGGGTGTGAGGGGCTTGGCCTGCGCCCCGCCAGCTGCCCGCAGAGGTGCAGCCTCGAGGAATCTGAGGGCGTCGGGGCAGCGAACCTTTGCATCCACGGACTCCTCCTTCCCTAGTCCTGCTCAAGCGGTCCGGGGAATGGGTTTTTGTTTTTCCTTCATTGTTGAGAATTTAAGGACCTTTGATACTGCTGCACAATAGAGATTGAGTTCTGGGATCAGTTATAATATATATTTTTTTTAGAAAGAGAAAATGAGCTGAGAGTTTACAGGCACTGCAGAAGCTGTTCAGTATTATATGTGTATATGCTATTTTTTTAGCAGCCATGTCTGAGCAGAATGTTAACATAATTTTTGGAAAAATTTTCTTTAAACCATCTGGTTTTTAAGAAATTTGGTACCAAAAATTGATGAGTAGAGGCAAAAATGCCCCTTCATCTTTCTCTATATATTTTCCAGTTGAAAACAAACTAAGAAGTCCTTTAAGAATTTATAATCCGTTCCCCATTAACTTAATTTAGCTTTTCCATCACTGTTAATGATCAGAGTAACAAAGTGTGAAAAATAAGAAACCATCATTGATGTTAATTAACACATTTAGATGGGCCAGTTAAAACAGCTTCATAAGTTTTAAATTAATTGTAAATGGAATATTCCTCATTTAAAATTTTTGCACTGCATTTTCTACTGTAAACCAAAAGAGGTTACTAAGCAAAACCACCTAAATTTAAGTTGGTGATTTAAATGAATCTCACATTAAAAGAAAGCTTGACAGTGTTATGAAAGCCACCAGACTCAGCCAGTGTGTCCCCATGGGTATCCCCAGCCATCCTTGCTCAATCCATTACTTATATACTAACTACATAATGACCTGTTCAAACCAGACTCTATTTAATGAACTGTGAATTTACACAGAGGCCATTTTAAATGGGTCACCCCATTTAGGATTAGTGGATCTCAAATTATTAACCAAACATCACTCCATTTCAAAGTAAAATATTCCACCAGCGATTTGATTTATTGGCTCTTCCATTGCCACTGAGCAATGCCCAGGAAGCAGGCACATTGCCAAGGACTGGGGGCATCTTGACTAGGAAGCTCCTCGTTTGTGTGAGCGTGGGTCAGACCGCCAAAGTAGGACTTCATCGTTTACCTACCTATTATCAATATGGTGCTTGAATATATTCCTATAACTGTAGAACAGTGTGGAAAGTGATGGTAACTTTGAAGTTGTTCATGTTTTATTGGCTTTGTTTTAATTGACACTAGTAGAGTTTTAATGGTCTTTGTGTAAATTTTAATGGCTTTTCCATTGTTTTTGCTTCTCTTAAAAAGTTTAAGAAGAATATGACCTCATTAAATGTGCTGTTTTATTTGGACCAGTCACACAAAATGTCTCTCTAGAGTTGACTTTAAAGTTGTTTACAGAAATTTAAACTCAATTCCAGAGATTGAAGTTGTCCAAACAGCTCATGGGCTTAGTGTCCAAACCCCTGCCCAGCCTTCCCTTTCCAAGTTGGTGCCACCTCCAGGTAGCCATTGGTGGTTTTCCTATTACTGATGTGGCTGTGGAATGATAAGGTCCTAGAGGGGCCCTGGCATTTCAGGAAGCGGACCTGGTATTCCCTGACAAACATTGCTTAGGAAAGAGGGCCGGAGAATAAGAAGCCAGCACCTCATCAGTCAGCCCTGCAATGTGAGACTTCCGTAGCTGTTGAGAGTCACTGCAGGTGTTCTTTCATCCCATCTGATTTTAACCCATGGTTGAGACGTTCCAAGTTAGATCTGCTGCTCTTAGGTGTGGGGCTGTCCACATTAGGGAACTTGCCTCAAAAACAGTCCACAGTGGCAATACCGGACTTCTGTTCAAGCTTTTTAAAGTGCTGAGCCTTACAAACCCCTGAAGGAAAGTGACCCTTTAAGAGAGGATCATCTTTTTTTATATTTATTTTCACCAAATAGGGTGATGAGGGTTGGTTTTTGTTCCCTCAACCCATTTGGGTAAAATAACGGATCTGATTAGAAACTGTTTTAAGGAGGGGCTGGGCTCGGTGGCTCACGCCTGTAATCCCAGACTTTGAGAGGCCAAGGCGGTCACGAGGTCAGGAGTTCGAGACCAGCCTAGCCAACATGGTGAAACCCCGTCTCTACAAAAAATACAAAAATTAGCCGGGTGGGACACGCCTGTAATCCCAGCTACTCAAGAGGCTGAGGCAGGAGAATAGCTTGAACCCGGGAGGCAGAGGTTGCAGTGAGCCGAGATCACACCACTGCACTCCAGCCTGGGTGACAGAGCGAGGCTCCGTCTCAAAAAAAAAAAAAAAAAATTGTTTTAGCGCTGGGTTTCCCAAGGTGGGAGAGACAGACCCAGCCTGGAGCTGGCCCCTGGCCTGTGTGCTGACTTCTTGGGGTCCTCAAACCACTGTATTTTTCTGTTGAGCCTGTACTTGGGGAGAGATCAGTAGCATTTGAGGAAGTAAGAGAAAAGAATCATGGTACCTCAGGGTTTCTTTCCCTTTACTCGCTGGCAGCCATTGTCTGTGGGCACCTCATGTTTTTCCACACTCTACTGGGCCGTGGAGGTAACGATCACCCAGGCCAGTCTCCTCTGCCTGGGATGCGCCCTCTGAGAGGAGGCCTAGCAGGGCAGGCTCCCTCTGGGCATCCCTGGATGCAGCCTCTGGACACATGCCTCCTTTAAAGTGTCCGGGTGCAGCTCAGGTTGAGTGGAGGTAGAAGGAGAAACAGACATGTTTACCACGCGTTTTCCAAAGCTCCTGATCTTTCCCAAGATTGTAACTGAAAACTGCTGTCTCTTGTTTTGTTCGTTTTGGGGGTGGTGGTGCTGGCTGGGCCATGCTTGTGAAGTGATGTGTGTCTCTGATTTAACGGATTCACTGTTTTCTCTGCTAATTGAGAGAGCGTTATTTACATTATTTATTTGTTTTGACACAAGTGCTTTCAGTGTTTTATCCTAGCTAATGGCTTCTTAAAGGTAATAAAACCCTTCCAACGTAATTGGTCAGATAAAACTTTTTTTCTTGTATGCTTAAATAAAGCAATTAGTGAAGCACTTCTATCCAAAATGACTTTTTTGTCCTTTTTTAAAACCAATTTACTGTTACTGGAAACTTTTTGTACAATAAAGCAATCACGCAGATTAAAGAACATCCTGCAATCCTAGTATTAATTTTAACAATGGGTTCATGTTTTCTTCCAGTGCATTTGTGTTAGGGGAGGGCTTGGCCAGTTTTGTGATCCTCTGGGCCCCTGACTCTGTTTTGTGCCTGAGGCCTTTGCCTCAGTGTCCGAAAGTAGATCTATCTAATGGATGCTTTCAAAGGGACAATCTATTTACTATCTGATATACAAAAAGAACAACTGCCTAAAAGGCAGATAAGTATTTTTCTTATGAAAATATATGCTTTATATACATACCAAGAAACATTTGGAAATCTCCAAATAAAACTGTGATGTGCCTTGTTGAGAAGCAATTCTTACACACAGGCTGTAAGAGACTTGACTTTCTAAATGATTTTGTTTCCTACTCTGTTACACCAAAAACTTGAGAGACAAGTGTCTGCCAGTTTAACTCAAAGCCAAGACTATGTTTCCCCTTGATTGTGCCTGTCCTGGGGTCCTCCGAGGAGGACCTTTGTCCTGAAACTTGACTTTGATGCATTTGTTTTGCTGGTGGGAGATGTGGACCTGAGTGATGGTAGGGGTATGTGGTTTCATCACCAGAACCTATACAAACAAAAAATAGCAGCTGTCATGCCAGGTCTCTTTGGCACCCTTGGCGTTTGGTCCTGAGGTGTTGCGGCGACTCAACAGCAGAACCCTTCAGAGCCTGTCAACAAACCACACAAAAGAAACAACCTCCTCCTCTTGCACTCTCACCGTGTTTTTTGTTAAGAAATTACATTTCCCCAACTCGCATGTTGGCCACTGGCTCTGTCCAAGAATCAAATCCACTCTCGAGGGAGAGACGTTTGCCATAGGGTTCAAGAATATTCTGACCGGCAATGCTATTTAATAACATTGAAGAAATCCTCCATCCCGAAGGGGACCACATAAAGGCGGCAACACCTCTTTGGTGACCTCTTGGGTTATGTTCTCAGCTGAGTCTTTGGTGGCCCAGTCTTGAACCAGCACTACAAGAGTATGCAGACGCAGTCTGCAGAAGCATTGCTGTCAGTGGAGAGCTGCAGGATGCCACCAATGACTTGGAGGCATGACTTGCCAAGAGGCCTGGAAGTGGGGAGCCACTGGGGTGTCCCTTTGAATGCTCACTTTGACAGCAGGTAAACAGGCTGGATATGGATTTCCTCTGTGAAATTTAGCAACCATCCTATAAGAAGTCTGATCCTGATCCAACGTTTGAGCAATCT
This sequence comes from Homo sapiens, assembly GCF_000001405.40. Classification (NCBI taxonomy): domain Eukaryota; kingdom Metazoa; phylum Chordata; class Mammalia; order Primates; family Hominidae; genus Homo; species Homo sapiens. The sequence continues at coordinate 58,680,722 of NC_000020.11, forward strand.
AGAATCCTTCCTGGTCCGTCTGCCATAGTTACGTAGCCACAACAAAATTTACCTAGCCTAGCACCATTTCTATCTAAATCTAATAGGATAGCATGTCATTCTACATGGGGCCTTAATTGTGATCAGCATCCCTTACTCTAGTCAAGCCATGTGGGACCATGTGGAGAGATCTTTTCACAGAAGGGATGTCCCTAGTTGGGTGTAGAGAAGACAGCTCATCACAAAGACTTCCTGCTTCTCTGTGGTTCTAATTCATCGATTAGTTATGGTAAGTTTCCATTCCTTCTAAGATTTAGGTAGGCAGGCCTGGTTCATCCAACATGAACTACATTTCAGAACCTAGCACTGTGCATGCACATAAATGCATGCCTAGAATTGTATATCTTGGCGTATATTAGCTCTTAAAAACTAATTTTCTTGGCCGGGTGCAGTGGCTCATGCCTATAATCCCAGCACTTTGGGAGGCCAAGGCAGGTGGATCGCTTGAGGTCAGGAGTTTGAGACCAGCCTGGCCAACATAGTGAAACCCCGTCTCTACTAAAATATAAAAATTAGCTGGGTGTGGTGGCACACGCCTGTAAACCCAGCTACCAGGGAGGCTGAGGCAGGAGAATTGCTTGAACCCAGGAGGCAGAGGTTGCAGTAAGCCGAGATTGTGCCACTGCACTCTAGCCTGGGCAACAGAGCGAGACTCCGTCTAAAAAAAAAAAAAAGCCGGGCGTGGTGGCTCACACCTGTAATCCCAGCACTTTGGGAGGCCGAGGCAGGCAGATCACGAGGTCAGGAGATCAAGCCATCCTGGCTAATGCGGTGAAATCCCATCTCTACTAAAAATACAAAAAATTAGCAGGCCGTTATGGCAGGCACCTGTAGTCCCAGCTGCTCGGGAGGCTGAGGCAGGAGAATGGCGTGAACCCTGGAGGCGGAGCTTGCAGTGAGCCAAGATTGCACCACTGCACTCCAGCCTGGGCAACAGAGCAAGACTCCGTCTCAAAAAAAAAAAAAACACTAATTTTCTTGACCACCCAGATGCCACTTCTAACCTTGCTGCCTGATGGTTTTAATTCTGTTTTGAAAACAACCTCCTCCCAAGTGATGGGTATTAGAAGGAACTAATGAGAACCCTGGGTGCAAGCAGAGACTTTTAGCACGTATGAAAGTGCTTCTGATTTAGGACTCGGAGTTAGATGGTGGGTGTCAGCTGCGTGTGTCTTGTCCCCAACTCCATGCCACCCTCGGGCAGACGTCATGGTACCAGTCTATGGCCAGGCTTTCTTACTACACAAAGAGACATTCCATGGAGTCAAATGGCAGAGACTTGTGTACAATTATCTGGTCAGTTGAGGCAAAAGAAAATAATCATTTGTCCAATTGTCCAAATTAGCTCTGTGGATTGTCCTGAATGCTCGGGGTAACTGTGTGGTTCTCCACTTCAGTTCCGTAACCTGGCTAAGATGGACCATTTAAATGAGGCTCCATTCAACACAATGCACATTTAAATGAGGCTCAGTTGCAAGAGACCACTGGGCTTAGCGTTTTCAATTTGTCAACTATAATTCTATAATTGCTTTTAGCTAATCATCCAAATGATTACATGTTGTAATGGAGGCAGAAGACCCTCGTATGCATCATTTGGTCTCTTTTTCTCAGAGGAAGTGCTGAAGGATCAAATGTTTTGTGTGTCTCTGTGTGTGTGTGTGTGTGTGTGTGTCCGTGTTTTAACTTGGTGTTCTGACGCACAACACCATAATAGACCTCCATTTTCATCAACGGTGGGGGAATGAGAACAACGCCCCCCATCCCAACATCCCCCTTTTCCAGAGGGGGAAACTGAGACCCAAGTTTCCCTCTTGCCAAGGCCACAGGACTAGAACTAGAATCGTCAGTTTTCTGATTTCCAGATCAGGACTATTTCTGCTTATGCCATTTTAATTTTTCATTTCTTTCCATAAAATTAAATGACCTTCTTCAAGAAAGATTTAATGGTCAAGATGCGATTTGGTAAAAAGCTTCCTCAAGGATTTTTTTCTTATTACAAAGATGAGACTGGCTGAGGCTGAGAGATTTGCAAGCAGTGGTATGTCATTATCCCCAGCTCAGTTTTTTGTGTAATTGGTGTGAAGAGATTGCTGCTGATGAATCAGCCTGCTGCTCAACAGAAAATAATGATTCTTTTGTGACGTGAGTCAGTGTACGTACGTGTACGTTTGTGGTTGTTTATGAAAGGTATGTGTGTACATAAAATGCTTATCAAGATGGATAATGTCATTTTAAAGTGGTAAATAATAAAAAATAGTCCTGAGCAAAACTGATTTTACAATTGCCTGAGAATGCAGCACTTCATTTTAACACTATGCAATGGCTAGAAATTGATTTTTTTTTTTTAAATCCAATTAAGCCTCAAGGTTGGTTATCCATTTAAAAGGTCGGATGAGTTAAACAATGACAGTACCTTCAGTTCGTGCTAATAAATTTGCACAGAACTTCAGCACTTACATCGTGTGCCTCACAGAGGCATACATTTTGTATGTGCACAACACTGAACTACCAAAGTCCCAGCAGTGGTACAGATACACCAGCAGACCCTGGACCCCAACTGGGGGAGTCCCTGAGCTGACCGCCGGCCCTATCACCTCTTCCACTTAGATCCCCGAAGCACCCCCCACCCCAGAGTGCTGAGTCCTTCCATCTACCTGGCCCCCTTTTCTGTGGCCCCAAGAGCACTGGGAGATGAAAAGTTGCCTCTCATTTAAAAGGGGGGAAAAAGATGTATTCACTACTTGGTTTTGTGTGCTGCTGAGTTTATAATGTAACAAATAAATCCTGTTTTAAAAATAGTACTTTATAGTGTGTATTTACTGTGTATTCATAGTGCATTAAGAAAAAGACTTCGGCCGGGCACAGTGGCTCATGCCTGTAATCCCAGCACTTTGGGAGGCAGAGGCAGGCGGATCACGAGGTCAGGAGATCGAGACCATCCTGGCTAACGTGGTGAAACCCTGTCTCTACTAAAAATACAAAAAATTAGCCAGGCATGGTGGCGGGCGCCTGTAGTCCCAGCTACTAAGGAGGCTGAGGCAGGAGAATGGCGTGAACCAGGGAGGTGGAGATTGCAACACTGCACTCCAGCCTGGGCGACAGAGCCAGACTCCGTCTCCAAAAAAAAAAAAAAAAAAAAAAAGAAAAGAAAGAAAAAGACTTCGGCTGGGTGCAATGGCTCACACCTGTAATCCCAGCACTTTGGGAGGCTGAGATGGGCAGATCACCTGAGGTCAGGAGTTCGAGACCAGCCTTCCCAACATGGTGAAACCCCATCCCTACTAAAAATACACGCCCGGCTAATTTTTGTATTTTTAGTAGAGATGGAGTTTCACCATGTTGGTCAGGCTAATTTTGAACTCCTGACCTCAGGTGATCCACCAGCCTCGGCCTCCCAAAGTGCTGGGATTACAGGCGTGAGCCACCACGCCAGGTCAATTCTTTTTACTTTTTAAAAGATCTACATTCAGATACTACAGATAGATGTATAATAAACACAAGGGTGTTTCTGGAAAAAAGGTGACTCAGGTTTTTGAAGATTGAATCATTTTCAATGCTCTAGAGAAACATACTATTTAAAAGGATCCTATAAGTGAAGGTTTTCCTAACAAAAGATTCCTTGATCAAAATAAACATTTAGCTCCTAATTTTGCTTTTCTATAAGTCTCCATTTTCTTGTACTGAGTTTGCTTAAAGGAATGCGGAACCCCATTTGGTCTGTTAATTATTTCTCTTTTCCTTCTCGCAGCCTCCCTATCCAAAGGCTCCAGGTCTTCAACATGTCCTTGAAAACTTTTGCAACTACAAAAATAATTTTGCTGGTGTTCAGAAGTAAATAGAGTTTAGTTCCTGAGACATGAAGGTTATTGCTGTATTACACTGTGCCCTTCCTGGGAGGATAATTTAGGCTGCTAGAATGGCAAGGGACCTCGGAGAGCAACTAGTTCAGCCCGCTCATTTTTTTTTTCTTTCTTTCTTTTTGAGATGGAGTCTTGCTCTGTCGTCCAGGCTGGAGTGCAATGGCATGATCTCGGCTCACTGCAACCTCCGTCCCCCAGGTTCAAGCGATTCTCCTGCCCCAACCTCCCAAGTAGCTGGGACTACAGGCATGTGCCACCATGCCTGGCTTTTCGTATTTGTAGTAGAGACAGGGTTTCTCTGTGTTGGTCAGGCTGGTTTTGAACTTCCGACCTCAGGTGATCTGCCCGCTTCAGCCTCCCAAAGTGCTGGGATTACAGGCGTGAGCCACCATGCCTGGCCCCAGCCCCCTCATTTTATCGAGAGGTCCTAAAAACTGATGCTAGAAGAGACGTTTTTTGTTGTTAATAAATGATTCTGCTGGTACATTTTTATTAACACATTCTCTCATCCCACTGATCCCAGAAAGTATAGACACAGTACATGCAGATGAGGCTACCAAATGTGCTTGTCAAGCAAAGTGCAAAAGATGGCATGTAGTATGCTACCTTTTGTTTAAGATCCATGAATAATCTTATTTTTTTCAAATAGAATCATGAAAGATAAAAGCTAATACAAATGGTTACCTATGGGGGTAAAAAAAGGTTACCTGTGGGGGTAAAAAATGCTACCTATGAAGGATGACTGAGAAAAGGGGGGAAGGGCAGGATGGGGAGATCTTTGAACATTTCCTTTTTATAGGTGTGACTTGAATGATACAAAATGTTATACGTCGTCAAAAAAGAAAATGTAGAAAAAAGGAAAATGGCAAACCTTTCTGTGAAGCACAGATTTATGAACCTAAATGTACATCAAATCAGTAAGCTGCACAAAAATCAAGTATATGTGGAATATATCCCTGGAATATACTCTTAGGAACAAAAAGTTAAAACATCTTGAACTCTGTGTTGTGGGTTTGTTGTCGGGAGCGGAGGCTATTGGTGAGTGTTGTGGGAAACAGAGTGAGAAACCCTAGGAGGGGCTGGGAACCAGGGTCCTCACTGTGGCAGAGGGAGATGCGATTATGGAAGATGGGCAGGTGAGGAAAAGCCCTGTCACGTGGATTTGAATGGGAGGAATCAGTATCAACTCATGATGTTAAAGAAAACCTGATCTTAACAGATCCAAGAGGACCAGGAGCAATGACGCCCAAGTGGCAGGGAGCATGCCCAGCACAAGAGCTTGGTCTCTAACTCTGAAGCTGTTGGCTCTAACCAACCATTCCCCTCACTGAATGGAGCTAGGGTTTCTCGGAGAAATGGCTGACTCTGGATTTGGGTCAAGGAAGGAACAAAGTGAGCCTGTGATCATCTTACTGTTCCAGGAAGGACAAAGTCCTTGAAAATGGATAAGAACACATCAAAAAGGAGCCTGCCTGATGCAGCTCTCATTGGCCTAAGTGGGGACACTTGGGAGCAGTGACGTTTGATGAGATGCACACACGTATGGGCTGTGGCAGGGCTGGCTTCAAGGATGTGCAGCCACCATAGCCACATGGGCCCTGTGCCTAGTTTAGTGCTCAGCTGTTGCCATCTTGAAATTGCTTTTTGAAAGAGAGGCGCTGCGTTTTCGTTTTGCACTGGACTCCACAAATCATGCTGCCAGCCCTGGGGAGGGGGAGGTCTTTGCTGAAGAACACCAGGTAGTAAGTGTAGAAGGGAGGATAGAGCTGGAAAGTCACTCAACCAATACTTGATTCAGGCAGAAATCATCACTGGATACCAAAGACATTCAGGAATAGATGGTTGAGACCCAGACGGTTCTTAGTCTCAAAGTGTCACTCCATGGATTCTAAAGAGGAAATTATAATTCAATTAATTATAAAAGGGGGAAATGCACTTTTACCATGAAGAGATCTGGCAGACCCCACTTGCCCAATGATGGGGGACACTTAGTTTATGTGCCTCCTGATGAGGTTCGATGGGAACCATAACCCGTATTTTTGCCAAAAACGTTCAACCCAAATCTAAGAAAACAGACGAATCCAGATGGTGAGAGCTTCTGTAGGATATACCAGTGCATGAAAGACAAGGGTAAGGACTGTTCTGGATTAAAGGAGGCCAGAGAGGCTTCACAGCCAAACGCAATGCCTTATTTGGATTCTGGATTTAAAAAGAAAAAGCCATGAAGGACAAGGGGACGATTAAAGTTTCATTGCAGACTGTATACTGGATAATAGTATTGTTTCAATGTTAAATTTCATGGGTATGATCAGCATATGATCATGATTATGTTGGCTGGTGTCCTTGTTCTTTTTTTTTTTTTTTATACTTTAAGTTTTAGGGTACATGCGCACATTGTGCAGGTTAGTTACATATGTATACATGTGCCATGCTGGTGCGCTGCACCCACTAACTCGTCATCTAGCATTAGGTATATCTCCCAATGCTATCCCTCCCCCCTCCCGCCACCCCACAACCGTCCCCAGAGTGTGATATTCCCCTTCCTGTGTCCGTGTGATCTCATTGTTCAATTCCCACCTATGAGTGAGAATATGCGGTGTTTGGTTTTTTGTTCTTGCGATAGTTTACTGAGAATGATGATTTCCAATTTCATCCATGTCCCTACAAAGGACATGAACTCATCATTTTTTATGGCTGCATAGTATTCCATGGTGTATATGTGCCACATTTTCTTAATCCAGTCTATCATTGTTGGACATTTGGGTTGGTTCCAAGTCTTTGCTATTGTGAATAATGGCGCCATAAACATACGTGTGCATGTGTCTTTATAGCAGCATGATTTATAGTCCTTTGGGTATATACCCAGTAATGGGATGGCTGGGTCAAATGGTATTTCCAGTTCCAGATCCCTGAGGAATCGCCACACTGACTTCCACAATGGTTGAACTAGTTTACAGTCCCACCAACAGTGTAAAAGTGTTCCTATTTCTCCACATCCTCTCCAGCACCTGTTGTTTCCTGACTTTTTAATGATTGCCATTCTAACTGGTGTGAGATGGTATCTCATTGTGGTTTTGATTTGCATTTCTCTGATGGCCAGTGATGATGAGCATTTTTTCATGCGTTTTTTGGCTGCATAAATGTCTTCTTTTGAGAAGTGTCTGTTCATGTCCTTCACCCACTTTTTGATGGGGTTGTTTGTTTTTTTCTTGTAAATTTGTTTGAGTTCATTGTAGATTCTGGATATTAGCCCTTTGTCGGATGAGTAGGTTGCGAAAATTTTCTCCCATTTTGTAGGTTGCCTGTTCACTCTGATGGTAGTTTAATTCCTTTTTTTTTTTTTTTTTTTTTTCTGAGATGGAGTTTCACTCCTGTTGCCCAGGCTGGAGTGCAATGGCGCAATCTCGGCTCACTGCAACCTGCGCCTCCCAGGTTCAAGCGATTCTTCTGTCTCAGCCTCCCGAGTAGCTGGGATTACAGGTGCATGCCACCACGCCTGGCTGATTTTTGTGTTTTTAGTAGAGACGGGTTTTTGCCATGTTGGCCAGGCTGGTCTTGAACTCCTGACCTCAGGAGATCTGCCCGTCTTGGCCTCCCAAAGTGCTGGGATTACAGGCGTGAGCCACCACGCCCGGCTGGTGTCCTTGTTCTTAAGAGATACACAATGAGGTAGGGGTGTATACAACTTACTTTAAATGGTACAGGGAAAAATATGTGTACATACATACATATACATATACACATATACATATACATATATACATACACACACATACACATATACGCATGTTTGTGTATATAGAGGCATACCTCACTTTACTGTGGCGGTCTGGAACTGAACCCAGAATATCTCCGAGGTGTGCCTGTATGTGTGTATATATGTGTGTGTGTGTGTCTATGTGTGTGTGTGTCTATGTGTGTGTTTGTGTGTATGTGTGTGTCTGTGTGTGTATACATGTGTGTATGTGCGTATATATGTGTATGTGTGTGTGTGGTGTGTGTGGTGTGTGTGTGTGTGGTGTGTGTGTATGTGTGTGTGGTGTGTGCGTGTATGTGTGTGTGGTGTGTGTGTGGTGTGTGTGTGTGTGTATCTGTATATATATGTATGAATCTAGGTGAAGGGTATACAAGTGTTCATTATACTAGTTTTTCATCTTTTCCAAAAGTTAATGAACTTTTCAAAAAAGTTTCTAGAGAAATGTGTTTTCATGGCAACGAGTTCTCTTTCCTCCCTTCAGGGAACATTTAGTGCAAATCTAGGTGGCATGTCTGGTGCCAGTTGCAAAAGGCAACGGAGGCCCTCCCTGCTGTGCAGGCACTCAGGTTGCAGCAAGGGACAGCACAAACATCCACAACGCAGGGCAGCATTCAAGGCGGTCGTGCAGCTGTCACAGTTTTCACTGGTTGTGGGCTCACTTCTCAGCCAGCTGCTCAGGGAGGTCCTTGGAGCTGAGCCTGCCTCTGCTTCCTCTGGGCTCACGAGCAGGTCATTCTGAAGCAGGAAGGAGCCCTTCCTTGCTTCCACTTCAGGCCTGCCTGAGGCACTTCCACTGGTCTCCAGTTACTTGCAAGGTCAAGTACAACCTGCAAGGTCAGTATATATTTTATGCGCACTTTATATCTGGCACAGGAGCTTTTCTTTTTCTTTCTTTTTTTTTTGTAGAGACAGAGTCTCTGTCCTGCAGATTGGAGTGCAGTGGCGTGATCTCGGCTCACTGCAACTTCCGCTTCCCAGGTTCAAGTGATTCTCATGCCTCAGCCTCCCGAGTAGCTGGGATTACAGGCATGCACCACCATGCCCAGCTTATTTTTGTAGTTTTAGTAGAGATGGGTTTTCACCATGTTGGCCAGGCTGGTCTCAAACTCCTGGCCTCAAGTGATCCACCTGCCTCAGCCTCCCAAAGTGTTGGGATTACAGGCCTGAGCCACGGGGCCTGGTTCCACATGAGCTTTTGACAGTGCCAGAATGAACCATGTCCTTTACTACTTCAGGCCTTTGCATGAACAATTCCTTGGTCAGGGATCAGACTGCCTGACACACTTTAACCGATCCCTCCAGGCCCAACTCAAAAGTCTCATCGTAGTCCAAGGGGCCTTCCCTAACTCAATCTTCTCCCAGTGACTGGATCTCTGGATTTTACTGTTCTACTTGCTTCCCCTTCCTCCTCCTGGCCACACACACATATGCGTGCACATGCACAAACACACACACACACACACACGCTATTGCGTCCCCAAAGCCTCACGGGTCCTGTAGCTTTTCAGAACTGATGTTCAACAAATGTATGTCAAATGAATGAATGAATGAAAATGCTAGAAAATACGAAGCAGATGCACCGAGGAAATGTTTCTTTGAAGTATCGGATATAATGGAATCTGAGAGCCTCGTGGCAATCAGCTGAGTCTAAGCAGGCATTAGGTTTTATAGGGGTGAAGTCTGACATGAAATTAACATATAAATGTAGATTTCAAACACCTAGAGCCATCTTACAAGATAGGATTTCAGAAATGTGTCCTAGAATGTGAACTGTACCAAAAAACATCCTAGTAAGTTCTAGGAGCTTTATTCTGATTTGTCCCAGAAGTTTTTAATCTTTTCTTCAACTTTGGAGCAAAGTCTGAACATCCAATTGAATGTGGAATAGGTTTCAAGCCATCAAAAACATAAGTTGATTTTTGGGTTGCATTAAAGATCTGGTAATTTGTTTTAAACTTTCATTTTTTAAGGAAAATTAAATAGAGTTGAATTTTTCATTGACAGTGAAATATATAGTAAGCCATGGATTAATACCTTCATAAAAATTTATCTAAACAAAGTGCTGCCTGTCTTATTTATGTTAAAGTCTGTAAAGTCAGCAGTGAAAAAGGGAAAGTACTTTCCTGGAATGTATTTGTATCTGTCACAAGCTGAATCTTGAGGAAATTGGCAGGCATTTGAAGTGGAATAATTCCTTAGCGTTCTGTTTAGTTTGGATTTCTTCAATTCGGGGGTGGCTTAAAACCAGAATCACCAATATTTGCTTTTAACAAGCATCTAACGTTTTCTCTTGCTTTGTGTACACTAAGTGCTCAACAAATGTTGGTTGAATTGAATCATTTTGTTCATCCTTTCTGGGGACTGTCAGGGTTATTCAGTCTATTCTTAAATATGAAAGAATTCTAAAAGAAAAACATCTCCAAAATGACCTCTCCACCAACAGTTTATCTCATTTCCAACTCCTTGTACACAAACCTGCTAGATCTGGCTTTCTGAAATGCTTCTTGGATCCCTCTTCAGTTTGCAAAATTCTATAGAGTGAGCCAGGCTCCCCAGTCGATCTCCTCACCCACTCCTATTTTCCAGGAACCTTCTGTTCTAACCACACAGGTTTCAGAGCCTGCTGGACATATTCTGCGTCTGTGTTTCCTCCCAGGACTTCTCCCACGTGGAAGGCCTTCTTTCTCAATCTCTTCGCCTGTGGAAGTCCTATTACATCTGTCAGGGCATGGCCTTAGTCTCTCACCCTCTAGGAAGATCCTCCAGCTGTCTCAGTCCTCTGGAGTGCCGTGTGCCTGTCTGCAACGTATTTGCAAACAGAAAAAAGAGTGAGAGATCTTCATACACACTGTTAGTACCCTTTACCAATGTGTGAAAACATTCAGCTGCTGTAAAATCTTTTGAAGAAAATAAGATCCAATTAGCGTTGACTTTTATGTCGGGAAAGCTGAGGGTTTCAAAGGAATGCCTTTCAGTCATTCAACAGCTTTTTTTTTTTTTTTTTTTTTTTTTTTTTTTTTTTTTGAGTGCCTGCTCTGTGCCAGGAACTGGAGGAAAAAAAAACAACAAAAAGTCAAAAAGACCTGCCTTCAGGATGCTGAAGCTCTAGTCTGTGGTGTTTCCAAGGGGCCAGGGACCATGGCTCAGAGCTGAGCAGACAGACCTGGAGCCTGTGGACAGGGAAGGTGAAAGCCTGGCTTGTGGCTCCCGGGGCTACAAGTTAGGGAGCTAGGGGGCCAGCTGGGAGGTCAGTGGTGGAAAACCTCTCACACCACGCCAGGGAGTTGACAGTGCTTTTTTTTCTTTTTTTCTTTTCTTTTTTTTTTTTTTTTTTTTTCATTTTTAGGCTGGTTATGAAGAAGAAACTCAAAATAACAGGAGTGGCTTATGGAACTACATGGAGGTAACAGAGGAGGGTACCAACCAAAGGCCCTTGAGCAATCAGGATGTTGGGTAACAGATTTTTGCTTTTAAATGACTCCTGGGTGGAGCTTCCCCAATGCATCGTCATTCCCTGACCCTTGCATCTGACCCTGTGGGTGGGACCCTCCGCCTCCACCATCCACTCAAGGCTCACCCCTGGCTCCTCCACCACCCGGCTCCTGCCCCACACCCCCGATGGCCTTTCCTCCCCTGTAAGGCGACTGAGGTGACTCAGGTCACCCTGCTCCTTCCTCGTCTCATCTCGTCCCTCCTTTCCTGCTTAGACTGTGCCAGATGACCCTTCTTGCAAAGGGGTGGGCGGGAAGGCCCCCCATGCAGCCAGGCAGTGCCTGGATTTGTAACTGGCCATCCCAGCAGCAGTGCCCTGGATGGAAAGCCACGTCCCTGTCACCCTCTCACATCCAGGGCAGTGCCTGGCAGAGCGGGGTCTGATAAACGCCAGGGAACCTCCGATTAAGTGAGGAGGAAGTGACCGTCCACGCTGTACCCACCATGCCAGGCAGTGGGACAAAAGGACCTGACTCAGGTCCAAGAGTCACTGGGCCCCTCCGGCCTAACTGATGGGTGGCCAGGGTGCGGGGTCCCTGGGGATCAAAAGCAGCTGCTAAGGGACCTCGGGGGACCTGCTTGGGGCCAGCCTGAGGCCTGACCGGGCGGAACTGCGTCGGGTGGGCTTGGGCCTACGTCGGCCCAGGCCCCACTGGAGGCCAGGCCCGTCCGGGAGGCGCTGCCTGGCGGGCCACGTCGCCCCGCGTGTTGGGCAGGGCCGCTAGGCCCAGGGGCGGCGCCGCTGGAGGCCGGGCGCGCGGGCCCTACTCGGCAGGGCCTGCTCGGGGCCGGCTTCGGGCCTGCCCGGCCGGGCCTGCCCGCACCCTTCCGCCCGGCCTGGCCGGCGCCCCCTCGCGCCCCGGGCGGGCCCTGCACGTCTCGCGAGCAGCCCGGAGCGGCGGGGGAGGCGGGGCCCGCGGGCTGCCGGGCAGGGCCGGGGCGGTGCCGAGGCCGGGCCGGAGCGGGGCGAAGGGGGCCGAGCGGCGGGCCGGGCCGGGCCGGGCAGGGCCGGGGCGTGGGCCGGCAGGAAGATGGCGAACGTGGGGCTGCAGTTCCAGGCGAGCGCGGGGGACTCGGACCCACAGAGCCGGCCCCTGCTGCTGCTCGGGCAGCTGCACCACCTGCACCGCGTGCCCTGGAGCCACGTCCGCGGGAAGCTGCAGCCCCGGGTCACCGAGGAGGTGAGCGGGCCGCCGGCCGCCATGCGACCCGCGCCGCGGAAGCCCAGGCCCGGGCGGCCCGCGGAGGCCCCGCCTCGCCCGCCGCACCCCCGCCGCCGCCGGGCCGGGCCCAACGAGGCCGGGCCGCCTCCCTGAAGGGCTCAGCCGCCAGGCCAGTCCTCGCCCGCGGAGGCCCAGCCCCAGGCCCCGTCGCCGGTGCGGCGCGGTGGTCCTCCTGTCAGCCCAGCCCTGCGCCCCGCGAGGCCGCGACACCTGCGGACGGCGGGGGGGGAGACGTGGCCGCTCCCAGGGCCGCGCGTCGGCCCCGCCTGGCGACAGGCCCTGGCTTCCAGAAGTTCCCATGGCAGTGTCCCCAGCTGCCTTTCCTTGGGGACACCTGGCCCCTGCCCCCTCTCTGGTGGAAGCCGCCTAAGCCCTATCCGAGTGTTGGAAGCAAAGCAGCCCCCAGCCTGGCCCTTCCAGGCTTGGTGGCTTCATCCCACCAGGGGGATGCGAGCCAGCCTAGAGACAGTTAGCTCTGCAGAGAGGCGACACATCTCCCTAAGGATGGGAAAACGGTGGCCGGGAGCTGCGCAGTGCCCTTCCAGGACTGCAGGAGTGGTTGTGGCCGTGGCTGCAGGGCAGGGCCTCCTGGCACGTGGCCGCTGTTTGAAGCCTCTGTGTCTTGTCTCTCCCTTCTGATCTAGCTCTGGCAGGCTGCCCTGAGCACGCTCAACCCCAACCCCACGGACAGCTGTCCCCTCTACCTGAACTACGCCACCGTGGCTGCCCTGCCCTGCAGGGTGAGCCGGCACAACAGCCCCTCGGCCGCCCACTTCATCACGCGGCTGGTGCGGACCTGCCTGCCGCCCGGAGCGCATCGCTGCATTGTGGTGAGTGCTTCGAGAGGAGGCAGCCACGGTGCTCCTAGTCGGGCAGCGGTGAGCTCGGGCCTGGGGAGCTCACAGCCCTGCTCAGACTGCAGCGCACGCCCAGAGGGCTGTGGACGTTATCATCCCTGCTCTGTAGACAGGGAAACAGGTCCAGAGAGACGCGGGGATTTGCCCCAGATCAGTTTTGGTGGCAAATCAGAGACTCAAACCTAGATTTCCTGAGGCCCACTTTGTGTCTGTCCCTCTGTCCCTCATTTTCATGGCTGGTCAGGCTGTTGACATCTGGTGGCCAATGTGTTATTTCTCTTGGAGCATGACCAATGGTGGTCCCATGGTTCCGGGGATGACCTGAGGGATGGGGTGGCGGCTGCTGTGGGACATCTCTGTCTAGATGTCACCTGCCAGGGAGCTGATGTTCCGGAGGCGTTCAAAGAGCAGCTCCCTGCACTCCCTGGTGGCGGCCCTTGCACCCCTCACGCCGTCTCCCTATGTGCCACAGATGGTCTGCGAGCAGCCGGAGGTCTTTGCTTCCGCCTGTGCCCTGGCCCGGGCCTTCCCGCTGTTCACCCACCGCTCAGGTGCCTCTCGGCGCTTGGAGAAGAAGACGGTCACCGTGGAGTTTTTCCTGGTGGGACAAGACAACGGGCCGGTGGAGGTGTCCACATTGCAGGTGGGTGTCTGGAAGGGCAGACACTGCCCCTGGGCCCGGGCAAGATCGGGCAGGTGGGAGGGAGGTCGGGAGAGGGAAAAGCTTGTTGCGGGGGCAGGAGGGGGTTCCTGCCCTTCCCAGGAGCTTTGGTTCCTGGGAAGCGGCAGAGGCTTTTCCAAACCCAGGCCCCCTGCCTCTGCCTCAGCGTGGTCTGTGACTTCAGGATTCTGTTGTATACAGGCAGTGTTTGTTGAGCACGTAATCAGTGCCAGGAACGTCCATGCTGTTTTCCAAATAACCCTGCCCGTTTATGTGAGCTCCGTGTGCACGTGTGTGATGTATGCACGTGTGTGTGTATGTGCGTGCACATGTGTGTTGCTGTGCGTGTATGAGTGTATGTGCATGTGTTGTATGTGTGGGGGGTGTGTGTGTGCATGTGTGATGTGTGTGTGTGTGTGGTATGTGTTGCTGTGTATGTTTGCTGGTGTGTGCATGAGTGGTGTGTGTGGTGTACGTGTGGTATGTGTTGCTGTGTGTGTGTGTTTGCTGGTGTGTGCATGAGTGGTGTGTGTGTGTGGTGTGCATGTGTGGTGTGTGCATGTGTGGTGTGTGTTGTTGTGTGTGAGTACTGGTGTGTGCATGAGCAGCATGTGTTGCTGTGTGTATGAGTGCTGGTGTGTGCATGAGTGGTGTGTGTGTGTGTTGTGTGTGTTGCTGTGTGTGTATGAGTGCTAGTGTGTGCATGAGTGGTGTGTGTGTGGTGTGTGTGCATGTGTGTTGCTGCACCCTTTACAGGGAGCACTTCTACATGTGTTATTTCACTCAATGCTGAGAATGATCCTTTTGAGGCTGCAAGGCCGGAAGTGATTTCCCAGCTCCAGATCCTTGGATGGGCCTGACATCAGGCTCCTGTCCCCACGGCAGCGGTCCCAGCCTCTGCGCCTGCCACCTCCAGTCCCCGAGCCCACAGCGCCACCCAGGTTGTCTTTTCTCATGTGTCAGCGCTCATTCTTCACTTCTGGCTCTGGAAGGCTGTCGCCTTCACCCAGGCAAGCTCTCCCACATCAGCACTTGGGCCACACCTCATTTCTTTCACTGTGTGCTCTCTGAGGCCTGTAACCACTGCCCCTCAACCCAAATTCTTCCATCTTCACCAGCATGAGATAGCTCCCCTTTTTTCCCTTCGTCTCTGAGCTTTTAAAAAAGTCTAACTGGTTTGCCTTGCTTAATCCTCTTTTCCCTCTTAACCCATGGAGACAGAGTTTTTGCCCCCATCCTGACATTGTTTTCTAAGGACTGCTGGATGGGGTGTTGCCGTCCCTCCTTGAAGTGCATCTGCCCCATCCAGAGGTCTCCCTCCCTCCCGCTGCTCCCCAGACTGCTGCCACCTCTCGGCATCCCCTTCATGGCCTCTCCAGCGTTCCGACCTGCTCAGCCCTCTCCGGGTCAGACACCAGCATCTGCCTCTTCTCTCTGTCTTTAGGGATTTTCTTCTGACTTCCAGGCCTGCCATCCAGGTGGGCACGGGTGCCCGCAGAGCCCACCGGGGGCTCAAGCATCACCCTTATTTCCGAGGACAGCAGGGCACCCTGACCTCTGCTGCCCTCAGTCCCTTCCCCTCCTGTGGACTTCCTGCTGTCCCTTAGACTGGCCACGCCCACTCCTGCTCTTGCTCCTCTGCAGGGGTCCTTCCCTCTCCAGCCCAGCATGGTCTCCATCCAGCCTCTGCCCACATTCCCTCCCCAGGGAGGCCTGGCCCTCTTGGCTAGCACCACCCTCCCATTTGTCAGCTAAACCATCACTACTAGACATGTCACATCTTTGTTGATCTCCTGTGCTCCTCACTGGGTTGGGAGTCCCCAGAGGGCAGGGACCTGGTCTTGTGCACAGTGATCCCAGCACCCGACCCCACACATGAAAAAGGCCCAGTAAACATCTGGTGATGGAACCAGTGGGGGCAGTCAGTCCCCATGGCCCCCGACCCCATTGGTCCCAACTAGCTAGTGTGTCCTGTTTCTTGTCTTTGCTCTGCCCAGTGCCGTGCCTTGAGGTGCTCTCCTGGGCTGTGGCAGCAGTCTCCTGGTCACCCTGCCACAGATGGCCTCCTTCCAGCTCCTGCGTCACTCGCCTTCCAAAGGCACATCTGGGTGTGTGCAAGGTGGCATCTTCTGAGTGCTGTCAGCTGTCAGGCCCTGCGCTGAGGCAGGAGTGTGCACACAGCACGTGCTGGTGCACTGAATTCTCACTACAGCCCTGTGAGATACATCCTGTTGTCCCCACGACATTGAGTGGCTCACCGGGGCCACGGCAGCAAGGGGCAGAGCCAGGTGTTAAGCTGCAGCTGCCACCACTCAGCCCTCTTGGGTCCTGAGCACACCATCATCTGACACCCACGTGGCCTGTACTCAGCTTCTCCCTTTTCTTCCCTGCGGGAACCTTCCAGTCCCCACCCAGGACCCTGTCCCCTCTGCATCCTGTGGCCTCATCCTCTTCTGTAGCAGGGACTGGGACTGTGTACTGTGAGTCTCTGCTGAGCTTGACTCCCTTGGACGTCTCTGAATTCTCAGAGTCTTGCACGATGCCTGGCACATGTGGACAGAATGAGTGGTCCTCCTCTCATGGTAAGGGACACCCTTCCCCAGTGCAGCATGGCTGTGTGTTGGTGGAGGGCACCCGCAGCCCTGCCCTCCCTCCCACAGGAGCGCTCTTGCGTCAGAGCCCCGAGCTCGCCGTGGTCTGGGGTCTTCCAGGTGACACCTGGCCTCCTTGGAGGCAAGTCACACAGCATTGACGCACTTCTCAGACAGTCCTTGTCGAGTCCCCACATGCCCTCACAGACAGAGAACCCGCTGACAGGCGGCAGGGACGGCTCAGGCACATTCATATCAGAGCTGTCAAGGTCCAGGTTTCTACCTTTGAGGCTTTGGGGTTTAATTACCTCGGCAGGGCGGGGGAGGTGGCCAGGCTGCAGTATCGACCCGGCGCCTGCTGCCCTGACATTATGAGACTAGAGGCAGGGATGATAAACTTGCTGCTGTCCTGCACCCCCGCAAAACAGCGCTGCTCTTCTCTTAATATTGTCTTTCTGGTGAGCAAGGGAGGCCGTGCAAGCAGCCAGCTGTCTGAAGCTTCTGTGCCTGGGGATGCACAGTGGGGAACAGGGTGGGGAAGGGGTGCCCGCAGATTCAGCTGAGAGAGAGTGAAGCTCCCAGGGCAGATGTGAGACACACATGAGAAGGCAAAGAATGGCCCAAGCCAGGGCTGAAGGACACATTTTTGGGACCCACGTGATGTGTGCTTTGGTGCATGTGCCCCTCTCTGCCCTGCCTTCGAGTGTGGGCTCTGAAGCCCTGCCAGGCCAGCAGGGCCCATGTTTTCAGTTCCTGGGTGGACACGTCAGTTCCATGAGGCGAGACCTCCCTCTGTGTCCTTCCCCTCCGTGCCCAGAACCGTGCTGTGTCAAGTGACAGCACTAGGGCAGCCAGACCCCCATCTGTCTTGCAGGGTTTATGAGGGACTTGCGTGGGACTCATGAGGAAAGCAACGGCCCAGAGGGAAGGCGTCTGGGAGGGCCAGCAGGTTCAAGCACTCAGGATGTAGAGTGCTTCTGCTTGGTGGGGAGGATCTGGAAAAGCTACTGGTAGATACGGCCTATGAGAAGTGCCTCGAAGGATGACTGGGATCTTGGTGGGAGGGAAAGGACTGTGGGATCTGCAGAGGTGAGGCGTGGGAAGCTCAGGGCATACTCAGGGGCTGGCATGAGGGCCACCTACCTTCAGTTGTAGCTGGAATCAGGGGAGAAACAGGACACAGGGCTTGGAAAAGATCCAGATACAGAAGGGCAGGACCCCAGGCTGGGGACTCCTGTATATTTGTGGAGGCGCAGGGTGGTGGCTGTGCTGAAGGTTCTTTCTACAGGTGGCCGGTGGCCCTGGGTTGCTGGGGGTGGGGCAGGCAGCGAGAGCCATGGTCCCCCTCTCCCCTCTCTTTGCTGCCCTGTCAGTAGCCCTGTGGGTGATGTTTGCCTCTGCTGCCTTTTGTTCCTGGGGGATGGACAAGGGGAGAACATCTGCCTCCCACCTGGTCCCCAGTGATGGCCTTTTTCTCCCTAGTGCTTAGCGAATGCCACAGACGGCGTGCGGCTAGCAGCCCGCATCGTGGACACACCCTGCAATGAGATGAACACCGACACCTTCCTCGAGGTTTGTGGCGTCATCAGGCCGGGGGTGGGACCAGGCTGGGGTGGGTGTCATAGACTCCCAGGAGAGCCAGAGGAAACCTGGGGCTGTCCACACCCTGACGTGGCCAGGGAACCTCAGGGCTGCCCTCGGCGGAGCGCTGCTGTCTGCCGGGCTCCAGGAAGCCTCAGGAAAGGGTGTGTGGGGAGGACAGAGCCTCCTCTTCAAGGCCCCTTGGCAGGACCACAGCCAGAGCTACAGGAAATGAGAGTGTGTGGAGGGTGAGCCCCCTCTTCTGGGTTTCATCACACGCGAAGCTGGCTCCCAAGCCCGGCTCCCCGACGCGGCACAGGCAGCGGTTCATCCCTGGCCCCAGCCTCGGCCTCTCCTGTTTCCAGCCATCTTCATGTGTTGTTGTGCTGTTGTTTTTTCCATGAACATGTCCAGGAGATTAACAAAGTTGGAAAGGAGCTGGGGATCATCCCAACCATCATCCGGGATGAGGAACTGAAGACGAGAGGATTTGGAGGTGGGTGGGGGCTGCATCCCTGCAGCTCTTGGCCTCGGGCAGTGGCCAGGGGCACTTGGGTGGCAGGGGGTCGGCGGGCCACATGGCACATTGTCCCAAACTTCATCCTGCTTGTGACCTGAAAGGAATCAGCCTGTGTCCAAGCCCAGTGCCGGACCCTGGGAAGCAGCCGTCCCTGGGGGAGAAGGGGAGGCAATCCAGATTCTGATTTGGATTCTGGAAGCTGCTAGATCCAAGTCCTTCCCTGCCTGCAGCCTCTCCAGCGTCCTCGCGTGCTGCACACCCTTACTCCTGGGACTGGCTCAGCAGGGCCTTTCTGTTCCTTGAATACACAAGTTCCCATCACGGCAGGCAGGGCCTGTGTGCGGATGGCTCTCCCTATCTGGAATACTTTCCCCCAAGATATATTTTTGGTGGAGGCCATCTCAACCAATGCCCCCTCCTCAGAGAGGCCTTCCCCAAGTCCCCAGACCCACCTTTCCCCACTGCCCAGGAACCAGAGGGGCAGATAAGTATGACTCAGCTGCCCCGTGGTGCTTGTAGACTGGCAAGAGGAAGGCGGCTGTCTGTGTTATGTGTGGCTACAAAACAAATCACTCGGAAGATAGCAGCTGAATGCAGCAACACTTATCCCCTCCCCGTGCTGTGGGTTGGGGATCTTCCCCTGGTGCAGCGTCTCTGCCTGCTGTTGTCAGGTTGTTGGCTGGGGCTGCAGTCATCTGAGGGCTTGCCTGGGGCTGGCGATGTGCTTCCGGGCAGGCTCACAACAGGCTGCTGGCAGGTCTCAGGGCCTCACAGGCCATTAGCTGGAGGCAGCAGGTCCTTGCTGTTTGAGCCACCCTCCGAGCAAGGTCTCTGAGCGAGAGATAGGGATAAAGAGCGAGCAAACAAGATGGAAACTCCCATCTTTTTCTGTGACCTAATCCCAGGAGTGATATCTCATCACTTCTACCTTTTTCTTTTGGTTAGAGGTGAGACATCAGGACCTGCTCACATGAGGGGGAGGGACTGCACAAGGACATGAATACCCAGACGTGGGGGCCACAGGGGCCATCCTGGTGGTGTCTACCTAGACAGGAGCCATTTACAAGTGGAGGGAGAGGCCGCTTGTGTCAGGAAAAGCTTCACAGAGGAGGTGGCATTTGCTGTGGATCTTACAGGATGAGTTGGAGTTTGTCAGGCAGCCATGATTAGCTCTCGTCATTGTTGCTATGATTGTTTGACTCAATTATTGCAGGACTTTGAGCCATAGACTCTGCACACGCACAGGCCACAGCTTTCTTGAGAAGATGTGTCATGTAAACCAAAGAGGCAGTGGTGCAGGGACTGTGGGAGCGAGTGTGAAAGGGCGGTGCAGTCCCTGAGTGCTCAAAGGATTCAGGAAGTGGGGACGAGCATGGGCTGGGGCAGCCTTGAGGTGTTATCCAAACATCGTTTCATTCTGCAATCCTGTTCTTTTCTTTCTGGAAAGGATACAATATTTTTTTCCCTTAGTGGGTTTTCTTGCTTAACAAACAACACTTTGCATAGAATTTGTTTGCAATCTCAGACATTGGAGCTAATTTGCATTCCCCAATCCCACACTGGCCAGGGGCAGGAGAAGGGGCAGGGAGCACCAGGCTCAGGCAGGCGGCTCTCCAGGAGAAACACCAGCCGGCCAGAGTTTCCAGGGGCCTCTGGGAGTTCCCCGCTCAGCTCAGCCCGAGCCTAACCCAGTTCTCCCCACGCTTTCCATAGGAATCTATGGGGTTGGCAAAGCCGCCCTGCATCCCCCAGCCCTGGCCGTCCTCAGCCACACCCCAGATGGAGCCACGCAGACCATCGCCTGGGTGGGCAAAGGCATCGTCTATGACACTGGAGGCCTCAGCATCAAAGGGAAGGTGAGGTGCGGGCTGGCTCTCAGGGTGCCCTGGGGGAGGGGAGGGGAAGGTGAGGTGCAGGGCCCGGCTCTCCCGGGTGCCCTGGGGGTGGGGTGGGGTGGGGTGGGGAGGGGAAGGTGAGGTGTGGGCCCGGCTCTCCAGGGTGCCCTGGGGTTGGGGTGGGGTGGGGTGGGGAGGGGAAGGTGAGGTGCCGGCAGGCTCTCCAGGGTGCCCTGGGGGGGGGGGAGGGGCCCAGTTTGGGTCCAGCCAGCCCTCTGAGAGGTGTCATGGGGTGGGGGGCGGCGAGGTTTCTGGGGGTTCTGGGTTGGGGTGGGTTCGGGGAGAGTGCGCAGGGCGGGTTCCCATGTGCTGAGGCGACAGCTTCACGTGGCTCCCTGGGTTTCATGCCCACCCTTCAGAAGGGTCTGGAAACAAAAGCCTGGCCAGGGCCCAAGAGCAGCCCCGGAAATGACGGAAGAAATGGCAAGCAGGGCCAGGGAGGCAGGGCTTGCTGCTTGGGGGCTTTGTCCCGAGAAGAGAAGGGCAAGGGGACGCCTGTGTCTCTGAGTCTGCCCATGGTCCCCACTGAGAAAACGCTCAGAGTGGCCACACAAGACCCTCCAAAGGCACGTGACCCCCAAGAGCGAGGGGAATCTGGGCACGGCACAGAAGCGAGTCACCCGGGAACATCCCGGTGCGGTGGCCCTAGAAGCCTGTCCCGTGGTACGGCTTTCTGTCCTGCCATCCCAGGAGGACAGGTGCTTGTGGAGCCCCCGTCGTGGCCGAGTCTGCCCGCCCCAGCAAGCCCTGCCCTCCTCCGCACCATCTCCATCCATTCATCCTACACACCGTGTGAGCAGCCTCTGTGCTCAGGCCTGGGCTGGGAAGGACAGGGAGGGAGCAGACTGGGAAGTACATACCTCAGGAGGTCTGGAAGGAGCAGGGAGTGCATCCGCAGCAGACACTGCAAACTAGCAGCCTGCAAGGCTCACGGAGGCCTGGCATTTTTAAAATTTGAATTAGCTACCAATATTTGAAACCAGGAAGGATTCTCATCAAAGCCTGGATTTCCGGCCTTTTGTGCACTCAGAAGGTCTGCCAGTGCTGGCGTTCTGTTCCCGCCTGGCAGCATTCCCCTGCAGCCAGTGGGCCTGCCCCTGGTGTCACCCATTCTCCAGTTTGGTTTGCGGTAGGCCCCACCACTTGCTGCTGCCTTCCTGACACTGAGCCCTAGTGTCAGCTGCTGTTCAGGGTGGCGCTGGTGCAGCTCGCCGCGCTCTCTAGCACGCCTAGTTTATTTCATACCTGGAGAGGATGAGCAGTTCCCATCCCTCCTCTAAACCACAAAACTGTTTAGAACTAAGCAGAAAATGACACTAATCATAAAAAGGGTTTTTTGTTTTTTTTTAATAGAAAAAACATGCCTCCCTATGGGTCTCTTGGGGTAATAGATGGTGGAATGAATGTTTGTTTCTGGCTTTGGGTCTTAGCATCTACACGTTTGACAATGGTTTCATTTAAATTGATCTTCTTTACTAATGTATGTTCAGTAGGCAGAGTTGCCAGCTGTCTTCACTCATAGTTGGTCCAAGAATACTATCTGTTAACTTTGATTTTGAAGAGCTCCAATCTCGTGAGGCAACAGATACACAGATACTTAGGAAAAGTCTTTAATACGGTATCATTTGGCAGAGATTCTTAAAAATCCCATTTCACAGTAAATTCCAGCAATCACAACACCCACTGTGTGTTCAGTTCTTCAGGGTGGATTCTTGTGGCTTTCAGATGTCTGCAGAACAAAAGCATTTTGGACACAGTAACTCCAAGTGTTCACATGGAATGAGGGAAGTGAAGGAACGCAGGTTCCGCGTCTTCGTTTTGACCATCCCGCACTCTCGTGTTTTATTTTGGGTCCTCTGTTTCGACACCGGGAGGTAGGAAATCATGGGCCCTGGAGGCCCCGACTGTGCCCAGAGCCAGCCCACAGGATCTGACTGTCAGAGCGATTCTCAGAAGGAATGTGGGTAGTAGATTTTGTGTCGGGTCATTGCTAACGTCCATGTAATGTTACTTTCAGGATAAGTAACAACGATATGCGAATTTGAAGCTTTTGTTTGTGTGATTAAAACGCAACCGTAGCCACAGCAATTTTTTAAACTTCAATCAACAACAGATTTTCGGAGGAGGAATATGTTATTGCTGACTTTGTTCAGAGATACCGGCACACGGTGGTAATAAGCAAACTGACTTCTAGTCGGTTATGATTCCTAAATTCGCCACAGATAGTGCACCCCCTACTGCCTGCACCTGGTACTGGCTGCTCCCACCCTCGCACGCACCCTCAATACCCACGGTCACCCTGGAAGCCGCTACATTCTGGCTGGTAGAGTCGTGGACCCTCTTCTCCTTGGATCAGATGCTTGTTTTTGATGTCGGCTTGTTGTGGACCAATGTGAGAAGATGAGCTTCCTGGGAATTCATTCGTTTGCTTGTGGCACTAACTCTAGTCACTTAGGGAAAATATCGTTGCACCTGACTTCATCTCATGTGGCTGTGGGTAGACCTGTGCAGTTAGTCAGCTCCCGGCCTGGAAATTAACACAAAGGAAAAACCTGACCACACAGGCCTTCCCTAGAGGCCACAGCTGCACAGCCTTCAGGGAAGCTGTGGTCTGAGGGTGGCTGGTAGAACTGCCAGAGAGTAGGGCATTTTCCATGGCTCCAGATCACCTTCTGAAAATGCGACTATAGCCCCTGCCTATTCCCGGGGTCCACCTGGTCTGCAGACCCCATAATACCAGGAAGAGCTGGGTGTTCTGGCACCAGTGAAACAATACCTGGTTTTTTATTTTAAACCAGCCCATCTTCCCCGCTGCAGTTGGAACCGTTCTACGTGGATTTGGGATCAACCAGCAGGCCTTTCCTGAGCTGTTACTGTGTGGAGTGGGCGCTGAGGCTCCAGCCATTGATGCAAAGACCCCAATCCTGACCTGAAGGCGCTCACAATCTCTCCCCAACGGCCTGGTGTGAAACGCAGACGCAACGCAGCAGGCATTCTCCCCAGTGGCTGCCTGTAGAGCAAATGGTGCAGAAATGGTCACTCCTCAAAAAGCAAGCCGGCTGGAGCCAGCCCAGCTCCCAGTTTTGCAAGAAAAAAAAAATCACAGCTCCATTTTCAAAGATTTCAAGGGCAGCTCAAGACCAGCCTGGACTAGCAGGCCTCAAATGCATTACTGGAGACCCCTTTACGCTCTTAACAAGTACCGACCCCAAAGAGGCTTTTTGTATAACAATGTCTATTGATATTTACTCTACTGGAAATTAAAAGTGAGAAATTTATAACATGTATAATTCATTAAAAATAACATATAAATCCATTGCATGTTATCATAAATAATTTTATGAAGATAAGCATCTTCCAAAATGAAAAAATAATTTACTGAGAGAGTAGCATTGTTGTACATTTTCACAAATCCTGTCAGTGTCTGGCTTAATAGAAGACAGCTAGGGACCTTGCGTCTGCTTCCGATGTAGTCTATGGAAATGTGTTGTTTCAGTTGAACTGTATCAAGAAAATCTGGCCTCACGCATTTTATAGTTGAAACAGGGAAAAGGATTTTAGTACCTTTTTCAGCTAACTAACTATGAACATTCTTTGCTACTACACCAAAACTCAACAAGTGGTAGCTTCTTAAAGGCTGGTTATAACATGGAATCTGAAGCCTCATGAATAGACTTTTGGGCTCTGTGGCAGTTAAATCCGCTGTTCTCTCTCACTTTGAACATGTGGTTTTTCATGGAAAAATGAATGTTCACTTGAAAAATGTTGGTTCACAGAGTTCTGCAGAAATTCAAATTTTTGACACATTACATTATATAGTATCAAAAAATCACTTAATATCACCATCCATCTCATCAGAAAACTCATTATGAGGAAGTTGTCATGGTGATAGGAGAAAGTTTTTCAAAATTCTGATTTTTGCTTAAAAGCTCAAATGTATACCATTGGCAATAAATAATGTCAGCTGTTTCTGGAAGTAAGAGGCTCAGTTTGTTCCTTTTCTGGGAAATATCTGCCAGATACCTAAATCCAATTAAATGCCATTTGTCTGTCAGTTTTTCTTTCAAGTAAAGATGGTGTCGTGGCCAGAGTGGCTCATGGAGCTCAGAACTCCCCCAGCAATCACAGCTGAGCTTCTGCTCTGACCGACCACTGCCCGTCAGCAACAGCAGGAGTACATTATGAGTCACACGGAATATGGAAAATGTATTGTACCCAAGGGTTGAGAGTTTTAAAAATTAATTTTACTGCTTCAGCAAGGAAATTCTAACGTGAAATTGGCATTGGTTCATTTTCCCAGAGGGCACGGAAACGAATACAGTGGCTCCCGGACCTCTTTGGGACTGTGGCCTGATACTCCAGCACAGGGGGTGTAAGTGTCAGCCCCGTGAAAAAGGCAGAGACCGTCTTAAATCACTGCGAAAATGGTTTCTTCTATAAAAACAGAAACAACATATGGGGGCTGGTGAAACTTTGCACAATCAATCAGTTGAGCTGTATTTGCAAGCCCAGTCCTGGCTCCACCTGCAATTGGGAAGGAGCTGGCAGCTGTGACGGGGGAGACATGGTGTACAGTGAGCAGCCGTTTCCAGGCATTGCTGTGTGACCCATTTTGCACATGGTTTGATTCCAGATCGGAGGCCCTGTTTTTCCATTTAAACAATCCTGTGCTTTCTCAAACAGATTAGCTCAGAAGAGATGGCTTATTTTCAGTAGTACAAGATGGGTCATTTTCACTCAATTATAAAAGCAGCTCAATTTACATCTAAAAATACTTTGCACTAAAATTCAAAGCTTGTGTAATAAGATAAGGGTTCAAAAATGATTCAGTAAATTTCATACCCAAACCTTTACCTCTGAGGACCTGCTGTTAATTTAAAATATGAACTTGTGAATTTGATTTGGGAACCTGTAAAATGTAAAAATGTGTAACACTGTCAACCAGCGTATAGGAAACAGTGTGGACACTGCAGGAGAAGGGTGGCCCCTCTTTAGACCCAGGTTAACCAGGAGGTGTGAACTATTAACCAGGAGGTGTGAACTAGCAGGAGGGCAGAGGTGGCCCCTTCTTCTGGCGATAGACCTGGCAGTGACATGAAGGAGCGACAGGTGTCCTCACTGCTGGTGGTGTCAGTGGGGGTGGATGTGACTGATTTTGGCGAAGAGTTCACATCAACCCTCACCATCATTCAAGGTTGTGATGAGGGGCAGAGAATGCTGAGCCTAAGTCTCGTTAGGTGGTAAAGCCCTCTAAGTGCCAGGGAGAGGAAGCTAGGCCCTGTTCTGGGGGGCGACAGGTGGCCAGGGCAGGTTTGCATTGCGGCAGCAGCCCCTCAGGCTTCCTCCCTGCCATAAGCACACTAGGAATCTGCAATGGGTGCAGGAAGCACGCAAGCCCACCCAGGTCCCTGAGGTGCTGGCCAGGGACCTCCAGCAAGCCCCAGAGGCTCCCTGGACCTCAGCTTCCTTCTCACGCTGTGCGGAGGAGTGGAGAGAGTGGCCCTGCAGACAGACCCCCAGGCGGCGTGGCAGCCCGGGACTGAGGTCAGGGTGCCCGGCGTCAAAGCACGGGGTCCCTGTTTCAATGTCAGAGCCCGGCCACAGCGAATTCTGCAGCTCCGGGCATCTCCTCGGGTTCCCCCTCCGTGCAGTTACTGTTTGATAACCCCAAAGTTCTGTCAAAACAAAAGGGAGCCTCACCATCTATGGCCATGACTCCCTGTTGCTTCTGGAGAACACCCCACTTGGCCAATATGAGGTTCATGAGTTCTGTGGGTGCCCAGGAGGCCTGGTGTGGGGGCTGCCCAGGCCTGAGAGCTGGGGAAGGTGGGGCTAGCGTGGGGCCGGGTGGGGGTGGGGGGCTTCCGCTGCCAGGCCTGGACCTCACAGCTCACCTTTGTCCTGGTCCCTTTGTACCACCCGCAGACTACCATGCCGGGGATGAAGCGAGACTGCGGGGGTGCTGCGGCCGTCCTGGGGGCCTTCAGAGCCGCAATCAAGCAGGTGAGTGGGCCCTGCCCGCCCTCTGCAGGGGCATCCTGGGTGTGCCTCGTGGGTGCTCCCCTCTCCCCTGTCCGTCCCGCCACAGGCCCCACCAGGGTCCTACCCGAGTCTCCCCAGCGGATGCTTGTCCCCCCTCTGCCCCCAGGCTCTTCTGGGGCCCCCAGAGCTTCCCGCCTTCATCAGAGCTGCTCTGGGAGGCCCCGAGGGCAAGGTGCAGCCATGTTCTCTGCTCAGGGCCTGCCTTGGCTCCAGAGCCCCATGAGCGGTTGGCTCAATGAGGAAGCCTGGCCTAGACCCTCATGGCATGTGGCAGGCAGAAGCTCATGGCAGGGGCACACGTTGTTCTGCGTACCCCTCCCGCAACCCTTCTTTGCAGCAGAGCTGCCTCTGGTGACTGGTCTCACCAAGTCACCACCTCCAACCCCCAGGCCTGGCCAGGCCCCCTTCCTCTCTTGCGTGGGCAGGTGCCCCAATGCTTAGCCCTTGCTCAGTGGCAGTAGTCACTCGGGGGGCGTGGGGGGGGTGGGGGGTGACCTTGAGTGACCTTCCCATGGAGCCCAGATGTCCCTGGGGCCATAAAAAGTGCTTATTAAACAAATGAAGAGGCCAGCTCATGCTGGTAATCCCAGAACTTTGGGAGGCGGAGGCAGGAGGATGGCTTGAAAGCCAGAAATTCAAGACTACCCATAGCAACCTTGCAAGACCCCGTTTCTATAAAAAAAAATTTAAAAACTAGCCAGGCGTGGTGGCGCGCACCTGTAGTCTCAGCTACTTGGGAGGCTGAGGTGGCGGAGGATCGATTGAGCCCGGGAGGTTGAGGCTGCAGTGAGCTAAGATCCCACTGCTGCACTGCAGCCTGGGAGATAGAGCGAGACCCTGTCTAAAGAAACAGGCCAATGAGGAGTGTGCATTGACTCATCAGCCGAGGTTTTACCTTCCTAGCCTACCTTTCTCAGGCCAGCAACCCAGTTCCTTGGGGTAAACTTGAAATGGAAAAACAAAAAGGCCTTGGCAAGTAGTTTCCAATCTGGAGGGTCCTGCTCCTGGCCGTGAGGGAGGAGGAGGAATCCCAGGAGGAAGGAGCTCCTTCTGCCGGGGCTTCCCAGCTGGCCGTGCACATTCCAGACTGTGTGACGGGCTTCTGCTACCAGGCCCAGCCGGTGGGGACACGGAGGTGCGGGGCTGAGGCGGCCTGGGCAGGAGGGGCTGGCAGGCCCTCACCTGTGCTCTGCACGGGTTTGGAAACGGCCTCTTAGGGCTCACGGCTGTTTCTCTCGTGCTGAGCACACAGCTGGGGCTGTACGCAGCCTGCAAGCCCCATGCCTCCATGAGCACCTGCCGTGGCCCGTCCACTGCAGAGCCTGTCGGAAGAGGCTGGAGGAGGAGCATGTGTCCTCTGTGCGCTACTCCTTCACTGGTTATAAACTACCAAGGGACACGGCTGGCACTCAAGGAGGGTCTTGACTGCCCCAGCATCATAGGCCACGGGGCAGGGTGGCTCTGGGCTCCCACTACCTGGCCCTCCTCCTTGCCTCTGCCCAGGCCCCGTGGCTTTGGCAGATGGGCTCACCAGAAGAATGCTGAGGCGGACGGGCCCAGCTGTGCGGTGCTCGCTGGGCAGCTCTCTCTGAAGGGAGCAGTTGCTGCTCTGGGGTGGCACGGGGGCAGGGGTGGGCAAGTGGTTCTGGAGGAGCCGTGTGGCCAGCCCTCTGTGGCCGTCTTTGCCGTTCACCCCTGGTTACTCCTCCAACAGAGGGTCTGTCCTGCCTCTGGGACAGGCTGGCTGGGAATGCCCCAGCAGGAAGACTCTTCTGAGCTTGAATTCCCTGTTCACAGGAAGCCACTTGACAAATGATCACAGATTCATCAGGCAGCAGCCGTGAGTGTTCTCAGCACTCCTCCACCTCTAGAGGTGCTGCGGCCTCTAGAGGTGGAGGAGCACCTCTAGATTTGAGGGGTGCTGAGGACACCCCACCCCCACTCTGGACAAAGATCCCCCTCCCACAAGAGCTCCAGCCTGGAGGCTCCACTGTGAACGCGAATGTCCTGCTTGGCCTTCACATATCCTTGTTGGCCTCTTAGAAAGGAATACGCCTCTGTCTGAGCCACAGAATCAATCCTCAGGGTAATGCATTTACCCAGAGAATAAAATCAGCATCCACGTGTCCACACTGGTAGGAATAGATCACTGAAGGAATAAATGAATGGGGGAGAACCGTTTCTCACACTGAATCCCAGTTTCAGGCTGCAGAGGTAGTGATGGAAACAGGAAGTCGTCACCCCACAGCCAGGCTTCATTCCAGGTGAGAGTGGCCCACAGTGCTGGAACTGGAGCATGAGAGTGGGATGGGAAGAGGACAGTCAAATGCTCTCAGAGTGCCTCTCGCAGCTTTATAGTGGTGACACTCACAACCCAGCCTAACCAGGTGTCCCAGGGCATGTCACCAGGGCAGGGACAGAGCCACCTGACATGCCTCCAGAGGCAGTGTACAGGGAAGGACAGAGCATTTCTGCAGGATTCCCACCAAAAATGCATGGCCTGCCTGTAGTCACAAGGACACGTCAGACAAACCCAGCACTGAAAGTGCCAAGGCCACAAAAGACAAAGCCAGACTATGCAGTCGCCCAGATTAAGGAGGGCAAGCAGGCCAGGCTTGATGTGTGGTCTGATCTGATCTGGACGTCTGAGGAGCACATGGAATCTGGATGGTCCCGAGAGGTGATGGTCCTGTGTTGGTGATTACTACCCCCTGCTGCCCATTGTCCCATGGCTGGACAAGATGCTGACATTGGCAGAATCTGGGTGAAGGGTGTTGAGGAATTGTTTGTGGCTTTTTTTTTTTTTTTTTTTTCCCCGAGATGGTGTCTTGCTCTGTTGCCCAGGCTGGTGTGCAGTGGTGCGATCTCGGCTCACTGCAACGCCTCCCAGGTTTAAGTGATTCTCCTGCCTCAGCCTCCAGAGTAGCTGAGATTACAGGCATGTGCCACCACCCTTGGCTAATTTTTGTATTTTTAGTAGAGACAGGGTTTCACCTTGTTGGCCAGGCTGGTCTTGAACTCCTGACCTCAAGTGATCCGCCCACCTCAGCCTCCCAAAGTGCTGGGATTCTGGCATGGGCCACTGCTCCTGGCTGTTTGTGACTATTTCTGCAATTTTTTTGTAAGTTTGAAATTATTTCACAGTGAAATGTTTTGAACTTTTTAGAAAGAGGATGTACCATTCAAAGATGGAAGGGTACGCCAGGAGCTCGGTGGCCCTGGGCTCTGGGGGTGTTAGCGACCCTCCAAGCCTGGCACCAAAAAAAAAAGCCCCTGACCCACTTACCAACCCAAAACCCTTGGCCGCCCTGGGGGACCAGGCCCAAGCCCTGGCGTAGCACTGGAGACCCTTCCCACGCTGTCGCTGAAGCACTCACAGTCCAGCCCCATCTTTGGCCACCCTCTTCTGTTAGACCAGCAAGTCCCAACTGTGCCAGGTAACACCCAGGAAGTGTGTGAACATTGACAGCTCCAGGGCTCACCTCCAGCTCTGCTGAGTCTTGGATTTTTTCAGCCGCTCCTGGTGATTGGAGAACACCTCCAGACTGGCCGTGAGGGCCGCAAGGGCAGGGCCGTGCCTGTGCTGTCTCTGTCTCACGTCTTCCAGCCGTGCAGACCTCAGCACTGTTTGCCCCAGGACTGCAGCTCGCTCGTCTTCTAAGCCAGCACTTCTCAAGTGGGGTCCCCATGTTGTTAGTAATATGGGTTCTCAGCTCTGCCCCAGACCTGCTGGATCAGAAATTAGGGGCAGGGCCCAGCCTTCAGCGGGTAGCAGCCCTCCCTGGGAGGCTGAAAGCATCCATTTGGGAATCCTCCTCCTCCCCGCTCCTCCCTCCTCCCCCCCCGCCTCCTCTCCTCCTCCTCCTCCCCCCCTCCTCCCCCTCTCCTCCTCCTCCCCACGCCCCAGCAGGCTACAGATCCAGAACTCTGCTTTCTAGGAGGACTTCAGGGCTCCCCTCCTTTGTTGGTGGAGCTCATCTCTGTGGCGTCCATGGCCTGGAGCCCCATGGCCTCATCCTGTGACCTCAGGGTCATGCTGTCATTTATTCGTTGTTCCTAAACACCCACTTCTCCCTGGAATGACCACAGGAGGCCTCAGCACAGGGACAGGCCGTGGTCACTGTACACACAGATGGAATGTCAGTGCTGGGGTATCTGGGGAGGAGCTCTGAGAGGAGGAGGCTGAGGGTCCTGAAGCCCCTGCCCCGTGTCCCTGACACAGGCTGGGCTGCGAGAGTGGGAGCGGGGGACTTGGGGCCCTTGTGGAGCTGACAGGTGGCTCCGATATCATCACCCTGAGGCTGGTGGGGTTCTTTCCCCTGTGCTGCGTGGGGGTGCGGGGCCATCTGTGAGGCTCAAGGACTGAGCGGGGACCCAGGGAGGTCTCAGGGACTCGCAGCTGCCATGCCCAGCACCACTGCTGCAGCTCCTGCCACTGGCCACTCCTTGCCCTGCTGGCTGCCCCTGCCCCACCATCCCAAGTGTTTGCCTTTGGTGAGGGCTCTGCACCCGTGGTGGAAGAGTCGGCTGTTCCAGGAGATGAGAAAGACGCTGGATCCTATAGAGCTGTGTGTCCGCGCTCTCGAGGCATGCTCCATGCTAGGAGGATGTATTCTGGTTAAAGATTCGTCTGCGGGAGCAGAGGAAGGGCAGGGACAGGGGTCTGGGAGCTCTACTCCATTTGACATTGCTGCCCGGGTGTGGCCCGCTTCGGGGTCAGGGGGCACCCTTAGAACCTGTGCAGGGCAGGAACTGCCACCATCTGTTGGCCACACATTTCTCAGTGAACAAATGACTTTTGGCATCAGAAAGCCATAACTTCACACCTAAACTTCCACGAGGCTGAGCTCTTCCTGCCCCTCTGTGTGTGTACGTGTGTGTGTGTGTGTATTGAGGGGACGCGGCTGCTGGCCACCTTCTGTCGGCACAGGTTGGCGAGGCTTCATGACTGCCCAGCCCATGCAGTCCAAGAGTCCCACAGCCCAGCCCATGCCCAGGCTCATCCACTGCGGCGGGTGGCCTCTGCCAGGGGAGGCTAGGAAACCCCAGTGGTGAGCCTTGGCCTTGGGATCTGCCAGGACTGTACCCGGGATGGCAGGGAGGGCGAGCTTTGGTCCCTGCAACTTGGAGCCATCTCTCTCTCTCCTGCTGTCTGTGGGTCTGAGAACCCCCAGCTCGTCCTCCCCCCTCCCCAAACCTATGACCTACAACTGGAGCCTCTGCCCACTTCTCCCTCCAGGGTTTCAAAGACAACCTCCACGCTGTGTTCTGCTTGGCTGAGAACTCGGTGGGGCCCAATGCGACAAGGCCAGATGACATCCACCTGCTGTACTCAGGGAAGTACGTCTGGCCCTCCCACTCCTTCCTGCCCACTGTTGGAACTCGCGACCCTTCCCGGCCTGCAATGCCAGCTCACTCCAGGCATATCGGGAGGGCACTCAGCGTTGGGGTCCCCTGGGCAGCAGGCTCCTTGCTTCCCGGAGGGCTGGGGAGCTTTGGTAGCAGGCGCACCTCACGTTGAGGGGCCCATGGCACCTGGATGAGGTGCTAGGCTCCCGTGCAGTGCCTGGCCCAGGAGCTCGTGGTCTACCCTGCATTACCAGGACAGGTCTTTCCAAAATTTAGGCCTGAAATCTTTGGGTGTGTGAAGCTCTGACCCCCAGATTCCCTGCTCGGGGACACCTCCTGCATCTCCCCCTTGAGATTGACCCTGGAAAGTCAAAGCTGAGCTGGCAGCTGAGGAGCAAGTGGCTCCAGAATTCAAAAGAGAAGAGCCCTCTCCCCAGCCCCATGAGCTGGTGCCTGAGTGGGCGCCTCCCCGCATCTCCTGCTCTTCCTCCCCATCTGCCGGGTGCCAGGCACAGTGTGCTGAAGGCCAGCCCAGCCGGTTCATGCCACCCACTTTACAGAAGAAGAAACTGAGGCATGGGAGAGCCAAATGGCTGGTCTCTGGCTCTCCAGAGCAGCGGGGCAGGGATGTCACCTGGAAGCCCTTTGCTCCAGGCACTGCATTGCTGTAGGGACTGGGGGCATCCCGGCCTTCCCATTCAGGGAACGTGTTGGGGTTCGGGGAGCCACAGGGATGGGCAGCTCCAAATGGGGTCTCCCCAGTTTCAAAGGGGCTCATGCCAGTGTCCCAGGAAATCCCGTCCCTGAGCGGGGATCTCTACCATGCCCCAGGACGGTGGAAATCAACAACACGGATGCCGAGGGCAGGCTGGTGCTGGCAGATGGCGTGTCCTATGCTTGCAAGGACCTGGGGGCCGACATCATCCTGGACATGGCCACCCTGACCGGGGCTCAGGTGAGTGCTCCCTGGATCCACCCCTTAGCTGTAGTCCCAGGGAACCCCACCCCACTCTTGACCTCAAGGTGGGGAAGGCAGCGCGTGGGGGCTGCCGTCAGGAAGTTTTCATAACTGGGCACGAGGAGGCAGGAGGAGCTGCCCGTCAAGCTTGGTGTGGGCAGTACCGAGGCCCAGGCTGGATGCAGAGCCGGGAACCGCCTCCTGTGTGCTTCATGGCCATGGTCCTTTCTGCCTGTGTTTTTTCTTTTTTTCTCAACCGTCTCTTTTCTGGCTCCCTTATTTCTCTGTCTGCCTCCCGGTCCCTCTTTTGCCTTGGGTGTTTCTCTCCTGCCGTCCCGTCCACACGCTTCCCGGGTTCCTGCCCGCCCAGGGCATTGCCACAGGGAAGTACCACGCCGCGGTGCTCACCAACAGCGCTGAGTGGGAGGCCGCCTGTGTGAAGGCGGGCAGGAAGTGTGGGGACCTGGTGCACCCGCTGGTCTACTGCCCCGAGCTGCACTTCAGCGAGTTCACCTCAGCTGTGGCGGACATGAAGAACTCAGTGGCGGTAGGTTTGGAGCCTCGAACCTGGAGCCTGCCACATGGGTGGAGCCGGGCAGGCGGAGCCCTGCCTTCAGGGTGCTGGTGCACCCAGGGAGCTGGGGCCCCCCAGAAGCAGCCACAGTGCAGACGAGGGCTTGAGAGGCAGGCGTCAGGGCACAGGAGTCATCCCAGACAGCGTGGGCCACTCACTGGCTTCCCTGCCACACAGCCAAGGGTTTCTCCCCCAGTCTTGGGTCTGGCTCAGTTGCCCCATCAGGCCCTTTGCTGGCTTCCCCCTTGGCCTATGGTGGGGGCAGACTCCTTAGCTCATGGTCAAGGCCCTCCCAGCCCAGCTTCTGCTGCCTCCCCACACGCTCCCTCCCAGCCACCCCGAGCTCCTTGCAGACAGCAATAGTGACAGGCGATGGGGCAGGGTGGAGAGGGCCCGGCCGGAGCAACCCACAGGCACTGTGTCCTCCTGGCCTCCCTAGGACCGAGACAACAGCCCCAGCTCCTGTGCTGGCCTCTTCATCGCCTCACACATCGGCTTCGACTGGCCCGGAGTCTGGGTCCACCTGGACATTGCTGCACCGGTGCATGCTGTGAGTGTCTCCCCTCCCCACTGGCCCTGGCTGCTCCCGCCCGCTTGTCCAAACAGCGCCCCTCTGGCTCTGGAGCTGCTGGCAGAGCTCATCAGAAACTTCTGTCTGTGACCCAGCTTCCAGCCCGCTGTCCCCACCACCCCCAGGTCTCATCCTCCCTGGGAACAGAGTGGCTGCTGTGTGCGACCCTTCCCCAGCCAGCCTGTCCTCCATAGGGGATCCTGGGCCCTGTCTCACCCATCCCCACCCTGAGGAGCTCCCGGGGTGAAGGCAGAGCACACAGGGCCTTGCCCCCTGCCTACGCCTGGCCTGCCAGCCCTGAACGTGTCCAGCCAGCAGCATGGAAGGCTCTGGGCTCCGGCTGGTGCTCAGGATCTCCTTCCTGAGAAGGGGACTGTGGGGCACGTGGAGGGGACCCAGGAGGTGAGGGGTCCCCAGGAACCCCTCCTGTGCTGCAGCCCCACGCCCAGAGTCTGTGTCCTGCCCTTTGCTTGCAGGGTGAGCGAGCCACAGGCTTCGGTGTGGCCCTCCTGCTGGCGCTCTTCGGCCGTGCCTCTGAGGACCCTCTGCTGAACCTGGTGTCCCCACTGGGCTGTGAGGTGGATGTCGAGGAGGGGGACCTGGGGAGGGACTCCAAGAGACGCAGGCTTGTGTGAGCCTCCTGCCTCGGCCCTGACAAACGGGGATCTTTTACCTCACTTTGCACTGATTAATTTTAAGCAATTGAAAGATTGCCCTTCATATGGGTTTTGGTTTGTCTTTCTGGTCGTCAGCGTGGTGGTGGAAACAGCTGAAGTTTTAGGAGACAGCTTAGGGTTTGGTGCGGGCCACGGGGAGGGGACCGGGAAGCGCTGGGGCTTGTTTCTGTTTGTTACTTACAGGACTGAGACATCTTCTGTAAACTGCTACCCCTGGGGCCTTCTGCACCCCGGGGTGAGGCCTCCTGCCTGCCTGGTGCCCTGTCCCAGCCCCAGGTCCTGTGCAGGGCACCTGCGTGGCTGACAGCCAGGCTCTTACTCCAGCCGGGGCTGCCAGCGCATCCAGCCAGCCCAGCCCTGTGAAAGATGGAGCTGACTTGCTGCAGGGGACCTGATTTATAGGGCAAGAGAAGTCACACTCCGGCCTCTCAGAATTCACTTGAGGTTCAATTAAATACAGTCACACCGCCCCCTCACCTGGCCTCGTTCTTCTTTCTCCCCCTCCATTTTAGAAACGGGTCCTGGAGCCCATCTAGGGAATGTAGTGCAGGGCTGCCTCCTGCTTCTCCCAGACCGGCTCTGGCTTTGAGCCCCAGCTGGTCAACCCAGTGTTGATGACAGGAGCCCAGGACCTGGGGAGGACAGGGGGCCGCTGGGCCTAGGCCTGGCCTTCCTGACCATTTTGATTTTCTGGGTGCACACAGCACAGACTCCAGGTGGAAGTGCTGTGGGCTCCTGAACTCTCTACAGCCCGGCAGCCTGCACGGAGGCCGTTCTGTCTCTCGAGGGTCCTGGAGCCTGCGCTGTGTGAGGTCGACTGTGCTTCCGTGCCCCTGGGCACTGTCCTAGGTGATAAAGGGCAGGGCCCCGAAGCCAATTCGGATCTCCCGGGAGCCCCGCCAGGATTCAGGGAACCCCTGAACCTGGGCTCCAGGAAAAGCAGGTGAGGCGGGTCCAAGGCACCCAGGAGCCAGGCTCCCACTGGCTTGGGTGACAGTACAGGCCAGGACCTTGTCCCTGCCATACATCCCCTTTGCTGTCAGTCGCAGCAGGGCTGCCTGGGGCCCCCCAGGAAGGGATTGGGTCTGAGGCCCCACAGGGAAGGGGACAGTGCCCACCTCTCTTCAGCTAGGGCCGAGGGTGAGGACCTGGCTGCAGATCTGTGGGACACGTGGCCCTAGGCTGTGTCCTGAGCCCCTGGCCACCCCACCCCAAGGGTCCCCAGAATCCATGTGCCCCCACAGCCCTGGAAATCAAGGTGACTTTCTGGGCCTGATCGCAAGCAAATATTTATTAACTGCCTGCTGTGTACACAGCCCCGGCTGGGCCTGAAAAGGCAAGAACTGGCTCCAAGGTCCTGGCCCTGTCTGAGGAAACTGTCACCCAACACAATGACAGCAATTGTGGGCAGCAGCCGGGGAGACGGAGCCGGAGCTCCTGAGCAGGGGCGGCTGCAGCCGGGGTTAGGAGCCTTCACGGGTCATTAGCTTGCTTAATGGTGCTGCAGTAGGCCCCGCTTGCCGGCCTCCCCTGAGACACCCAGAAGAGGCAGAGGTCCTGAGGTGGCTGGCTCCTTCTCCAGGGCAGCTGGCACCGTCTGCTCCTGCTACCAGGGGTGCGCCCGCATGGACACAGGATGCAGGGTCAGGGAGCAGGGGAGGAACTGAGTCTCCCTTGTGCAGGCACAAAGGCGGCCTCAGGACCAGGGACCCAGCTGGGCACCAGCTGCTGGCTGGCCTGGCCTGCCTGCCGGCGTCGGGGGGCCCACGGGGGTGAGCCAGAGGCCTGGCTTTCCCTGGGGCCAAAGGGCTCTAGGAGGCAACGGCTGCTTCCCCAGGCCCCACCAGAGCCCTGGCAACAGGGTCATGGGGCGGCTGGCGGTGCTGGGGGGCAGGTGGGTGCTCTGGGTCCACTTGATCATGGTTTCCGGGGAGCAGTGCAGGAAGACGAGCTTGGTGCAGAGCCCCCACAGGCAGGCTAGCGCACAGCCCCAAGGAAGTGCTCCCAGATGAACTTGGCCGAGAGCATCACCATGGCCACGCCAAGTAGGCGGGGCTAGGACCCCACCCACACCCCCTCCCTGGAATCCCAGGGCCCACCTGGGTGATGTTATCCCAGAGACAGGGACAAGAGATGAGAGGATGGAAATGTCTCTGGGAAAAAGGCTGCAGGAGCTGGAGGTGATGAGCAGAGCAGGCGAAGGAAAGGGAGGCCCCTCCTCCCTCCATGTTAGAGAAGGGAGCCCTAGATCTGGCCACCAGCGGCCTGTGCACACCTGGGGCTGAGGGCACACAGGGCTGCACATACACACTCAAGGCCACTGTGAGAACAGGTGAGCAGGGCCAGAGGGCTATGGAAAGCCCGGCTGAAGGCTGCACCTCCAGGCTGAAGAGAGCTTTACCGGCATCCGCCAGGAAGCCTGGGCTCTGGGGCTGTGTCATTGTAGATGACCATTTCCAGGTCGTGGCCACAGCCCCGGTTCTGGTCACAGCTGGGCCACCAATCCTCCTGCGCCACCCACCACTTAGCCATCGGGCCGTCTTCAGGGCATCGGCCGGCCTCAGCTGCTGCAGCCAGACCCTGGCGTTGCGGAAGGCTGGCCAGTCCACATCCTGCAGCCTACGAGGGTGCGCTGTGTGAGGGGTACAGGCCCCGGCCTGGGAGAGGACCCAGATGCAGGCCCCCAGAACTGATGGAAAATCTCTCCCCAGAGGTCAGGTCTTTGTCAGCAAAGGTGGGAAACCAGGGGAGCGGCGGCACCAGGCTCCAGAGACATTTGAAATGACTTCAGAAGACCCAGGGCCACTCAGGGTGACCACATCGGACAGCTGCCTCCCACAGGCTGTGACGGATGTTTAAGCAAGGGATCGATGGTCACCTGACTCTCAGGAGTGCAGGAGAGGCCACTGAGACCCATTCAGAAGGGACTGGGTGTTGGTCCCTGTGGACTCGGCCTCTGGCTGGTGGTGAGGAGGAGGATTTCTCACCACCCATCCTCTGGCCCCTGCTGCCCAAGGGAGCAGACTCCTGTGAGCTGGGTTCCGGGAAGTCCGTCTCCAGCAGGAACTCCAGGCCAAGCGCGCATCTCTGTGATCGTGTGTCACCATGGCGGTGCGTGCGTGAGTGCATGCGTGTGCACTGGTCTGTGGCCTGTGGTGCGTGAGTTCCACTAGGACCCATGTGAGGTGGAGGGTCTTCCACCTCCCCTCCCATTCGGGCCCTCCCTGTGCCACACAGACACCCATCTGTGCCTTCCCCTTCTGTGCCACCAAAAATGGAAGAGATAGACACTTAAAAGAAGCAACTCAAATGGAATGAAATCGTTTCTGTTGGGGAATGCTCAAGACGTTCAATCATCTTAGAAAATCCCACCCCACCTCCCGCTGCAGATTAATTACTGTAAGTGCAACTCCAATCGGGCTGGTGACCCCCCAGGAAACCTCTGAAGCTGTCCCAGGCTGTTCCCAACATGGGACCTCCACTCTGGCACACCAGGACCCGAGGCCCCTGACAGGCTCCTCGTTCCTGCCTCGCTCAAGGCTCAGGTCCCCCACCTGAAATACCCCCTCCCACCAGCATCTCCTGCCTCGCTCCTGCTGCCAGGTCCCCAAAAGCTCTTGTTCATGAGCTCGCCTGCCATCCACAGCCCCCACCAGAACCCAAGTGGCTGTGGAATTCGCTGCCCTGATTCTCTGCCCAGAGCCTCGGTCCAGACTGTGTTCCCTGGCGAATTAGTGTTCAGCATTTTTGTTTATTTGTTTGTTCTTTAACAAAAGTTGTTTTGGTTTGAGATTCAGCAAAAATACACACTGCATTCAGCTTCCTCTCCATTCAGGATTCAGTAAATTGGTTGTTTTCCTGTCTGCTTCGAGTCCTTGCCTCAAATGAGCCTTCAACAAGATAATGCATTGAAAAGCCCTTGGAAAAGTACCAGGCCCCGCGCACATGTACAGCCCAGGCCCCACGCACATGGACGGCATTGTCATCATGCAGCTCTCGGAGGCAAGGCCAGCAGCACACAAAGCTCCCACCTCACCCACATTAGGCTCAGCTTCTGGGGAACATTGGCCCAGGCGGGGGTCCTTCCCCACGGCCTCACAAATAGGGCTCAGGAGGGGTGGGGCTGCCTTCATGCAACCCTGCTGCTAGGCTGGTCCCCAAAGCCCAGACCTGTGCCCCTCCCCATGGCCTGGGCTTGCTTTCTTCCCTTGCACAGGGCCAAGGGGACAAGGATGCAGCAGATGAGATGCTAACACACCCTCAGGGAGGTGACAGTCCTTCCTGACATCCAACCGATGGGCCATCTTTGCTTTCAGTGCCTGCTGGAGTCCCGAGGGCTTTGGGGATCAGTCCAGGCAGCATTCTGCAGTCAGGAAAACAACATTGAAAACCAAAACCCACAATTACAAAGCATAGAAGCCTGGTTTACGTTCACCGATGGCACAGTTAGAACCCACGGCAGCCTCCAGCTGAAACGATCTGTTCCCATTGGCTGCATAAGAAACTCAGTGATGTCATGGACCCCTTTGCCTCCCTTAAATCAGTTTAGCAGTTACCCCAACTTCACAACCGTGAGTTCTTTTGAGGGCCTGAGACCCCCCTTTCTCCTAATGAGTTGGATAAGTTTCTGTGGCATCCATGACCCAGCTTGTTCCAGTGCATGAAGGCCCAAAGCCAGCTTCCTTGTCCAACAATATTTGCTAAACACTACTGGCATGCAGTCCCTGAAAAGCAGATCCCTCCTGCAGGTGTGTCTTCCCAGCCTGCAAGTGGAACGGCTTCCGGAAGGAGGAGCCGGCACGGCCCTGCAGGAAGCTGGAGGAGGGCTGTGCCCCTGGCACCCACAGGGGCGGGGGTGACTGAGGACTCCCCCCTGCCCCATCGGGGTGTTATTAGCCATTACCAGAAGAGCTAATGTGTCATCAGCAATTTGCCACATGCAAGGCAGCCCCTGGGAGGTGCTGTTATCTTCCCCCCTATTCCAGCAGGTGCAGAAGCCCCAGGTCGCACAGGTTGTTTGTGAAAGGGAAGGGGGCATCCAAACCCCGATGGCCCAGCAGATTCACGTATGCTGGCTGATGAAGGTGGGAGGGAGGGAGGGAAGTGAATAAATAGAAGGCCGGACAGAGACATACAGCCAGGCCAAAAGGACTCATTACTGTTGAATATCCCAGACTCATTACTGTTGAATACCCCGGGCCTCGGTCTCCTCATCTGTAAAATGGATGGGCCTTGCAAAACAAAAACCTTCATGACTTTGGATTTGTCATTGATTTCTTGGCTATGACACCAAAGGCACAGGCAGCAAAAGAAAAAATAGACAAATTGGACTTCATGCAAATTAAGAAATTTTGCACATCAAAAGACAGTATTCACAGAGTAAAAAGGCAACCCACACAATGGGAAAAACATTTACAAATCATATACCTGATAAGGCATTGATATTCAGAATATAAAAACTCCTAAAGTGCAACAACAACAATAAAAGAATCTGATTCAAAAACACTCAAAGGACGCTTCAATAGATAAAAAAGGACACAAATGGCTCAAAAGCACAGGAAAAGATGCTCGGCATCACCGTCATTCAAAAAATAGAAATTAAAACCCCGGTGAGAAACCACGCTGCACTCATTAGGAGGGCCACTATCACAAAAACAGAAAATAACAGGTGTTGGTAAAAATGTAGGGGAATCACAACGCTGGCGCACGGCCGGTGGGAATGGAAAATGGGTCAGGTGCTGTGAAAAACAGTATGGCGGTTCCTCAAAAGATTACAAATAGAATGACCACGCGATGCAGCAACTCCACTTCGGGGTATACACCCCAAAGAATTGAAAGCAGGGCCTCGAAGAGATATTTGCACACTCAGGTTCACAGAAGCATTATTCACAATCGCTCAAATGTGGATGCAACCCAAATACCCATCAGTGGATGAACAAGTAATAATCAAATGTCACAAATACAAGGTGTGGATGTTCAGCCTTAAAAAGGAAGTTCCAACACAGGCTACACCGTGGATGAACCTTGAGGAATTATGCTAAGTCAAATAAGCCAGTCACAAAAACACAAATACTGTAGGATTCCACTTTTACGAGGTAAGTTAGAGCAGTCAAAATCATAGAGACAGAAAGTAGGAGGCTGGTTGCCAGGGGCTGAAGGGAGGGGGGAATGAGCAGTTAGTGTTGAACGGGGATAGAATTTCCATTTTACGAGATGAAAGGGGTCGTGGAGATGATGGTGGTGCGGGTTGTACATTATGAATGCACTTAATGCCACTTGACTATACATTCAGAAATGGGGAAGATGGCAGATTTTATGTTACGTGTATTTTACCACAATAAAAAGATAATACATTTTAAAAAATATAGATGGGCCCTGGACTCCTCTGGCCACCTGTGCCCCGGGAGGCAGGATGGGTCCGTGTGCCATGCCCAGGTCAGCAGAACTGGGCTCAAATCCCGACTCTGCCACTTTTGTAGCTTTGAGTCCTGGCGTCAGTCAGCCAGATTCTTCACCTGTGCAAGGGGGACATATGTCCATGAAAGTGCCATGTAAATGGGCAAAAGACGACTCCTTTGCTCACGTGGTAAACCCCACCCTGCAACAGTTGTGCTCGGCAGAAAACCCTCTGTGCCAGGGCACTGCTGGAGCAAGGAGGGGCTCCTACAGGCTCTCTCGGGTGTGCGTGAGCGTGCAGGCCAGTGGGTCTCGTGTTTCCTTATCCACGTAGTATACCACGTGCTCGCTGGCTACTTCCACATTCATGACCAGAGACTCATTCCTGAATTGGGGAAGGAAAAGCCAAGTGCAGATCCGGAGAAACAAAGGTAGCCCCAGATGCTCGGGCCCAGCTTCCTTCCCCATCCCAGTCTGCACCCTGCACCCTCTGCCCTCTCAGCTCGGCTTCCTCCATCCAATCTTCGCTTGGCCCTGAAAATTCCAGGCAGAATAGACACACATGGCTCCTGCCCACTCCTGTGCAAACTCGTGGGCCCCCGAAGGAAGACATGGTATCTTCCTATGGCTGGGAGATGTCGCAGTCCCATTTCCTCCCCATGCTATAAATAAACGACTCACAGACAGCAGTTCTAGGCAGAGGGAATGGTGTCAGGGAACACTGCAGGCCCCCACCTCCCCTCCGTGTGTAGTTTTGTATTCACTCATTCATTCAATGAACATTCATTGTGCTCCTGCTCTGTGTCAGGTGCTGAGAGACGAAGTTGAGGAGAGATGGCCCCTGCCCTCCCAGGGTTCACAGTCCCGCCAGGAGGACAGGTGCTCATCACAGTATTACCCAAAGAAATACACCACAAACTGGGATGACTGCCGTGAAGTATGGGCAGGTGGTGTGATGAGGACATTTTAAAGGGAGGCCTGTCCTTGCTTGGGGAGGGGACCAGGTAGGGAACGCCTCCCTGGAGGTATAGATACATGAGCTGAGAGTGCAAGGATGTGAGTACTCAATGGTGCAGAAGATGGGAGAAATCAGTTCCAGTGCAGGGTGCAGCATGTGCAAAAGCCCAGGCTGGAGTGGGCTGTGACAAGTTACAGAAATGCAAAGGAGGCCACTGCTGCTGAAAAGGAGAGGGGGGCACGGGGATGGGGGAGTGAGATGGGGTGGGAGAGGTGGACACAGGCCTTGCAGGTCACGAGAGAGTGCTGTGTGAATATGACCATTTCCCTGAGGACGCCCCAGTCCTCAGCACGGGGTGGCTGGAATTCCCACAGAGAGCCACAGGCTTACTGGCTTGAGAGTGAGGGAGTGGAATTTGGGCTGTCAGAGCCCAGGGAAGTCCCAGGGATGGGGGGAAGTGAGAATGTCCTGCAAGGCAAGAGACAGAGCACCCTGAAGCTCGGTCTGACTCCTGTTTCTGGTCATGGTAGAGCTGCAGGGGCTGCATTTAACTACTGCTTTAGATGAGTTAGAAAGCCAGACAAATCTATAGAAAGCATTGTTTCAGACACAAGAAACATGCAGCCCCAGAGTGATGCCTGCGAGAAATGGAACAAATGAGATGCGCCTCCAACCAGCCCAGCTCCCTGCCTGGGGAGAGTTTCCAGGTGTGGCCCAGGGAGGAGAAACCCAAGCCAAGCCCAGGCAGGTGGCCTCCATGAGCTCAAGGGACAGAGTTGAACATCCAGGATGGCCAAGGCAGCTGGAGTTTGCTGGACACAGAACTCGGAAGAAGAGAGTGGCACAGAGAGAAAGGAATCCAGAGACGGGCAGGGGGTTCCCCTGAGTCTTCATGGAGTACTGAGTACTCCTCAGCACATGTGAGGAGGACACTACCCCAAGCTAGGGAAGGAACCATCCTAAGGTGCAGAGGGGACAAGGACCACTCACACAGCACCCAAACAGGCCACATTCCCAAGAGGCAGGAGCACAGCAAAGGCTTTGAGGTCTGAACTGCCATATACAACAGCACTCAAGCTCCAGGCTCACCTCTGAGCAGCGCATGCACTGGTCACCTGCAAGTCACACAGCCAAAGCTCTTAAGAGAGAACTAACATCTGAACCACCGCTCATGGGAGAGAAAGAATGTGCAGTGTGAATTTCACTGGATTCATTGCCCGCTAAAGAGGAGGAGGAGGAGGAGGAGGAGGAGGAGGAGGAAGAGTTGGATGATGAGGAGTGGGGGAAGGAGGAGAGAAGGAAGAGGAAGAAGAAGAAGAGAAAGGTAGAAAAGAAGGAGAAATAAATTAGCATTCTCCAGAAGATTTAAACAGGATCCAGTCTTCTAACATACAAAAACTACAAGTCCAGGATGAAAACCCAACATTATTTGACATACCAAGAATCAGGAAAATCTGACCAATTCTTAAGAGAAAATACAATCAAAAGATGCCAATCCTGAGATGACCCTGATGCTGGAATTGTCGGATGAAGACTTCAGAGAAATGATTATAACTATCCTTCACGAAGTAAAACTTAAAAACATTGAAATGGATGGAAAAATAGGAGTTTGACAAAGAAAAACTATAAAAAAGAACCACTAAATGTGATGTGGTATCCTAGAACAAAAAAGGACATTAATGTAAAAACTGGTGAAATCTAAGTGGAATCTGGAGTTTGGTTGGTAGGAACCTACCAATGTTGGCCTGTTGGTTTTGACAAACATTCTATGGTATGTTAATGTAAGATGTCAAAATTAGGGAAAACCGGGTGAGAAGTAAATGGAAATGCTCTGTGTTTTATCTTGGCAACTTTTCCGTAAATGGAAAATTATTACAAAATAAAAAGTCTAAAGAATCAATATGGCAGAAGAAAGAGCCAGTAAACTTGAATATAGATCAATAGAAATTATTCTAACTGAAGAACTGACAGAACAAAAAGATTTCAAAATATGAGTGCCTCAGGGACTTGTTAGACAATATCGAAACATCTAATACTCTTATAATTGGAATCCCTAAGAGAAGACAGATTGGTGGAGATAAATATTTTTTGAAAAGAATGATAGCAGAACCTTTCCAAATATGGGAAAAGACATAAATTTACAGGTTCAAGAAGTTTAGAGCACTCCAAACAGGATGAAATCAAAAAAATGCACACCCAAACACATCATAATCAGATTACTGAAAACCAAAGATAAAGAAAAATCTAAAAAGCAGCCAGAGAAAAAACATACCTACCGCAGTGATAAACAATGACTGAAGATTAACCAGAAAACATGGTTGTCAGAAGACATGGGAACACATCTTTAAAAACATGAAACAAAAGAACTGTCAACTCAGAATTCTACATAGAGCAAAAATTGTCAAGAATGAAAGCAAAAAAAAAAAAAAAAAAAAGACACACTCTGAGGAAGAAGAAAAGACTTAAAGAATCCGGCCAGGTGCGGTGGCTCACGCCTGTAATCCCAGCACTTTGGGAGGCTGAGGTGGGTGGATCACGAGATCAGGAGATCGAGACCATCCTGGTCAACACGGTGAAACCCCGTCTCTACTAAAAATACAAAAAATTAGCCGGGCGTGGTGGCAGGTGCCTGTAGTCCCAGCTACTCGGGAGGCTGAGGCAGGAGAATGGCGTGAACCCAGGAGGCGGAGCTTGCAGAGGGCCGAGATCACGCCACTGCACTCCAGCCTGGGCGACAGAGACTCTGTCTCAAAAAAAAACAAAAAACACCA
The DNA here is from genome assembly GCF_000001405.40 of Homo sapiens. Classification (NCBI taxonomy): domain Eukaryota; kingdom Metazoa; phylum Chordata; class Mammalia; order Primates; family Hominidae; genus Homo; species Homo sapiens. Next base: position 58,725,494 of record NC_000020.11, read on the forward strand.
GTAGACCTACTCTAAAAGAAAGGATGTTGTTCAGACAAAGGAATTACACCGGTATAAGACTTGGAACTTCAGGAATGAAGGAAGAACAACAGAAAAGGTAAATATCTGGTAAATATAATGGGTTACTTTTCTTCTCCAAAGTACCTAAAATGTATATAAGCTATAAAAAGCAAATATTATAACATTATCAAGGGCATTAAATGTATGTAGATTTAATACTTATGACAATTATAACAGAGGAGTTAAAAGTATAACATAAAGAGGGTAAAGTATGACACAGAGAAGGTAAAGATAACCACATAGTTATAAGCCTTCTATATTTTACATGCTACGATGAAATACTAACTCTAAATAGATTATGAAAAGTTAGGTATGTATATAATGCCTAAAGCAGCAACTAAAAAGTAATGCAAAGAGATACAGCAATAAAAGCCAATAAATAAAATAAATAGAATATTAAAAATATTCACATAATTCAAAAGAAGCCAGAAAAAGGAACATAGAAAACAATGAGAAAATAGAAAAATAATAAAATGGTAGACCTAAATGTAACTATATCAATAATGACATTAAATTGAAACAATCTAAATATAGCAATGAAAAAAATTGTCACATTGGATTGAAAAAAAAAAAAAAAACAGGATCCAATCATATGCTACATGATATGGTTTGGCTGTGTCCCCACCAAAATCTCATCTTGAATTCCCAGATGTTATGGGAGCAACCCAGTGGGACGTAATTGAATCATGGGGGCAGGCCTTTCCTGCGCTATTCTCATGATAGTGAATTACTCTCATGAGATCTGATGGTTTTGAGAAACAGGAGTCTCCCTACACAAGCTCTCTCTTTGCCTGCTGCCATCCATGTAAGACATGATTTGCTCCTCCTTGCCTTGTGCCATGACTGTGAGGCTTTCCCAGCCATGTGGAACTGTAAGTCCAATTAAACTTCTTTCTTTTGTAAATTGCCCAGTCTCAGATATGTCTTTATCAGCCACATGAAAACAGACTAATACACTATATATAAGAAATACACTTTAAATATAATTGTATAGACTGGAAATTAGTAAACTATGGCTCAGAGGGCAAATGCAGCCCATGGCCTGTTTTTAAGAATGGTTTTTACATTTCTTAAGGGTCGTGAAGAAGAAAAGGAGGGGAAGAAAGAGGTAATAGAAACCATATATAGCCACAAAACCTAAAATATTTACTATTAATAACTGGCCCTTTGCAGAAAAACGTTTGCTGGCCCCTCAATTGATAGATTAAAAGTAAAAGGATAAAAATGATATACCAAGCAAATACTCATCAAAACAAAGCAGAAGTGGCTATGTTACTATCAGATAAATAAGACTTCAGAGCAACAAAAAATTACCAGGTACAAATAGGGGTGTTACATAATAATAAAATAATCAATTCACCAAGAAGATGTAACAGTCCTAAACAGTAGATTCCCCAATGACAGAACTTCAAACGATATGACACAAAAACTGATAGAACTAAAAGAAGAAATCCACAGTTATGTTTGGAGACTTCATCACTTCTTTCTCAGTATAGAATACATAGATGGAAATTCAGCACAAATTTAGAAGACCTGAATAACACTGTCAACTTGACCTAACTGATGTTTATCAGCCACTTCAGCCAACAGTAATGGAACATGTATTCTTTTCAAGTACAAATGGAACATTCACCAAAATAGATCATATTCTGGGCCATTAAAAGCTTAACAACCTTAAAAGAATTAAAAATTATATGATGTATAGTCTCTGACCATCAAGGACTTAAACTAGAAATCGACAACAGAAGGATATCTGGAAAATTCACAAACATTTGGAAATTACACAACATACCTCTAAATAATTTGTGTGTCAAACAGAAAGTGCCAAACAAATGATCTAAGATTATACTTTAAGAAACCAGAAAAAGAACAAATTAAACCCAAAGAAAATAGAATAAAAGAAATGATAACGATAAGGGCAGAAATTCGTATACTGAAAACAGAAAAATAGAAAAATAAATTAAACCAAATGTTAGGTTTTTGAAAATATTTAATACACTTGATAACTCTCTAGGGAGACTGACTGCAATAAATAGAGAAAAGACACAAATTATAAATATCAGAAATAAAAAAGGAGATACCACTACAGACACTACAGATATTAAAAGAATAACAAGGTGATACTATGAAGAATGCTACCCATAAATTAACAATCTATATAAAATGATGGATTCATTGAAAGACACAAAACACCAAAATTCACCCAAGAAGAAAGTGTTAACCTGATATGCCTTTGTACTAAAGAAATTGAATTCTTATTTTAAGACATTCCAATACACAAAACTCCAGGCCCAGATGCTTTCATAGGCAAATCCCACTAAACATTTAATGATGTAATAATATCAATTATATCCAAGCTCTTTCAGAAAATAAGAGAGCACTTTCTAACTCACTTAATGAGGCCAACATTATCCTTCCTGATATCAAAAACAAAGACCTTAGAAGGAAACTAAAGGTCGATAACTCATACACATCTGCACAAAAATCCTCAACAAAGTAGTGGTAAGTCAAACCCAGCAATATACAAAAAGACAATGTATTATGACCAAACGAGGTTTATCCTGGGAATGCAAAGCTGGTTCAGCATTAGGAAATACATTAATGTAATTCATCATGTTAGCATGCTAAAGAAGGAAAATCATGTGATCATTTCAATAAATGAGGGAACAGTACTTAAGAAAATTCAACATCCATTTATGATTTTAAAAAACCTCTCAGCAGGCTGGGTGCAGCAGCTCACACCTGTAATCCCAGCACTTTGGGAGGCTGAGGCAGGCAGATCACTTGAGGCCGGGAGTTCAAGACCAGCTTGGCCAAGATGGTGAAACCCCATCTCTAATAAAAATATAAAAAAATTAGCTGGGCATGGTGGCAGCCACCTGTAATCCCAGCTACTTGGGAGGCTGAGGCAGGAGAATTGCTTGAACCCGGGAGGCAGAGGTTTCAGTGAGTCAAGATCACACCACTGTGCTCCAGCCTGAGCAACACAGCCTGACTCTGTCTCAAAAAAAAAAAAAAAAAAAAAAAAAAAAATTAAAAAACCTCTCAGCAAACTATGAACACAAAGGTTTTCAATCTGGTAAAGGGTATCTACAAAAGAACTACAGCTAACATTGCACTTAATGGCAAAAGACTCAAAGTTCTCCCAAGGCAAGGATATCTATTCACCACCATACTGAAAGCCCTAGAATGTGCAATAATGCATGAAAAAGTTAAAAAAAAAAAAAAAAAAAGAACTTGCAAGGAGGAAATAAAGGCAGATAACATGACTATCTGTGTAGAAAATGCTATAATCTACTGTATTCTACAGAAAAGTCTCTAGAATACTAAGTGATTTTAGTAAGGCCAGAGGACACAAGGCCAATATCAAAAATCAGTTGTATTTCTATATATTAACAATGAATATTTCAAATATTAATTTTAAAAATCAGCATCATACCCATGTTCATAGCAGCTTTATTTTCAATAGCCAAAAGGTAGAAGCAACCCAAGTCTCCATCAATGGATGGATGGATAAATAAAATGTGATACATGCATACAATGTCTGTATATTCAGCGTTAAAGAGGAAGGAAATTCTGACTTATGGTTCAACTTGGATGAACCTTGAAGACATTATGCTTAAGTAAAACAAGATTGTCACGAAAGGACAAATACTATTATTACTCCACTTATATGAGTTCCCTAGTCAGATTCATAGAGACGGAAAGCATTATGGGGTTTCCAAGGGATAGGGGAAGGGACACTAAAGAGTTCATGTTTAACAGGGACAGGTTTAGTTTTACATCATGGAAAAGAGTTCTGTGGTTGGATGGTGGTGATGGTAGCACACCATGTGAATGTACTTACTACCACTGAATTGTACAGTTAAAAATGGTTAAGATACATTTTATATGTTCATTGTACCACCATTTTGAAAAATTTCAAAAGTCAGGTTTAAATGGGAAGTCTAGAGCTAAAACATTGCAATATCTCACATGAAAAATTCACTAAATGTACTTAACAACATAGCAGAGACAGCAAAAGAGAGGGTCAGTAGACTTAAAACAGGTAAATAGCATAACACAGAAAAGAAAGATGAAGGAGAATGAATCGAGTTCCAGTGACCTTTCAGACAATATAAATCAGCTACATACACACACACACACACACACACACACACACACACACATATATATATATTTAGAGGGAGAGGATGGAACTGAAAGACTATTTGAAGAAAAATAGCCAAAAATTCCCCAAATTTGGTAGAAAAAAAATCAATTAAGATCCAGAATGACCAGCAAAAACACAAGCAAGATGAATGTAAAGAAAACCATGAAAAGAAGGTCATAATCATGTTGCTGAAAACCCAAGACAAAAAAAAGTTTCAAAAGCAGAGATAAAAGACGTTACAATCAAGGGTGACAGTACAAATGACACCGACTTTTCTCAGGAACAATGAAGATTAGGAGATAAGAGAACAACATCTTCAAATTTCTGCATTAGGAAAAAAATTTGCAAACCTCTCAACTCAGAATTCTATAGGCAGCAAAAATATCTTGGCTGGGCGCAGTGGCTCACGCCCATAATCCCAGCACTTTGGGAGGCCAAGGCGGGTGGATCACCTGAGGTCAGGAGTTCAAGACCAGTCTGGCCAACATGGTGAAACCTCGTCTCTACTAAAAATACAAAAATTACCTGGGCGTGGTGGTGGCCGCCCGTAATCCCAGCTACTCAAGAGGCTGAGCTAGGAGAATCGCTTGAATCCAAAAGGCAGAGGTTGCTTTGAACCAAGATCATACCATTGCACTCCAGCCTGGGCAACAAGAGCGAAACTCGGTCTCAAACAAACAAACAAACAAAAAATACATCTTTAAAAATGAGGATGAAATAGTGACATTTGCTTTTATTTTTTTCTTTTCTTTTTTTTGAGATGGAGCCTTCCTCTGTCACCCAGGCTGGAGTGCAGTGGCGCAATCTTGGCTCACTGCAACTTCCACTTCCCAGGTTCAAGTGATTCTCCTGCCTCAGCTTCCTGAGTAGCTGGGATTACAGGCGCACACCACATTTTCTTTTTTTCTTTTTTTGAGATGGAGTCTCCCTCAGTCACCAGGCTGGAGTGCAGTGGCGTGACCTCAGCTCACTGCAATCTTCACCTCCCAGGTTCAAGCAATTCTCCTGCCTCAGCCTCCCAAGTAGCTGGGACTACAGGAGTGTGCCCCCACACCCAGCTAATTTTTGTATTTTTTTGGTAGAGGCGCGATTTCACCATGTTGGCCATGATTGTCTCGATCTCCTGACCTCGTGATCTGCCTGCCTTGGCCTCCCAAAGTGCTGGGATTACAGGCATGAGCCACCGCGCCCAGCCAATAGTGACATTTTCAAATGTTGAAAACAGTAACAATAGGAACAACAAAAAACTGAGAATTTATTACTAGTAGACTTGCCCCACAAGATCTTCTAAAGCAGGGTGTCCAATCTTTTGGCTTCCCTGGGCCACAACGGAAGAATTGTCTTGGGCCACGCATAAAATATACTCACACTAATGATAGCTGATGAGCTAAAAAAAAAAAAAAATCACAAAAAAACTCATAATGTTTTAAGAAAGTGTATGAATTTCTGTTGAGCCGCACTCTAAGCTGTCCTGGGCTGCATGCAGCCCACAGGCCACGGGTTGGACAGGCTCATTCTAAAGGATGTTGTGACTGAAGGTAAATGACAGCAGATAGAACTCAGATCTAAAGGAAGAAATAAAAAGCAACTAAAATGGTAAAACATGGATTATTTAAAATAATTTTTTTTGAATTTTCTTAGAAGACAACTGACTGCTTAACCAAAAATTATGACATCATATGGCAAGGTGTATGACGTGTATATGTAAAGCATATAGCAACAAAGAACAAAGGATGATGTGAGAGGGGATAAGTGGAACTATATTGTTGTAATGTTTATATATTTTAGATGAAGTACAGTATCAAATACTCTTATTCAGAAATTATCAGCACCCTGGCTTCTCTAAACTCCAGACTCTCTGTTCAACTCATAGAGTCCACTGAATTTCGCATACCCACTCCCTGTGCTGTGGGGTAGAAAAATCTTTTCAGGCGCAAAAAGAGGAAAAAGGAAATAAGAAACAAATGAAACATATAAAAATATATAACAAGATAATAAATTTAAATTCAACCATATTACAATAAATGTAAATAGTGTAAACACACCAGTTAAAAGTAAGAGATGATAAGCTTGGATATAGAAAAAATACCCAACTCTAAGCTGTTTACAAGAAATCCACTTCAAAAGCTGAAAGTAAGAAATAGTAAAAGGATGGAAAAAGGCATATGCTAACACTTATCAAAAGAAATCTGGAGTTGCTGTGTTAGTATAAAGATAATGGGGATTTAAGGGCAGGAAATATTACAAGGAAAAGGAGGATAATTTTAGAGTCATAAAAAGGACCATTCCTGAAGAAGACCAAATCATCCTAAATTTATACACCAAATAATAGAGCTTCAAAATACATGAAGCAGAAACTGGCAGATTTCAAAAGAGAAATAGACAAATTCACAGTTAGTTGGAGTTCTTGAAACCTTTCGATAAAACAGGTAGACAGTAAATATACGGAAGACTTGAACAACGACAGCAGAATACACATTATTTTCAAGGGCACATAAAACATTCACTAAGATCATGTTCAGCATCATAAAACAACTCTCAATAAATTTATTAATTTGTTTGTTTGCTTTTATTTGTAGAGATGTGTTGCTATGTTGCCCAGGCTTGTCTGAAACTCCTGGCCTCAATTGATCCTCCCACCTCAGCCTCCCAAAGTGCTGGGATTACAGGTGTGAGCCACCATGTCCAGCCTCTCAATAAATTTAAAAGAACTGAAATTGTACAAATAATATTCTTTGACCATAATGAAATGAAATTAAAAATTAGTAGCAAAAATCTCTGGAAACTCACTAAATGTGTAGAAACTAAAGAGCATTCTTTAAAAAAAAATTCCATGGGTTAAGGTAGAAATTACAAGAATAAGTATAAAATATTTGTACTAAATAAAAATTAATGCAAGACTTAAATTAGTGGTAGGCAGCTAAAGCTTAGAAGAAAATGTCAAACATTAGATGATTAACATTAGAAAAGTAGAAAGAACCCAAATCAATGATCTAAACTTCTACCTTAATAAACTAGAAAAAAAGGACAAATTAAACCCAAAGTACAAGAGAAAATAGAGAAAAGATTATAGAGAAATCAATCAAAACAAAACTTATTTTATTTTTTAAGATGGAGTCTCACTCTGTTGCGAGGCTAGAGTGCAGTGGCATGATCTCAGCTCACTGCAAACCCTGCCCCCCTGGGTTCAAGTGATTTTTGTGTCTCAGCCTCCTGAGTAGCTGGGATTACAGGCACCTGCCACCACACCTGGCTAATTTTTGTATTTTTAGTAGAGATGGGGTTTCACCATGTTGGCCAGGCTGGTTTTGAACTCCCGACCTCAAAGTGATCTGCCCGCCTTGGCCTCCCAAACTGCTGGGATTACAGGCATGGGCCACCATGTCTGGCTGCAAAAGCTTTTTTTTTGAGAATATCAATAAAATTGATAAGCCTCTGACCAGATTCATCAGAGAGGAAACAAGAAAGATATAAATTAGCAATAAGAGAATTAGAGATGATTACTACAAATCATATAGGAATGAAAAGGATAATAAGCGAATATTATGAACACCTTTTTGTCAATAAATTTAGCAACAGGTCAGATGAACAAATATCTTAAAAGACACAAAGAATAAAAACTCACTCAGGATGAAATATATAACCTGAATAACAATATAACTACTAAATAAATTGAATTTAAATTTGAATTTGAATGAATTGAAGCTGATTTTGTACTTTAAAGCCTTCTCACAAAGACAACCCCAGGGCCAGATGACTTTGCTGGTGAATTCTACCAAATATTTAAGAAATAATATCAATTCCATGCTAATTCTTCCAGAAAACAGAAGAGGAAGTTCCACTTTCAAACTCTTTTATGAAGCTAGCTTTGCTCTGAGACATACACATCACAAGAATAGAAAACTACAGAACAAGATCCCTCATAAATACAGGTGCAAAAATTATCAATGTACTTACAAATTGTAAAAACAAAAATAAAATAGATGTATTTATAAATATATATTTATATATAAATTAAATATATATGTGTATTGAAATATGTATGTATAATGTGTGTGTATATATATAAAAGACATATATATATATATATATACATGAGATACCTCATGACCAAGTGGAGTTTATCCTGGGAATTCAAAAGGGCTGGTTTATTGTTGGAAAATCAGTGAAATGCATATATCAATGACACACAATCACCTCAACATGTGTGAAAAAGTCCTTTGACAAAATTTAATGTTCATTCACAATTTTTTAAATTCTTGGCAAATTAGGAATAGAAGGAAACTTCCTTAACCCAATAATGAGCAACTACAAAAATCTTCAGCTAATATTATGGTTTATGGTAAATTACGGAATGCTTTCTTCTTAAGATTAAGAGCAAGGCAAGGATGTACACTCTCACCATCTTATTCAACAGAGTCCAAGAAGTCCCAGCTACTGTAATAAAGCAAAAACAAAACAGAAAAAAACAAAACAGGCCTATGCTATAAGTATCAGCTTAACAAAATATGTGCATGATCTCTATGCTGAAAATTATAAAATGCTGAGGAAATAAAAGACCTAACTAAATGGCGAGACATATCATATTCATGGATTGGAAAATTCAATATAATAAAGATGCAAATTCACCTCAAATAGGTCTTTAGGTTTAATATAATTTCTATCAAAATTCTAAGTTTTAAAATACACATAGACAAGCTTATTCTAAAATTTATATGGCATTTTGGGAGGCCGAGGCGGGTGGATCACTGGAGGTCAGGAGTTTGAAATCAGCCTGGCTAACATGGTGAAACCCCATATCTACTAAAAATACAAAATAATTAGCCAGGCATGGTGGTGGGCACCTATAATCCCAGCTACTCGGGAGGCTGAGGCAGGAGAATCACTTGAACCCGGGAGGCAGAGGTTGCAGTGAGTCAAGATCGTGCCACTGCACTCCAGCCTGGGAGACAGAGCAAGACTCCATCTCAAAATAAATAAATAAAATAAAATAAAATATATATGGAAAGACACCACCCAAGGATAGCTAAAACAACAAAGACCAATAAAATGAGAGGACACACTCTGATATTTAAGGTTTACACTTTAGCTACAGTAATCAAGACAGTACGGTACTGGTGGAGGGAACCACATCAATGAATGGAATAGATTAGAGAACCCAGAAACAGACCCCACACAAATATGCTCAAAACTGATATTTAACAAAGGTACAAAGGCTATTCAACAGAAGAAGGATCATCTTTTCAACAAATGGTATTGGAGTAACTGGATATCCATAGGCAAGAAAATGAATATCTACCTAAATCCCACACTTTACACAACACTAACTCAAAATGATTATGGAGTTATTATTGAACTATAAACTTTTAGAAAAAGACATGGGAGAGAATCTTCAGGATCTAGGGCTAGACAAAGAATTCTTAAACTTAATACCAAAAGCATGATCCATAAAAAGAAAAATGGATAAATTGAACCTCATCAAAATTTAAAATCTTTGTTTTACCAAAGGCCATGCTAAGAGAATGAAAAGATATGGACTGTAAAAAAATATTTGCAAGCCATATGTTCAACAAAAAATAAACTAGTATCTGAAATACATAAAGAATTCTCAAAACTAAACAGCAAAAAGCAAACAACCGAATTGAAATCTGGGCCAAAGACATGCACAGAGATTTCACTGAAGAGGATATACAGAGAACAAATAAACACATGGAAAGTTGTTTAACATCATTAGCCATTAAGGAAATGCAAATTAAACCCACAATGAGATATCACTAACACACCTAGCAGAATGACTAAAATAAAAAATAGCAATAACACGATTATCACTATTTACAGAGAAAATAGATCACTCTGTATTGATAGTGGAAATATAAAATGGTACAGCCAATCTGGAAAACAGTTTGGTAGTTTCTTGTGAGATTAAACACGCAATATGACCCAGCAGCTGAACACAAATGGAAATGTATGTTCATGAAAAAACCTGTATGCATATGTTCATAGCAGCCTCATTTGTAACAACCAAAAAAGAAACAACCCAGATGAACTTCAGTGGGTAAATGGTTGGACAAACTGTGATACATCCATAACATGGAATACTTCTCAACAATGGAAAGGAACGAAGCATTGATTTATGCAACAACTTGGATGGATCACAAGATAATTATGCTGAGTGGATTTCATCAAAATTAAAGAGTTTTGTTCTTCAAAAGAAACTGTTAAGAGAAGGACAAATATCACATGGTCTTACTTTTATGTGGAATCAGAACAAGTTGAACTCAAACAAGTAGAGAGTAGAATGGTGGATACAAGAGAGCAGAGCGGGAGAAGTCACTGGGGAAGGGAGAGATGTTAGTGAAAGGGTACAAAGTTTCATTTGAGAGGAATAAGTTCCAGTGATCTATTGCATAGCACAGTGACTATAGTTAATAATTTATATTTCAAAATTACTAAAAGAGTAAATTTTAAATGTTCTCACCATAAAGTGATGATAAGTATGTGAGGTGTTGGATATGTTAATCAGCCTGATTTAATCATTCCATAATGTGTACATGTATCAAAACATCACATTTGACCCCATAAATATATACAATTATTATTTGTCAATTAAAAATAAAATTAAATTCTTTTAAAAAGACCAAAAGGCTGGGCATGGTGGCTCACACCTGTAATTCCAGCACCTTGGGTGGCTAGGAGGTCAAGGCTGAAGTGGGTCATGATTGTGCCACTGCACTCCAGCCTGGGCAACAGAGCAAGACCCTGTCTCAAAAAAAAAAAAAAAAAAAAAAGAGAGAGAGAGAAAAGAAAGAATAGCACCCTGTTTCCCCCAAAAAGCACTGTTAAGAAAAGGCAAAGGCAATCCACAATTTGGGAGAAAATATTTGCAAAACATAATTGACAAACACTTTTATTCATAATAAAGACCTCTTACAATTCATTAATAAGAAAACAGGCACCCACTTTAAAATGTCCTAAAGATTTCAGAAGACGCTTCACTAAAAACATATGTAGATGGCAAATGAGCACATAAAAAGATGCTCAGCATCATTTGTCAGTAGGTAATTGCAAATTAAAACTGTAACCTAATACTATTACACACCCATTGGAATAGCTACAAATTTTTTAACTGGCCATAAAATATTGGAGAAGATGTAGAGCAATTGGGACTCTTCTACACTGTTGTAAGAATGTAAAATTATACAACTGCTTTGGTAAACAGTTGAATCTTTTTTTTTTTTTTTTTTAAGTTAACCAAGACCTATCACAAAATCCAGTCATTCTACTTCTAGGCATTTATGCAAGACAAATGAAAGCCTTATCCCTATAAAGGCTTACTACACCTGAACGTTTACATCAGTTTTATTTTTCATGGACAAAAACTGGAAACAACGCCAATGTCCATCACCATGTGATAAAGAAACAAATTTTGATATTTATTTATTTTTTTCATGAAGCAATATGACCTAAAATTTTGGTATTTCTTAAGAAGCCAGATTAAATAATATAGCACAGACTATGTAGATTTATCTATATAAATTTCTAGAAAATGCAAATGAATCTATAGTTACAGAGAGAAAATGGCTGCATGGGGACGGAGGTGGAGAGAGAAAGGAATTATAGTAAGACATGAATCAACTTTTATATGTGATGAAAATATTATCTTGATGATGGTGATATTTTCACAGATGTCAGCATTCACAGTATGTCAGCATTTATCAAATTATATACTTTACATATGTGCAGTTTATTGTATGCCAAGTATACCTTGATAAATCTCTTTTAAAATTCCTAGAAGGATTGATCAGGAAAAAAGGGGAAACCCCACAAATTGCCAGTATCAGAAATAAAGGAGGGGTATCATTATAGATCCTACAGACATCAAAAGGATCATAAAATATATTATGAGAGATTCTATGCCAATAAATTCAACTACTTATATGAAGTGGGAAAATTCTTTGAAAACACAATTTACCCAAACTGACACAACTTGGAAAAGATACTCAGATTGTTCCAGTATCTATTAAAATTGAATTTGTTTTTAAATCCTTTCCACAAGGAAATTTCAGCCCAGAGTGTTTTACTGGTAAATACTATCAAACACTCAAAGAAGAAATAATACAACTCTTACATAAACTCTTTCAGAAAATGGAGAAGAAAATTGTTCTCAAATCATCTTAGAAAGTTAGTATAATCTAGATACCAAAACCTGAAAAAGACATTATAAGAAAATTATAGACCAATGTGCCTCATGAAGCAGACACAAAAAATCCCTAAGATAACATTAGCAAATTGAAGTCAGTGATATACAAAATAATAATACATCATTATTAAGTGTTTTTTCCAAGGAACAGTTAAAAATCAACCAATATAACTCACCATATTAACAAAATAAGCAGGCAAAACAATATGTTCATTTCAAAAAATACAGAAAAAGTGTCTGACAAAATTCAGTGCCCACTTATGACAAATTCTCAGCAAACTTGGACAAGAAGAGAACTTTTTCAAAAGGATAAGGGACATCTATGAAAATTCTAGTAAACATCATATTTATTGCTGAAACATGAAAGGCTTTTCTCCTAAGATTGGGAACACGGTAAGGATGCCTGAACTCACCATTCCTCTTCACCAATGCACTGAAAGTCTAGCTAGTGCAATAAGGCAAGAAAAATAAGAAGCATATAGACTGAGAAAAAAGAATAATCCTCCCTATACTTAAAAATGACTGCCTACGTGAAAAAAAAAGTTAAAGAATGTACAACAATAACGATTAGAACTAATAGGCACATTAAGCAAGGTAATAGGATACAAACTACATATATGAAATTACATTTTTAATTTTAGCAGCAAGTAATTAGAAATGAAATTTTAAAACAATTCCATTTATAGTAGTATCAAAGCCCATAAAATATTTAGGAATAACTTTAAATATGTACAAGCCTTATATGTAGAAAAGTAGAACATATTTCTCAGAGAAATTAAAAACCTGAATAAATGGATAAAAACCACATGTATGCCTTAGAGACTCAATATTGTTTAGATGCAAATTCTTCCCAGACTGAACAGATTTCTCTAGCTTCAACACAATTCTAATCCAAATATGAATAGAATTTTTAAATAAAATTGACAAATTGTTTCTAAGATTTAAATGGAAATGCAAAAGGCTTAGAATAGTTAAAAAGAAAAAATACTCAACCTTTAAAATAAACAACCAAGTTGGAGAACTTGAACTTACTGGTTTAAAAATATATCAGAAGCTACAGTAATCAAGGTGGCGTGGAACTGATGGAATCATAGACAGATCAATGGATCATAATAGATAATCCAAATATAGACTTAGACATACTCAGTTAACTGATTTTTTACAGAAGTATCACGCCAAGTGAGGAAAAAAAGCATCTTTTCAGCAAATGGGCTAGAAAAACTAGGAACATATATAGAGGAAAGAGTCTTGACTCCTACTTCACATTACACAGAAAAATTAATTTGAGATGGATGGATCATAGACCTAACATAAGAGCTAGAACTCTAAAGCTCCTTGCAGAATACATGGGAAAATATCTTCATGGACGTGAGGTAAGCAAAGATTTCTTAGACCCCAAAAGCACTGATCACAAAAAGAAATACTAACAAATTGGCCTCATCAAAATAAAAAACTTCTGCTTATCAAAAGTCAACATTAAGAATATGAAAAGGCAAGCCACAGATTGGGAGAAAATATTTGCAATACATATGTCTGACAAAGAATTTATACCCAGAATATTTAAAGAGCCCCTACAGTTCAATAATAAAACAACATAAACAACAACAACAAACAGAAAAAGACTTGGATAGATATTTCAGAAAAGAAGATATACAAATGGATAAAAACATGTAAAGTTACTCGATATCATTAGTTATCAGGGAAATGCAAATTAAAAGCACAATGAGATACCATGTCATACCTATCAGAAAGTTTGAAATTCAAAAGATTGATGATACCTACTGTTGGTGAAAACGTGGAGCAACTGGAACTCTCAGACATTGCTGGTGAGAGTGCAAAATGGTGCAGCCACTTTGGAAACTTTCTAGATTTCTTTAAAAGTTAAACATACAACTACCCCATCACAAAACAATCCCACTCTTACATGTTTACTTAAAAGACAATGTATGTCCACAAAAACAGGCACAACCCAATATCTATTAATAGAAGAATGAAAAATTGTTGTATATATTTATATGATGATGTATTACTCAGCATTAAAACAAACTGACATATGCAATAATACGGATGAATCTCAAAACTGTCATGTTCTATAAATAAGTACATATTCTATGATGACATAGTTCAGATCAGAGAAGACTGATCTATGATTATGGAAATTAGGCTAGTCCAGTCTAGTGAGTGTGGACTGGAAGAACCATGAGGGAACTTTCCGGAGCAATGGCAATGATATCTATCTTGATTGGGGTAGTGATTACATGGTTATTTGTGTCACTCACAACTCATAAAATTGTACACTTATCTGTGAATTGACTGTATGTAAATTTCATCTCAATAAAAAGTTATGACATATTGTTATCACATTGTTGAAAACATATTGTTCAACCTTCAATTAACGTCATCACATCCTCATATGCCCCATTTAATGTTCCAAATTTGCTCCTCAAAAAAATCCACGACAAAATACGAAATAGATAATAAGGCAAAAAAGCTCAGAGGCTTGTCTGAGCTTTGAGTCCTCCTCTAGGACAATAGCTGGAGGAGCAAAGGCTTCAGGCTGGGGAGCAGGCACTGGCACCCCCACAGCACCACGGACAGGCACCTCCCTTCCTCCACTCTGGGGATCTTGTAACTATAAATGGCAATCTTGACAGGCATGTGCAGGGGCTAGTTGGTCATGTCACCTGCTGTCTTCAACAGGGACATAAAAACCAGGGGGAACCGCATGAGGAAGATCAAAGCAAATGTGATGACACCCCCAACTCCATGTTTCCCAGCCTCCTCTTCTGCTCAGGAGACTGGGGTGTTTCTGCTGAAGAGGGCAGGCAGGTCAGGGCCATGCCTTGGATCAGACAGACGTGGACTCAAGGGAGGGCAGGTTGGCAAATCACTCTTAAAAGTTGGAGGAGGGTGGTTGATTCAGAGAATGTCACGCTAGGGTCAGGGGGAGCTGGAGTCATGTCCCAATGCCACTACTAACCAGCTATGTGACCTTGGACACACAGCCGCTCTAAGCTTCAGTCTCCTCCTCCATAAAATGGGAATGAAAGGATGCCTGCTTTGCCAGGTGGTTTTGAGCACTCCCAAGTGATGGTGGGGAGAATTCAACATGGGCTCTGCCATTTTACTGAGGATTCACTACAAACTCCATGAGCCCTGGGAGCCAGGGTCAAGCTGCCAGGTAAGCACCTGGCACACTGGGCAAGACATGAGTCTCACTGCTGTAGGGACAGGACTGAGGCAAGGAAAATTGCCACCCCCACGCCACCCACCCGCACCCACCTTCTCAGACTCCCACCAGTGCTTCATGATGAAGACCTTTGCACACAGGTTCCCCAGATGGATCCAGTTAGAGAGGCTGAGAGCAGTGTCCATCCATACCCAGTCTATGACAGCTCTCGGCTCCAAGAGGAAAGGCTCAAGGCAGAACCTGGAGCACAGAGGACCACCAGGAGGTCACCAGGGGACACTGGTCCATCCAATCTGTCCATGCCATGTCATGTCTCCCCATCCTGTCACCCAACCCATCCATCACCTCATCCATCCCATCATGTTCCACTCCACCCCAATGCCTTCAAAACCCGATATACCCTATTTATCCCATCCCCATCCACCTCAGGCCCCAGCCACCACAGCGATCCCATCTGTTCACCACCCTTTCCACAAATAATCACATTCTCCAGCAGGCCATGTGCTAAGTATTCAGGATATGTGGGTGAAGAAGGAAGACAGAACATTGGAGTAGGATGACACTGATGACCTGCAGGGAGCCAGGTATGATCGTGGTAAGTGTTGCAAAGGAAGTCACCAGGCAGTGGCCGGGTACGTCAGCTTGGGGGTTTGGGGAAAGCCTTTATGCCAAGACCTGAAGGATGGCACAGAGGATGAGACAGAACCAGCTCTGCAGCAGAAGGGTGGAAGGAGCTGCTCTCAGGACTGCTGGCCCAGGCAGAGAAAGAGCAGGACACCGTCCAGGAACAGAGGGCCCCTCTTTTCTCTCTCTTGTTTCTGTCTCTTTCTGTCTCTCTCTCTCTCTCTTTCTGCCTCTGTCTCTCTCTATATATGTGTGTGTGTATATATATATATATATATATCTTTTTTCTCTCTCTGTATCTGTCTCTGTTTCTCTCTGTCTTTCTCTATGTCTGTCTCTTTCTGTGTATATGTATATATATGTATATATATATATTTTTTTCTCTGTTTCTGTTTCTCTGTCTCTGTCTCTATATGTGTGTATTTCTTTTTTCTCTCTGTGTATCTGTCTGTTTCTTTCTGTCTCTCTCTGCCTCTGTCTCTATGTATATACGCGTGTGTGTGTGTGTGTGTGTGTGTATATATATTCATATATATATATATATCTTTTTTCTCACTCTGTTTCTGTCTCTCTCTCTGTCTCTCTCTCTCTCTCTCTCTCTTCCTGTCCTTTGACTTGGTCTCCAAGGCCTGTTCCAATGTCTCCTGACTCCAGAAAACCCTCCAGACTTTCCCTCCCATCCCCAAGCAGAGCAGTCACCCATTTGGCACAGGCCTCAGGACCCAGAGACCCTGATGGACTCTGGCTTGGACTGTGGTCTGCTGTTAGTAGATGTATGTCCTGTCTCTTCAGTGGCATTCTCAGTCTCTTGAGGGGTCCAGATGCCTTTGACACTTCTGTGAGCCCTGAGACACAGAACAAGACATGCTCCTTGAAATCCAGAGCTGGAGGGAACCCTGGCTGTCCCCACGGTCACTGCATCCCATCTCCAGCCACTGAGCACAGACTGGAGCTGAGGGCATTGTGAGGCAGTCTGGTCTCTCTTTCCAGCCCCATCCTGGCTGGCAAATATCTCAGGTTCCCAGAGTCTTTAATGACTTCTCAAGGAGACGAGGAGCCCTGGACAGGGAGGAGGCAGCAGCTGCAGGGCCCCTGAGAAGCCCCTGTAGCCAGCTTAGCACAGGGCCTGTCCTTTGCACTGCAGCCCCAGCCTGATTTGTATCCAGCTTTCCCCTTAATTAGTAGGAGCTTTTCAGAGAAGCAATAAAACAACAACATAGCAACTTGGACGGGGCACAGAAGGCAAGAGCCATTTCGGTAATGGAGTCGGTGGAATTGCTATTCTAAAGAGAGAGAGTGACCACTCTCTGCTTTTAAGAAAGCTGAGGGCAATGCTATCCTGTCGTCTGCCTGGTTATTAAGGATAACTAATGGCTGCCCCTGCCCCCAACAACAGAAGGAAATTGCAGAAGGAAATTCCATGAATCCAGAGTCCTGGGCAGTGATTCCCAGGAAACCAAAGTGCTGAGCTCGACAGTCTGGGGGGAGCTGCATAGGCCCGGGGCTCGTTTGCTTACCGTGAAGGCCTAGTCAGTACCCAAAGAGGATGAGGGCAAAGTTGAACACGTCCACCAGGAACGTGAGGACTTAACCTCCAGCTGGCCTGCAGGTGGGTGAAGTTGTGGAAGAATTGGCAGATGGGGTGGTAGACCTGGAAGGTCCTGAAGGCAGAGGAGGATGCTGTGGGCCACCCCCAATTTGGACAATTCCTCACAACCAGCTGGAAGGTTCTAGGAGGATGCCATAGAGGACTCCGTGGTTTGACAGATGGGGAAGCTGAGGATGGCACATGTGTTTATTTTTCCCAAGCTTGTATTTGCGAAGAGCACTGAAGGCAAGTACTCTGGTGTTCAGGGACCGATCTTCAGGGGAATGCCGGGCTTCTTTCTCACAACACCTGAATTCCTCCTACCATGAGTGCTGTTGCACAGCACTAACCCAAACACAGACGCTGCAGGGTTAGTCCAGTGCAGCTGGGGAAGAACAGGTACCAGGTTTATGTCTCCACTGTGTGACATTAAGCAAGTTGCTCTGTTTCTAAGCCTCAGGTTTCTCACCACTGAATGGCAGTGGTGAGCCCTAGCCTGACTATGTCATGGGGGGGCATTGAGGGGAAACGTTGGAGTCAATGTGAAGCCACCTTGGGAATAAGAAAGTGCAATGGGCATGTGTGATTATCTCCACAGCTGGGCAAAGAGGATGGGCAGGTAGGGAGGTGGGTAGATTGGGTGAATAGGGAGTGGATGGGTGGGTGGATACATGGAGGAGGGTGGAGGGATGGGTGGGTGAATGGATGAGTGGATGGGTGAGTGGATGGATGGGTAGGTGGTTTGATGGGCAGGTAGGTAGGTGGATGGATAGATGAGTGGGTAAACAGATGGGTATGTGGGTGAATGGATGGACAAGTGGATGAATGGGTGGGTAGGTAGGTGGATGGAAAGGTAGGCCATGAATGGATGGGTAGATGGATGGGTGGGTAGATGCATGGATGGGTGGATGGATGAGTGGGTGGATGGGTGGGTGGATGGATGGGCGGGTAGGTGGATGTGTAGGTAGATGGTGGGTAGGTGGATGTGTAGGTAGATGGTAGGTAGGTGGATGGATGAGTAGGTGGTTTGATGGGTGGGTAGGTAGGTGCATGGATAAATGGGTGGGTAAATAGATGGGTAGATGTGTGGATGGATGAGTGGGTAGGTGGGTGAATGGATGGGTGGATGGGTGAGTGGATGGATGGGTGGATAGGTAGGTGGAATGGAAGGATGGGGTAGTGAATGTATGGGTATATGGATGGGTGGGTAGATGGATGGGTGGGTTGAAGGATGGGTGGGGGGATGGATGAGTGCACGGGTGAATGAGTAGATAAAGGGATGGATGGAAATAAGGAAGGAAGCATAGTTAGATCAAGAGATGATGACTGAACACAAGGAAAAAAGGAAAGATAAAAAATGGAAAGAGGGTTGGTTGGGTAGGTGCAAAGATTGTTAGTTAGGTGGATGAGTGATTGGACTGGCAGATAAAAGGAAAGACCAAAGTATGAATTGACAAATGCTTGGGCAAAAGCATGGATGAATAAATAATCTCCTGCAGTTCTACAGACAGACCAGGGAGAGGGCAAGGATGTGTGCTCTTAGAAGTGGCAGATCCAAGTCTAGGATCTGACTCCTGCATGAGTGTTCCTCCCAAGGCCCAGCTCTAGGCCCCACCATGTGTGGATCCAGGGGCACATAATCCCACATTAACCATGCGGCCCTCCTTATCCATGCCAGCTCTACCTGCAGCTAAGAGTTGGTCTGTGAGGAAGGGGGAAAGGCACCCACCTCACAGCCTTCCTCTCCCATTCCTTCTAATGAAGTCTCCTAATTACTTTTTAATGACCTGCTTCCTGGCTTTCTCCAGCTGTTTCTTCAGCATCCCTTGGCTGAGTTGCTTTTGGCTGAATGGGAATTTCCTGAGTAGGCTCCATCTCTTCTTGGATTCTGGGTCTTGGGGACCCCCTGGCAAGACACAATAATACAGGTCTCCTCCTTGACCTTTTCTCCCAGAAGCTATTTTAGTTGGGAGCACTCTGCCCATCTCCTCCACTGATTCCCATCCCCATGACCAGCCCCACGTGCTTTCCACCAGTGTCTGAGCTCAGGCTGGGGGTTTGCTCTGTCGTGTCCCCTGATCCCAAGGGGCCAGGTCTGGAGCCCCAGGCCAGACAGGAGAAAGCCTGGTGGGGTGGGGAGCAGCAGGGAGGTCTGGGGTGAGGAGGAAGTATGTAGTGGGCCTGGGAACAATGACCAGCAGACCTTCTCCCAGTCCCATCACTTGGGAACCCCAATGGCCCACACTTTGCCAGATTCTGCAGCTGGTTTGAGACTATGGGGGGCTCCTCCTCAGGGGCCTGGGGTCCAGACCAAGTAGGGTATAATCTACTCTGCAATACTCTTCAGCACACCCAGCGGTGGGCTGGCAGTTGCAAAGGCAGCTCCTAGGAGTAGGGGTTCTGCTCAGCCTGTCTCATGAGGTGGCCACAGCCTGGAGCCCCTTGGCTGCTTTTTATTGCTTTCTGCCCTTTTTCTTCCCCTTGCAATGAACAGGTCCCAAGCCCTAGAGAGGCAAGGCAGGCAGGGAGGAGGGGGCTGAGGAGTTTCCACCCACCACCATGGCCACACAGCCTCCCCAAACTCACACTCGGCCAGCAAACCAGATGGAGGATATGGGGACTGGAGAAGGTGCTGGAGTCTCTGCAGAGAGCAGGAGGGGAAGCACAGGAGAGAGGGTGGGTGTGGCTTCCTGAAGGCAGGGAGAAAGCAGGAGAGAGGCAAAGGAGTATAAAATAAATCCCTGGCAGGAAGATGAAAAAGAAAGGTTTCTAGGGAAGGACAGGCAAGGTGATGGGGACAGGTTTCTGCAGAGTGGGACAAGAGCAGGAGCATGAGAAGACAACTTGGGGGCTCCCTGAAGTTGTGGTGAGAGGCGAGGGAGCCGGCACACAGTGGGGCTCACTGCTGAGGAAGGACTGCAGCCATGGCTCAGAACTCCAGGGAGGTTAGCCAGGGAACAAGAAAGTCCGAAACCAAATGATTTAAATTTCACTGAAAAGAAAGCACGCTCAAACAGAAGGCAGGGCAAGTACCACTGGAGGCAGAACCAGGACGTCAAAATTCCATTGTCAGTCTCTGCTGTTGTGACATCCCTGGCCAAGGAAGAGGCTCTAGCAGCCACAGGGAGTCTCAGTTTCCACATCTGGAAAACGGAGGCAGTTACTATGGCCTTGGCCAATCCCCTCTCACTTTCATCAGAAATAAGAAATGAGCAAAGGATGCCTCCTAGGAAATGGAATGAGCTTTCACAACCCCCCTGCTCTGGGGCTGGCGTCCCTTCCTGGTAGAGCGGTGGGTGAACAGCACAAGTAACTGCAGGAGATCGCAGAGGACACAGCTGTCCTTCTTCTCCATTCCAATTATATTTGGCAGGGAAAGTGGCTTTTCCCCACTGATGCCAGTGTATCATTTTGTGGTCCAGGGAAAGAATCCAAACTGCAAAATTATTTGACCACGACAGTGGCCTCCAGAAAGGCAGGAGAAACAGAGAGGGAAAGCCGTTGCAAACGGTCTGATGAACACGCACACACATGCGCGCACACACCCATAAAGCAAGTGAATGCCTAGGAAGCGCTCAGTGTATGCTAACGTGCGTCACAAATGTAAGAGACTGTTCTGGTCATCATCAGAGGCTAGAGATTAAAAGGAAATAAAACACCAGAAACCACCGTGAATACATAAGCTGGCCCCATGTGACACTGCTGAAGGCTGGCCAGCCTTTTTAATTTCTTTGAGCTATTACTCCCTTTTTAATTTCTCCTGACATTTGTTGCCTGCTAAATCAATTTGATACATGGCAGGCAGGTGAAGATGGCTCTCCCAGCCTACCCCTTCTCATCGGCGAGTCGAGGAATAGTGGTTTTAAGAGATTGTCTTTTTATGCTGAAAATGCTCAAAAATGGCTTTGTTTCCTTTGGCAAGAGGAAAAGGTCACCCAAAGTCCCCATCCTTTGAACACTGATAGATTATCAGACATCAGGGAGAGCAGTTTTCTGAGCCAAGAAAGTGAATGACCGGATGCGTCATGTTAGACAGTTTCTTTAATGCTATTTTTGGGCGCCACCCCAGGACAGAGAACTGCTTCTGTTTCACCAGCTCTTATAGTACAAGTTCTTCTGTCAGATAAATAGCCTCACGACTCGTGGGGACCCCCTTGGGGGCTGGCTGTTGATGCTCCTGTGTGGAAGCTGGTTCACACAGGGAGATAACGGAGGAGTAGGCGCAGAAAGATGCCTCCGGTCCTGGGGAGTGGGCAGTATCCCCCACATCTGTCAAAAGTAATCCTGGCAGCCAGGATGGAACTGGCTGATGGGGAATCTCCCTGTGTGATGCAGAAGAGGGTTCAGGAGTGGGCTCTCATCTCCAATTCTGCCTTGGACCAATGCCCTTTTGGTTTCCTTGTCTGTAAAATTTAGGGGGTTGGTCTAGATGATCTTTAAGGCACTCTCCAATTTGACCTTCTCTAACTCTCTTTAAAAACCTATTTTTACTAGTCAATTGGAACTGAGAAGGAGAGCCAGCCCTCTAAGTACGAGTGCTACACATGGAGAAGCCACAAGGTCTATACCTTTGGAATCCCAGCATGACTTCATGACTCCAAATAACTCAATTGGCAGGGACAAGTTCAGACACTGGCGTGTGTGGTTTTCTCTAAAGCACCCCAAACGTGGCACGTCATGGAGAACCATGCTCTGCAGATGAAAGCTGGAGCTTCAAAGGCTTGAGGCAAGAACAGGCGAGTCTTACCCTGAGAAATAACTCGGACTCTGTAGGAGTTGGGAATGACCCTTAGGATGTCACCAGGCACCATGGGGAAGAGGGCCTGGGTAGATTAGGGATGTCTGCCATGAGCACCTGATGGAAGAAGCCACATGCAGGCCAAAGGGTATTTCCCTTTCCTGGTAGAGGAAATGTCAATGAACATGGAGGCAGGAGATGTGGGCCCTTGTCAATGACTCAGGCATGTCATTCCCGGCCCATGTTCCCTCCCTTTGCAGGGCCTGGCCTCTCTGGAGGCCCCTAGGGATTGAAGGATATGAAGGGGGATGGAAAGTTGTGTAGACCCTCCCAGATCAAGCCATCCAAATGTGAGATGGTATTAACAGAAGGTCAAATTAGAGGAATAGTTTAAGGGGCATCAAATTTTATTGGACTCAGCTCTATAAGCAGTCAGTCAAAACCAATCTGTTTCATTTATACTTGGGAGGATCTACTTGTACACAAAAAAATGTAACAAGGACTTTTAAAAGTGCATTTTTCCAGTGGATTAAAATTTTCTTTATAATGATGTTTACTGTTTTTTTTAGAAAAACCAAACCAAACAAACAAACAAAAAAACCCACAAATCTTTCTTTCTAGCTCGTACAGTCCTGGGATATCAGAGTTTAAAAGGAACCAGAATGGACTCTGGCCAGCTGCCTCTTCCCCTAGGAGTCTTCAGTGATTCTGAAGGAGGGGACACAGATCTAGGCGGCTTCCCTCCCTCCCTCCCCAACCACAGCTCTTGGGAGGGGAGGGGCAGTGACAGGAGAGGAACCATAGTTCATGCTGACAGGCTTATAAAAATGATGTGGTGGGAGAAAGAACCCAATGACTGGTACTTAACTCTTGCTCTAATTAATTTCGTAGACAGGCTGTCTTCAAGTTTGCAAATGTGGCATTGGAGTCAGAAAGAGCACCAGAGCTAGTGGTAAATTATGTCCAAGATGCAAAAAGAAAAAAAAAAGATAAAAACAGAAGCATGCATTCCCAAAGTCCACTGTATAAGTATTTGCTACGTGTGAGGCAGGTGGAAGTACTTGTTATCACTTCACCTGACTTGTGAAAGCTGACGCACTCTTGGGAGACAATGAGAACAGTAGGAGTTGCATTCTCTGGTTCCACCAAGTCAGGTGTTTTGATTCTAGCACCTGACATGTGGCAGTGTTGTTGTATAAAGTCACCTCAAAGGGTGTGGGTGGCTGGGATGGTGGTGGGTGGAGTGTCTCATCTGCTGCCATAATCCACTGGCAGGAGCTGGGTCCTGGAGGGGTCTCCCCTTGGTACCTACCTCCATGTAATAGATCGCTGCCATCCAAAATTGCTTTAAGAGCCTTGGGACTGAAAGCATTGCCCACAGGAAAGATAAGATGGCGAGAACATCAAGAGGATGGAAGCCAAGAGTGCGTGATTCAGAATGATCACCAAATAGCAGAGCATCTCAGACTTGGACACGGCCATCTGGAGCAAGGCGAAGGCCAGCTTCACCAGGCGTGGCAGGCTCCCATGAACCCTGTCCGGCTGCTCAGCTCCTCATCCCGGGACATGCTGGGGGACGAAGTGACCCTGCCGTGAGTCCCAGAAAGACAGGCCTACAGCCCCAGACAAGAAATACCAATAGGTAAAAATAATCCTAGATTTTTTTCAAACTCTACACAGGGAGCAATTTTTTACTTTCCTGGAGCACTCAGCCACAAGGTTTTCCATTTAACAGGCACGCCCTAGAGGCATTTTAAAAAAATATGTCATTTGAAAAAGAAAAAAAAAAAAGCTCAATTGCTCACAATTTCTCTATTGAGTAAAGTATTTTCAAACAAGTAATCAAATTCAAAGAACCATTTGCTTTGTATTGGAGAGTATATAGCATAACCCCATTTAGCTTAACTTGCTAATCCAAGTACAACTATTTGGGCGGCTGGATTGAATAAGAAAAACATGCTGGTGCCTAACCTGGGTTACAGATACTCCTTGCCTTTTAAGGCACAGATCACTAGCTGGCAACTTCTTGAAGGGCGCTTTTCTGCTGGAGCTGCTGGTCTTTTTGACTCTCCGAATAGGTGAGGTATAACAGGTGGGATGCGGTGGCTGTCAAGGGACCACTTGGACTTACCAGCCCACTGTCTGCAAGGGAAGCTACCCATCCAGGCATCCTTCCTGGGGCAGGGTCCTTCTCCTCTCCCTGCTTATGCCTTTGCCCCTCCTGGCTGGCCCACACCAACTGTGCATTACCATCTCTCTGACCTCCCTAGACCGTTAAGACATCATTTTTTAAAACCTTCAATGACCAACTGATTACATTTGCATCAAAGGGCGTTCTACATGTTTTTTAAAAGACCTCATGAATTTTGATTCCAGACTCTTCCCATCTGGAATTCACAATCACTTGGGATGGTCTGAGATTTATTCTTGCATGATCAATGAAGACTGCATTGATTTCACAAGTCTACCAGCAAACACCAAAAATCTGCTGCGTTCTAGACCTTGAACTAGACTGCAGAGACACAAAGAGGGTTCCCACACCCTCTTTCCTCACAGGGCTCACAGGTCAGGGAAGGCACAGAAGCCCCAGTGAAAGGCAGGACCCAGGGCACAGTACCTGGGGCAGAGTCACGTCTAAGGTGGCATGGAAGTTGAGAGGCTTCCTGGAGATGAGGCTGGGGTAGGTCTTGGAGGATGAGGGGAAACCATTCTGATATGGTTTGGCTGTGTGGCCACCCAAATCTCATCTAGAATTGTAACTCCCACAACTCCCACAGGTCATGGGAGGGACCCAGTGGGAGGTAATTGAATCATGGGGGCCGGTCTTTCTTGTGCTGTTCTCATGACAGTGAATAAGTCTCATGAGACCTGATGGTTTTTTAAAGAGGAGTTCCCCTACACAAGCTCACTCTCTTTGCCTGTCGCCATCCATGTAAGATGGGACTTGCTCCTCCTTGCTTTCCAACATGAGGCTTCCCCAGCCATGAGGAACAGTAAGTCCATTAAACCTCTTTCTTTTGTAAATTGCCCAGTCTTGGGTATGTCTTTATCAGCAGCATGAAAATGGACTAATTCACCCTCCCACTAGAGAAGCCTGGTGAATGGACATCCTCGGCACACTTTGTATCTTGTGCAATTCAAAGAGCATGGGGCTTGGGGAATGGAAAGCCCATCAGATCACAAAGGACCTCATTGGCTGGGCTGAGGTGTTCTCATCCTTCGTGACCTGATTTCATTCTTCCAGAGGTAGGACAGCTAAGAGTTAAGGGCAGGTATGGGAAGAATCGGGGCCAATTTAAAGAGCGAATTGGGTTGAGGAGAGGCTGGAGCCAGTGGAGAGTCACTGAGAGATCCGAGAAGCGACAACAATACTCTGACTCAGGGCCACAGTGGGCACAGGCCTGAAACCCAGAGACTTTCCCAAAATAGTCCCCAGCATGCAGCATCCCCTGGACATGGTGGGTAAGGGAAAAAAAAGAAAGTAACGACATCACCTGGGATTCCACACCAGGAACCACATGGCTGGTGAAGACTTTCTATGAGATTTGGAATAAGGCTGTTGATGGGCAAAGACCACAGAGCACAGAGGGAGCCGGTTCCAGGGGCGAGAGGAAGTCATGTGCCTGGGTCTTGCAGGGTGAGAGAGAGCTCCTGAGCAGGTGGAAATGCTGGCCTGATGCTTAGGACACATGCAGAGGAAGAACCAAGAGAAAGTGGCGTCCAGAATCCAGGGCACCGAGATCCAGGAAGGTGGTGGGAGCCTCGGCAAAGAGACCAAATAGAAGGAATTTGCAAGGAGATGGGCACGGGCTCACCCCTGGTAGGCAGAGTGGTCTCATTATCAGTCTGTGCTAGACCAAATAGGGAAAGGCTGGTGTGGAAATTAAGCATAAGGCTTCAGCTGCCCTTCGACCCTTTGAAGAAGTTTGGTGGTGAGGCATGGGGTAAGCGTGTGACTCGCTGAGGCCTGTGAAGACCCCAGCCTGCTGGGTCACAGGAAGGAATGGAAGAGCAGGGCTGGAAAACAGAATCAACACAGCAGCAGCACTCAGGGGAGCAGAGCAGGAATGAGGGAGGCCCCGGACCAGGGGAAGGGGACCCGGCCTCGAGGTGAGAATCCACTGCTCATGGGAGACAGGGGAAAGGGTCAAGATGGCAGGCCTGGGGAAGAGGATTCGGGAACATTCATGTTCCTCTGTAGCTTCTATTCCTGCTGGGATGGAAGAGCGGGTGGGGTCGGGGAGAGTGGGGAGGGGCTCAGGTTTGGATTGACAGCATGGGAACAGCAAAGGTGACGCCCAGGTCCCAGCAAAAGCGTATCTGAGTGGCACTGAGACCCTCCAGTCTGCAGGGGTGCCAGTGGACAGGCAGAGGTAGCTGCCATGGCTACTCACGACTGTGTCCACAGCAAGCGGACGTCCACACCCACAGGGATACCCAGGCCTGGGAATATGGCAGCGGGGTAATCTCAGCCCTCCATTTCCTCTTGTGTCCAAACGGGGATAATCTTACTACCCTCCTCACAGGGTTACTGAGGTGGTTAAGGAAGTTTATCCACACAAAGCCACTCAGGAGCATGTCTGGCAGATGGAAAGAGCTGGAAACAAGCCCTTGTTACCACTCTGATGGGAGCAGCCCCTCCTGCATCCGTCTCCTCAGCATACCATGGGCACCAGGCTGTCATCCCAAGGGTCCTGTCATCCTTGTTCCCACCCCGCGGTGACAAGGACAGGGCCTACCCATGCTCAAGAATGCAGCCACATTTGAATTTATGGATGGGCCCAGGACGAGGCCTCCTAGAATTTCTCGCCAGGTCTCCCTCCCGCCCTGGCACTCCTATTACATGTCTTCATGAGGCCTGCATCATTTACCCCTCCCAGGGGACTTTATTAGAGGGACACATTTACAAAGTCACAGTTCCCATTTGGTCACTTAAATTGCACAGGAAAAGGGGCCCTGTCAACTTCAACTGGGGCCGCCTCTGACTTCTCTAAAAGCCAGATTTCGCACAAGAGGAAATTACTTCTGTACCTGCCGTGGGCCGTTGTTATTCAACTCGGAGTATAATTTCATAGCATTAGCAAAAATGATTCCTTTTATAGCTCTATAAATGTCCTTGGCCCACAAAATGCAGTCTTGACCTTCAGAGAGACTGAGTTTTCAGGGGGTGCCCTTTTCACGTGGGGTTGTTCCGGGGCAGGGAGCCTTTTTGGGGCTGAGGACGGTGCGCTATCACCATTGAGGAGGGCAACCTGTCATCCACCTCCTTCTTGGGGGGTGTCCAGGCTGAAGTTGTGCGTGTTTCTGCGTGGATCTTTACAGCCATGGCTTCTCCTCTTTCCTCAGCCAGTTGGGTATCTTCTGGCCACTGCTCTCAGGACTTGGGTAACCCTCTGCTGCCCGGCTGCGGCTCCTATCCCTTTTCCCTGTTGGCTGGGGCTGCTCGTGCGGTCTCTTGCAATGGGGCATGGCGGTATCTCAGAATGCTCTGTCTAGTGGCCTTCCTTCCCTGGAGAGAAATGTCTGATCTTTATTATAGTAAGAAAAAGAAAAAGGAGGGAAGCAAAGAAGGACAAGGAGAGAAGGAAGGGAAAAATCAGCGGGGGTTCTACTTCCATTACAGGGAACTGACCACACGCAATTGTTTGCAATTTGCATCTCAAGTGGCCACCTAGGATCACCAAGGGGATCTCCTGCTGTCATCCCAAAGACCTCCCCGGGAACTCTGGACACAGGTGGCTGAGCACAGTGACTCTCTGCGGGCTTCACTGGGAACATGCCGGGTGTGTGGCCAGGAGGGAGGGTGGGAGCAGTCAAGGCCTTCAGCAGCCATTGCCAGGAGCTAATGCAAGACATAAATCATCTGTCAGCTTACAAAGTGACTTTCAAAGTTGTCGGAATGGAATAATTAAAAGAAATTGATATCGTAAGAGAAAGCCGTCCCTGCCATGGCCAAGCTTGCCTTACTGACAGCTCACCGCCACACACGTTGCTCCGCCCTCCGGGCCACCACAAACGGCTGCTGTCTCTGCTTGGTGCACCCCAGGCCTCGGTGACCTTCCTGAACACCCAGGAGAACCAGGCCATGGCAAGGAGCCTCTGGGCTGTGCCTTCTTTGGGGAAAGAGCAAGAACCCTCTGACGAGGTGACTTAATGGCTCATCAGCTTTCCACCGTCGGCGACAGAAAGCTGGCCACAGTGATCCGAGAGACAGCTGATGAAATGCCACCAACACCATCACTGTTTCTTTCTGTTAACTTGCCACACAGAGCCAAAACCAACAAAAATCCAACCAGCACACCAGATAAGTATTGAGGCGCTGCTATGGGGGCCCTGCTAGGAGGATTTCCCTGGACTCAACGGGTTCCTGTCCAAGGTAGGAACTGTGGATGAAGAAGATGGGTTCCAGGGGTGGAGTGGGGAGAAGAGACCCTTTTCGTCTCTGAGCCCCCTACCCAGCCTCCACCCCTCCTGTAGGGGGAGAGGTTGGTGGGGTAAGGTTTGCATTATAAATAGCTGATGTTTATTAAGCACTTATTATGCACTACGCCCACTGTGGTTTTATCTTGGAGCAATTCTCTCCGTTAGGTCCTTTCATTATCCTTCTTCGCCGATGGAGAACTGAGATCCAGAGAGTTTAACTAACTCACCCAAGATCACATCAGCTACTGGGGTGGAAGTAGGAGCTGATCCCAGACCAACTTGCTCAGGAAGAAAGGTCATTTGAAATCACGGACGGAGGGAATCCTGGAAGAGCTGCCCAGCAAACGGGGAGGAGGAATCTGGGGTTGTGGGGGAGGGGGGGGGGGTCTGAGGTGCTGTCACAGTTCACATCCTGGCTCCAGCACTTTCCTGCTGAGGGCCCTTGAGCAAGTTGTGTGACCTCCCGATCACTATCTTTAACTGGGAATCAGTGTTAAGGGGTGTCAGATTCATGCCTGGCTTGCCCAGTAAGCCCTGATGAACACTGGCCATGGACTGGTTCCTACAACCGGGTGTGAACACGCGCCTCTCAACCCCAGGGAGACAGCCCAGTCAGCGTTCTTTCTCATGAGCTTCCAAGTGTAGAAAGCATTTGTGGGCCAGGGGCCACTCTAGCCCCTAAACTCTACCTTCCCCCAGAAACGAAGATTCTATGTCACATCAAAAAGGGCTGAAGCCACAGGGTCCCATAGAGAGCCACGTCTCTCCTGCTTCACCTCGGAAACGTGGCAGAAAGTGTAAACGCCATTGGAAAGTCTGGCAGCGTCTTATTTAGAGCTTGGTTCTATTTTGTGTTTACATCTGTGAGCTGCCTCTACCCATTTGCATCCCTGCCCAAGCTTGCCGGAGTGTCTGCACTGACCTGGTCACATTTTTTTTTTTTCCCTGGTAGGTTTTCTCCTGTGTTGGATATGGTAGAGCCTCCGTACATACCAGGTTCATCTGAATTCTCAGCCTCAGCTGCGGTCACGCGCATCACCAGCTTCTCACCTCCCAAATCACACCAAAGAAGAATAAAATAGGCATCCATCGGAAATTCCCGTCTGCTTTCGACACACATTTTTGTAAATGTTCGTTACATCCTAGTAGGGGTGAGTGTGTGTCTAAGGCAGGCATGTTGATGGGGTTGGGGAAGTTATGGCCCACCTTAAACGTAATAACCTTGCGCAGTTCTTTGGGGGCTGCGAGTACACTACAGGCATGAATGTTCAGTCACCTGATCTTCATTCCAGACGCTAGGAAAAGCAGGCCGGTGTAAGGAAGAAAGCCTTTCAAATTTGTATTGGCTCCTATTTAGTATTTGTCAGGGTCCAGGGCTGCACTCCAGTGAACGCCTCACTTAGGAAAGATTGGACACTCGACAGACCACATATTTATCTCGCTCTCTGTCGGTCAGTGCGTTCCAAAGCCCAAGCCGTTATGGAAAACAGGCTCGGAAAAATGCATATTTCCCCCAACATCTCAGACTAACAAGCTGCCCCTTCAGCAAATATCCTATTGCCCCAGCCACGGGGATCACCTTCATGATGCCCCCTCCCCATCAGAGCGTATAAAAGAGTCCCTATGCTTCCCATAGGCCTCATGACCTCATCTCTCCTGCACAGTCCACTTGGTGTTAATGGGCCCAGTCAAAAGGCAGGACTGTTGGACGCCAGTGTTCCTTATTCGACCATCTGTCGATCAAAGTGACCACACAAACCCCGCTTTGCCGTCGCAGTACCTCCACAGCAACGCCACGGTTCTCCCTCTTCCTCTCACACGCTTCTCCCCATCCCACCTGGGTCCTGCCGCCTCCTCCCGAGAGCAAACGTGGAGCTATTTGTCCAAGCGTCATATGCGAGCCGCAGGAGACGCTCATAAATCCCTGCCCTGTTCTCTGGCAGTTTCAGACGTTGTCGGGCCCAGACCCTCCTTTTCTTTCTTAAAGGTCACAAAATCTAATTAGAACCATTGCTAACTGTATATTCTCGTTGTCGGTAAGCCTTAAATAATAAAAATCAGACCAAATGAGACTAAGCAAGGGAGATGGAAAATCGATGTCATATTTGTTCCAAGTAATTTCCCTTCAGAAGAGAAAAGGCTCTTAGGACTGGTTTGTGAATTTAAAAGATGTTTAAAGTTGCATCTAGGCATCGGAACATCAAAGTCAACCCCAAACAGAATTTCGCTGGATGATCTCTCCTTATTCCCGGAAAAGTCAGTGCTGTTTGGTAGAAGGGCCTAAGACGGGGTGACAGCCTTCCTCTTCCTGTCTGTTTTAAGCAGTTGTGGCTTTGCCAAAAATAAAAATAATTTCTTTGAAAAACCGATCCCTTAAGGAGCAAAGAGTAATAACATACGAGGTTCTTTTCCCTTACTTCACTATTTTTCTGCATACTTTCAACTAAAATGCACACTTAAGAAAAAAACCTAAATAATAAGAATGCAACCCGCACACACTCACACATGCATAGTGAGGACGAGGAATGAACTGCCCCTGGAAATGCTTATCTTTTTGCCTGAAATACCCCAAAAAGGTTGATTAACATCTCCAGATAAGCACTTCTGTTTCCACACCTTTGGGTTTTACATGTGTCCATGACAATGGGAGCGATTTATGCCAAGAAAATTGGTTGACCTGTGTTATGGTTAATACTGAGTGTCAACTTGATTGGATTGAAGGATATAAAGTATTGATCCTGGGTGTGTCTGTGAGGGTGTTGCCAAAGGAGATTAACATTTGAGTCAGAGGGCTGGGAAAGGCAGACCCAAACTTAATTGGGTGGGCACCATCTAATCAGGTGCCACCGAATAGAAAGCAGGCAGAAAAATGTGAAAAGGAGGGACTGGCCTAGGCTCCCAGCCTACATCTTTCTCCTGTGCTAGATGCTTCCTGCCCTCAAACATCAGACTCCGAGTTCTTCAGTTTTGAGATTTGGACTGGCTCTCCTTGCTCCTCAAGCTTGCAGACAGCCTATTGTGGGATCTTGTAATCATGTAAATTAATATTTAATAAACTCCCCTATATATATTATATATAATATATATACACACACATATACACTCATATAAATATATAAACTCGTATATATATATATAAACTCATATATATATCTCCTATCAGTTCTGTCCCTCCACAGGATCCTGACTAATAAAGATTTTGGTACTGGGAATGGGGAAGCTATTTCTTCTGGCAAAAAAGGTTCATCAGAGTTTACAAACTCAGTGTTCTCAGCTTCATCAGGGTCCTCCCACATGTCCCCATTCCAAGTTGCAGGGTTCTGTTCTTTTCCAATCAATGCCCTCACTTTAACAGTAGACACCTGGCGAGGCTGTGCATCCACTTTTCTTTGCGGGTCAGCCACTCGCATAGTAAGAGCTTGTGTCTGTTTTTCCACAATTTCAGCTCTTTCTCTATAGGAAATAAGACTCTCACTCAGGGCAATCTTCGCAGATTCAAGGCTCAGGATCCGCTGCTGAAGCTGGGAGACAGAATCCCTGAGTTCATCATTTTCTTTCATCACTTTGTCCACTGGACTTAAGAGCAACCAACCAGCTTGGTTCTCCACATATGGTCAAAGGTATTATGTATAGAGTCACTAAACTCCTTGACAATGAGGAGCGGTCAATCAGGGGTGTTAAATGCATTTATTTTGCATAATTCTCTAAACAGTTCATGCCAAGGACTGTCAGTGTTCTCCATACTATTAGAAGTAGAGTCCTTAGCATTTTTGGGTCTAATCATATTAAGCAGCCAACTCCAGAAACCTCAAAACCAATGAAAGAACTCTATCCTTAATATTCTGTTCCTCTAGAACCACTCCCAGAACCAAAATCTGTATTAGTCACGGTTCTCTAGAGGGAAAGAACTAGTAGGATATATATTTAAAGCGGGGAGAAGCTTTTGCTTCTAATGGTCTTTGTGGACTTGCACGCCAAGCATGAGCCACTGCTTGCTTCCTTGCTGCAGTCCCCACTGTGTAAGGTGGCAGACATTTTCTGAAGAATGGGCTGATCTTGGGGAACCCTGGAACTGAGAAGAGCCAGTGGGCCCAACTGGCTCCCATACTTGGACTTCTGAAGGGCTGTGCTCCTGGCAGCTGAGTAGCTGAGTAGAGGCCCCCCTTATGGCCCACTTACCAGAAGGATGTGTCACCCAAGGCTGACACCATTTTATCTCGTCTTCATTTTCTATCATGGTGAGATCATGTAGACAGAGACAAAACCTGAAATCTATCAGCCATCACCACCCTGGACCAGGTTGGGGTCATTCAAAAAAGAGGCTGGGCTAAAATTTACTCAGCTTCTGAAGAAACCAGAACCAGCTCCTTGAGTGTTTATGAACTCCCCCTGCCCTCATCCAACCTTACAAAATGGTTTGTTTGGGCAAATTAATTAGTGCAAATAAAATTTGAAAAGGAAATGCATAAACAACCTAAAATAATATGCTGATTTTGAGAGTGTTCAGGCTAATAAGCCCTTTTTTTTTTCTGTTTTGAGAAGATTCCCCACAGAGGCACCACTGAGCATTGCTTTGGAAGACCAGTTCTAATGGTTTTGTGAACTTGATAGTACTAAAATGGAATATCTTTTCTTAAAAGCACCATAATTCAGTCTTGTCACTAATTCAGACAGTGCGTCCCCCAATTAGGAAGGTTAAACTATGTATCACACCCTTCACATAAATTGCCAGGTAAAACAGAATCATCAGAGTGGTTGAGAGCCAAGTGATGACATGATTTTCTTCAACTTGTTCAACTAAGGAAAGAGAAAACCTAGTCCGCTTTAAAAGGAACAATTTTAGAAAGATATTTATTTTGAAAACAACAAAAACTGAAACATCCTTCTTCTTGAGCCACTTGGCCCTTTGGGGGAGTCATGCTTTCTGAAAATCTCAAAACTGAAGGGCAGAAATGTCATTTAAAATAAATAACCTAACCATTTCCCCCAAACCAGGGTCCAATCAAAAAGAACACTTCTTGACCAGGGGGATTTTATTTTGCTGCTGGGGGAAGGTCCTTCCTGCAACTTTGGATTGAATTCAGAATTTCAACTCAAAGCACGATTCCAAATCTAAGCTCTTTAAATGCGCCAGACAAAAAGGCACTTCCATTATACCACAGTTCTGAGGGGAGAAATTCATTTTCTTGTTGGCTCCCAGTGTAGCAGAGGGATCAGTTTAGTGTCCCTGTTTCAAGACCACTGGGAGCAGGTCACCTCCATGATCCCATGGTAACAGCATCTCACCTTTTATGAAGGCCCTTCTCTCAGCTTCCTTTCTGGGCAGGTAGCTCGTGCTAACGGCCAAATCGTCAGAACTCCTGCAGGCTCTCTGCAAAGCAGCAATTTTCTTTTGCTTTGCTTTGATTTTCTCCATCCTGGCAATTGAAGACAAACAGAGAAAGCCATTTTCTTCTCCACCAGTCAAAACGCCTTTGCCATTTTGTTGGTTTCAGTGCTTGCCTTTTTCCCTAAAACCGAGGCTGAGGAAGAGATGCCCAAAGTTATGCTCCCAAGTTTCCCTTAGTTCAGAGGGGCCTCATCAACACTCAGTCCCCAACAGCTAACAGCTCACGTAGCAACATGGACAGGATTCTGCTCTAGGTGCCGCAGAGGACTCAATGGTGACAGCCATGGGGGACAGCTGACCCCTCTCTGGCTGAGAAGATGGGACAGGAGTTACTATACAGATGGAGTTTGCCAATGTCAGGTGACCACAGTGCAGATGAGGGTCTGGGGCTGGGGAGGTCTTGGCAGGCTCAGACAGTTTGGGAATTCAGACTTGAGCAGGCAACCAAATAGCACTTCATCAATTTCAGTCATTATGCATGCCATAATTTCTCCAGTATTATTTGATTTCCATAGTTGATTTTCAGTCAATTCAATTTTAAACTTAGTTTCATTCTGAGCTATAATATCCTTGAAATCACCTACTGGATAGTCTAGATACTTCCCGCTAAATTGCGCTTTTTATTTATTTTTTATTTATTTATTTTTTGGGGGGACAGAGCCTCACTCTGTTGCCCAGGCTGGAGTGCAGTGGTGCGATCTCAGCTCACTGCAACCTCCACCTCCCAAGTTCAAGCAATTCTCCTGCCTCAGCCTCCTGAGTAGCTAGAATTGCAGGTGCGTGCCACCAAGCCCAGCTAATTTTTGTATTTTTAGTAGAGACGGGGTTTCACCATGTTAGTCAGGCTGGTCCCGAACTCCTGACTTTGTGATCCGCCCACCTCGGCCTCCCAAAGTGCTGGGATTCCAGGCGTGAGCCACCGCGCCAGGCCTGAATTGCGTTTTTTAGTGTAACCATTAAGCGAAAACTACGTTTCTCTGTATACCCACTAAAGCCTTCCTGGGAAGCATCTGGGATGTGTGCCTCATAGCACATTGAGAGACAGAGCATGGTCTTGACTAAGTAGGGTTTTGGGTAGCCCATTTTAGCAAGGGACAGACTCAGACCCAGGAAGGCATGTGGCCTAAAGCAGAGCATCTGAGCTGTCAAGAGCTTAAGCATCACTTCCTCATCTAAGAATTACATCAGGAGATGGTTCCTCCCAGGAGAAGCCCATGTTCTCATCACACTCAAGAGCTCTGCCTTTGTTCTCCGAGCTAGAAGAATCAGCCCACAATTTCGCCACCTCCATCCGCTGATTGACCCACATTTAGAGCTCATTAGTGCTCCACACTCCCAACCCTGGAACATCCTCAGTCTTATTGTAGACTCCTCCTCTTGGTGAAACTCAAAAATAAGAGAAAGGGGGAACCCTATATCAAAGAAAGAAACAGGCAAGAAGAAGGTGGCAGATCCTTTGGAAGGAATATGCTTCCAGGATAAAAACAAAGAAAAGCCAGCTTGACTGTTTCATGACAATCAGTGGGGATTTTTCTTATCTTCATAGTGCTCCAATGCCTGACTTAGGGTCTCTGCTTCAATAGCTTAGCACTCCTGTTTGTACAATAAA
The DNA here is from genome assembly GCF_000001405.40 of Homo sapiens. Taxonomy (NCBI): domain Eukaryota; kingdom Metazoa; phylum Chordata; class Mammalia; order Primates; family Hominidae; genus Homo; species Homo sapiens. Next base: position 58,761,468 of record NC_000020.11, read on the forward strand.
ATACGTTTTGAAAAGTCATCTTAGCCTAGGTAACATTTTTGTGTGAATTCTGCTAGTAAAAAGTCACTACCAATTTTTGCACTAAGATGAATTGTATCGATCATTTCACATAACAAGACAGGTCTAGCTGGCTGCTCACAGATATCCATCCTTTTCTTCTTTTCTCCCCAAAGAGCATGAACCTCCAGAGCATAATGACCAGGTTTTGCTCAACAGATGGAGGACAGAACACTCAACAGACTCCGCAAGTTTACAACCAGCCTGAAAACTGGACGTGCTTAGGCAGGATCTTAGGGTGAGAAGCTGTTGAGTTTGAGGGCACACAATTTGATCAGTGGCATATCTGAATTCAGGAATATGGTCTGAATTGCTGAAATGGATGGCATAATTCCATTGAAATTGAACTTGTCCCTTCCCTTTGGTGCAGGGTTAAAATGCAACATGAGGTCCAACTCTAGGGAGCAGATACCATCAATTAAAGAGAACTGCCCAGGGCTGTTGGATGATCAGTTTAGTATCAGATGAGGAATTTGTCACCAGAAGGGGCTATCAGGCAAGCCAGTCTTGCAGACATTCAAATGAGGAGAGAAGCCTGAGCTGGGATGGGGGTGGAGATTGCATAGAGAGGTGATCCCTTGGATCTCGGGCAGGGTTGGTTGACCTGCAGATTCTGAGGAACTTGGCCAGGTTCACCCTTGACTCTGAGCTGCCCTTGGTTCCTCACTGCCATTGGGTCAATGCCACTTCCCCACAGGTCTTTGCCTGCACCCTTCCACTGTGTTTACAACTCAGTGTGGCCCCAGGTCTCACGGTCCTACACAATTAGAGTCCCACAAAGGGGCAACCAGAACTGAGTCCCAAACTCAGGACAAAGCTGTGTGTGGTGGAAGGGCTCTGTGAGGAGGGATGGCAGTCAGCCCTCTTCTGCCCCGAGCCAGCAGAGCAGCCCCAGGCGGGTGACTCGTTTTGAGCCTCAGCTCTTCCTCTGTCCAGAGGAGGGATGGGATCAGGTGGTCTGAGGTTTCTGAGCTTTCTAAGTTGTCATTGCAGTCCAGCATCATTCCCTTGAAATTGAATCTGTCCCTTCCCTTTGGTGCAGGGTTAAAATGCAGCATGAGGTCCAACTCTAGGGAGTTGCTTCCATCAATTAAAGAGAACAGCCCAGGGCTGTTGGATGATCAGTTTAGTATCAGATGAGGAATTAGTCACTAGAAGGGGCTGTCAGGCAAGCCGGTCATGCAGTCATTCAAATGAGGAGAGAAGCCTGTCCCACCCTGTCAATCAGCCGCCTGTTTATGCCTGTTCCCTTTGGGACAGGACACTCTTGGAGCCCCTGAAATCTGAGGTCTTTGTCCCTAGGTCTCCTGGTGCCTGTACGCTGAGGCTTTGGTGGCCTCCGGATTGGCGACCACATACAGGTGGGAATAACTCAGGAAGCTCTGTCGCTGGACTTGCAGAACAGTGAAACACTTAGCCTCCCAAAGGACTCCCTCTTCCTTCTCTTCGGGTTCATGGATTTTGTCCTCAGGGATAGCTGCATGGAAGACAGGAGAAGCCAAGAACCCCAGGCCAGAGCCTAGCATGGGTCGCGTCTCTGGATGGAAGGGGTCAGTTCCAGTTTGGACAGACCCTGCTTCACTTCCTTTTGGACTGTTCTGTCCTTTGCTCATCTTCCCTCTCCCCTTTCCGCCCAAATGGCTGATTTTCTAGGGAAACAAGCAGATAAGGTCAGAGCTGGGGAAATGTACCCAGTCCTCCCTGCTCCCCCATCAGCACCGGCCCCTCCCTGGAGCCTGAGCCCACCCCCGTACCAGGTTCCCTGAGGTGAGTCCTGCTGAAAGCCACTGCGTGGCCTTCCCTTTGGGGTAAACAGGCGGCTGATTGACAGGGTGGGACAGGTAACTTGTGGCACTGTAGATTCTTCCATTTCAGCAGCTCAATGTGGTGCATGGAAACCTACTCCCCGTGGCCCAGCGCTAAGCCCCAGACTTGTCTGTGAAAGATGAGAGCTGTGTCTTCACATATTTTCTTGACAAACTAAAAGAAAGAGAATGAGAGCCTAACCCAAGATGTCACTCAGAGACAAGAGTGAAAATAAATACATTTCCCCTTTTCCTTCATTCATAAAAGGAAGCCAGTTACAGCTCTAGTCGGGCAGAACTCAGGGCTCCTCCCTCTCTAAACAGGCCAGAATCCCGGTCATTAGTGGTGGGGTTGAAGTTTAGCAAACTCCACAGAAGCACCCGTGGCACACAGTGGGATTATCCCCAAAGCCTAGAAGCCGCTGACTGCAGGGCGCCACTGCCCTTGACCTGACATGTGGTGTTGAGGCAGAGCCTTGGATGTTCCATCCCCTCTTTTCCTCTCGGTTTGGTCCCTGAGTTTCCCCTGGAGGGAATGGACGTCCTCCAGGGTTTGGTCCCTGAGTTTTCCCCGGAGAGAATGGACATCCTCCAGGTCCCACCAGGGCTTTTCTCAGTGGCTCTTCAGAGGACAGTCTGGCAAAACAGTCAAATGCAGCACGTGAGCTTTGATTGGACTCTGATTCTAAAAATAGTAAGAGCTGCAATCAACCATTTGGAGCAACTGGAGGCACTGGAACGCAGACCGGGTATTAGAAGATATCAGGGAATTAGAGTCATCTTCTTAGGGTGGACTGATAATGTGGTGGGTATATAGGAGAATGGCTTGATGTCTGCCTCTTTGTTTTCAGAGATATCTCAAAAATACTCATGCACACAGACGCACGTGCACACACACAAATATAGATAAAGCAAAGGTGGCTAAATAAACAGCTGTTAATCTAGGGGTGGGTATGCGGGTGATCACTGTACTATGCTTTCAACTTTGCTCCATGCCAACTGTCCCTGGGGTCATGCCTGCACTGTGCTGGCAAACATTCTGGGTGCTTACCCAGAACTGATCCCCTTCACTGTGCAGTTTAAGCCCAAACTGTAAACAAGCCAGCAGTGGGAGACAAGTAAAACCTCTAGGTACTCACGCATAGTGACTGGCCACAGAGGAGAAGTGTGGGGAGGACTCACCATTGCCTTCATCTGCAGTGCCCCCACAGTTTGCCCTCCACAACTGGTGTCATCTTTTTTTTTTTTTTTTTAAATGGAGTCTCGCTCTTATTGCCCAGGCTGGAGTGCAACAGCACAATCTCGGCTCACTGCAACCTCCGCCTCCCGGGTTCAAGGGTACCTCCTGCCTCAGCCTCCCAAGTAGGTGGGATTACAGGTGCACACCACCATGCCCAGCTAATTTTTGTATTTTTAGTAGATACGGGGTTTCACCATGTTGATCAGGCTGGTCGTGAACTCCTGACCTCAGATGATCTGCCCGCCTCTGCCTCCCAAAGTGCTGGGACTACAGGCGTGAGACACTGCGCCCAACCAGTGTCATCTTTCATTTGTCTCTTTAGTTGTCTCCTCAAGGGTACTAGTCACTCAGTAGAGTACCATTTGGTTGGGCAGCCAAAGAGATCCAATTATACTCTTCCCCAGGAACCTAAAGTGGATTTAACCAGGAAGCCATAGAAGAATCTTCTATGTTGCTAAGGACTGAGCACAGGAAATTGAGCAGCCACACACAACCATGGGGCCAAGACCAAGCCCTTGCCTTTCTCTCATCCTCCATGCTGTCATCTGCAAAGTCACTACATCATCTCTGAAGCCTCCTTCCCTCTCATGGTCTGTGTTTTTCGTCAAGAAAGACTTACTGGCCATTAGGAGGATGAAGTCCTAAGATGTATTACACTAGAGGACACTGTGGTAGCTCCACCCAGGGAGATGAGATATGATGAATTGGTAACACGAATGTCACCATTACAATAAAAGCTAGTTTATCCGACAGGCAATCACTCGGAAGCCAATGAGGACCAAGATTCTGAATAATGATCTGCGGCTTTGAGTTGTCCAAAAAATGACTGCATTATGCTGAGTGGAGTTTAACGAACAGCCAAGTTGGAAGTTCATGCATGGGGCACAGCAGATTAAACAGTAAAAACAAGCACTGGGGGTCTGGAGATGGGTCAGTGGCTTGCAGGCCAGCTGACAGCACTGGGCTGGTCTCTTATTTCTCTGTCTTCATCTACCATGTGAAATTTTGAGTTTTACCAACCCAAGATGGCAGTAGGGAGTCGGGGAGAAGGAAGAACCAAATAATCTCTTGAGGCCCCTTCCAGGTTTCAGACTCATGAGTTCTCCATTCTTCAAACTGTTAGATTAATCAACTTTTCTCTGCATTATTTTAATATGACTGCTCTTTGAAATATATGGTACATTCTGTTACCACGAATGAACACCAGATTCATCAGGGGATCGTCTCTAGGTTACTAGTGAGTTTATAAAACATTCTTTCTATTGGGGTTCCTCTTTTTTTTACCTCTTGATTTCCTTTAAATGTAGAGCTCTTCAACATCAAAAGCTGCTCCAAAAAGCCCAGGCTGCATCATGCATGACATATGGGGGATCATTTTACATTTTCCACCTTTGGTAAACATGGCTTTGAAAAAGGCCTTTTAAGATGACTGTTGGTTTTGGCAGTGCCTTTTCTTGGGGTATTAAGACAGTCAGGCTAGGAAAACAAAGAGCAGTCTTGAAAGAAAGCCTCCCATACCGAAAGGAGAGTCTTCACAGCAACCACCAGCACCGAGCAGGCAATCAGGCAGTCCAGTGGCTGGAGAATGAACTTCACGGGCTTCAAGAGGAGGTGGCCTCCATGCAGCATGAGGTATCCAAAGGCCACCAGGTACCCAGCCCCTGAGGTGTTGATCCATGTCATTCCCACAAGAAAAAACAGCCAGAGCACACATCCAAAATGATACCAAAAAACAACAACTTTCACCATGTCCAAGTAGGATCTGAAAGGTTGAAGAGCGAGGAAAAAGTAAAGATGCTGTCACTTGACAGAGGGACAAAAGCATATCTTCTGCAGGGCACCTTAAAATATCTTCAATAAACATGTAAAACCGAGGCGGTGGGAGAAATGCAGCGAGCAGGAGACCCTCAGAGGCTCTTAGCAAAGCTGGTGCTGCCCGTGAGGGCAGGGTATTATGTAGAGTCAGGTTCATCGAGGTGTAACTTGCATATCGTCAAAATCTCCCTTATTAGGTGTGTAGTTCTTTGAATTTTGACAAATGCATACAGTCCTGTAGCCACCACTACAGTTGAGATCCTGAATATTTCCATTATTTCCAAAGTTTCCCGGGCTCCTTTGCAGTCCCCATCCCTCCAGGCAACCACTGATCTCTTTTCTGTCCCTACAGTTTTGCCTTTTGCAAAATATCACGGAAATGGCATGATACAGTATGTCACCTTTGGTGTCTGGCATAACGCTTTTCAGAGTCATCCACGTTATCTACGTAGTGCCTATAGTTCCATGCTTTTTATTGCTCAGCCATATCCCTTGCACGGACGCACCACAATTTATCCAACCGCCGGGTAATGAATAAGTGGGTTGTCTCCAGTTTTTGGTGATTATGAATAAAGCTACCGTGAACATTCATGTCCAGGTTGTTGTATGGAACTAAGTTTCCATTTCGTTTGGGTAAATATATAGGAGGGGAATGGCTGTGTCATAGGGTAAGTATACATTCAACTTTATAAGAAACTGCCACCGTTTTCCAAAGTGGCTGTGCCATTTTGCATTCCTACCAGCAATGAGTGAGAATTCCTGTTGCTCTGCATTTTTCCAGCACTTGGTATTACCAGGGGGTTTTGGTTTGTTATTTTAATCTTAACCATTCTGATAAGTGTGTAGTGGTATTTCGTTTTAACTTTTAATTTCCATTTCCCTGATAACTAATGCTGTTAAGTATCTTTTCAAAACATGCTTAATATCTTATTATCTTTTTTGATTATTTAAATCTTTTGCCTATTTTAAAAAATGAGTTGTTTTCTTTCATTGAGCTATAAAAGTTTGCATATATTCTGGATACAGGTACTATATCAGACACTGGTTTTGCAAATATTTTCTCCCAGTCTGTGATTTATCCTTTCATGATCTTGATAGTGTCTTTTGAAAAACATGTTTTGTGTTTTTTGGATGAATATCGATAATCAACTTTTTCCTGTTATAGCACATGATTTTTCTGTGTCCTATTAAAAGAAATATTCTCCCCACCCAAGGTCATGAAAAGCTTTTCCCATTTTTATAGAAGTTTTATAGTTCTGGGTTTTACATTTAGGTCTACAATCCATTTCGAGCTGATCTTTGTATATGATGTAAGATCTGGATTAAGGCATTTTGTGTTTTAGGTTTTTTTTGGTGGGGTGGCTGGGTTATGGACATACAATTGTTCCAGCAGCATCAGTTGAAAAGACTATTTTTTCTGAACTCTCTGCACCATTGATCTTGAACACTGCTTAGTACATAACAAATGCTCAATAAAATTGCTGACTGCATGAATGCGTGGTGAGCCCATGCCAGGACCCAGTCAACACATACATGTGACTTGGAGAGGAGACATTCAGAAAGTTGTTGGTGCGGTGGCTCATGCCTGTAATCCCAGCACTTTTGGAGGCTAAGGCAGGCGGATCACCTGAGGTCAGAAGTTCGAGACCATCCTGAGCAACATTTAGTCTCTACTAAAAATACAAAAAATTAGCCTGGCATGGTGGTGCATGCCTGTAATCCCAGCTACTCGGGAGGCTGAAGCGGGAGAATTGCTTGAACCCGGGAGGTGGAGGTTGCAGTGTGCCAAGATCAGGCCATTGCACTCCAGCCTGGGCAATAAGAGCAAAACTCTGTCTCAAAAAAAAAAAAAGATGGCATGGCTTCTTTGAAAAACAATTTGGCAGCTTCTTAAAACACTAAAGTAAAGGTGCATTCACCCTATGACCCATTGACTCCATGCTTAGGTTTTTATCCAGAGGAACAGATATATTTCCACAAAAACCCTATGCAAAAATGTTTGTGAAAGGTTTATGCATATTAGCTCAAAACTAGAAACAGAATCGATGTTTATCAACTCATGAGTGGATCATCAAAATGTGGTATAATCCCTGGGAGAAGAATTAACTAGGAAGAGGAGATAAGAAAATGTCTGGGATGATGGAAATCATCTGTGCCTTGATGTGTCTCCATCAAAGTTGACTATCACACTTAAGATCTGAATGTTTCACTGTATATAAATTATACTTCAATTTTATATTTTTAAAATTAAAAAAGAAAATTATCATGATTTCTTCTCCAAAAGCAGCAATTCTTGGGCTCACCATGCTGAAAGGGAGCAACGACTGCCTACCCACAGAGGGCCTGAGACCAGGACATCAGCTCTTACGGCAGAAAATAAAGTTAGGAATAGGGCTGAGCTGGGCGAGGTCTTCTGGCCTCAGCTCTCTGCTGATCCCCACGATGTACCTGCCTGCATCCTCACTACACTCTGTTCGCATCTACAAACACCTGCCACTGCAGGGAGGCTACCAGGAGAAGAAGAAACTCAACTGTAAAGATGCAAGGAGGGCTCATGGTCCCTGGCCATGGCTGCCCTGCCCCACGGTTTTGGGCACACAAAGGAGGACCTCACCCAGTGGCCATACCATAAGGGGCCACAGTGCAGGGAAGGCCCCCGGGACTAGCAAGGCCATATGCTCAGGGACCAAGTTCATCCTTTCACATCACTTGGCTGCCTCCCTTGTCACCATCTCCTTGGTAAAGGAGGTAGCACAAGGATGCGGTTTGAGTTTCCAGAAGGCACCTCCTGGAGCCTCCTTACTCAGCTCAGAGTATGACCCCAGAGCTGCAGGCAGAGGACTCACTCGTCCATGTGGAGCGTCAGTGGAGTTTAGGGTTCCCTGGCAGGTGCTCTCTTTACCCTTCCAAACCCTTGAAGACCTGGGTCAGGTGAAACGCAAACTCTACCCAGCAGAGATTTTGCCATCTTCTCTCTGCCGTGTCTCCATGCTCAGGGCAGTGCTCGGGCACATAGTTTGGATCTATCAGCATTTGATGAATGAATGAATAAATAAATAGCGGATTTTGCGTGTGACAGAATGCAAGGAAAAGGCAAGAACTGGGAGAAGGAAATGAAAACTTTTGACTATTTCTACCATTCATAGTTATATTTTCTCCTATAGAACTCCATCTGTTTTCAAGAAGATGGATATTTTCTAGGCTGACTGAGAAGGGCAAACCCTAAAAGGAGACTGCTTACCTTTGGATAGGTAATCACTATCTCCCCAAATCCATATTTTGGAAAGTCTTTATTCGAGATGCCATTTGGAAATCTTATTTGCAAATCAGCCATCTACTTTTTATTTAGTATCTTACTAAATATCTGGATTTTAAATCATCTATCGAAAGTACCCCTCCCCACTTCACCCCATCAGAATAATGCTTATGAATTAAAATTCTCTCCGACACAAACATTTTTTAATTAGATGGAGACCTTGGAACCTGGTAACTATATTTCTTCCCTGAGTACTGTGTGGGTGATTACAAGAAGATGAAATGGAGAATATCGGAAAGAAGATTGGCAAAGAAGGGAAGCTGAGATGGCACTTGGCATGTCCTAAGTTCTCAATTGCCTGCCCAATCTGAAGTTCCCAATGTGAAGAGGCACTCAGACACCCTCGGTACTCACAGAGTAACAAATTGGCATCCGGCTTCCTGGCAAAAATCTGGGAGATACAACCACTTACTGAGATTTGAGTGTCTTTCTGTACTAGTGGTTCTCTGCAAAGGAAGGAGTGATTTTTTTTTTTTTTTTTTTTTTTTTTTTTTTTTTTTTTTTTTTTTTTGAGACAGAGTCTTGCTTTGTCGCCCAGGCTGGAGTGCAGTGGCGCGATCTCGGCTCCCTGAAAGCTCTGCCTCCTCGGTTCACACCATTCTCCTGCCTCAGCCTCCCGAGTAGCTGGGACTACAGGTGCCCGCTACCACACCCAGCTAACTTTTTGTATTTTTTAGTAGAGACGGGATTTCACCGTGTTAGCCAGGATGGTCTTGATCTCCTGACCTTGTGATCTGCCTGCCTTGGCCTCCCAAAGTGCTGGGATTATAGGCGTGAGCCACTGTGCCTAGCCTTGTCTTCATTATTTTTCTAAAGACCATTGAGTCTATGTTCTGTTAATGCTTCTTTCAAATTATATGGAATGATGATGATGAGGATGTTGGTGATGATAATTTCAGGGTCAAGGGACGAACTCTCTTTTACAAAGTTGAAAGGATGCTAGAAACTGCTTCAGAAAGCCTGACAGCTGGCTCATCTGGGGAACCATGATCCTGCCCACCCCACGATATGTGGCGTATTTCATGGAGACACCTGCCCAGCCTGCACATCATACTGGGGATCAGTTGCACACCTGGGGTGCAGCCCGTGCTCCTTTCCTTGTCAGCCTCAGCTTCCCCATTTGTACAATGGGAGTGTTGGTGTCTGATTTAACTGAATGGGGTTGCTATAGGGTGATCTGCAGGTGGCAAACCCAGGTGGCATCTCCACGTTGGGAATTGGGAGGCGGGGGCTGAGCAAGGCTGTAAGGGATGAGAGAAACCACGTGCAGGGGGAGTGCTAAAGATTTCAGCACCAAGCTGGGAGAAAAAGAGGGTGAGAGGAGAGAAGGTAGGAAGTAGGAGAGTGTGACTGTCCACAAAGAGAAGGCAAAAAAAGGAGAAGAGGAGAGAACAAGAGAAAGAAAATGAGAAGGGAGAGCTGGTGAGTAACAGAGCGAGCCAGAAACAAGAAACAGAGAAAATCACAGAGAGAGAGAGAAAGAAGAAAAAAGAGGAGGCTTGGAAAGAATAGAAGAGGGGAATAGAGGGTAGAGTGGAAGGAGGAAAGAGAGAGAAGTGGTGGGAAAAGGAGGAGGAAGAGGAAGAAAAGGAGAGCAATGAAAAGCCAAAGAAATTCAGTGAGGAAACCTAATGCAGACAGTAGAGATGATCTTAGGAAAAGCCCTAAGCAGAACAGCTGTGTGTGCTGGGAGATAGGACTTAAGATGAAAATAGAGGTTGTTAATTTGACTCAGGGTAAGTTTTTGAATCTTTACTGTGTTGAGATAAGACCATCCCAGGAAAAGACTACCCAGTCGAAGTCTGCGGACCCAGGCCTTCTTTGGCTTCTGCCACCAAGAGCTGTGTGACCCTAGTTACAAGGCAGCAAAACCCCCAGCACAGCCCCTGATGTGCAGCCTGTGCTCCTTTCCTTGGCAGCCTCAGCTTCCCCATCTGTACAACGGGAGTGCTGGTGTCTGGTTTAACCTAATAGGACTGCTATAAGGAAAAAGTGTGAAATGCTTGGAAAGCTAAGAGTGTACACGAGTGGAAGGGGGCATCGTTCTTCCTATTTCCTGCTCTTTTCATTTTTTATTTGCATTTTAGGGCAGAGGTGAGCCAACTCTTCCTCTCAAGCAAGCCTGGGTTGGCTCGGTGGGTTTGGCTCTATTCCTGAACTGTGCCCATAGCAGTCAATTATTCTCCAGGACAAGGTGACCCAGGTATCAAGCCCAATTATTTCTGAGGTCCTCTTCCTCAATGCAACCATTCTCCTTTAAAAAGAAACGGAGGCACAGGAACCCTAGCTCCCCTGCCCAAAGATACCGAGCATGTCTAGGGCAAAGTCAGTATTTACCAAAACTCAGCATTTCCCCTGAAGAGTCAGGTGGACACGTAGATTGCTGGGCTTACCTTTGCAGAAAGCAGGAGGCAGCCCCAGGAATGGAAAATGCTAAAAGATCCTGAGACTGACAAGAAAACCACAGTATCTGGCCAGACCTCAGCAACTGCTTTTCTCCACAGAAGATTCAGCAAGTAAATCAACCAGATGACACGGATGCGGAGTAGAAATCCATGTGCTGCCCTGTGGCATTGAGGGCAGCCCCGAGGCACAGCGGAAACACAGGCTGAAAGATGCAAGACACGCTGGGCGCGGTGGCTCACACCTGTAATCCCAGCACTTTGGGAGGCTGAGACGGGTGGATAACAAGGTCAGGAGTTCAAGACCTTCCTGGCCAAGATGGTGAAACCATCTTGTATTTTTGTAAAAATACAAAAAATGAGCCAGGTGTGGTGGTGGGCACCTGTAATCCCAGCTACTCAGGAGGCTGAGGCAGGAGAATCACTTGAACCCGGGAGGGAGAGGTTGCAGTGAGCTGAGATCGCACCACTGCACTCCAGCCTGGGCGACAGAGTGAGACTCTGTCTCAAAAAAAAAAAAAGGTGCAAGACAACGTCCATGAACATCAGTGAGTAAATGCCACAGGACAGAATAGCAATCTCAGGCCCTGGGGCAGGAAGACTGTTGGGATTTGGGGAGGGTGGGGAGTTGGGTTTTTTAATTTGTTTGTGCTTTTCTTCGCTTTTATGATGCACCCCCATTGCCAGAAATTCATTACAACCCTTTGGGGTATTAGGAAATTGGATAAATAACAAGACTAATTTGTTAAGGTCTGTCGAGAGAGAAAAGAAAGCAGAATCTGTCAACCGCACAATGATAAGGAGACAGGGTCATGCTCTGCGGTGGATCCTGGCCCGAGGGGCTCTCAGTGGGTCTGAGATTTAAACAGAAAAAAAAAGTCAAGGGCAGAGCCCATTAAAGAGATCCCGGGCAGTGAAGGCAAGGCACTCCCACTGGTCAAAGACAGGGCCATTCGGGCATCAGTGGGATGGCTGCCAGGAATGGAAACATTGAAAGCTCACTGGGCATCTTGGAAGGATGCTAGGGAACTAACTCACTATTCCAAAAACTGGTAAATAAAGGGGAAAAATCAAGCATTTATCTTGCTTTTTAAAAAAAAAAAAACATAAGAACTGTGTATCAGGGAAATTGGATAGTTAATGAGGGGAAGTTTCTCTTTATAGAAGTCTTTCAGGCAATAAATAAAGAAGACACACTAGAACTTGAATATTGCCATTTTAAGTGAAACCATGGGGATGCAATCAGCAGAATGTAGACTATGAAAAATTCTACAGCATCTGATCAGATTCCTTCAACCGGTAAATTGCAGGGATAGAGAGAGTATCTGTAGATTAAGACTTAGAAGATATATCAACCAAGTAACCACTTACAAAACATAGACTGGATTTGGATCCTGAATTGAACACATTTTCTTTTAAAGGTATTAGCCATTCAAGAAAACCTGGAGGCAGATTTGATATTTGATACTGAGGAATTGATAATTCGTTGTGATAATTGTATTGTTTATGTCTTTTGAAGAGCCCACATCTTTTAGAGATATACACAGAAATATTCGTGGTGTTTAGCATTTTCTCCAAAATAACTCATGGGCAGGGGAGACAGAGGGGGGTCAACTATTGAGGATGGTGAGGGATACATGGGGGTTTATGGTACTATTCTCTCTACTGTGCATATGTTTGATATTTTCCATATATATACATATATATATGTATATATATTCGAGATGGAGTCTCGCTGTGTCACCCAGGCTGGAGTGCAATGGCGCGATCTCAGCTCACTGCAACCTCCGTTTCCCAGGTTCAAGCATTTCTCCTGCCTTAGCCTCTTGAGTAGCTGGGATTGCAGGCACACGCTGCCATGCCCGGCTATGTTTTTTTTTTTTTTTTTTTTTCTTTTTCTATTTTTAGTAGAGACAGGGTTTCACCATGTTGGTCAGGCTGGTCTTGAACTCCTGACCTGGTGATCCACCCACCTCAGCCTCCCAAAGTGCTGGGATTACAGGCGTAAGCCACTGTGCCAGGCCTGTTTTCCATATTTTTTTTAAAAAAAGCAATCAACAATCCAGGAAGCGGGGCCTATGCAGGAACATCACCTCAAGGCCAAGCTTATAAAATCTATAGTTGATGAAATACTGCAAAGTGTTCATCAGCCCATCATCAAGAAGTGCTGGAGCGATGATGTCAACGATCATGCCAGTGAGGGGCTCTGGCAGCTGATTCCAAAGCCAGTGTAATATCTGATGCCTACTCACTGTCACCCCCAGAGTCCTGAGGGCCAAGATGGCAAACTGGTTCCACCAAGCCAAGCAAGCCCAAACCATCGCTACCCAGGATGGAAGCCTCATTTCGCCAGGGCCACCCATGAGGCAAGCGAATGAAATATTCACCTGGACTCACCATCATCAACACTTCAAGAAAACTGTGGTTTGGATGATCAAAACCATTTACCATCCCAGCCAGCCTGCCCCCTTCCAAAAGAAAGAGCATGTTTCAGCACCAACTCCTACAAAGAAGAGTGACTGCTTTAAAACAGGGACGGTCAGATGGGCTAATTTCCTGAATGTTTCCCAAATATTTCTTTTCATTTCTTCCTATAAGAGATGCTTTCCACAAATACCAAGGTATTGATTTTCCAATTGATCGAGGTGGAGAATGTTTCATACAGTTATGACTCCTGACAAGTGGGGAATAAAAAGCCAATCATAATGAGTTCATTTACTTGGCTTGATATTACTTTATAACACAATGCATACCCAACACACCCTTTCAAGGACATCACCCAGCTAGGCTGCCAGCTCTTCATGATGAGGCCGCTTAATGCTGAAATCCATCTTACTGCATGATGTGTGGATTTTAAAATCATCCTTAGTGGGCTTTAAAAAAAAAATGCCATAGCCATGCTATGGATTCTTCCCCTACACCCATGAAGACTAGATTGATAGAGTGAGAATGACTCAGATTTGGGGATGGGGGTTATAGAGGGTGTTTGTTGATGAATGAAGTGGGGGGAATACAGTGAAAGCCTAATTGTCAGTTATAAATATGCTGTATTTTCCCTATTGATTATATGACATCGAAATTAAAAGGATTACCTTATTAGATCATATTTAGGCATAAGTATGCCCTTCGTGCTTGACTCGGGGCACTTGCAAGAGACTAATTATTTGAGATGAACAGCACAGTCTGTTCAGCGCCCCAGACGGTCCAAGCGCTGCCCCTATTCCTATGCAGATGCTGTTGGACTCTTCAGTCTCTTTCATGAAGTTCATAGAGATTCTCTGTTCTGACCAGCCTCCTGTGGCTACACAGAGCCCTCCTATACATCTTCTCAGCAAATTAGGAGATGAGGCCTAAATAGGACTTCTGTTTGAGGATTTGGATGGCTGGCGCATCGTTTTCCATAAGCTTTTTGGGGCAAGGTCTGGAGTTGAGTGGTCACCAACAGAGCCTGGCACTTCTTTAAATAAGATGTCTTACAACAAAATCCCAGCGCTCCAGCGCTCCCAGGAAATGAATCACGGAGGTCTGCCCGAGGTGACTCCGTGGAGAGCAGAGCATTTATCCCCGTGGACACCACAAAGCCTTCTTGTTCATCTTTTTGTGTGACTTGTTTAAAAAAATAGATTCCTGCTCTTCCCTGCCTTCTGAACAGTGTCTTTTGAGCACAATTTAGTTCTTCCTTGATGAGTGAGGTCAGCCCTTCCCTCACCTTCCAGAGCTCAGCCCAACTAGGCTGCAGGGCAGACGGCCCCATGGTCTGCACATTTCTCATGAGAATGAGCTATAAGGGACAAAGCCCCATCCTGCCTCTCTCCATTGACTGTGGCTGAGCAGCATGAGCCTTCTGGACCTCAGGGTCCTCGTCTGAGAAGGGTGCTTCTTAGTGGGGCCAGAGCAGGAATTCAGTGAACAAGTAAAGTGATCATAATGCTGAAAATGCATGGGTCATTGTGGGGCGATGCTAGGCCTCCGGGAATGCCAATCTTAGCCACTCTTGACTATCATAACGCCAATTTCTTGCATCAGAGATTCTTGGCTAGCCACATTTGCTCCCCACATGCTTAGACTGTGGTTACTAGGGACTCCTCCCATTTGCTATTGAATTCCTCTTTGCTCTAAAACTGAGGTCTGGGCCCACCCACCCAAATGGAGTGAAGGTGGTGTCCGTCCCCACTTACCCCACTGTACCTGCTGTCACCACCTTCTCTCTGCCTGCTCGGGGTGGGTGGGGCCCTCTCCACATGCCTCCTTTTCCTCAAGGGTGACCTGGTGAGATGAGATGTTCCAATAGCCCAATGTTGACCCCAAGATGGGGACCCATTCCAGCCCCATCATTCCTTCTCTGTGTGACCTTGGACAGGTCATCCCACCTCTCTGAGCCTCAGTATTCTCCTCTGGAAAATGGAGCTACAACCCTTAAGCTTCAGGGTTGCATCTAAAGAGTTAGGATCAAAATAGATAAACTCTTGCAAATTCCCAGCACTTGGCAGGGGCTCCGGAGGGGGGCAATTAATCTCCCCATTCGTCCAGGCAAGGTGCAACCAGCCTTTGATTTTGGCTGAGTTGTTTAATTTTCACTTCTGCTAACAGCCTCCCTTTAATGTCACCTCTCTCCTCATTCATTTCTGGCTTTCCAAGCTACCACGGAAACCACTCTAGGCAAAACAGTAAAAGTGAATGATAAGTCAGAGCCAGGTTCATTCTCGGTAATATAGAACTTGGCCACCAAAGCAATTACTTAATGTAATGTTCCCCAGGAAGGGAAGGGGATGCTGAGCTTATTGAGTGGGTGCCTACCATGTGCCAGGCCCTGAGCCAGCCACTTCATCTCCTCCAAGCCTCCCTGGCGCACAGATCCCAGAGGTTTGCACTTCTCTGACCCACTAATCATGGGCCATTATTCCATCCCTACCTTTAGACAAGGCAACTCTTGGCCATTACATTTCCTTAACACTCCAAGCCACTGTGCCAGGTCTACAGGCTGCAGATAGATAGAGGATCCATTTTCTGGCAAGCTTGGCCAGTGGGCATGTTCTGTTCCCTTGCCACACCTTGGTAGAGGCAGGAATGACCACCAGGTGTACTTGGTGGAGAGTCTGCCCCAGCTGTGGACTGCAGAAAGAACTCAGGCTGCAGGGCTGTCCAGGAAGGACCTCAGGCTGAAAGCAAGTAGGCTGGAACTCTAGACCCCAGGCAGGCCCCTGCACCTTGCTGAGTCTCAGTTTCCCCCTCTGTAAAAGACCAGGATGGAGCAGGGCCATGTTTCCAACTCCCTTGTAGTCCGTCCCCACCATGAGCCTCACCATCCCTCAGATTAGCCTGGGGCAGGTTGGAGCCGCAGAGGAGTAGTGGGTGCCATCGGTTCTGGGCCCACAGGCCTGAGCTCTGTTCCCAGAGTCCTGCCCCTTCATAGTCTTGAGCCCTAAGAAGCTGTGCTTCTCACAAGTTCCCCTCCTGCTTCATTTCTATGCCTGCCCCTAGCAGAGCTCCTTCTAGAGCTCCCTGCAACATGAGCCAACAGCTGTCTGCTTCTCCACCTGCAGACAGAGGTGGAACAGAGGCTCTGTTCCATCATGTTCTCTTGCATACACCATGAACAGGCCACGAGGCCAAAGGAAAGCCAGCCTGGGGGCCAGCCTGGCCCCTGCTGCCTGCCCTGCCCTGGGCTCCCTCCCACCTCGTGGCCTCTGGTTTGCTGTGCCCTCTTCCTGGGGTGTTCTTCCCTTGATATCCTCACGGTTCCGGCCCTCATTCTCTCGTGGTCTCCCCTGACCTCCTAGTGCTTAACGCCACCCAACCCTCTCGGCCCCCTCACCAGCCTCCACCCTTCCCCACAGCTCTTGCCACCACCTCCCATTGCAAGTATCTCTGCTTGCTTGCATATGTCCATCTGCTCCTTTGGAATCTCATCTGTGGGGTCTCACTGCCTGCCCAGCTCCCAGCACAGTGCCTGACACAGAACAGCCATCCATCAATGTTTGTTGAATGAATGAATGAATGGAGGAAACGTAGAATCTTAGATGAGTCTTTTGTGTCCCTCCCACCCAGGGCCTCTTTAAAATAGCAAGAGTTGCACTAGATGGCAATTTTCCAATCACTGTGTCTGAATGGTTCACTCAACAACTCTTCTTAGAGTTGGTTCTTTTTAGAGAAGGTTCTATGAAGGCAGGCTCTGGAGAAATCCAGACTCAGTTCCTGTCTTCCACCAAGGAGCTCGCACTGGGGTGTGGAGAGGCTCTGGTCTGGAATGAAGCTCTCCTCTGAGCAGTTTGAGGAGTAGGCAGAGGACATGACACATGACAGTAGGTACAGCATCTTGTGGGTCCCCGTCACACATTCCCAAACAGCAGAAACACAGGAGGCACCAGGTCAGAATCTCATGCAGGGCAGGGACACCACCCAGAGGATGAAACACAGCGAGTGCATGGGGGAAACCTTTCTGGGAAGTGCGGCGTCTGCAGGTCTCCTTAGCTTGGTTTTCATTCCCTGGCTGAGATCGGAGCATTTCAAATTAGGGTAAAAAGGGAGTTTTAAAAAACACTCACTGGACCTTAAATGATAGGCCTACACTCTGTAACAGAGAGGAAAAAAGGTCTCAAAACCTGCCCCTGAGTCTCTAAACCCCAACAGCACACATTTTCTGTGAAGGCCATTGACCACCTACAGCCTGAGCCTGACGATCGCAGAGGCCACGAGCTTCAGGATGTGTATTTCCAGAATGCACCCAGCAACACTTGAGTCCCGTTAACCACTTCTAGAAATTTCAGCAAACGTGTGGTCAGCATGTTCATTGCCGAGTCTCCATCACATGCTTCCTCCTCCGAGGGGAAGAGAAACCTTTGACAGGCTGCCCAAGCACCCAGCGATGGTGTGGGGTCCAGTTTCTTGTTTAAAACAATATGCAGACCTCTGCATTAAAGAGGAAGCCAGAACAAAGCAGAGAAAACCAGGAAGTGGTAGATTTTTTTTTTAATGCCATTTTCTGATAATACTAAATACCTATAGCGAGGCCCCTCTGTTTCCAGACCAGGCTCCCTCTTCTCTGCTTCCCAAGTTTTCTGTATCACTTTCTGCCATAACATCACTCTCCCCATACTCCAGGTATCTGTTAATATTCCTGTGTCCCCCTCTGGACCAGGGATTGGAAAACTGCTTCTGTGAAGGGGAACATAGTAAATATTTTAGACTGTGTGGGTCATATGGCTGCTGTCACACTAGTCAACTTGCATGGTGGCATGAAGGTGGCCATGGACAATACGTAGATGGCTTTATCCACAAAAACAGGAGTGTTGGACTTGGCCCAGGGGCCAGGATTGGTTGACTTCTGTCTTGGATTGGGTTCCTTGAGGGGAGAAAGACCAATTATTTCCTTTTATCACTTCCATGCTTATCCCAGTGTTTGGCACATAAAAGGCATTCACTAAATGCTCACTGATTGATGCACAAATGAATAAAGAACAAAACTATATGTCCAAGAAGAGTTGAAGTTTAACCAAGAGAAGCCGTCCTACATTTGTTGTTCTTTAACAGTTGAGAAAGATTCTACTTTGGAAAAATGAAAGCAACTAGCATGTATTAAGTACTCAGAATGTGTCAGGTACTGTGCTAAGTGCCCCACATTTCTTATTTTGATCTCAACCATAAGCTGAATCAAGCACATGCATGTTCCTGAAATCACCTGTAAGCAGCTTATTCCCTAAGTAAGCAAACACAGAAATCTCTGTGACTCTTCATTTGCAAACAAGGCATTCACTGAAAGTGCAGTGGCAACTGCCAACCCAGCCAGTATCAGAATCATCATGTTATTCTGAATTTGAAGGTCCAACTAACATAAATGGCTCCCCATGGCATCGGAGTAAAATGCCTAGCTGCTTCACAGGAGCAAGCAGGGAGAGGGTGGGAAATCAGCAGCGAGTCCACCCACCTCTGGGACAGTCAGCTGCCACTTTTCTGCCTGCCCCCAACATAAAATGTCAGGGAGGCATTTGTTGAATCAGGTCAACAGTCTCAATTAGTTTTTGTTGTTGTTGTTGTTGTTTTTGGCATGTTTTTATAAAGACAGGGTTTCACTATGTTGCCCAGGTTAGTCTCAAACTCCTGGTCTCAAGCAATCCTCCCGCCTCAGCCTCTCAAAGTGCTGGCATTACAGGTGTGAGCCACTGTGCCTGGCCTCAATTAATTTCTTTTTTAAATGAATCAACTGTTGGCCTGAAAGCCCAGGATTCTTGGTAACACTCAGAGCAACCCCAGATGCATCATGCAGGACTTCTAGGGGAAAGTGACATCTTCAACTTCATGGCGCCTTCCCCCAGGCTGTCCATACTTTGTCTCCCCAGCTCACCCAGCACAATGCTGCCTGCTTTGTCCTCTAAGTTCTGAGTTGCACCCTTTTCCCTCGTCAGGCCCCAGGCTAAAAATCAAAGGCAGAGGACGCTTAGGCATTGAAGCATGGGAAATGGAGTGTCACCTGGCCAGCTGGTTTTATCAAAGCCTGTAAGTAAAATGGGTTCAAGCCACTAGGAAATATTGGGTAGGAGGCATGGTCATTGACTTGGTCATTTAAAAAAATCTAGCTTGACTTGGTTCATTCTACACTGTTGGGAATGACGTCTATGCTTCTCTCATCTTCTCAGGCACAATTGACTCCAGAAATCCAACTAAAAGAATGCCTTTCCCTTCATGATTTAGCTCTTATCTCTTTTGATGTTTCCAAATTGTAACCTTAAGCCTGCGAGGAGGCGGGGTGGAGGGGAGAGGAGAAAGAGGGAGACTCCTCTGTTCACAAAAGTATTCATTTCCACTGGATTTATTTGACAGCAAACTCCCTAATCAATTTTTAATATTGTGCTTATTTATTATATTAACTAAACAATGCATGCACATACTTAAAAAATATTTCAAAAGGCACAAAAGGGTAAACAGTGAAAAGCAACTCTCCTTCCCACGTTTGTCTCCCTCTCTCCCTGAGGCAAGCACCACTGAAGGTTTCTTCTCTGCTCTTCCAAAGATATGCTTTGCTTATAAAAGCATGTGCATATATATCTTTTTCTTAAACAAATGGTAGCACATTCTATACACAGTATTCTGCACTTTGCTTTCTTCACTTGGTGATAGATCTTGAAGCTCATTCCATATCAGTATATATAGAGCTGCCTCATTCTTTTTAATGGCTGCATAGCATTATGCTACTGAGACAGACCACTGTTTGTTTAACCGGTCCCCTAGTGATGGGCATTCATTCCCTGCTGGAGTTTTTTAGAGAATGAGATTAACACTAGATGAGCAGGAGCACGGCACCTGAACAAGGTGAGGCGTCACTAGCACAGGCAAGCAGAGGACAAAACTCCTTGCAGAAGGAAATCTTAAAGAAAAGAACATCCAACAGGAGCTGCACATCAGTTTCCTCCTTCGAGTTGCTGGGGGATATAGATCACAAAGCCTTTATAATGTTCGAAATGAGCAGGGGCTGGTGCTTCTGGGACGTTACAATGGCAATCTGGTCCCACACACTGTCAGCCTCCTCCATATAGTGAAAACAACAGGCCCACCACAGAAAACCCTCACCCCTTCACCTATTCAGTGAGTTGATCCAATGGGGCCCAGGTGAACACAAAAGAGAACGTTTCTCCCCAGGTTTTCTCCTCATCCTACAGCAGGGCTCCATTTCATTCCACGTTTCTGAGCACATTATTTCAGGGATTAGAGAGTGGGAGAAAGAGCACATTGCTCATTTGTGTAGCTTGCAACTCCCGAGAGACCCGACCATCTCACCAGCACCATTTCCATTTTCTTTACGGCTTCCAACTCCTACCTCGGGTATGAACAAAGCAGGGTAAAAACCAAAACAAACATCACGATGTTGACCGGAAAAAAAAACAAAACAAAATAAAACAAAAAAACTTTACAATCCCTGGGGAATAAAAGGAATCAAACTATGGTATTTTGTGTACTTTTTTTGCAAGGTGGTAGGATTGCTGCACAGTTTGATCGGGAAAACAGATGCAGGCACTAAGAAGACCACAGACTCCTGCTCAATTTTTCTTAGGAGAAAATGAATTGCTTTGGCAATATACCACCTTTTAAAATAAGGATTCTGCGAAATACCCTAACATATTAGTGACTCAGTGTAAAAATTAAGA